>NC_000004.12:99546381-100171381 GCF_000001405.40 Homo sapiens
CTTGCCTTTTATCTACATCATTTCTGTTACCTTTTCTGTCTATAAAGTGAAATAGTATGTCCCTTTGCTTTATAATTGCCAGTCACTGCTGGATTTCATCATTGTTCATTTACCTCCCAAAAGATGTTTATTCAGTAGAATTACTTTCTTTTCTCAATTTTGATTTTTCCATTCTGAGCATTTTCAAATGCTATAATGTCAACAGCACCAAACTCTGGAGAATCAGAATGAAGAATGGTTCTTCTCTTAAGAATGAGCTTGCTTTATGATCACTGTAGGTTATTAAAGAAATTAAATGTGAGGAAATTCTGTATTTCAGCAGACATATATTTTTTGATGCATTTATTTAGGTAGTTTAATTCTCTACTTTTATTATGTTCTAATACAAGTAACTTTAGTATTTACTGAAGTTTTAACAAATAACCTAAATAAACCAAAACAATGTTGAGAGAAAAGTATACATGCAAATGAGCAAAAAGCTTAATATTTTTAAAACCAAATTTTTAAATACCTCAGAAACTAGTTATATCAAAAGAGGTAGTAATCTTCACCTTCTTGCCACCAACATCCTAGATAAGATATGGGCCTGTAGTGGGTAGAATTGTGTCCCCCAAAAGATATGTCAAATCCTAACACATGGTACCCTGTAAATGTGACCTTATTTGGAGACAGGGTCTTTGCGGATGTAGTCAAGATGAGGTCATATTGGATCATGGTGAACTCTAATCCAGTGCTGGTCTCCCTAGAAAAAGAGTTTGGACACGGATACAAACATAGAAGACAGGGTAGAAGACCACTTGACAACAAAACTGAGATTGGAGTCAAGCCACTATAGGCTAAGGAACAGCAGGGATTGCTGGCAACCACCAAAAGCCAGGAAGAGGCTAGGAAGTATTCTTTCCTAGGGCCTAAGGAGGAAGCATGGCACTGGGACATTGTGAGTCTGGACATTTAGTCTCTGGAACTGTTAAGAGAATAAATTTCTGTTGTTTAAAGCCACCCAGTTTGTGGTAATTTGTTCTAGCACATCTAGGAAACTAATACAGAGTTTTTTATAATTAATAAAAATTAAACTCTTATTTGGAATGATTTTCCCCCTTTCATAATTAAACAGTGCCCTATTTTACATAAAATAATTTAAGTAAAAGGCATAATATTTCATGCTAATAAACCACATTTACTCAGAAAAACATGAACCTTTGAAAAAATACAACTTAAGACATAAGCTTTGTTATTTTAAAATTGTAGGGCTTGTCTTTACTTACATATCTTGCCTACAGACCTTACCTTAAAATAGGTAACTATAATAGATTACTAAGAACAAAGTAACAAAAATAGACAGTAAATATCAGTACTAAATCCAATAAACTTTCTGTTGTGTATATATATGTTAGTATGTAACATATATAGTATGTTATATACTTTTTAAATATAACTTTTATATATTAAAAAGAAGACAAAAGAACAGCAACTTATTTTACCCAAACTCAATGAAGGCTACTGAAATCTTTTAGCTGTGACAGAGACCAATCATTTTACCTTAAACATTTAACTGCATGTACAATTACTGATAGGAAACTAAAACAGTTCCCTTTCACACTATTCTTTCTTGCCAATGTTCCCATACAAACGTTAAGGATTTTTGTACTTAATAAAATTCAAATTGTTCTTAGCGTGTTCAACACAACCATTCACACAAGTAATACAGATATATGGCAATTCAATCATGTTATCATCAATTAAGAACTGAGAGCCATACATGATGAGGATAGTTATGTATTTACATGCATATTATCACATGTGTATTTGATTTATAGAAACAAACATTAGTATGCATATTCTTAGAGAAGAGGAGGCAGATGCACCTATAAACTTTATTCATCTTAAGAGCCAACAAATTTAAAAAAAATATGGAAAAAAAAACCACAGCTGCTAAGAGCTGTTCCATTTTAAATGCAGGTAAAGACAAAATTGATCTTTCAATAGCAACAGCCTTATAAAATAATTTAGTCTGCAAAATTCAATTTTATAATTGAAGTAACTTATCACCATTGTAAGAATTAAGAAAATGCATTAAAGAGATTCTCAACTCTTCAGTAATTACTTCAGAACCATAAAAAGGCATCATAAAGAAGGAACAGATATGCGCTCCATAGTCCAAAAGAAATGAATTATTAAGTCTATCAAACTGATACTTCTTCCTAAAATTACTACATTCTTTCAAGTAACTAATTTAAACATAAAAGCTGCAAATAGAGGGTAACCTACCATACACAAATGCTGATAGATTGACAGTATATTTATGAATATGTGCCCTCACAGATATATAGGCAATAGATCATAAAGATGTTGATGTGACTATAAAATTAAAAAACTGAAAGGTCAGAAGGCACATTCTAAAGAATATAAAATGAAAGAAAATGAAAATATACTAATACAGTAAAATTATCTAGAAACTACTGAGGCTTTAAAAACAAAAACAAAAAAAATCACATACACATTTAAATCTTCTTACGCAAAATCAAAAAATATTTCCTTACAAAGTTTAAAGGGCTTTTTTTTTTATTATTATTTAGGTCCAAAAAAAAGTTTTTAAAAATCACAACAGAAATAAGAGAAAATAAAATGTTCTTCCAATTTCAATATTCTATATAGCACCTCACTTTCTCCTAATTTTTCCTTAAACTAAAAGGAAACCAGGTAACATTAGTGTGGCAGAGAGTTCACTGTAGATTCAGTGTGATTTTCCTTATCCTGCTTTTCTTCATGTGGTGAATCTAGTTCATTTCTGCTATATTCCTCCTCACTGGAATCACTGTCCGATCCACCTTCCTCCATCCTGACAGACTGATTGTCATGAGAAGCACTTTCACAGGCTTTGTCTGTGGGAACAGCTCCTTTCCGTTGGGGCAAGATAGTAAAAAATGCTTCTTGCCAGTCTCTTGTTTCCAGGTATTCCAGAATAATTTCAAACACTGCAATAAAGACATATTCCGTACATTTCTTAGCCAAGTTCATCACAATGCTGCACAATGTCTTTTAAAATACATTGCCTTTGTGTTAAGAGTGCTAGTTTGTCCTAATAACTACTTTGTTCTTAGCTCTTCTTTCTATTGTCTGTCAAGCCCAATTTGCCCCAAGGTACTTAAGTCTATTACCTCCTATCTAGCTTTTTCTCAGTTCAGTTCTTAAGCACTCAGAAATTTACCAGTATCCCATGTCAATTATAATCAATAAAGACCTTTTCAGTTTCTCTCCTACTCTTTTTTAGCCCCTTCACATCTTTATCCTTTACATGCTAACAACCTAGTTAGCATTCACTTAACTTTCTTCATGTTTCCTGTAAAGAGCCACTCACACTAGGATCTCCTTGACTGCTTTTTTTTCTTTTGTTTTTCTTTTCACATTGGTTGTAGTCAAGAGTATCAATATTGTCTCCAGGGTACTCTCACATCAGCATACTGCTGAAGGGCTAACCTGAATTACTTTGTGGAAAAAGTAATTTCTACTATATATCAAAGGTTTTAGAGGCAATTCATTTGTTGAATCGATAATTTCATTTTTATAACTCCCTAGAACCTGCTATATAGAAAGTAGCGCATAAAAAGTTTAATAAGTAGTTGTGTATTGACTAAAAACTCGGCTTAAAAATTTTTTTAAAGCAAAGTCCAGGCAAAGACCGGTACAAGGATGTCTATTTCAATGTTATTTGCAACAGCAAAAAGAAAAAAAACACAATTCAACCATAGTAGAATGGTTAAATAATTGTATATTCAAATGATGGACTACATAGCCATTAACAACCATTTTTTAAATTTATTTATTTGAGACAAGGTCTCACTCTGCCACCCAAGCTGGAGTGCAGTGGCACAAACATGGCTCACGGCAGCCTCCACCTCCTGAGCTCAGGTGATCCTCCCATCTCACCCTCCTGAATAGCTAGGACTACAAGCACCCACCATCATGCCCAGCTAATTTTTGTATTTTTTGTAGAGATGAAGTTTCACCACGTAGCCCAGGCTGTGTTCGAACTCCTGGGCTTAAGCAATCTGTCTGCCTCGGTCTCTCAAAGTGCTAGGATTAGGATTACAGGTGTAAGCCACTGTGCCTGGCCACCATTAACAATCATTCAATGACATAAAAAATAAAGTAATAAAGGAGAGAAAATATCCCAGATTCACAACATTGTATGTAATATAGTGAAAATCCAATTATGTAATAAATAATAATATATATACATAGGAAAAGAACTAGAGGTCAACACCAAAAAGTTAACACCAAGTATTTCTGTGTAGTAAGACACAGCTAATTTTTTAATACTTTCGTACATTTTCAAAATTTTCTAATACACATTATTTCTGTTAAACAAATTATAAATTATTACTTTTTACAATTTTGTCTCCAGGAAGGTGTAATACTTTCTACTTGTTCAAATACTAAATGTAATATTCTTTCTCACAATGTTCGCTCAGGTATATTTTCAGTTTATCCCTTACAGCTTACCATGATTAACTGCCAAAACTTTTCGACTATTCATCTTCACAAAATTTCCAAGTGGGAGCTGTGCATGATTGATTCCATAATCTGACGCTTGTTTATATGTGAGTCCCTAAAACAAAGACACTATGACTTCGACAAGAACATTAAATTATTTAAAGTTTCTGTAATAGTATAAATAATTTTTAGATAAGATTTATAGTTCAGAGAATTTATAGTTCAGAGAATATTATCTGAATGGGGGGTATGTGTGTGTTTTACTGCTCATTTGGAAACATTCTCTTGACAATAAGTATAGTCAATGTGCAGAGCATTTGTTTTAAGCTCCTCAAGTTACAAATGAGGAAACCAAAGACATTATGTTTCCTGCCGAGTTACAAAGCTCCTCAGTGGCAGAATCACGAGAAAAATCTGGCTCACATATCTCCTAACTCAAATATCTTTTCCCCATTCTACCCTGCCTTTATCTCAGCTTAAAATACAGTCCTGCACTGCATAACAAAGTTTCAGGCAATGACAGATTTCATATACAGTGGTAGTCCCATAAAATTATAATGGAGCTAAAACATTCCTGTCACCTAGTGACTTTGGAGCTGTTGGAACATCATACTGCAACGCATTACTCATGTGTTTGTGGTGATGCTGGAAGAAACAAACCTTCTGCTCATCACATAAAAGTACAGCACATACAATTATGTACAGTACATAACACCTGATAATGATAATAAATGTTACCTGTTATGTATTTACTATACTTTTTATCGTTAGAGTGTACTCCTCCTACTCCTAAAAAAAAAAATAATAATTACATATAAAACAGCCTCAGGCAGGTCCTTCAGGAGATATTCCAGAAGAAGGCACTGTTATCACAGGAGATGACAGCTCCATGCATGTCATTACCCCTAAAGACCTTTCAGTGGACTAAGATGTAGAGGTAGAAGACAGTGATTTTGATGATCCTGACTCTATGTAGGCCTAGGCTAATGTGTGTGTTTGTGTAGTAGTTTTTAACAAAAAAGTTTAAAAAGTTGAAAAAAAAAGAGGAAAATTTTTTTTTTAATTTTAAAAAGTTAAAAAATTAAGAATAGAAAGAAGCCTATGGAATAAGGATATATGAAGAAAATATTTTTGTACAGCTGTATAATGTGTTTACGTTTTAAGCTAAATGTTATTACAAAAGAGTCCAACAGTTTAAAAAATTAAGTTTATAAAGTAAAAAAGTTACAGTAAGCTAAGGTTAATTCATTATTGAAGAAAAAATTTTAAATAAATTTAGTATAGCATAAGTGTACAGTATTTATAAAGTCTACAGCAGTGTACAGTAATATCCAGGTCTTCACATTTAATTTGCCACTCACTTACTGACTCACCTAGAGCAACTTGCAGTTGTGCAAGCACCACTCATGGTAAGTGCCCTATACATGTATACCACGTATACCTGTATTTTAAAAATCTTTTATATCATCTATGTTTAAATATGTTTAGAAACACAAAGATCTTTATGTTACAATTGTCTACACTATTCAGTACAGTAACACTCTGTATAGGTTTGTAGCCTAGGAGCAATAGGCTATGCCATACAGCCTATGTGTAGTAGGCTATACCATCTAGGTTTCTGTAACTACACTCTATAATATTGATATCGCTAAATGATGTAATTCTTAGAATGTATCCCCATCATTAAGCAACATACGACTGAACTTAAACTGAATTCCTATGGAAGCACCATCATTCTTCCCGTAAGTGTAAAAAAAAATTAAATTTCAATTAGTAACACTACTTTGCACAAATGACAAAGACAAATTAAATGAAAACTTGAATTGAGAAATTTTAAATAACTGACAAGTTTTATTTTTCCCTGTCAATTAAAAAAATGCAGAATATGAATTTCATCTCTCTTCAAAATTAAAATCCTTGAAACCTATGTCCAACCAGAACTGAAATGGTCGAAAAACAGAGTACAGGAGAAAGAAAAGCTCAATTTGTCAACTGATGGTTTGCATACTTGGTGGGGGGGGGAGGCAGCAAATAATAATAGATTGAAGCAGGTGCTTTTGAAAACAAAATTGTTTTAGTTCAGAAAAACATAAACATGAGAAAAAATGTGGTTCTATATAAATAACAAAATAGAATTTTTCCACTAAGAAAAAAACAAAAAGGCTAAAAGATCATTCTGATAAAATTCCCTATGATGCAATAGAGCTGCAACTGTCCAATTGGTAGCCATGTGTGACTACTTAAATTTAAATTGATTACAATTTAAAAAATTCAGTTCTTCAGTCATACTGTACACATTTCAAGTGCTCAATAGCCACAGACCTAACATACTGGACAAGCAGATACGAAGAATTTTGCATGCTGCAATGTAGCTGGCGAAGTACAAAATGACATTTTCTTTTAGAAAGTGCATTTCTGTAATTTTTCATCCAAATAAAGGTATGGATGGGAAGAGAGAAAAGTACAAATGAAAGATAATAGAAAAAACATCCCATGAAAATAACATATTTAAAAACTAGTTTAAGTTCCAATGGCTTAGCAATTGATTAGCAGCAGAATCTTCTATCAGTAAAGCATAGACAGCATTTAAGCATGTGGACTCCAGAGCAATCAGCCTGGTTTCAAATAGCTGCTTTGTCACCTACTACTGTTGATTTTAGACTTAATTTCTCTGTGCCATGAATTCCTTACTTGTGGAACGTAAATAATAATAGCACTAATCTCACTGGGTTGAGTGAAGATTAAGCAAGCTAACTTATGTGAAATACTTTGCTTAGCTCAGAAGGTGACTGACATATAGTAGGCACTCAATAAAGATGAGCTATCATTAGTATTATTGTTACTTTCAGGAAATGGTGATATATCAATTTTAAGAACAAGCAAAAGCAAAAATAAAAATTTAATAGTACCTTGTGATGGTTGTGATCTACTAATCCTCCAATCACATAGGCCTTTGATTCATCTAATTCCTTCAGTATATTAGGTGAATCTGACGTAAGGTAAATCAGGTCTTCTTTCTTTATGAGTTCACTATAGTGCTCTGGTTTGATATGGATATCCTTTAAGACAACAGGGAAAGAGGTTACTAATTAATAAGACCTTATGAAAGTTGGCTAAAAATGATTATTCTCTTTTCCCAAAACAAATCCATTCAAAAATATATGAAACAAAGTTTGAAATAATATAATTACAATGCATTATTTTGAATTTACTACATCAATTTCTTATATCTCACACTTTGATCATTTAAATAGCCTCTTAATTTTATTTCCTCCTTGTTGGCCTCAGACCCCTCCAACCTACTTCCACACACTGATAGCAGGCTCATTTTCTAAAAACACTACTTTCAATGTTTTATCTTTTTCTGTGGGATAAAATCTGAAATCCTTAATTTAAAAACTCTTTCCTGAATATGGCAGTAATCTACTTTTCCAACTTTATTTCTGTTCCAACAAAACAAACGCATTTTTACTGCCACATATTTGCTCACATTGTTCTATGACCAAAGAATGCCTTCTCCAATTACTTCCTCTCCATCTACATGAATCATGAAAGGGAAATAGCTGGCCACGTGCGGTGGCTCATGCCTGTAATCCCAGCACTTTGGAAGGCTGAGGCAGGTGGATCACAAGGTCAGGAGTTCGAGACCAGCCTGGCCAACATGGTGAAACCCTGTCTCTACTAAAAATACAAAAATTAGCTGGGTGTGGTGGCGGGCTCCTGTAATCCCAGCTACTCGGGAGGCTGAGGCTGGAGAATTGTTTGAATCCCGGAGGCAGAGGTTGCAGTGAGCCGAGATTGCACCATTGCACTCCAGCCTGGGTGACAGTGCAAGCGACTACGTTTCAAAAAAAAAAAAAAAAAAAGAAAGAAAAAAAGAAAAGGAAATAGTTTATAGATTTAATTAATTCCATGTATCTGTTTCTACAAAGAGACACACATTTGAAAACTTCTTCACCAAAATTGTCAGGTCACAGGTACAAAATTGAACAATAGCTGGCAGTCATGATTTTGTAAGCCACATTGACTGCATAAAAGATGTATCACCAGGCTCAGATGACATTTATCCATAATTTTTAATGAAACCAAGAATGAGGCAAAAGAACTCTCTCCTAAAATGTATAATTAATAAATAGCCAGTTTTCTGGAAAATGTTATATTACAAATTTAAGGCCCCAAGAGGAACCTGATTAATTAGAGACCAATGAATCTCAAGTCTCTCTGGAAAGGTGATGGTATAAATGATAAATTTAACAAGTCGCAAAATAACTGAAAACATGCCTCTTTTAATTTATTACACTAGTTCTTGGAAAAATGGGCACAAATACAGGATTTGGTAAATATACTGTACTTAAAAACTTAAAAGCCTTTGAAAATGTTTCATATCATAGGCTATTAATAAAATAAATGCCTTTGTTATGGAATTAGTGAGTGTGAAAGGGAAAGTGTGTCACTGAGAGAACTGACTTTGAGAAAGAAAAAAGGTATAGGGATAACCCAGTACTTCCCTAAATAGGATCAAGTTCCTCAGGGACTGGTACCAAGGCCAATCTATTTAGTCACCTTTACCAATGACTGAGAACAATTTGGTCCAATAGAAAAAACTGTGAGGCCACATAGGCAATTTTAAATATTCTAGTATCCAAATTTTAAAAAGTGAAAATAGGTGAAATTAATTTTAACAATTTATTTTATTAATACAGTATACCCAAAAGTTTATCATTTAAACATATAATAAATATTTTAAAAATTACCTAGGAGATATTCACATTCTTTCTCTTTTGTGGTACTGAGTCTTTGAAATCCAGTATGTATTTCACATTCATAGCACATCTCAATTCACAATTCAGACTGTCACATTTCAAGTTCAATAGCCACATGTGGATAGTGGCCAGCACAGAGTAAGAAGAAACAGAATGCAGGCACACTTCCAAAATTTAGAGTGACTTCATTTTTATAGGTAACATATAATGTATAGCTAGTATGTTAGGGAGAAATGATATAAAGGCCCTTAAAATTATTTCTTTTTAAAAATACGTTTTAAAAGTTGACCATAAAATAGGGAAGATTTAATGAGAACAAATACAAGCTACCAGATGTCTCACTCCCTTCTTCAGCATCTCTGATTTGTAATCTTAGACTTAGGTTCAGAGATTGCATCTGGAGATTGTTGTATTAAGTAGCATTATATAGAATTTAGGTACAAAATGTAGACCTTTAGAAACATAAAAATACTTGGAATTATGTGAGAGTTTATCTGTTTTAATTACCTTCCAGTTGACCCATCCTTTGTCATTTTCATCCATGTTCTTTTTCAGCTGGCCTCCGTGGCTTGTCAAGTAAAACTGATAAAAGATTTGTAAGTATAGAAAAAGAGAACAAATGACCATTTAAGTCTAATATTTTATTTCTCTCATCTACTTATCTGACGATCAATGAAACACAAAATATATTTATTCTCATTCATCTAGAAAAAAAATTTGTGACATGCTTTGAGCAAACAATAAACTGTGGTAGAAATAGTACGTTTTGTGTGCATGTTTCATAACCCAGTAGCTGCAGTATCCCATTTACATTTTCATCCCAAGTAGTTATAACATGCCTGTACCTTAATCATCACTTGTCTACAAACTCCCTGCTTCCATGTCAAGTTCCCACTCCTCTTTTTTTTAAAACAATACAAAGTCTTCATAATTTTTCTTTGATTCTAAACCCTGACACCTATTTAAGTTTGAATCAAGGGTGAGAAGGGGTCTACTACAGATAAAAATGGGGATAAAAGGACTATCACAGAAGTGTGATATGAGACTATAAAACAAAAAGTATAAAAAACAAAAATACAAAATTACTATCACTTGGTAAAAACAAAATATCTAACCAAAATATATTAATAGTTCCTGGTTCTTAACATCAGTGAGCCAGTATTAATTTTTAGGTCACCTAGAATTCCAACAGAAAGATGTTATTCTTAACAGTAGCCAAATAGTCTCCCAAATCACTCCCTCACCTCAGCTTAAAAAAGACCTGTCAAAACTCTCAGTGACCCAAAAGAAAACTAAAAACCTTTAAGTAGACAAAATCTATACAACAGATACCACGACATATGTCAAGCGGTGGCAGCCACAGCTTCTGCCTCTCTGTCCAATCTCTCTCCCACACTGGAAGTAATTGTAAACTGAAAAACTGGTATAAAAATATATGTATGTCCCACAATGAAGATATCAACTACAGGCAATGAAAAGGCCAATTTGTATAAGACTGATGATTACTGGAAAGAGTGTGTCTAAGATAACATATTAAAAGATGTTTAAAATATTTTGCTTCATTTCTGTCAAAAAAATTTTTTTCACATAGGCATTAAACAAGATTACCTGTAAGACTACTGCAAAGACTATAGGAATTATCTATGTCTTTTGCCACAAAAGACATAAAAGAAAACTAGAGTCTGCTTTAAAATCTTTACACATACCTGCACAGGATGCAGTGCCCGTCGGTTTTCTGCGTAACATCGTTGAATCTGCTTATGAAGTTTCTTAATGTCCTATCACAGAGTTCAATTTTTAAAGCAAAGTTATTAAAATTGTCTATGGCCATTCTATGATCTTAAAGGAATGGAATAAGCAGAAGGGATGACTATATACATACAATTTTTCTTCTTAAATACAAATGCATTCTGATAAATGTTATTTGATTTCCTTACATACTAGCAAAATTACTGTAAGTTAATGCTCTGTAAGTGACCCATTATTTCATATTTTGTATTTATTTAAAATGCTAGTTCATGAAAACGGCTACTCTCTAAAGAGACAACAACAAGACTTTTAGAGCCATACTATTACTATTTTCATGTTTTACCAACAACACTGGTAAAACCCCACAGATCTTTATGATCAATAAGTAGTTAATTTAGTTCTGTCATCTAGACTACAAAGTGTGTGTTTGTCTCTCTTTCCTGTCTGCACACATACTGACACACACACATACACACATATATAAATACACATATTTATTATATCAATGCAATTTGCTAGCTAATTTAACTTAGGGGAAAGTTTGAAAAACTGAAGATTCATTTCAATACACAAATTTACATAAAAGGGATATTGCATATTAAAACAAAAATGATTCGACCTAATTCACATACAAGATTTTTCTGACAATGATTCATGATACCTTTAATACCATCAAGTGATCAAAACTACAGTCAATAATAAGGCGAAGGGTGCTATGAACAACATCTCTTCGAACACGTTTTCTGTCATGTCCATCTGAGTTTGGTTCCATTTGACATTGTCGCTCTAATTTTTTCCTCTTGCGTTTTTCTTTTCGCTTTTGTCTAAAATTAGTAATTGAAATAACATTTTGTTATTGTGTATTCAGTTATTTACAAGACTCTTCTAAATAAACAATTCCTTTTAAAAATCATCAGGTTAAATCATATGAAATTGTCACTTCTGTGACCATTCAAAAATGGTCAAGTATTAGCAGTTTTATACAACCCATCTAAAAGCTTCAGATAGGAAGGAAATGAGCTTCCAAAAATGATCTAAAGCTTTCTATCTAAATCCTAACTATACTATCTGAATAGTTTCATTTGTTATTGGTATCATACTATCCCTAACCTTATAAATACTGAGTTTGAGTTATGACGAATTTTATTTTCATAATTTACCTATATGATTTTTAAGCCACATTTATAAGGTATAGAAAAAAGCAAAATAAAATTGTTCATTAAAAAAATTACATACTTTTTCTCTAATTTACACCAACTACAGTTTATTTTCTCTCCATAAATTTTGGCATTTATTACAACGACAAATTTAGCCAAACTGCTTTCACCAAAACCTGCAACAGTTCTTGTGGCAAAATCAATGTCAGGCCAAAACTTGATCTTTCTGAGTTGGCTGTTTTTATTCCATAACTAGCACACAGACACTAATTACATCCCTTATCTAAGTCAGTTGTTTCAAAAATTGTGCTGCTACTCATAATAAGGTTCTGCATTAGAAAAAGTGTTGAGTGCAAGATCATCAACAGTGCTAAAAGAAACCCAAACAATTTTAAAAAATAGTTTTAACAGCCAGTTGACAGTGTTAGCTAACAATATACGTTGTTAGCTTCAATTTTCTTCTCTTGCGTTTTTCTTTACGCTTTTGTCTAAAATTAGTAATTGAATTTTAAGTAACACAATTACATTTAATATGCCAAAGGGCTATGCAAGGTTTAACATTGCATATCTCTAAATAGGAAGAGAGCATATACATTTTGAAACACATACTTGCGGAGTTCCCGTTGCTCTTCCCATTGTTTCTGTTTTATTAGTTTTTTCATTTGTCGTTTAGATATTGGTTCACACCCTTCACCTAATCTTGGCTTCTGGCTCTCCTCTTGATCTTCATTTATGCCTTGCTTTTTGTCAACATTAGAAGTTTCAATAAATGCTGGCAACATTTCAGATGACATTATTTGGTGCCTCTGAAAAACAACTTTTGACATGAATAGATAATTTACAAGCACAAAAAAGTTAAAAAACTCAAATAATCAATATGATTAAAGTTAAACCATAAAATAATATAAATAAAACTTTAGACAAATAAATGTCATTTAATTGTAAATATCATTTAAATACCATTTAATATCAATTAAATATTCAGCAATGCTAGTAAAGGTCTAAAGAAATGGGGTGTTTCATATACTACTGGTGGTCATGGTACAATTTTTCCAGAAGGCAACACATATATATGTTTTAAGAGCTTCAAAATCTCTATTTAGACACCCTTTGACTCAGTATTTCCTTAAATTTCTGTAAATAAATCAGAAATGCACACAAAAATGTGCACAAGAGTATATGCAATGCAGTGTTATTTTTAACAGTGAAAAGTTAGAAACCTCCTGAATGTCAGTGAAAGGAAACTAAACAATTACGGTTAATCTATAACATGGGCAAGGAATATTAAGCAGCCAGAAAAACTTATATATCCAAAAATATTTAATGATAAGGGGAAACGGTTATACATTAAACAAAATCAAAGAAAACAATATATACATTACGACCAACTTTTTTAAAAAGGTATACACACACACGTTTAATTCTTACCCACAGTTTTCTGCATTTTCTAAAGTTATATAATGAAAATATATTGTTTTTAATAAAACAAAAAATTTTAAAAAGAGATGAAAAGCATCTTTTCTATAGTCTTTTTTAATGCTGTAGAATGAGGGAAACTACAAAAAGACAGAACTGATTTTTAAAACTGAAATCAATAACCAAGAAATAAATTCACTTGATACAAATTAAAAATAGGGCAATCAAAATGACTTTAAAATAAATTTGGCTGAAATATTTCAGAGAGGTCATAAGGGAATAAGAAGTATAAGAACAAGACAGAAAGTTGTGATATAAAAGCAGGCTTTACTAAAAAGTAAAACAAGAATCAGTGAAAAAGAACAGAATCAGTGAAAAAGAATCTGTGAAAACTAGGAAATGAAGACATAAAAAGTTCAATAGAAGAGACAAACTCCAGATTATCTGGAGTCCCAAGAAGTAACTGATGACTTAGAAGACAATCTGACTCAGGATGCAGACACAAATAGAACAGAAAAATAATATGGAGGAGCAGTAAAGACTTGGATAACAGAATAAGAGAGATACAGGAAAAAAAGGTAATTAGAGATAAACATATAGCCTTGAATGCATTCATTAATTTTTTTAAAAAAAATCTAGAAAGTAAGGTAAGCATTCAATTTAAGAAACTGGAGGTGGGGAAACTGAATAAGCCTAAAAAGGCTAGATGGAAAAAAATTAAAAAATATGTATTTTGATCCCCTGGATCACTTTTATTTTCCTTTCTTGCAATACACAATACATTAAATAAAATTCAGCTATGCAGGTATCCAAAACGACACCGAGTGGAGGAAACTTAAAAGCACAATTAAAATTCACAGGAAACAAATTGCTCTCTTCATGAAATAATAATATTCCAAGAGAGTACATTTCTGTTTATCAGTGGCATCATTTTCAGTTAGTTCTCTATTTTATTCAAAAACGGCATGTGTTGATTAGCTCTATGTGAAGATTTTTTTTTTTTTTTTGGAGACAGAGTCTTGCTCTGTCACCCAGGCTGGAGTGCAGTGGCGCGATCTCCGTTCACTGCAACCTCCGCCCACTGCAACCTCCGCCTCCCAGGTTCAGGCGATTCTACTGCCTCAACCTTCTGAGTAACTGGGATTACAAGCGCGCGCCACCACGCCTGGCTAATTTTTGTATTTTTAGTAGAGAAGGGGTTTCGCCACGTTGGTCAGGCTGGTCTCGAACTCCTGACATCGTGATCCGCCTGCCTCGGCCTCCTGAAGTGCTGGGATTACAGGCGTGAATCACCAGGCCCGGCCTACGTGAAGACTTTTTAAAGAGCAATGTAATGTTTTACAGGTCATGTACACCAGGGGGAGCATATGCCTTTCCTATCTAAGAAGTCTTAAGTTAAATTTAATATGACCTGTCATAGTACATTAATGTTTCAATCTCTCAAACACAAGGAAAGGTCATGAGATGGTCAACATCTTCATCATCATCATCATCATCTTTTTAAAAACTATTCCTAACTAAGAAAACGACTGTACTAAGTGAAGTTTTTAGGCTTTAAATAAGCCAGGTGCACTGAGACAAATGGAATGCAACAAAAATGATGCTAACCTGATATCTTATAAATTATTCCGTATAGTATACTTTACAAAGATATCTACCAACTCGCACTGTCTACACTATACAATAAGTATAATGTATATCTACACTGCACTATGTACTAGCGTGTTCAGATTACCTGTTAAGCAAAACAGCATTTTATTAGGTATACTTGCTTTCTAATTGTTTTAGTTTGGGCAATAATTTATAAAATTCCATGGCAGAGTTTTTCATTCCTTTCTCACATGCAGTGATGCTCACAGTACATTTTCATTCATTCAACCAAGTTCAACAAATGTTCAAGAACGTATTTTACAGTAACTATAAAAATATTTGTGTGAGGTCGGGCGCAGTGGCTCATGCCTGTAATCCCAACACTTTGGGAGGCTGAGGTGGGCGGATCACCTGAGGTCAGGAGTTCAAGACCAACATGGCGATACCTCGTCTCTACTAAAAATACAAAAATTAGCCAGGCGTGGTAGTGGACGCCTGTAATTCCAGCTACTCGGGAGGCTGAGGCAGAAGAATCGCTTGAACCCGGGAGGCAGAGGTTGCAGTGTGCCATGATCGCAGCACTGCACTCCAACTAGGGCAACAGAGTAAGACTCCGTCTCCAAAAAAAAAAAAAAATTATATATATATATATGTGTGTGTGTGTGTGTGTGTGTGTGAAATTTTACTCCTGCATAAAATTTTAAAAATTTGTGGGGTTCATTCGCAGACATAGGTTATTAAGTGGGCTTACAAACTATCTCACTTTGTAAGGCAAGGACACATCCTACATCAATGAGCACCAAAAGAAAAAAAAAAGTTTTTTAAAACTGCATTAAGTTATGGATTGGGATAAAATAAATAATCGTCGTTAATTTATGACAGTCTCCTTTTCAGAAAAATCTCAACGAATGTGGGAATAATGCAGATTGGAATTAATGACTTGACAGCGATAGCAAAGGAATGCCTTTTTTTTTTTTTTTTTTTTTTTTTTTTGAGAGGGAGTCTTGCTAGGTCGCCCAGGCTGGAGTGCAGTGGCGCAATCTCGGCTCACTGCAACCTCTGCCTCCCGGGTTCAAGCGATTCTCCTGCCTCAGCCTCCCGAGTAGCTGGGACTACAGGTGCGCGCTACCACGCCCAGCTAATTTTTGTTATTTTTAGTAGAGACGGGGTTTCACCACGTTGGCCTGGATGGTCTCCATCTCTTGACCTCGTGATCCACCCGCCTCGGCTTCCCAAAGTGCTGGGATTACAGGCATGAGCCACTGCGCCCGGCCTTTCTTGTTTGTTTGAGACGGAGTTTCGCTCTTGTTGCCCAGGCTGGAGTGCAATGGCGCAATCTCGGCTGATTGCAACCTCCGCCTTCTGGGTTCAAGTAGTTCTCCTGCCTCAGCCCCCCCAGTAGCTGGGATTACTGGCATGCGCCACCACGCCCGGCTAATTTTGTATTTTCAGTAGAGACGGGGTTTCACCATGTTGGTCAGGCTGGTCCCGAACTCCTGACCTCAGGTGATCCACCCGCCTTGCCCTCCCGAAGTGCGGGGATTACAGACGTGAGTCACCGCGCCCGGCCAGGAATGCCCTTTTAAAAGACATGCGGACTAAACGTGGAGGAGCGAAAAGCCCTTTGTTCACTTCAGTTGTCAAGCCTTTTGGGCAGAGGGTTGGGAATG
This sequence comes from Homo sapiens, assembly GCF_000001405.40. Taxonomy (NCBI): domain Eukaryota; kingdom Metazoa; phylum Chordata; class Mammalia; order Primates; family Hominidae; genus Homo; species Homo sapiens. Next base: position 99,563,221 of record NC_000004.12, read on the forward strand.
GAAGGGGCAGATGAAATTCTTTCAGAAAGTGACAAGTAATGTGTTGCCATCCTCTTCATATCTGTAGAAAAATTCCCAAATTTAAAGTATTTCAGTGAAATCAAGTAACACTTCGATCTTTATAAAACTGTCCTCAGCTCACAGCACCTGCAGCAACTTCCCCTCGGGCTCTCTACATTTCAGAGAGTTCAGCGACGTCAGCCCTTTGCAGGAAAAATGAGGTAAGGCAGCTTTAAAGAGGTAAAGCCCACGGTCTCTAGCCACGAAGTGGCAGGGCCATAACACGCTTTCCGGCCCTTTAGAGTACAGATTTCCCACTGATTCTTTGCAAACTCACTTTTCACATACTACGGGCCGATGGCAACCCCAAAACACACGCCGACGGAAAGCGCCCCACCACGGGGCGGAGCCTCGCCCACTATCCCTTCTAGGCTCCCAGCCAGCAAACGCATTTCAGAGACGGGATTAAGCTGTCTCTGGCGAACCAGGGAGCAGCTGGGTAGGCCGCGGGGGGCGCCTGTCATCGACGTCATTTCCTTCAGCAAGAGCGCCGCAGGAAACCACTTCCACACCACTGCTCCCCTCTCCCCCGGAAGCCCTTGTTGCTAGTAGGGGGCTGCATGGCACGCGCCCCTTTGCGTCCAGAGAATACCATAGTGCGGGGGAGCGCCAACCAGTGCCAGGACACTTACCGAGCTGAAGAGTTGACAGGGAAGTGAAATCTCAGAAAGAAAGCCTTTCTGGGTTGGCCTGGTTACGGCTCACGCTTCCTTCCACAGAAACTTCAATTCCCAGAGGCAGGGGCGGTAGTTACGCAGTGGAGGCTACGGCGGTTGCGTCTTACGTCATCGAACTGCGGCCATTTCGAACCCGCAATGGAAGAAAGGGGAGGGGTTTATGCGGGGCGGGGTCTGGAGTTAGTGTTTTGGGAGTGGGAGGTAGTTACAGTGATGTCTGTTTTTTCCCGTTCAAGAATTAAGTGTGTACCTGCAGACGTGTATTCATTCATATATTCTTGTGAGTATTGGATGAAGGAATTAAGATAGTCCCACTGTTAAAAATGCAAAACAACGAAGAAAGGCTCCTAATTTTTCTGTGTTGAAAATGAGAGAAAAACATCTCTTGCCTATATTATTTTTAATTTATACAGAAAATTACCATATCACATGATTTTACATAACTCAAGTGGAAAATTAAATTCAAAAAGTGAGTCAGATTCACAATAAAATGCATTTAAATTTAGAATCTGTAAGGCTTTTTTATGGCTGAAGTAAAACAGCCATAGCTTTACTCTTTATTCATTCCTTGAGCTATTTTTCCTATGCTGTTTTGCAAAACATCAGATGACATTTCATTGTTTATAATACTTGACCTTATATAATCTTTTGCTATATATAGATCATGTCAACTGAGAGAGAAATGAAATACAACCCCGTAGATTGTCATTTTCTATTTAGTTTTTTTCTCCTCTACTTCTAATAGGTGATTATTGCAGAATTTGAAGGTAAGAATGAGGTTTGCATCTTGAATAGAAGACTGGCTTCTCATATAGAAAGAATTTTGAAGTAAATTATCCTTGAAGATATTTGAACATGTTTAAAGGCTTCAGTGAATAGAAAATTAAATCCAGAATTTGAGATTCTCTAAAAGAGCCGAAATTTCTTTGACTTTAGTTACAAAACTAAAGTCACTCTTGCCATAAGCCCTTAAATTTTACTTGAAACACTGTATCAGCTATAACACTGTTGTGAGTCCCTCTTCTGTTTCTTCCTCATCTCAAACCTAAAAGATCTTTGTTAACTGAGCACTGGCAAAAAAGTCTGGATCCACTTCTGATCTGTTAGTAGGGCATCTTTTTTCAGCTGCCTCCATATGAGGGCAAAGAGTAGCTGAGGGAGGATTAGTAATTGGATATGTAGCCCTTCACATGTAGGTCATTAAATTCAGGCTGGCAAAGTGATGTGCCAAATCTTTCCACAGCTGTTCAGTTGCTCCTATGGGATCTGTTTTATAAATAATTATACAGTTTTTTCAGAGTTAATACCTGGCCTCCTTAGATATTTTAAACAAAGTTTTAAAGCAAAAAAAACCACTTCATATTCTAATAATGAAGTCAATAAATTTTCTTTTGACATAGACATTTAACTTTGTAGTCATTTGGTGCAAAATTTAAAATGATTCTATTATTAATCCAAAGTAAGCACCAAAAGAGCACCAGCAAAAGTCAATTTAACAAAAAATTGAAACATATAGAAAGTTTAAGACGGTGAAATCATGTGAAACAATATTTTCATTGATTTGTAAAATTTATGTATTTATTTATTTGACACATGTATCGAGTTCTATGCGTTTTGTCTTAGTATTGGTGATACAGAAATGACGAAATCATGCTCTCTGTGCTTAAGGAATCCTTAATCTAATAGGGGAGCCAGCAGTAAATAAATACCATACAACATGTACTTGAGATGCTTGTACTTTGAAAGAAGCAACTAAATGCTCCTTGAGGCAGAGGACATAGTTTTGGAGATTAAATAATTTTGTTTCATCTTGGAAAGTAAGTAGGAGTTGTACAGGTGTCAGAAAAGTGAAGAAGTTTAAGATATTGGGAACAGTGAAAGCAAAGACCTAAGCGTGTCATAGTTTTGCACATGACTGAAAAGCTGTGGATAGAATGAGGAAGAAGGAGGAGATAATAACCCTAAGGGCTTCTCTAACTTGGACAACTGTAGGAATGCAGTAACATTAACCGGGTCATTTAGGGAATACTGGAAGAAAAATAGGTTTTGAGGCCGGGCGTGGTGGCTCACGCCTGTAATCCCAGCACTTTGGGAGGCCTAGGCGGGCGGATCACGAGGTCAGGAGATCAAGACCACCCTGGCTAAAACAGTGAAACCCCGTCTCTGCTGAAAATACAAAAACTTAGCCGGGCGTGGTGGCGGGCGCCTGTAGTCCCGTCTACTCCGGAGGCTGAGGCAGGAGAATGGCGTGAACCCGGGAGGCGGAGCTTGCGGTGAGGCGAGATCCTGCCACTGCACTCCAGCCTGGGTGACAGAGTGATACTCCGTCTCAAAAAAAAGAAAAAAAAAAAAAAAAAGAAAAATAGGTTTTGAAAAAATAGTTTTGTTTTAAAATATGTGCATTCTGGGGAGTCTGCAGGACATCTGAGTAGAAACAGATTTTAAAAAGAATGAGCACATACTTGTAGTTTAAGCTAATATAAGAGGTTGGACTCAAAGAGATACTACTCCATGGGTTACAAATGCATAGTATCTATGGGGACTGGAAGGTAGCAAATGAGAGAAGCGTCTAGAAGGAAAGTATCACAAACCTGAGAGTGCAATTCCTCTTTAATCAGGATAAAAGTTCCAGGAGAGAATATGGGCTTAATGGCACCAGATCTCATTTTTTTAAGAACAGCCATAAATATGAAATCTGGTTTTAAAGTGTTGGCAGCTATTTTGTTTGTTTTAAAATACTGAGCAGACTAAATAAAATATGTCTGTGGGCTATATTCAGACAGTTGGCAACCAGTTTGTTAAATTGGGCCCTAGTTGGTAGAATAAGAAGGAGGCTACAGACAGAACTAGAACTTTAGGACATAAAAATACAGTAATAACTATGATTATGAACCCCTCCGTAAGTTTGATTTCAAAACATTGGGCAATCATTACAAATTCCATTATTTTAAGCTTAATTCTAAGTCTTAGGATACTCTTCAGCAAGTTGGGAGTTGAGGAGATGTGGAAATAGAGTAACACTTGTGAGTACTTTAATTTCAGGCTAGGAAAGCCAAAAAGAAACCCATTTTTAAACATGACTTGAAAGGTAGCTACAAGGAAGAATCGGCCACTCATCTATAATCATTTCAACCTGCATTTCGACTGACTCCAAAAATACAGAAAAAAAACTTTAAAATGTATTTGTACATTTACATACTTATACATACATATTACTGGTATCCTCCCACGTAATATATGAATATTGAAGACTCTGGGAAGGTGATTAGACAGGCAGTGTAGTCTGTGAACTTCCTGAATCTCCTGATAAAAACAGGTAAAGCATCTAGGATAGACAATAACAAAATCCCAGAAGATAGCTATAACATAACTAGGTGAAAAGGAATCCCTAAAACCTCAAAATATGAACAGGAAGGAGCAAACCCAACTTAATATCAGCAACTGTGTAGGAGGGAATAGTGGGAAGACAACAGATCATCTGAAGACCCTCAGAATGGGAAGGCCCCAAAACTGCCAACAAAAAATCACTAAAAAACAGAGGAAACCAATGTGAGGTCGGCGTCAAAACTGGCAGGTTGTTCAGCAGACTCTAAGCTCAGCTAAGTGTGAAGGAATGAGCAGGAGGGTCTGAAGCTGCTGGAGGGATGTGAGGCCTGTAAATTCTCGAAACCAACAAACTGGAGCTCCGTTCTTGAACATAGCCCAACACTAGGGAGAAACTACTGAAAGTAGAATCCAAATTGAACAGAACAGAGACAATAGGGGCCAACAAAAAAGCAGATGCAGATAAAAGTGGGAGAGTAGAGAGGAGACAGATCTCAGAAAATATGAAGACACGTGTGTCATTTTATGAAATATTAGAAAAGGAACCTCTAGAGCCATGAAACTGGAAAAGATATTCTACCCAATCCTCCCTCTTAAAAATACAGAATAACTTAGCCTAAAAATATACCACAGAAAAGGATCATGGTCGAATTTCATTTAAAGTTGCTATAATAGAAAAGAGAATATGAAGCAAAAAAAAGTGGATGAAAACTGTAATGTAATATTTCAAAACAGAGAGCAAGTTTTAAATAATAGAAAATATTAGAGAACCACATAAAAATGAAAATGATTCAAAAATAAATATTTGAAGATGAATAAAAGAACTCAGACAATAATAAGAAATATAGAAAGCACACACATATATTCACCATTGTACTGGAAATTCTAACCAGTGCAATAAGATTTAAAAAGAAAATAAAAGGAAGGAAGAAATAAAACCATTTGTAGATGACTGAATGTCTGTCTAGAAAATCCCCAAAAACATACCAAAAAAAGACGCTCACTAAACTAATAAGCAATTATAGTAAGGTCACATGATATAAGGTTAACATGCAAAAGTCAATTGCCTTCCTATATAGCAGCAGTGCAGAACTGGAACTTGAAATTAAAAAGAAACAACCCCTCCAAAATGAAATAGGTATAAATCTAAAAAATTTGAGCAGAATCTACATGAAGAAGTTGCAAAACTCTGATGAAAGAAGTCAAAGAAGATCTAAATAAATGGAGAGATATGTGTTCATAGATTGAGAGACTTGATGCTGTAAAAATGAGCACACCTAGTGTCCAGATCTTGGTTTCTAGTACAGTTCTTCAATAAAGGAAACCAGAGATTCTTGGAGAAATGAGTGATTCTAAGATTGGAGTAAAAATGCACAAGATGACCTGGGAGCATCTTGCAGTGCCAGATAATAAGGAGATGCTAAAAACCAAAACTAAAACCAGAACCCAAACAAAACACATTTATGGGGTATGTCAAAGGAACGGGGCCAACTGAAGGAACTCCCAGTGGCTAAAGATAGAACAATTGTTGCAACAAAGAAGGATTCAACCTTAACCCAAAGTATAAATTAAATATCCACAAGTCCTTATTGATATAGTGATTAAATAAATCAATTGGAAATTAAAGACAAATTTCCCATGTGGAGGAATTCAAATAATTTACGTAGCTACTCCACCCTCAAGGAGGAGGAACATAACTCCTCACTCCATAAATGTGGGATGTACATAGCATTTCCTTCCAAAGAGTGCACTATGAAAAAAAGGGTGAAGAAAAACAATTAACTTTACAATGGAGAAATCTGACAACACTGCTGAGCCAGGTGATCAAAGTCAATGTAAATAGAGATAAATCATGTTGATATTATGTACCTCTGATGTAATGTGGTATCAAGAAAATAGCACTTTACCTCTGTGGTATTCCTCCTCCAAACTTAACAACCTCAGTCAAATCATGAGAAAAATACCACAAAAATTCACTAGAGGAATATCTTGCGAAGTATCTGACCATTTCTCCTCAGAGCTATTACAGCCAAGAGGAGCCTAAAGATACTTGAGAACTAAATGTAATGTACCCTGGATGGGAGATTGGAAAAGAAAAAAAGAATTAGGTAAAAACAAAAGTAACCTAAATAAAGTATGAATTTTAGTTAATAATATATTAATATTGGTTTATTAATAATAACAAATCAACTACACTAATGTAAGTTATTAACAGAAGTAACTGTGCAGGCTATATGAGAAATCTTTGTGTTATTTTAGCAATTTTTCTGTAAATCTAAAACTGTTATAAACAATAAACCTATTTTAAAGTAACATATACATTATACAATGTGAGAAAATATAATGGCAAAAAAAGAAAATGCAAGCACAAACTATATTCCGTCTCTCAGGGATAATAATTATTAAGGTGTTCAGTGAATATTGTTCTAATCCTTTTTCTGTGCTCATATGTATGTATATTGTTTAAACAAGAAATCTCAAACCATATCTACATCTGCTGTTTACCAGACTGCTTCCTTTACTTACTAAGATATGGTAAATATACTATATTTACAAGTTTACATATTTACATATACCAAACTATACAAAATACACACTTTTATAGTATTATTTTAAAATGGCTTCATGGAATTCTGTTGAATTGATACGCCATAATTTATTGAACTATTTTTGTCATTAACCAAACATGGTATCCAAATTTTCACTATACCACAAAGTTCCTTGTGACACCATTTTTAATGTTTTTTTTTTGTGCACTTTATGCCTAACTCCACAAGACACTGTTATTAAGAGCCAGTGTGTTTCTCCACCATACTTTCTTTGCTCTTCATCCCTTCTTGCATCTCAGATTTTATCTGGGGTCAATTTTTTTCTAATTGAAGCAGATTTTTAAAGATGTCATTTGGAGGAGTCCTTTACTGGTAAATTTTCAGTTTTAGTTTTTCTGGAAAATCTCTATTTCAAGTTTATACTTAAAAGACATCTTTACAGAATATATATAGAATACTTAATTCACAAGTATTTTCTCTCAGCACATTGAAGACAACATTCTAATGTCTCCTAATTTTCATTGATACTGTTAATAATTTAGTAGTTGTCTGCTTCTCTTTCTTCTTGAAAATAATCTGTCCTCTCTATCTAGTTCCTTTAAATATCTTCTCTCTCTCTCTGATATTCTGCAGTTTAATTATGATGTATCTACTTGTGTGTATGTGTGTTTTAAAAATTATCCTGCTTAAGACTTATTGAGCCTCGTGAATCTGTGGATTGGTATCTGTGATAGGCAGACAATGGCTCCCCAAAGATCTTAAATGTCTTAATCTCCAGAACCTGTGATAGTCTAAGTTAAGGTTGTAGATGAAATTAAAGTTACCAATCCACAGACCTCAGGGTAAAAAGATTATCCTGGATTATTTAGGCAGGCCCAGTATAATCACAAGGATTCATAAAACGGAAGAGGGAGACAGAAGAGATGGTCAGAGTGATATGAAGTAAAAAGGATTCAGCTTACTCTTGCTGGATTTGTAAATGCAGGAAGGGACCACGAGTCAAGGAATGCAGGTAGCTTCTAGAAGCTAGAAAAGGTAAGAAACAAATTCTCCCCTAAAGCCTCCAGAAAGGGATACACCTGCCAATACTTTCATTTTATCCCTGTGAGACCAGTGTTAGACTTCTGACCTCCAAGAGTATAAGACAATAAATCTGCTGTTTTAAGCCACTAAGTTTTGTGGTAATTTGTTATGGTAGCTATGGAGAACTGATACAGTGCCTTTCAATAGTTCTTGGAAATTCTTCAAATATATTCCCCAAATATTGCCTTTGCACCACTCACTCTATCCTCTATATCTCTTGACCTCTCTTTAACATTTTTTATTTTCTTATTTTGGTAATTATTTAAAACAATTGGCTTCTTGTTCCACTTCAAATAAATTCATATTTTTATATCTACATATTAAGAATTAGTTCATAAATGTAATTGTTGTATCGTATATACTTTAAAAGGAAAATTGCATTTATACTTGGATATTATTATATTTTAGGTTTTGAAATTTCTTTTTTTAAATGTCTGATAAATTTATTCTGATCAAAATTAAAATCTTATTGTATTTACAGTAGTCTACTAAAAGAGTTTACATCAATTCTCTCCTTTAAATGCTAGCAATTCAGTTTTGTGTGGTCAAAGATAATTTAGAATCCTTTTATGGTAACTGATATGATACAAAGGATTTTTTTGGTTGTTGTCAAATTTGTATGTGCGTATATATGTATAGGGGGTAGAAAATTTGGTTAGTGACTCTATTTTGGAAAAATGAATGTTCTTTTTGGAGTTTTAGATTCCCAGTGTTTCAAACCAAGTTTGCTTTTGATAAGGAATTCAGTGAATCTTTATTTTCTCGTAGAGAATTTTTAAACAATACCTTTCAAAATATTGTATGTATTCCTATATAATTTTGCCTTGGAATAAAAAAAGTCATCACATTAAGAATATTTTTAACTTAAGAAATTTTTTCAAGATTCTTTCAAAATGCTAACTCCCTCATTGATTTGAAAATACTTTTAGAGTTTAAACTATTATGACCATGTAGGGATAACTTAAAGTGTCCTTCTAAATTTTTTTTTCATTAATGTCATGCTTCTTTCTAAGAACAAAGTGTTTCAATGTTATAAACAGACTGTTTTTTCACATAGCTTTCATACATCCTGACTTTCTATATCTAGTAGGGTAATACATTTCCTTCCAACCTTTAGTGGGGTGAAGTTCATTTGTCTTCTAATCTAAGAAAATACGTTAACTCCTGACAACCTCTGACACTCAACAGAAACACAACTGTACTTTGGAATTAATCATCCATCTTTATTTCATAGTCTCCTTATTTATCAATGCAAATGGAAGTATAGCAAATATTTCACAGTGTCATGTACTACCTAAGGAATTTCATTGCAATAGCATTGTTTTGAAATGTATCATTTGATTTTGATCTAACTATCATAGATCAGTTTTACCCCTGTATGTTCAGCCTGAATGTCTAACCACAATTTCACAAAAATCAAGGGCTCTGTTAGTTTTCATACAAAATTGTGATGACTTATTATGAAGACAGTCCCAATTAACAATTGCATGTCATCTGTAAGAAATCAATTTTTTTCTCACTCCCCACCTGTAATTTTTTTTAAGCAAAGAAGAATACTTGGGTCTAGGTTTCAAGGTTTATTTTTCTGTAGTCCTAATATCACTTCAGTAAATTAATCTGAGACTCATTTTTCTAATATGTCAAATGACTGTTGTAAGGATTATTATAAAAACGTAAGGTGATTAACAAAGTATGTAATTGTTCCATAGATGGCAGCTCTTGTTTTTTTACTGTGCTTTGCTTCTGCCCTGCTTCACATATTATGTAAAATAGCTGGTGAGTTTTAGGAGGTAGTGCTCACATGTTTGCACAGTGTTTGCTGTGGACGATCAACAGTAACAGAAGAGCATACTTCTTCGATACACAGAGTTTACTGAATTTGGAAAGGCTTTGGCATTCTTATGTCATCTGTAATGAAACAATCTCCAGAAGTCTTTTCTAAAATGTCCTTGTAAAAAGAAAAAAGTTATGTTTATATTTTATAAAAGGATGATGTTATTTATAACCAGCAGAAGCAGCCTTATTTGAACATCTTATGTTGAAATTGCTACTTAATACAGTGACTCATAGGAGCTTTCTAGTGGAAATCAAATGCTCAAATGAAATAGAATTTAGTTTGTTAGGCAATAGTGATATGTCTTTTATTGGTTGGACTCTGGAAAACACTTGACAACGAATAGTACTTTACCCGAAGGGCACGTATCATGCACCACATAGCCTAACCACAAACATTAAAGGTCTTGTAACTGTGAGCCTCAAATGAAAATACATAAGGACAGCTCTCATACAATCAAATACAATACAAACTAGCTTTTAATTTAAATAAATATGTAAGTAAAGTTCAAGTGACTATAATGATTTTATATCCCTATGTATGTATCACAGAAATTGTGGCAAACTGTAGAAATCTATTCAAATGGAAAGTAACAAAGCACTTTCACATTGCCTTGTATTCAAAATCCCTACTCTTCATAAAAACTTATATTTCTTTAACAAAGCTACTTTTCTGTTTAACTCCCGGAAAACTTCGTATTTATAACTTAAGGGGGTTTCTCCAACCAAACAATTTATTTTTGCTAGGTACTATAGCTATATTTTTTATACAAAATTTGTGACAGCAAATGAAATTCTAATCCCAATAGAAGAACAAACAATTTTCATGTTTCGATCTTCATATATATAATTCAAGAGGAAATATGCTTAACTTTGTAGATTTTTACATTTTAAATTGCATTGTGTCTGTATCAAGTCTACTATCTTTTACCTAGATTGTCTGGAAGATTTAAGCTCAAGGTTACGGTTTGAGAAAAGGGTTTTGAGAGTGACCAGGATAGATTTAAGAATTCATTTTATACTAAAATATGGCCATAAATATTTTTAAATACATTCAAATAGCCCTTTGCTGGCACATTTTTTCCCTTCTTTGCCAAAACATTCCCACAGGCGGCCTAAGTCACCTCATTTTATAGGTTTAGTAGGTTTAGCAGGCTTTATGTGCTCTAGTAGGGTTAGTAGGTTTTGTTCATATCAGGTCTCTCTCATGGGAGTTTCCAGGGACAAGGATTGCTTCAGTTAGTATGGCCTTAGCCATACTAGGGTATTTGCTTTAATTCTACAGAAGTTTTCTAATTAATATTCTGTAGCAAAAGAACTAAGATCTGGAATTCCCCCTCTTAATCTCTTCCTAGAAATGAGATTCAGAAAGGACAGGACTGCATCCAGCCTGTTTGGGAACTCAGACAAATGTGTGTTGTCACAGACACAAATAGAGGTCTACTATGAAATAATTGGCTTGCTAGTGTGCTAATGACAGACAATGCTGATTTGCTCCAACCTCATACAGTTTCACACATAAGGACAATCATCTATGTTTCATGAAAGTTCTATCTACTTTAACATTATTTTGAAGTGATTGGTGGTGGTATGAATTAACAGTTTAAATTTAAATCCTAAAATTCAGTGTGAATTTTTTATAATAGCATAAAAATTCAAAGATGTCCATACAAGAAAAATTAAAATTTGGTTAGGTTTAGCAGAGTTTGAGAATCCTTACTACCCTCCCACATAGTATTGTAATGTGAATATAGGCAGTTACTATTACAGGCATAATGATGATTATGTATTAAGCAGAAAGAAGTATCACCACCAGTTTTTTTCTTTGAATGCCCCTCAGTACTTCTGCATTTATAGGATGGTAGACTGGTTTGGTTTAGCTCTCAAAAGTGAAAACATTTAAAGTTTCCTCATTGGGTGAAAAAAATTAAAAAGAGTGAGAGACTGAAAACTGCAGCCCACCTACGTTTAATCATTAATAGTGAGCCCTTCAGTGAACTTAGGTCCTGATTTTGGAGTTTGGAGTCTGACCTTTCCCCAAAGATAAACATGATTGTTGCAGGTTCTGAAGAGGGTCACTCCCTCACTGGCTGCCATTGAAAGAGTCCACTTCTCAGTGACTCCTAGCTGGGCACTGGATGCAGTTGAGGATTGCTGGTCAATATGATTCTTCTTGCTGTGCTTTTTCTCTGCTTCATTTCCTCATATTCAGCTTCTGTTAAAGGTAAGTTTGTGTTGCCTTTTGCTAAACTTTAATTTCCATCTTTGGAGTTGGAGGCAGATACGTGCGTGTGTGTGTGTTTGTGTGAGTGAATAGTGAAAGAGTTTCTGACTAAACTATCTTCAAAACCATGTAACTTTGGAATGTTTGTGAAAGCATGGCTGAGTTGAAATGAAAACCAAATTCAAATCCCTACAAACATTAAGAAAACAGATATTTCTTTTAGTTTCAGTTCCTCAGACCAGTGTGTTCTTGCTTCAATTTCTCATTCATGGTCTGTTTTTAAAAGAAGGAAAAAAGATACCCACTATTGTTACCTGCTGTTGTTGGTCACATTGAATGCAGCTCCTTCATTTGAATTGTAAATGAGGATTTTTTTTAAAAACCGAGTTCTTAAATTTTCTTTTAGTTGCTTAGCAATGTGACCTCAAGAAGAATTAGACCCAATGAAAAAGGCATTTGATTTGCCAAAGAATTATGAATGAAATGGCACAACATATATTTAATTCCGTTACAATTAAAAAATGATAGAATTCATAGTGAATTAAAGAAAATTAAATTTCCTGATACAGATTTAAGAAATAAGACATTATCTTTGGAAAAATAATGTTGCTACTTACAGTTTCTATTTTAAGATGAAATTAATTTTAAAAATACATATGAATTAATACCATTGAAAAGGCAAGTGAAAAAACATTTTATGAGGAATGGTTTCATAAAACTGTTGTGAAGTGTATTAATATAGAATCATGTTTCAGATCAGCTACATTATAAACATCGGTTTTCCAAATGCTGCATTGTGTAAAATGATCACTTTTTAGTTTCTTAGGAAGACACACTGTTAAAAACCAATTGATATAACAACATAGCGTTATAGGGACCAATTTTAAAACCATGTACTCTAAGTAATTGATAGAAAACAATTCACTTATAAACTTATAAAACCTGTTAGGGATAAATGTGGCTTTTGATATTAAAGTAAAGTTTGCCTCAGGATTTTTTGTGTAGAAAATTTCCACATGAGGAAAAAAACCTAATCTTCATTATTGGAGCAATAGAGGGTTAAATTTAAACCAATTCACCTCAGCAAATCACACTGTAGGTTCTTGAACTAAAGAAAATATTTTCACCAATTTCTAAATATTTACTATTTAAACATACAGTTCTTACTTGGACAAAAGAAATTTTTTAATGAGAAGAAGATTTATAAATTATATCTGACTGAGAGTGTTATATAGAGGACTTACTATTTCATCTGCCAAATAAACTGTTGAGTAGTCAAAATATGTGTGATTTAAATACCATAGTATCAAACCTAATACCATAAGTATTTTGAGAAAAATAATTGAGACATGGTACTTATCATGAGCTTCTCCTGTTTTCCCATTTTATAAACTAGAACATTGGGTGACCTCATGTTTTCAAATATACTTATAAAAAATTTAAGGCCGGGCGTGGTGGCTCACGCCTGTAATCCCAGCACTTTGGGAGGCCGAGGCGGGCGGATCACGAGGTCAGGAGATCGAGACCATCCCGGCTAAAACGGTGAAACCCCGTCTCTACTAAAAATACAAAAAATTAGCCGGGCGTAGTGGCGGGCGCCTGTAGTCCCAGCTACTTGGGAGGCTGCGGCAGGAGAATGGCGTGAACCCGGGAGGCGGAGCTTGCAGTGAGCCGAGATCCCGCCACTGCACTCCAGCCTGGGCGACAGAGCGAGACTCCGTCTCAAAAAAAAAAAAAAAAAAAAAAAATTTAAATATACACATACACTAGACAATGGCATAATTGGGAAATGGCATAAATGAGAAAATGTGGTTTAGAATATTATAGGTAGCTACAGTTTATTGTAAACAAGCTTAGTAGTAAATCTAGATTTTTAAAGCTTGAAACATATATAATTTAGGGGCCACTTTTGAGAAAAGATTACAAAAATATCTTACTATTGCAAAGGTTACTGAAAAAGATATGGCATGTGGATACATTGCTAGGGTCCACTTCTGGAGTCTTTGGAAGGATCCTGGGCAAGAGAGCTTAAGCTTCATCAGCATCATGGTACGTTGCTTATGCTGATATCATAAATTAAAAGTGTACAACTTGAGAGCTTCTTTACCTAGATGGAATAACTTTTTGCATTATGGTACCATGATTTAATTATAGATTCTTTGCCCTTGTAACAACTGACATTAATTAGCAAACAACTTGTGAAGAGTTTACCTTAAAATCAGTCCATTTAAAATTTGGGGATCCCATGCCTCATTGCCTCAAAACTCATCTCTAAATTACCAATGCAACTGTTTGGTAAATCCTCAGATCTGGGTGGATGTTGAAGGGCAGGTTAGAATCTAAAGAAAATTGAGGCTGGGTGTGGTGGCTCATGCCTGTAATCCCAGCGCTTTGGGAGGCCAAGGTGGGTAGATCACTTGAGGTTGGGAGTTCGAGACCAGTCTGACCAACGTGGAGAAACCCCATCTCTGCTAAAAACACAAAATTAGCCAGGCATGGTAGCGCATGCCTGTAATCCCAGCTACTCAGGAGGCTGAGGCAGGAGAATTGCGTGAAACTGGGAGGTGGAGGTTGCAGTGAGCTGAGATCACACCATTGCACTCCAGCCTGGGCAATAAGAGCGAAACTCTGTTTCAAAAAAAAAAAAAAAAAGAAAGAAAAGAAAGAAAGGAAGGAAGAAAAGAAAAAGGAAAATTGAATGGCAGATTGGAATCTGAAGAGGGTATTAGGATTAGGATAAAAGAGCACATCTATATGATTTGCTGTGTGAACTTTCTAAAGACTCAAGTTTTCCCTACTTTTTCTTAATTATACTTTGTCATGGTTGGACTATTTTCAGCGCCTTCTCTGTGTTTTCCTTATATAGTATTTTTACCTTCTATTTAATTTTGTCACCTTTAAACCTGTACACTTCCTTCATTTCCAGTCTTTCTCTCAATCCCTCACCCCACCCTTACTTTTTAGTCAATTTTTATTAATCATCTTCCAGTTCTTTTTTCTTCTTACCCTTCATCTTCTTTTTTAACTTCTGACCCTTTAGTTTTCTGTTGGGTTCATAAATGCCATTACCTATCACCCTTATCATCACTGCATGTCTCTTCAAACCTCACCAATAACTCAGCTCTGCTTTGTCTTCTTGACTAAGCCAGTTATCAGTGATTGTACTCATATAAATCTGACAAAGGAGTATTTAAAAAATATTTCTTGAAGATTCAAAACTAACAGTTTTGTTGCTTTTAAGTCACTTAAAAATTCTAAATGCACTTGAAGGGCAAATGAAAGAGATTCTGACTTTTTTGGCTAATATTACTTTCTGTTTTGGTTTTATCTAACAACAGTTATCAAAAAATATTACTATACATACTCTGAAGAGCACTATCCTACAAAAGGAATTAAGTCAACAATATAAATGGGACATGCCCCAATGCCCAGTGTTGCCAGATCTCTGCAAAGCATAAACAGAGAAATACTTATCAAAAAGGAAAGTATAAGAGGATGACACTCTAGCACAGTCCACCTTATTTGAACCGTTTTAGGCTTTATCTCCTGTTGAAAGAGGTAGGAAACAGTTTGGAGGAATAAAGGGCCCATTCTTTTCTGTGCTTTAACATTTCCTACTCATAGTCAAAAATTGATTTATTATATGGCCAGTAAAGTAGAGGTAAGAAAAGAAGTGAATAACATAATAGTTTGGAAAGCTTTGGAATTTAAGAAAGGTTACCTTCCTACAAATGTTTCGTAGTTATTTTAACCAGAGGACACCTTAATATAGTCCACAGAACTTGGATTTTGGTAAATTTAAACATCAAATCTGCATTATATTTGCTATGTTGGGTTGAACTTGGGGTCAGCTTCTATCTGCTGTCACACAATGCTTACTTTTCAGAATTGCTCTGAGGATTAGATAAGACAACATGTATTTCCTTTATGCCCTATGTGGAATTTGATAGGTGTCATAAAAAGAAGGCCTCCTGACCGAAATATTTTTCCTGACCAGAAAGCCAGTATTTGAACCCGCTATAGAGTCCCCAATTACAATGCAGAAGACATAGAGATAAGAGGGAATCCCAGTCTTCATCCCCTTCAAGGTTTTTCCTGACTCTCTTTGCCTTCTGTGTCTCACACCTCAGTTTCTGCCTGACTTGGTGCTTGGACACAGCTTGGTTTTGTGTATACACATAGATCCTTTCATACTTCCTTCTCCTGGCTCTTCTTGATTCCTATGAAAATGCTTGTCCCTTTTCTTTGAAGGTTCGACAGATTATGTGACTTCACTACCCAAAATTCTATGGCAGCGTCCCATCTCACTCAAACTCCCCAAATCTTCCTGCCACCCATAGGTACCTCCTTTACCTTGTCTCCTTCACTGTGTCTTTTACTTATTTATTTCCAGCCTCTTTGGTCTCCCTGCTCTTCCTCCATTACACCTGCAGGAGCCCTCCTCGGGGCCTTTGCACTTGCTGTTTCCTCTGTGAGGGGAAGGGGTAGAAAGGGTAGGAGTTGGGGGAGGGGGATGCCCTTCCCACAGATATCCATGTAGCTCACCGAAAACCTTTGTCCAAAATGTCACCTTTCCACAGAGGTTTTTCTCTCAGCATCTCCATTCCCTTTCCTGCTTCAGTTTTCTTTATGAGCACTTCTATCATACTATATAACTTGCTTATGTACTCATTTTTTTATTGCCCTTCTCCATCGCATTTAAATGTACCTTCCAATTTACATTTACAAAGGGTAGAAAATTTACAAAGGGTATTAAATTTACAAAAGGTAGAAACTTTGTCTGCTGGTTGGGTGCGGTGGCTCACACCTGTAATCCCAGCACTTTGGGAGGGTGAGGTGGGTGGATTGCTTGAGCTCAGGAGTTCAGGACCAGCCTGGCCAACAAGGCAAAACCCTATCTCTACAAAAATATAAAAATTAACTGGGCTTAGTGGCGTGAGTGTGTGGTCCCAACTACTCAGAAGGCTGAGGTGGGAGGATCACTTGAGCCTGGAGATGAAGGTTGCAGTGAGCCGAGATCGCATGACTGCACTCCAGCCTGGGTGACAGAGTGAGACCCTGTCTCAAAAAAAAAAAAAAAAAAAAAGTAAAGAAAGAAGAAGAAACTTTCTCTGCCTTTCTCTGCTTGTTAACTGGTGTAGTCCCAGAGCCTTAAAAAGTACTTACTATTCAACAGGTACTCACTATATTCTAGTTGAATGAATGAATAAATTTCTAGCTCACTGCCTAGGAATGGAAAATAATTCAACCTATAGTTTTAGAGATATATAGTATAGATAAGAGCATCATCTTTAGAGACAGACAGCCTGGATTAAAATCATATCTCCAGCCAGACGTGGTAGCTCACATCTATAATCACTTTGGGAGGCCGAGGTGGGTGGATTACCTGAGGTTAGGAGTTCAAGACCAGCCTGGCTAACATGGTGAAACCCCGTCTCTACTAAAAATACAAAAATTAGCCAGGCGTGGTGGCACACACCTGTATTACTAGCTACTCAGGAGGCTGAGGCAGGAGAATTGCTTGAGCCTGGGAGATGGAGGTTGCAGTGAACTGAAATCGTGTCACTGCACTCCAGCCTGGCCGACAGAGTGAGACTCTGTCTCAAAAAAAAAAAAAAAAAAAAAAAAAAGAATCATGTCTCTATGATGAATTACCTGGGTGACCTTAGGTAAATTATATAGTTTCTGTGTCCCCTCAGTCTCTTCATCTATAAAATGAGACTAATAATAGTGCCTACCTCATTAGATTTTTGTGAGGATTAAATAAGTTAATACATGTAACATGCAGATGATGGATTTTTGACCACCATTTCCTCTGGGCAAGTACGTGCTGTCATATGTAGAGGAGACAGTGAACAGATTGTTACTGTGTAGGTGGGTAAGGCCTTTTCAGGCATTGCAAAGTAATTTTTGCTATCACCTTTCTCAGCTGCTTTGCTTCTTGTCTAGTCACCCCAAACCCCTTTTCTGTCCCTCTCCCCATATGTATATTTCCTGAGAGAAAAAAAGATTATGGTTGCGTGTCATAGTAAACTGGGCAATGCAACCCCATTAGCATTGAGGAATAAGGTAAACTGAAGTCTTTTTTAACTATCTCCTGAGAGCCATACATAGAAAATATACAAAAGAAAAAAGATTTATGTGACCATACATTTTAAGTCATCTCTGGGAAAGACTTGCTCCTTGGCATTTCTTTGGGCTAGGTAAACTGAATTGGATACTGTGTGAACTCATTCATACATCAGTTTTCTTGGCTCACAGTACAGATTTGTATACTATTTGATCTTTTTAAATTACCCCATGCCAACTTTAAGCCTGTACTAAGATTTCATATAGTAAAACATTATTTTATTCGGGCACAGCTAATTTAAAGTTACATATGTGCAACGCTGAAATGTACCTTTGTACTAAAAGTTTGATAATTACATTAATAGAGTAAATTACACTGAAGAGATGTTTCTTAAATATCAAAAATGTCCAAATTAAAGAACTTCCTTCTAACCACTAAAACTACCTTGGCATTGATCTGCTTGCATTTAAATAATACGTTAATTACGAATGGCTCATATTAAATTTATCAACCAATTCCTGGTGGGTCCTCTACTTGAAATCATGTTCATATAATTAAGAGAAATACAATGGCATTTAAACAAAAAAAAACCCAAAATATCTATAGTTCAACCATGGCACTATCGGATAAGTGATTAGGAATACAAACTAAGGTTCTCTGAAATGGGAGTTTATTTGTTTGTTTTTTGTTTGTTTATCTATGTTTTTCAAGTCAATGATTTCAGCAGATGAAGTAGCACCATGTTTCAATCAGCGAATATTTACCAAGCTTCCTGAGCCCCACTGTGGTAGAGAGATGCACTGATGGTGAGACAGCATGTTCCCTTACAATGAAAACTGGATATGTGTCATTATCTTTATGCAGGTCACACAACTGGTCTCTCATTAAATAATGACCGGCTGTACAAGCTCACGTACTCCACTGAAGTTCTTCTTGATCGGGGCAAAGGAAAACTGCAAGACAGCGTGGGCTACCGCATTTCCTCCAACGTGGATGTGGCCTTACTATGGAGGAATCCTGATGGTGATGATGACCAGTTGATCCAAATAACGGTGGGCATTTTCTACCAGATAAATGCAAAGATTAGATATCAGAAGTTTTTGAGAAGTGTACCATTGGACAGCACTTGTATTGGGTTCCCGTTTATAAATCCATTTAGTTTCTTATCTATCACTAAAACAAGCAGTTCTATGTATTTAAAGGTTTTGCTGATGAAAAGTGAACTGATCTTTCCAAGTTATTGCAACAGACAATAGAAGGTATATACTGGTAAACGACCAGAGTATGGTGTTCAATTCTATAGATCATGTTAATAGGGAAGTTATACTAGAGTCTTTTCAAAATGTTCTGGGAGAGAAGGGTCAATAATCCATGTTGTATGAAAAACAATTTAGACCACTCTAACTCAAGAGGAGATCAGTTAGGAGGTTCCTGCATTCCTTGATACAACAGGTGGAATTACTGAAGAGAGAGTAAACCTAGTCTGTGTTCTTCCTGAGGAAGGAACCAAGTACTCCCCTGAATAACAGTGTTTGGTCAGTTAAAATGGTTTAGATTTATGTGCTGAGAAGGGAGGCCAAATTAGTTGGTCTCTGGGGACTTTTCCAATTGTAATATATGGTGATTCCCTTATTTGCTTCTCAAGAACCTAAAGATAATAGATTCCTTGAGTAAAGTCAGTTATTCTTCTACATCTTGGTGTGAAACAGGTACACAGGACAAAGTACTTGGAACAAGTAGTTGCTGGTGTCCTTTATATTGAGGTGTCATAGCAATACATTTACAAGTGATATTTGCTTCTTTGGGTGTCTCTAATTGCTCTTGTGTTTTCCAAGTTAGATCTAAGCATCATCATCCATCTCTCTGAGCCATTTCTCAATACAACAGTAAACTGTTCTCCAGAAAACATTATATTCCTCCTTATTCAGTAATTAGACTTTATTTTTATTTACACAGATAAGGTAGAATAGGGCAGGGGTCCTTTCCAACAAGTGGTAAAGAAAGTGAAGTGATCAGGTAGACAGCAACCACAAAAAACAAATGA
Organism: Homo sapiens; assembly: GCF_000001405.40. NCBI lineage: Eukaryota > Metazoa > Chordata > Mammalia > Primates > Hominidae > Homo > Homo sapiens. Next base: position 99,583,085 of record NC_000004.12, read on the forward strand.
AGAGTGGCAATGATAGGAAAGAATCACACTCAAGTCACAATTATTTTAAGCCTAAAGTCACAGAGTTCTTTAAGTATTGCTATTTTTGCCTTATTAAAAAACCTAGTTTTTAAATACCTTCTCCATTCTTTTAAAGTGAGTGGCAAGGTCCTATAAATCATGAATTGAAAAATGACAGAAGAAATTGTGGCCAACTCTTTCTGTTTCTTTATCATTTTATTTTCAGAGATACTCTGATGAAGACAGATATAGGAAGTTTTTTTTAACAGCTTTCTTTCTGTTACTCCAGATGAAGGATGTAAATGTTGAAAATGTGAATCAGCAGAGAGGAGAGAAGAGCATCTTCAAAGGAAAAAGCCCATCTAAAATAATGGGAAAGGAAAACTTGGAAGCTCTGCAAAGACCTACGCTCCTTCATCTAATCCATGGAAAGGTAAAGGGGCGTTTAGATTCCACAACTTTTTCTCCAACTTCATATTTTTCTTCCCTTCAGTAGATATTATTTTGAGGTAATCACATTGTAACTACTTTTATGGTAAATGGAATTTCTTCAAGAACTAAAGAACAGAGGTTGTAAATTAAATGTTTCCAAACTGAATCAATGCCCTGAGTTCCCTTACATTTACTAGCCAATTTGTTTCCTATTTTTCTGGAAATCTTTATAGTGGAATGAAGTATTTATTTATTGATGAAAGGCATTATTAAAAGGTAAATTTCTCATCAAATTATAAGGGATTACAAACGTAATGTAACAAAGCAAGTCATCAAAGCATGATTGGATGAATTCAGGAAAGGAGACAAATTATGAGACTGAAATGATCCAACTGAGATTAGTAATATTGATTTGTTATGAGATTATCGATATCTGGCTAAAGTACAAGGTTAAAGATTTTAAAAGGGTATGACAAGTCTAAAGTAGAGTTTTTTTAAAGCCTTTAGAAATTATTTTAAAACTATGACATGGAAAAGCCTTTTATATATTAAAATAATGATTGAACACTTTATAATATATATTTGAAAATCTGTTTTAAAAATTCTATGTGTGCATTACTTATGGCTTGATTCTAGTCAATTGAAATGGTCTAAATAAATTTGGAATTGAGAAACAATTGTGATCAGTTGATTATTAGGCATTACATATTTGTGTTTATGAAAATTACAGATAGTGTGTTGACATACATAAAAATGTGTCTAAAGATGAGAGCTCAATTTTAGGAACAAAAGCAGGAAAACAGAAAGGGAACATTGAGTTATAATTCCATACGTCTCTGAAATTTCACTTTCTAAATTCAAAATAAAGAAAAACTGATCTTTATATACTGATAAAGTAATACTTTATTTATTTTCAACTGAAGTATTTGAAAACAAATACTTTGGACATTTCATATATGTATATTGCTAATCATGATGCACATTTTTATATGAAGTTCTAAAAAGGAACTCACAAGAAGAAATCTTGTGTTTTCACCTCGCCTACAACCAAATATGAATCACTATCTTCAAGAATGCTTTCTCTTCCTTCTTTACTTGTCAAAATACTTGCCATGTTTCTGACTGCTCACATGCCATTTCTGTCATAAAGTTCATACCCTTCCAGCCAGCTGGAAATAACCATCACTCTTTAGAATGCTCTTAGCACTTTGCAGCTCACTCATGACCCTTATCACTTTGTTTTTGGTCATTTGTGTTCATTGCTAGATTATGGGTGTTGGATAGAAAAAAATCCAATTCCTCTTTGTATTTCAGCCTCTCCCCTTCACCTCCATGCCCTTCCACTCCCTCCTTCCCCAAAGCACCCAGAATTATGCCTTGCACTGAATATTTTATGAAGCCTTCTCCGACATCTTTCCAAACCCCTGGGCCTATTTCTGTCAAAGCGTTTATCACAGTGTATTGTCACTCTCCTTTTATGTCTTGGCTCTCCACATTCAGAATAAGTTTCTCATGGGCAGAGTTGTATCTGTCTATTCAGCACCTTGCTCATAGGGGATACTGAATATAGATGCTTCTAAAATAAAGGATAAACAAATAAGATTATATGGGGCTCAACTGAGTTGAACTTTGATAAAGGTTTTACTTATTGTTTACTTAATAATAGCTAAAATGAACTAAGCACTTACTGTGTGCTAGGTGCTGACTAAAGGCATTACACGAACTGTCTCTTTTATTCTTGTAATGGCCCTGAGCAGTAAGGGCTGCCTTATCAACCTCTTGTGATAGATGAGGAACCAAAGTTAAGAAAAGTTAGGAAATTTGCCTATGGTCATACAACTGGCAGGTGGTGGAGTTGGGACTTGAAATAGAGTCTATGCTCAAACTTCTATGCCTACTGTCTTCCAGCTGGAAAGTATTTGGAGAAATGCCTGCCTCTTTGGTTGACTTGTAGTGTTCCTTATTTACATCATGAGATCAGTTGACTTATTTGATTTTCTTATGGCTCAACTTTGTTAACAACAAGAAATATTGTTATTTTCTTCTCTGAGCTTCCAATGTGGCAAGACACTTGAGTTCATAGATATTATTTGCATTTATAATCTTACTGACAACCAATCATTTTATAGCTCCTTTGGTAGCAGCTGAGTACAAAGTCTTCTGCTACACACATGAAAGGACTCAGTACCCTCACTGTTCAAAGGCTGGGATGGAACTGCCACATCATTATTTTAATAACTGCAATGGGCCAATTCTAGAGGAGCTATGATTTGCGATGATTTACTGTAACCACAGGTTAAAGTACATCATTGTATCTTTCAAGTATATAATAAAATATTTGTTGGAAAAAACTTAACAATGAGGACTAAGAAGCCAACAGGAAGTTTTGGCCATGTCACTGTCAGAAAGATCATTACTTAAATTATCATTTCAGTTTACTATGAGAGAAATTATGGACAGGCAGAGTAAGGCTATGGACAGGCTATTTTCTTAGAGAGCATTTTCTACCACAGGCTCAAATTAAGTTGTGCTCCTGAAGTTTCTGGGATTTCAAGGATGCTCATCAGCATGTAATTTTTGTCCTTCCAGACCTCCCCCTGTCTCCCTTTCCCATCTGAGGCTCTCATATTTACATTTTAAAAGAGAGTCCATTAAAATACTTAGATACATATTCATTGCACATCTTCTTTTTTCCATGCCCACTCATCTTCCCTACATAAGTGGGCATAACTCTAGTTTTGTCTACAAATCATTAAGTTGTAAACGTGACAGTTATCTGATTACGTTGATTAATGCTGACGAGTGAAAGATGCCTCAAGTTATACCATGGATTCTTTTTTAGGCCTGAAATGCTGCTCCAATTAACTGGATAATTACCAGATTTCCATTTCTGGTTTTGGCTTTGTGTTGATTAAATTAACCACGTGGCTGCTGAGTCAGACCTTTATTTTGTATTGTTTCCGGGCATTGATTTGCTCTCTAAATCAGCATGGCTCTTGTACACACACTGAACTGCCACAAGAAATGTGACACCTTGAAAGTCCTTCTGAAATTTGTTGTATATTTCTTTACTTGTTTGTTCTCCAGTGTGTCATTTCCTAGCCATGCTCTGTCTTAGATAGATATCAAAGATAAAATTACTAATCTTTGTTTGCTGGGATTCTTTTTATTATTTTTATTGTTTGGCCACTTAATGGAATTTAGTCTCCTCTTATTCTTAAAATAAATATAAAGGAAGGTGTGGAGAAAGGCATCTTCTTCCTAAGGAAAAAACAATATGAATGATGCCTACCTATTTCAAGAGGAAACTGGCCCCTCATATTTGGCTGGAAGAGGCACTGTACCACCTTCCCAGCCATTTTACCCAGTCTCCCTCTAGCTGTGGTTTCCTTGGGTTAAAGACTTCGTTTGTAACCAGGTCATACCTGCTGCTGCTCTTTGGAAGCTCTGAGTACTGTAAATTTAGATAAGAACCTGTGCTCTTGGATGTTCAGAACTAATTTCATTGCTGAATGAAGTAATCAACTTTATGGCCTGAGTATAATAAAACTTACTCAGTTCCTGTTGTGAAATAATAAATTTAAGATTATTGCTGTGACAGCCATGTGGCTTGAAATGCAAAATTCTGATTTCAGATTATTATTTTTTAAATGATTACAAGGCAGCTCAATTCTAACAGTTTTGACATTTAGCTGGTATGGATATCAGTACTATCTTCACTTTGGATCTCATCAGTCTACACTAAAGAAACAGAATTTAGGCCCTAGAAGTAGCAGTCATATAAAAGAAAAAGAGATGTGTTCATTTTTCTAGTTCTGGGGAAGCAATAAAAACTAATAGAAAGGATTAAAAAAACTTTTTTCATTGTGTTTCACAGTTTATATCTATCATTCAGCCTGCCAGGAGGGAAAAAAGGCTCTAACACCATTTTCTAAGGGATCCAGAGGTCAAGATCAAAACTTGATCCATTGCAGTGGGTCAGTAACAGATAAGCACTGAACCTTATGCACAGTCCAAAGATTAAATCCAAGAACTGGGTTTCCTTACCTTTTAGGTAAAACTTTAAAAATAGCTCAGATACATTTTGTAGCCTGGAAGGAAAGTGACATAGTGGTGACAATACTGGTATTTTTCCCACTTAGGAGATCTTGCTTTCTAAAGTATTTAAGGTTCATACCAAAAAGACATGGGCCATATAGACATGTGTGCATTGCCACTGAGTGAACACTTCTGACTATTTTGGGGCAATCTAGTTATGAACTTCTAATGGTCATGATACCTGGAGATACACTTCCAAATATTTGAAAAGGAAATTACACTGTGATTATTAGAGGAAGGAGATATAGTTTACAAAATAGAACTTCAGAAACTCAGGCTTGGGTCTGAGATATTGCCAGTGATTTGTTTGAGAATATGATACTGTGAATTTTCAGACACTGAGGTCATTATTCCAGTTCCTTTCTAAGTCGGACAAACACTATTCCAACATTTATAGGTTAGTCCAGTCTAATGACTAAAACTGATTGCCAGATAAAGTACCTAGTAAATCCATCACTAGGCAGAGTATATGTAGGAAGTAAAAATAGAGATTTGAGACACTTGTTTGGATAATTCAGGAAAAGTATTCTCTTCTTCTAAGGCACAAGATAATTTTCATGTAGACTAAATTACTGAGCTTGGTATTATTTGGATTCATTGCATAGCTATTGAGCTTTATGTTTTACTTTAGAAGCTATGGTTGGTTTTAAAGAGTACTAGGAAGGCATTCAGGATATTTCTGGTAGAAATGCTCAGCTATAATTATCATAGACCTTGGGAATTTTTACAGGGAACATGTATCTATCCTCTATTTCTAAATTGTGTGATGCATATCAAGTCTACAGGGTGAAAACCAACAAGCTGATTTTCATTAAATTCACTTTGTACTTTTATCCTTGTTTCTTAAACATTAGTTAAATTATCAAAATGGCAAAAGACACTTATCATCTCTGTGCCTATAAATATCAAAGATGATAAAACAAAACTAAGTGGCTTACTATTCCTGCCAAATCATAGTCACCCTCCTCATTTCAACCTCCTTTCTCTGCCTTCTGATGGTAACCTCAAAGCAGTGCCTGGGGCAGGTTATGCAGCAGTAGCAATCTCAACCTCAAATTTTCCAGCCTTCTGAATATATATATACACACATATATATATATGTTCATATATATACACACATATATATATGTTCATATATATACACACATATATATATGTTCATATATATACACACATATATATATGTTCATATATATACACACATATATATATGTTCATATATATACACACATATATATATGTTCATATATATACACACATATATATATGTTCATATATATACACACATATATATATGTTCATATATATACACACATATATATATGTTCATATATATACACACATATATATGTTCATATATATACACACATATATATATGTTCATATATATACACACATATATATGTTCATATATATACACACATATATATGTTCATATATATATTCATATATATATATATTTTTTTTTTACCCAATACCAATATAAATGCTCTGGAGGGTGGAAAACATTGCCCCTGTGAAATGTTGACCATGGGTATTATGGCCATGCCTGGGGCCTTGCAATAGCCCATAAAGGCTGTGCCATCTCAGGAATCTCAAAGGTAGTGATTGCCATTTTCGTCCAAGAACTTTTTTATTTGCTATTATTTTAAACCTTAGTTATTTTTTGTTTCAAGTACAGTTACAGGTAGAGAACATGCTGACATGTTCAAACAGAATGTTCATCATTTCTCTTCCCTGGGCCATCCTTGTTTTCATGAGGCTCCCAGCCTATATCAGTGCTCTCTCCCAATGCTGTGCCCATCATGCAAGAGCCTTCATTATCGGTCTCCCTAAACTTCATATTCTGATGGTCTCAGAGATTTAAATAGCTTCTTTTCACAAAAAGGAAATTCCAGATTTGGAGTGTCAGATCTCTTTCTCCCAGGATTAATACAGGTAAGAATCTGACCTTGCCTGACACTTATTTAAATCTGATAAATGATGCATTTTTGCTTCATTTGTGTTCTGTTCCCCTCTCCCCACCAGGTCAAAGAGTTCTACTCATATCAAAATGAGGCAGTGGCCATAGAAAATATCAAGAGAGGTCTGGCTAGCCTATTTCAGACACAGTTAAGCTCTGGAACCACCAATGAGGTACTTACCAATATTAATAAGGATTCAGCATCTCAATAAAATTTGTAAGGATTTCTACTTATACAATTTCAGTAGAAGAGTTACTACTAAGGTAATGCTCAGAAAAGGTGACTTGTGTAGTGAAGTCGCATTTGCCTATGAAACAATTGCCATTTATCCCAATGTTTTGTTAATTAATTACAAGGTAGAGAGGATTAGAAATATTTATACTAAAGGAGCTTCGTGGGGATCATTCCAGTGGTTCCCAGATATCACTGTGCACCACTGTACCATGGAGGGGCTTGTTACAAATATAGATTCCCTATATTCATCCCAGAGATTCTGATTCAGTAGATCGGGGAGGACCCGAACGTCTTTTTTTTTGAGATGGAGTCTCACTCTGTGGCCCAGGCTGGAGTGCAATGGCGCAATCTCGGCTCACTGCAACCTCTGCCTCCCAGGTTCAAGCGATTCTCCTGCCTCAGCCTCCCAAGTAGCTGGGATTACAGGCGTGTGCCACCATGCCCGGCTTGTATTTTTAGTAGAGACAGGGTTTCACCATGTTGGCCAGGCTGGTCTTGAACTCCTGACCTCAGATGATCCACCCGCCTTGGCCTCCCAAAGTGCTGGGATTACAAGCATGAGCCACCGCGCTTGGTCAAACATCTGTATTTTAACAGTCTTTGTGGATTATTTGGATGCATTGTCAATGTAGGGAACCACTGGTCTATACCAACACTGTTCATTTTGCAAAAGAAGAAACTAGAGAAGTTAGGTGGATCTTCCAGTATCATACCTGGAGTCAAGGCTGGAGTCCAAGTTTCTTAGACTGAATTCAACCAGCCCATGAGTGGGTGAAAAATCTGATGGTAGGGTTGGACCAAAAGAATGTTGGTTAGCTTGCTAGAAAAGAGACCTCTGCTTCTGTGATGCTGGCAGAGGCCCCAGGAAAAAGCTCAGAGAAGCTAGACAGAGTCTGTATTGGGATACATTTGCCTAAACTCAAACTGATGATGTAGCTAATGATGATTTGAGTTAATCCCAGTGGATTTTAATTAATCCCACAGGATTTTAAGAATTTCTAATCATGTTCAGCTAGTTGAAGTTACACACACACACACACACACACACACACCACACACACACAGAATCTAGATACAGCATTAACAATCAACTCCCTTGCCACAGAATTACCCATTTATCCAAAGTTTCAATTATTACCAGGCCATTTGTCTAATTTTAATTGGATTTCGAGAGAAGTAGGAAATCCCACATTATTTGTGAAAAAAAATGAGAAGGCGCTATTAAGACACTCAACCAAAGAGAATGGGAGGGAATCAATGAGCTACCAGAAACCTTGTTCTTGTCTTTGTATCTTATCATCCTGGGGGAGAAAAAAAGTCCCCTATGGCCTATTAGAGACCTCAATTTTCAAGCCACTTCTCACTAGAATTCAAATGGCCCACAAGGAATCCCAAGCATTATGCCCTTGCCTTTCTTTTTAGGTAGATATCTCTGGAAATTGTAAAGTGACCTACCAGGCTCATCAAGACAAAGTGATCAAAATTAAGGCCTTGGATTCATGCAAAATAGCGAGGTCTGGATTTACGACCCCAAATCAGGTATGATAGATGTCACTTTCTTTGAGGCATTAAAATAATTACATTTTGTAGAGACTAATTTAATGTAATAGAAAAATAAAGTAGAAATAGAATTTTGAAACATTTGTAATTTTTAGTTTAGGCTACAAATTCACACATATGTAATGAATAGACCCATTTCAATTGTTGTAGGTGTTAGTAATGAGGGATGGGTGTAATGGGGAAGCTGTTTGTAGACTGAAAGACAGTTTGCTATTTGACTTGATTCAATAATTTAAACGATGATTACTTGTTATAAAGATGGCTATTTATTTATTTAGGTCTTGGGTGTCAGTTCAAAAGCTACATCTGTCACCACCTATAAGATAGAAGACAGCTTTGTTATAGCTGTGCTTGCTGAAGAAACACACAATTTTGGACTGAATTTCCTACAAACCATTAAGGGGAAAATAGTATCGAAGTAAGATAATGCTAAAATTTTTATTTTCTTTGCTATTCTTTGTTATATTATTATACTTGATTTGTAAATAGATCTGTGTTTGTGTGTGTGTGTGTGTGCGCGTGTAGTCATGCATTGCTTAACAATGGGAATAAGTTCTGAGAAAAGCATTGTTAGGCAATTTCATCACTGTGCAAACATCATAGAGTATACATACACAAACCTAGATGGCATAGCCTACACTACATTATATGGTATAGCCTATTGCTCCTAGGCTACAAACCTGTATAGCATGTTGCTGTACTGCATACTGTAGACAATTAAACACAATGGTAAGTTTTTGTGTATCTAGACATAGAAAAAGTCAGCAGAAAAATACAGTATAAAAGATACTATGTAGGTGTACCTTTATTCATAAAAGGTACATAAGTGAAATTTGCAGGGCTGAAAGTTGCTCTGGATGAATCACCAAATGAGCACTGAGTGAATGTCATAGACTAGGACGTTACTGTACACTACTGTAGACTTTATAAACACTGTACACTTATGCTACGCTGAATTTCTAAAAAACTTTTTTCCTCCATCATAAATTAACCTTAGCTTACTGTAATATTTTTACGTTAAAAACTTTTTAATTTTTGTTAACTTTTGAAGTACTCTGTAATAACACATAGTTTAAAACACATTGTATAGGTGTACAAAAAATATTTTTTCTTTAAATCTTTATAAGCTTTTTTCTATTTTTAAATTTTTTATTTTTATTTTTTTCTTTTAAAAATTTCTGGTTAAAAATTAAGACATAAGCATATATATTAGCCTCGGCCTACACAAGGTCAGGATCATCAATATCACTGTCTTCCTCCAGTGGAAGGCACTTACAACCTCCAAATGTTGTCTCACTGAAAGGTCTTCAGGTGCAATAACATACATAGAACTGTCACTTCCTCTGATAACAATGCCTTCTTCTGGAATACCTCCTGAAGAACCTGCCTGAGGCTGTCTTACAGTTAATTTTTTTAATAAGTAGAAGAAGTACACTGTAAAATAATAATAAAATGTGTGGTATAATAAACACAGAAATCAGTAATAATCATTTGTCACCATTATCAAGTATTATGTATTGTACGTAACTGCACGTGCTATACTTTTATATAACAGTAGCACAGTAGGTGTGTTAACCACCAGCATCGACAAAAACACGTGAGTAATGCTTTGCACTGTGATGATAGGACAGCTATGATGTCACTAGGCAAGAGGAATGTTTCAGCTTCATAATTTTATGGGACCACCTTTGTACATGGGTCCATCATTGACCAAAATGTCCTTGTGCAGCACATGACTGTATTTATTGTGCTTCCTCATTTCAACTGTGAGCTCCTTGAAAATAGTGATTATATCTTGTTCATCTTTATTTTTTACATCATCTACAACAATTCACGGCACATGGTAAATAATTACTTTTTAAATAAAATTGTATTAAAAATCAATTATTTATTGAACAGGTTTTAAGTTTTAAAAAGACAAACTACTTGATTCATTCTAGTTCATTTTCTAATTTCTCTGTCAAATGTTTTTAATATTAAGGTAAAAAAGTGGTAGCATTTGTAATTTTTAAGAGTTTTTAAAAAAAATTGTTGTTAAAAAACATAAAAAGTTCCGTAGTGAAGAGATGTGACAAAATTTTTGATATGACTTATGCAACTTAAATATTTAGGCCTGTTTATCATTTGAAGACCATTCTCTGGACAGAATTGTTCTAACAGGATTAAGAACTAGAATGTTAAATCTTAGAGTTTCTGTTATTTTCAGATTTTAATTCAGAAAACAATGTTTTCTAGCAGTGAATGTGTTATACCTTATGCCATTGCTTCTCAAAAAATTTCTCTGGAGTAGCTGTAATATTAGCACCAAATAGATGCAAAATAGTAGTAAAAATGCCTGATTAAAATGCTTGAAATTTTATAGAAGTCTCATCTGGAATAGAATTTTGCATTCTACTTCATATACTACTGGTATATCTATAGTGTTTTATTATATTTTCATATAAAATAAATATTTTAAATAACTTATCAGGCCTATGAGATTTCCATTGCTATGTAACAACCCCAGATTTAGTGGTATAAAATGCAACAATCACTGTACTGTTCTCTGTCATAATTTACAGGCTTGCCTTGGCCTTGCTAGGCATCTATTATGTAGTTTCAGACAGTCAAACTATTCAAAGGTGGTTCCCCCATGTATCTGGTGCATGGGCTGGAAAGACTCAAACATCTGAGGCTCCTCATGCAACTATCTTTATTTCCCTGTCGCCTCTCAGCACTGCAGCTTCATGTCAGACTTCTTATGTAGTAGCTCAAGGCTCCGAAGCACATGTACTGATAGTGTGCCAGAGAAAAGCTGAATTCTCTTTTAAGACATAGCCTTAGAGATCACACAGTGTTACTTTCAGTCTCCTCTATTAGTTGAGGCAGTCACAGAGTCCTACCCAGGTTCAAGGAGAGGGATGTAGACCCTACCTTTTGATGACAGACAGGTTCTGGAAGAGCATGTCAGACAAAAATAGAGTTGAGACTATTTTTGGAAAATAAGATTTTCTAGCTGTCTTGGTTAATAAGTAACACGTGGTTGTATTGACGATATCATTTTCAGAAAGCTGGGCTAAATTCAAAAGAGCTGACATTGCATATCTTATTCATCATCCAGGCAATTTTTCTTCCCTGTATACTGTTGAAATAATATTTTGAAAATGCAAACTTAAATTTTCAAATCTTTTAATATAATTGTTGCTCCAGAAAGACTTCATAATGAGCTTTCAGTTACCTCTGGAGATATCACAGTTTGAAAGACATGGCTATATACAACTTGAATAAATTACTATCTTGTTTGCCAAAAGAATGGCAATTAGTATCTTGTTCACTCAAAAGAATGATTATAATATAGCATTTCCCTTTGGTATTATGCAGGCAGAAATTAGAGCTGAAGACAACCGAAGCAGGCCCAAGATTGATGTCTGGAAAGCAGGCTGCAGCCATAATCAAAGCAGTTGATTCAAAGTACACGGCCATTCCCATTGTGGGGCAGGTCTTCCAGAGCCACTGTAAAGGATGTCCTTCTGTAAGTGCAGACAAATATGGGAATAATCATGACATCAGACTCTGTTTTCATTTTGTCTCCAGTGAAAGCATCAACTCATTCAATGAAGACAGTTTCTAAAGAACTACCAGCTACCACAGAGTTGTGATGACAGCAGTCTCACAATATGCACCTGACATAGTGCATGACACATCAATAATTAACAAATAGTTACCATTCATTCCTCTCAAAAAGTGTTATAACTCAAGGGCAGCCTTTAATAAGTCACATCTAGAATTCAGGGAGGATAGAGGGCTTAATGAAGTTAGGGGGAAGCATATGGTGTCAAGAATGTGGACAACGGCTGAACCTTGAAAGTTCTGTCACATAATAGTTATTTGTCCACAGGTGACATACTTTACTGGCCTCAGTGTTCTGATTATTGCTGCAAGGACTGAAAAAGGATACCAGGATCTTTGCCTAAATTAGGAAACATTTATTTACCCCAGTTTCCCCTACAATTCCTGTCAGAAATGCGATATCTCATCCCCAGGGCAAAGTGTAGATCATTGTAACATTTTTAATCCAACAAAGAAAATTTTCCTTTTATTGCATGAATCAGTTATGATATACATTCAGAGAAATGACTTACCACCCAGCATTTCCTTATCTGTAATCTCTTGTCAGAAGAGCAAACCATTGGCTTCATGCTCTGTGTGTAACTATAGGGAGATGCTCTTTCCTTCAGTATTACTGGTGTTCAGAAAAGTGAAATCATCAAGATGTAATACCATAATTTGCTTAAAGTACAAGACAGTAATTGCTTATTAGTTTCTGAAATTGAGTTAGAGGAAAAAGGAAACATTTTAAAACACAAAATCATCATTTTCAAACATTGTTTCTTCTTTTACCTGTTTTTTTTTTCATATGTCATTTAATGTTCTAATGTAATTTTCTAATGCTGTATGAGATGGAAATTATTTAGGAAGGTGGCTAATAAAACTAAACTTTTCTTATGCTCTGCACTATTAATTTCTCTCCCATAGATATTAAACATTATGAGCCATCTAAGATTTTTGATAATTATTTCTTAATTATTATAGAAAATGATTTATTTATGTTATTGAGGAATTTGCTTTTCCAAATTTGGAATTCCAAATTCCAAATTTGCTTTTGTAAATTCTATTGCAGCCCTTTAAAGTAAAACAAAAACAAAAACACCTGAATTCATATTGATATGCTCTCTGCCTTCAGAAATGACCCAGTAAATCTTTAGCTAAGTGCAGCTGGAATTTCACTTGGAATATCTTCTTAAGATTACATAGCTAAAAGGCACTTGAAAAAGAGAAAAAAAAGGATCCATTGCTTATTAAAAGTAATGAATAATTTAAAAACTGGCAGCAAGTTATTACTATAGAGTTAGAGAGTTAGTAGTCACTGATAGGATTTCATAAAACTAGGGGGGAAAGTAGTAAAGTATGAAAAATAAGTTCTTCAGTTAGTTTCAAAGCCGAGAGATGCTGTTAATTAGAACTATTTATTAGGTTGTTGCAAAAGTAATTGTGGTTTTTGCCATTACTTTTGTGACAACCTAATATTATTTTTAAAACCGCAATAGAATAACTTAGTGTGTGTGAGAATTACCTTTATCTAAATGCTACTCTAAAAAACATAGATATAAGAAATGAATAATTCAGACCTTAGCAACAGCAAAACATTGAATTTTGTACAAATAATAAAATAAAGAGAGAGAATAGGGAGCTCACCGAAAAATTGATTTTCAGTGAGGTGCAGGTAAATTAGAAACCTGATGCAATTCTTCAGCAGTTCTCATTATTTTATCTCTGAAATATTTTGCTGTTAATTAAAGTTCTGCACAATTTAAATTGCACTATGGTAGTCAAAGCCTGGCCTCGGATAAATTCCCTTGGTGTAGCCGTGAAATGACCTATATACCCAGAAACCAGTTAATTATTGCCCTAGGATCTTCAAGCTAAATATGAATAGACAAAAACAGTCCTCCTATAGAGGAATGGTTCACAGAGTGGATGGAAGTCCCAGGGGTATGATATGGGCAGGGAACTGTCATGTGTATTGAGGTAAGGTACAAAAAGCTGCTTTCGCTTCAGACACAAGGGACATTTTATTCCTAGGAGAACACCCTTTGTAAATGTGGATGTTCACAGTTATGAGTGGGGTATGAGCCTGCAGTGTATGTTTTGCAGCTCTCGGAGCTCTGGCGGTCCACCAGGAAATACCTGCAGCCTGACAACCTTTCCAAGGCTGAGGCTGTCAGAAACTTCCTGGCCTTCATTCAGCACCTCAGGACTGCGAAGAAAGAAGAGATCCTTCAAATACTAAAGATGGAAAATAAGGAAGTATTGTAAGTTCCCCAACCTTTGTGTGGGGTTGTCTGTCAGAAACATTTCTGGATTGTTGGTTTTTTGAAGTAAGAAAGACCCCTTTTAAACCAACTGCCCCACCACCAAAACAATTATTTTCTTGTACTACATTTTCATCGAAAAGTTATGCCACAGTGCAGTAATTTAATGGTCACTTGACCAGAAATACAATAGCAGATTTTCAGCAGGGACTAGGAATAAACATGTTGTTGTGTTTATGAGTTTAAATCAGGACTAGATTGGTACATAGATAAGTGAAGGCAAGGCTTCGTCGTGACATCGTGGGGCATGTGCTGCCTCGCTGTTTTTGAAATTATGTTCCTCATGCTGTTAATTGACACCTGAACAGATTTGAGTTCATTTAAAAGAAAACAACAAAAAGGGTTTGACTTCTTCAGTTGAAAATGTGATTTCACTAAACAGCCAGTTGAAACTATGTTTTATGTAAAAAATTGAGAACTGAGGCGAATGGTGAAAAGAATCTGGAGAAAATAAATCCATATGTTACTTAATATTTGGTGAAACTATGATCCATTTTACATGTGTAATAAACAGAGTTGACTTAATTTTTCCCCAAAACATTGCATCTGTTTCTAAATAGAATGTATTTTTAGTCTATCATACAGAATTTGTGTATATATACAAATTGAGCTTATGATACCAATTATCCTAATTGATGATATAGAACAAGGCCCAATTAATTTGACAAACAGTGAAAAACAGTCATTAACATAATCAAAAGTGGAAATTAGCCAAGTTACACACACACACACAGCAGTAGCAGTCACTGAGTTCAAAGAACTGAATTCCCCAACAGGAGGAAAATTGCAGCTTTTTTCTGAAAAGTCTGTTTATGCTCAATTGCATTTATTTACTTGCCTTAAGGACATTAAAAAATTGATAGGAATTCCAAATGACTAATCAAAGTTGGTTATTCTCTTCAAAAATAAATAAACCAGAAATTGAAAAAGAAGCAAAATCATAAATTATCAGGCTCTGTTTTAATTACAGCATGTTAAAATATATTGGTAGAGGGACTTGTCTTAACATTATTTTTTATATTTTTAAGATTCTTTAAAAATTTTACCACTCTCAAAGTACATAGGCATTGTCTTAACATTAAAGGCAGACATTACTGAGAATAAAAGTGGAATAATTAGGTATTAATTTAGAATAGAGATTACATTAAACCTTATTAGCATTATCTGTATCCTAAAAATCTTAAGGCAGCAATAATTTGGAGGACTGCATGATGTATTTTCTAAATCAGATTATTTATACAATATTGAACCATATAACATGCAACACACATGTAGTGTAGTGTAATAGAAAGGATACTAAGATGAACTAAAATTGGAAAATTTAGTTTAAATTCTGACCTCCAACAACAGTATATCCTTCAAGGAAGTCTTTTTTTTTTTTTTTTTTTTTTTTTTTTAGACAGTGTTTCGCTCTTGTTGCCCAGGCTGGAGTGCAATGGCGCAATCTTGGCTCACCACAACCTCCACCTTCAGGGTTCAAGCAATTATCCTGCCTCAGCCTCCCGAATAGCTGGGATTACAGGCATGTGCCACCACACCCGGCTAATTCTGTATTTTTAGTAGAGATGGGGTTTTTCCATGTTGGTCAGGCTGGTCTCAAACTCCTGACCTCAGGTGATCCACCCGCCTCGGCCTCCCAAAGTGCTGGGATTACAGGCGTGAGCCACCGCACATGGCCAAGGAAGTCTTTTATATTTAGCTTCTCTGAGCCTCACTTTCAACATCTGTAAAATAGGGATAATAATTCTTTCTATTTATTGTAGGCTAGTGAGAGGCAGGGTGGTGGAATGTAACATTTCCCAAAAAGCCTATATGTTGTATCCTGTAATTTGCAGGAAGTTAACAGGTATGCAAAAAGGAAAAGATTCTGTGAGCAACTGAGTTTGCAAAACTGGATGAAACCTTGTTAATTTCTCTGTTGCAGAACTTTTCAGTATCTTTAATCAGATAATATTCTGGTAAGTTTTGAATATTTTCTAAAACACATGATCTTGAAAATCCCTTTTCTTAAAGCATTTTGTAAGACTAGTGTTAACATGGAAAACACTTTGAGAAACATCACTATAATTAAGAAACCATGGACTCCAGAGTCAGAAAAACCTAGGTTTCAATCCCAGCAATGCCATTTACCATTTACCAGCTATATGACCTTGAACAAATGACTAGGTATATCTGCGTCTGTTTCCTAGCATGTACAGGGGAATATTAATATTAAACTGACAGAGATGTTCAGTGGATTAAATGAGGTGGTAGTATTAGTAACAGCTAATATTTATCAATCACTTACTATATGTCAAGCACTCTTCTGAATGTTTTACAGAGATAACATAATTTAATCCTCCCAACAATCCTGAGGTAAATACTACTTTGGCTTCATTTTACAGATGAAGAACTTAGAGATTAGACACATAAAATTTTTAGTACAGTGCTTGCACAATATAAACTCAATAAGTATTATGTCTTCTAGTTATCTAAGCTTAATTCACTAGTTTTTTGTTATGATCAAAATAGTACAAGTATATCATTTTTTAAAAGTATAAACTACTAAGCACATGTCACATTGTCTGGTGTGCTTATATAGGGGTAGTATGTAATATTTACATACATGTGTTAATTAGTATGACAACTATTTTTAGAAGTTTTACCATCCCGGGCTCAAAAAGCCAAAGATTTTTGATGACTAGAATATATAACTAGAGTTTTCCTGTAGGGGTTCCATTCTGTTCACACATATTCATTGTGGTTAAACATAGAACTATACTATGGTGTGTTTTTATTTTTAAAAAGAGGAAAACCTTTCCCCTTGGATTTAAGGTTAAAGGATTTTCCATCAAATAATACTGCTTTAGTTCAATTAGGCACTTCTGAAATAGGTTTGTTTGCAAAGCTAATTAAAGAAAGAGAATAAATTTGGGGACCCATAGCTTTTATGTATTACTCATATAGGAAAGAATTTGAACTTAATTTATAATTGTATTTATATAATTTTTACTTACAAATCGCCAAATTATACTTGGCTTAGGTTAATATAGTAAAATTAGTTTGTATATTCTGAGTATACATTGTTTGAGTGAGAGAGAGGGGCGTTCAAGGAGAAAATTAAAATAAAATGGGGAGGGGTCTTTTTGAGAAAGTCTTAATCATTTTTTCATTTGTTCAAATTAAAAAAAAAATCACTTCTTGAGAAAACTCAAACCAATAGAAACTCTGTGAATGGTAGAGATTTTTAAGTATTCCTTCCCCTAAACATTGATATCCATGATTATGCCTTTTTTTATAGACCTCAGCTGGTGGATGCTGTCACCTCTGCTCAGACCTCAGACTCATTAGAAGCCATTTTGGACTTTTTGGATTTCAAAAGTGACAGCAGCATTATCCTCCAGGAGAGGTTTCTCTATGCCTGTGGATTTGCTTCTCATCCCAATGAAGAACTCCTGAGAGCCCTCATTGTAAGTCAAATAGAAAATAAAGACCCTCAACTCCTATAAAACTTCTTAAGAATATTAACAG
Source organism: Homo sapiens (assembly GCF_000001405.40). Lineage (NCBI taxonomy): Eukaryota > Metazoa > Chordata > Mammalia > Primates > Hominidae > Homo > Homo sapiens. The sequence goes on from NC_000004.12 coordinate 99,600,795, forward strand.
TAATTAAAAGTTTCTTAGATCTGAATGAAGGCTATCAACTAGAGACTTCTGAGTATTCATATTCAAATTGGGGTATTTTCTATCCACTAATTATTAACTGTATAATAAATTATTTCAGTTAGTGCCTTTTTCGTAATTTCAGTAAGTAGTATAAACTATATGGAAATTTAAAGATTGTGTTCACCTATCATGTTATATAGCATAGGACAGAATTTCAGAGGGGAGAAATCTAGCTTATGCTTCAGTAATCAATTTTACAAGATTTGTTTTGACTTCAAAAATTCTCATGATATTTAATACACCTACATTGAAGAGATACAATTCTTCTGCTGTTAAAGATTTATGTTGAAAACAAAAGCTAGACTTCTCTTGTGTCCAAGAATGTTATCTATTTAATTGCACTTGTCTACCTATGATCTAGTGGAATAGTTCATAATCTTTATGGAAAATGTACCCATTCAGAATCTGATAAAAGTGATGAGGCCCCTTTTTACTCATACATAAAATTTTATAACCCTCACCCCTCCTTTTTTTTTTTTTTTTTTTGTTCATTGACCCCATGAATCCAATCCATAAATTTCCAGGGTTAAGAATTCCCTGTACCACAGGTTAAAAATCCCTGAAAAGGGGATTAACTCTTCAATTCAAAGCTAGATAGCAAATGTGTAAGTGTCTCAAAAGCAAAATTCTGAGTTTGCAATCTAGAAACATAAAAATACTTTACCAAGTATGTGTTTATTTTTTAACTAAAAGTGTTCCTTGGAAATATTTAAATGTCTTGGTAACCTATTTTATCCCTGTTTGGTTAATAGAGTAAGTTCAAAGGTTCTATTGGTAGCAGTGACATCAGAGAAACTGTTATGATCATCACTGGGACACTTGTCAGAAAGTTGTGTCAGAATGAAGGCTGCAAACTCAAAGTAAGTGCAAATCCAATCTCATGTATTACATCATTCTACACCATTGTCCATTTGATACTCACCATGCTGCCTACTATTGGCACTCCTAATTCTCTTTACTCTATTCTACTTACCTTATTTGCATAGCAATTTTTGCCATCTAACATATATTAAAATTCAGTCATTTATTATGTTTATTGTATATTTCTATTTCACTAGAATGTAAGTTCCATGAAGAAATGGATCTCAGTTTTTTTCAACACCAATTGCTCACCAGTTCCCGGTACATAGATAATATTTAATAAAGACTTGCTAAAAAGTGAATAGTACAATAACCTCCCTACCCATATACTTTATTGAGTGCCCACTATGTACTCAGTTTTAAATGGTGTGTATGATATACTTCTTGTTTTCAGAGAAATATTAGACTCTAAGTCTATCTCCTAGAGTAGAACTTTGTATATAGTAAGTGTGGTTTCCAGTTTTAAGTTTTGATAGTAGAAATTTAGTTACTTTTAATCACAGAGAACTTTATATTTTATTTTCAATTTCATTTGCCTAAAGCTTTTCCACTTGCCTGAGTGGACTATCAATTTTCACGTCTTTCTTATTAAAAAGCAAAAAGCAAAAACACTTTTTAAGTATAACTAAATATGGAAAACCAAAATAGATTAATGTCTAACACAGTCCATCTTTCTATAATGCAAATAAAGATGCTAAATATATAACAACATAGTCTTTTTTTCTGTCCACATTATACAGCCAGTGTCCCATCAGCATTTTTTCTACCTCAGACAGCACTATATATCATTTTGCTTACTAAGTGCTTGCTATTAAAAATAGTAGGGAAAATGTTCTTGAAACCAAATGGTCCCAAAAGAGGCAAGCCAAAACTAGAATATACATTAAGTATGAAAAAGATCACTAAAAACAGTAGTACTGAAAAGGCTTGGGTATTAACTTATTAAGTTCTGGCAGAAATTAAATTTATTATTTTTATATTAGGGAAGCATGACTTCTTATATTTTTCAATTTCCATAATTATTTGAGTAGCTGATTTACTTCAGCTATTTGTGTATTAAATATCTTGGCAAAAGATAAAACCCACATATCAAAAGATCTATTCAGCAGTATTTAATGAGCATCTACTCTGTACTAGGCATGATGCTAGTCCTCAAATAAAAAGATAAATAAAATATTCTACCATCCTCAAAGAACTCCTAGTCTGTTTATCAAATATAAACAAATAAATAATATTGAAATATAAACAAAGTGCTCAGACAATACAGAAGATGCAGCAACGTTTTCTGTTTGAGTGTGCTCGAGAAGTTTCCACCAAAATAACAATTTTTGCACTTAATCTAGAAGAGGTTTTTAAGTGAAGAGGTCAAAGTATGGAATGAAAGACATTCTAGGAGACATACAATAATGTATGAAAAGGCCCAAAGTCAAAATAGGCCTGGTATGGTTGGGAACAGTGAGAAATTCTGTGGGGTTGGAACATAAAATATGTATGTTTCTGGGGGCAGATAAGTGACAGTGGAGACACAGGAAAGATGGGAAAAGAGATGGAAGGTGAGCCAGATCTTCATTAATAACAAGCTAAGGAGTCTGGCCTTCATTCCACAGAAAGAAGAGAACAGTGAAGTCTTTAGGCGGATGAATGACATACTCAGATTTTTTATTAAGAAAGAAGCAAGATGTTTTGTGGACTGATTGTTTAACTGGATTAGAGTTAGTGAGATCTGACTGGAAGCATTTGCAATAACCTAGGCAAGAATTAGTAAAGGTCTGAATTAATGTAGGGGCAGAGGGCTGAGAGGAGATACATTCAAGGGCCACTTTATTTAGTGACTGATAAGATGTGGAAAATGAGAAAGAGATAAGAATCCAGGTGACTCTAAAGCTTTCAGTTGAGGTTACCAGGTGTATGGTGATGCCGACCACTTAAGTAAGGTTTATACAGCCTGGTTGGGGGTGGGAGGAGAGTAGAGCTATTAGTTTGTTTTGGCCATGTTAAGTTCAAAATCCTTTGGGTCACCAGGCTCAGTTGTCCAACAGGCAGGTGTCCACATTCACCTGCAGCTCAGGAGAGAAGTTAGGGTCAGAAATAGAGAGTGGCTGAAACCTTCAAAGAGACTGGGGTTACCTAGGAAAGTCATGTAGCATAAGGAAACAGAACAAAGGATCAAATTTAAAGTTCTTCTGATAATGGACAGCCTGGTTCTCATCACATCTTTAAAATTACCTTGAAGGTAGCTGCAAACCATCTACTATCACTGGCATTCAATTTTGTTAATATTTTTGAGCAAACATTTTTTTTCATCTTTGAGGATAATAAGATTTGGCCATAGTGAATTTACTACAGAAGAACTGTAGTAAAGGTTCAGTTTTTCTTTTGAATTTTCTGCTGTGAAACACTCATCTACGTTTTGTCCAAATCAAAGATATATGAAAGAAAGGAAAGAAAATTATGTATTGTATTAAATAAGCACAAATTTAAGGTAGCTACTGGGCACACTATATGCATGCTGTGTAAAAGGAACCTGCCATTCTGTGTAGTTCTATAGCCTTTCAGAACTTACTAGGATAAAAGCTACAGTCCTGTGACAGTCTGAATGGCAGCTAGACAAGTGCACAACCAGTACTATGCCACATGTTTCTTTTTTATGTTTGTCTTTTGCTTATGTTTTGACCTCCCGGCATCCTAATTCCTTATTTTCACTGAATTTGTACTTGAAAAAATGTAAACCTACAGAAAAGTTGTAAGAATAGTACAATTCCATGAACACCCAGATATCTTTCATCTAGATTCATCAGTTGTTAACGTATTTTCATCTTTGCTTTATCTCTTTCTGTCTTATTTTAGTTGAATAATTTGATAATAAATTGCAGACATCTGACATTTTACCTCTAAATACTTTTACTTCTTATTACTTGAGTGCCATTGCAACTAGTCTCTTACAATGAAAAAAATACATGTATTTACCAAATTGTGAGTTCCCACTGCTATCTCTAATTCTAATTCTAATTCAACACTACAGGGTTATTTTTTCCCTCATTTCATCATTCTATTTTCCTTCTCCCACTGTGACAACTGTGGTTTTCGAGAACACCAATATATTGATTCACCTGCTCAATTCTAAAACATACACAATATATTTTTGGAATTGCCATACTGATATTACTACAGAAACAAACTAAATAAAGTTCAAGACTTTTACAGTTCTTTTTGTCCTTAGAATATATTCCATCGCATGTACACAAAGTTCTATGCTCAAAAGTTACTTGGATTAATTCTTTTTCATTCTCTTCTGTTTAGTCATATTATCAAGTTGATAGACATTTAGTTTCATTTGTTTCTGGTTAAACTGAATTTTGATAATTTTCCATCCTGTTGATTTAATTTTATTTCTTGAACATGTGAAATAGTAATGTGGTTCAAAAGGCAGAACTGTGTTTTAAAAGTATTAACAGAGAGGTCTCATCGCTTCTCGATGCTTTTCCCCCAATCTCACCTACTTCCTCTAGGTAAAAAAAATCACTCATTAAAAAAAATTTTTCTTTCTATGTTTCTTTTTGCAACAGTAAACAGATGTTCACACATTTACATACTTTTTTGCACAAAATATATCATTCTATACATACTCTTTTTGTATCTTACATTTTTCACTTAACAATATATCATGAAAATATTCCCTACATAGAGATCTTTTTCATTCCTTTTGACAACTGCCTAGTACTCCATTGTGTCTATGGACTATGTTTTATTTAATATCTCCTATGAATGGTCATGTAAGTGGCTTCCACTATTTTGCTGTTATAAATAATACTGAAGTGAATAATCTCAGGCACAGATTTTTGCTATTGTTGAGATGTAGCTTCAGGGATAGAGTTGCTGGTCAAAAAGCAGTTCTGTTTGTTTTTCTCACATTATCTTCCATAGGAATTGTACCATTTTAGGCTTTCATCAGCAATTTATGAAAAGGCCTATTTCCCCATAGTCTCACCTACAAAATATGTTAGCAAACTTTTGAATTTTTCACCAATTTGATAGTTGAGAAATGTCACTTCTCTGATTAAGTGTGATGTTTAGCATCTTTCCTTCTATTGGGAGCCTTTTGTTAATACTTCTCCACTCTTCCCCATATCATCCATTCTCCCCAACCCCATGTATGTGTGTGTGTGTGTGTGTATGTGTGTGTCTGTGTGTTTGTGTGTGCTTGTAGCCTAATTTCAGAGGTTATGAATCCTGTGGATGAATTAGATCTTAAAACCCTTTATTTTTAAAAAATTTTTCAGCCTAGACTCTGTCATACAAAGAATCTTTATTTTAAACATGAAACTGAAGCCTCTAAAACATATGTAGTGGCAAATATAAGACCAGAACCCAGATGTCCCTATTTCTAATTTGCTTTCCCATTAAACTATTAACTTACACTCAATCCCCCTTTTTCTCAGACTAGGACAAAAGGACTTTTCTGATTGTAGAACATATTTGAAAAGTACCTAGTAAAGTACCTACCACATAGGAGGTACTGAGGAAATATTTTTTGAACTATATTGCAGCATTAATTAAATTTGGAATTAAGTGAAAACAAACACTTTTAAAACATTTAGAGCCAGACTTTATGGTTGAACTCTAAGAGGTCTCACCCAAGTTCTTACTTAAGGAAAGGTGTATGGTGACACTAAGACTCCATCTAATTGTTGCTTTAGCAATTCAGTGAATGAGCAGTTTTTTGAATAACCAATCACAATGAAATTAAAAAGTGGCCTTATATATTCAAAATGTGTTCAAAACAAAATATGCCCATTATTGATAATACTCATTGCTTCTTAAGAATGTATATGTATTTTTTTTAAAAAAAGCATAACACCTTTATCAAGCTTTACTTGTTTGCTTTTATTCCACTGTGTGCCTCAGTCAAGCAACCAATGCAAAACTTTGTAAAACTGTAGGTTGCTTTCTTGGACCCAAGAATAAAGCCAGTCTCACCCAAGTCTTCTTCAATGTATGGTCATGCATATATCTAAGGTATATGATTTTTCAGGCAGTAGTGGAAGCTAAGAAGTTAATCCTGGGAGGACTTGAAAAAGCAGAGAAAAAAGAGGACACCAGGATGTATCTGCTGGCTTTGAAGAATGCCCTGCTTCCAGAAGGCATCCCAAGTCTTCTGAAGTATGCAGAAGCAGGAGAAGGGCCCATCAGCCACCTGGCTACCACTGCTCTCCAGAGATATGATCTCCCTTTCATAACTGATGAGGTAAAATCTCCAAGAATATTTGCAACATTTACAGAAGAAAAAAAAAAAGCATGCTGAACATGAGTCAAATGCAAATTCCGCTCAAGTCACTCTGTATTTTCCCCAAATAGTCTTCTCTCCTGCTTAAAAATAACTCTTAAATTGCATTTGCGGCTATTCTAAATATCCTCACAGGGTAACGTCCTATATCTATATCCTGAAGCATAAATATTGAAGCATATTCTCTTATTTTAAGAAACAAATTCTTTTTTGAAATATATTTACTTTTATAAGTTTTAAGATGCTGTTACATTTTTCAATACTGAAATATCCTGGTTTAAGTATAACTTTGTTTGTTACTACAACTACATTTTTCAGGAAGCCATCTAAATTAAACCTTTGTTAGGGCAGAGAATGTCTATAAATCTCAAGATAAACCATCTGCCGAGAATGGTGTTTCCAGTTTATAGCTAAGCACCTTCCCACCAGTTTTGTGTTGAAGTTGGTGGCTGCAAATCATGATGGTTAGGGGCACAGGCTTTTGAGAAAGACAGACCTACGTATAAACTCTGGCTCTGTCCTTCCCTGGTTGTTTGTTCTTGGGTGACTTGTTTAACATCTACATATCTGAGAGCAAAGCCAAGATTTGAGGGAGTTAGTAAAAGGTAAAGGGAAATGAAATTAAAGAAATATTTATAAATGCTTAGTATAGATCCTTACACATTGAATATCATTAGGCAGTTCTAATAATCAATGAAGTTACTTGTTGCTATGGAATGCAATTATTTTGGCACGTTTTCTTCGATGCTAATGTTTTGTTTAGAAAACAAAAGGATCCTAATGTAACCTACAGACTTTGGGTAATAATGAAGTGCCAGGTAGATTTATTGAATGTAAGAGATGTACCACTGAGGGCATTGTTGATACAAGGGGTGATTGTGCGTGTGTAGGGTTAAAAGGTGTGTGGGAACTCTCTGTACTTTCCACTCAATTTTGCTGTGAACCTAAACTGCTCTTTAAAAAGTCTATTAATTAAAAAAAAGAGAGATGGGAAGATTCTGAGGTACTTCATTGTAAGGAAACATTACTTCATATAACTACCTTTCCCCAGAGCCCCATGCCATGTAGTATCCTTAAAATTCTATATTAGTTAGGTAACACCAGGTTATGCTGCAATAAAAAATGTCCCTCAAAATCTCAGCAATGTGTTAAAAGTTTATTTCTGAGCCAGGCATGGTGGCTCACGCCTGTAATCCCAACACTTTGGAAGGCCGAGGCGGGTGGATCACGAGGTCAGGAATTCGAGACCAGACTGGCCAACATAGTGAAACCCCATCTCTACTAAAAATACAAAAATCAGCTGGGCATGGTGGCACACGCCTCTAGTCACAGCTACTTGGGAGGCTGAGGCAGGAGAATCACTTGAACCTGGGAAGCGGAGGTTGCAGTGAGCCGAGATCGTGCCACTGCACTCCAGCCTGGGCAACAAAGCGAGACTCTGCCTCAAAAAAAAAATGTTTATTTCTCAGGCTATGCCTAATGTGCATAAGGAAGTATGTGGTCTGAAGTTCACTACAGTCATGGAAGAAAGAGATGGAGAAAGCCACCAGCTCTTAACGGCCTCAGCCTAGAAGTGATCCTCATAGATTCTATCCATGGCGTATTAGCCAGAACTAGTCACGTGGCCCCCACCAAATCACAAAGGAATCTGGGAAATGTAGTAACACATGTATATTTTTATGAACACTCACTATTCCTGCTATTCCTGCTGAAATGTCCATTTTAAAAATCTAGATGTGCACTAAGTTTGAACATCTTATGAACAGGTGAAGAAGACCTTAAACAGAATATACCACCAAAACCGTAAAGTTCATGAAAAGACTGTGCGCACTGCTGCAGCTGCTATCATTTTAAATAACAATCCATCCTACATGGACGTCAAGAACATCCTGCTGTCTATTGGGGAGCTTCCCCAAGAAATGAATAAATACATGCTCGCCATTGTTCAAGACATCCTACGTTTTGAAATGCCTGCAAGGTATAATACATTGCACATGTCTCTCTGTGTATTCAAGCTTATTTGTGTGTTCATGGGGTACCGATGTAGCTAATAATAATGATGTGGTCATTATGCAGGGTTACGTTGCATAAAACCAAAGAGTGCCAGATTTCCCATAATAGGGCTATTTAGGGGGCCAGATGAAACAACTTCACTTTGGCACTATGAGTCCATGACTGGTAACTCTGGGTATAATTTTTAGTAGGGATGTCTTGTTCAGTCTGGCAAGTGTATATTGCCAAATGTTTTAAAAGCTAACTGCATTTTCAACAGGATTTTAAAAATAAGTACAACAAAACAAAGTAAATTCTTACCAAATGGTTTTCATTGTAACATTTCAAGTGTTAGGAATTTTTGAAGCCTCATTTATCACAGATCAAATAAATTTCCCATTTAAGTTTAAAATCTTAGGCACGGCCCACATTTCAAGGTGATTCAAAATTTAAAGAGTGCAATCAGTAGAGTTCATCACTCTATAACTCTTGCTGAATTAATTTCCTTCCAGTTACCAAGTCTGTCCTCCCAAATGCAAAGTGGCTCCCCCAAGGTGCCTCCTCCCTGGAATTAGAGGGTCAGAGAAGGAAGTTTCATTTTTCCTGAGTTACATGCAGAACACTACCCCCACGAAAGATCAGATTTAAGCATTCACCACAGAGATTGGAAGGGTGGAAAATAAAGGGAAAGAAAATGAAAAAAGACAGCATTAAAAGGTTGAAAGAAAGAGAAACAAGGACTAAGACTGAAGGAAGACATAAGAAACGGGTGTGAGTAGAACAGAGATAAGAGCAGGACATTCAGGAAAGAGCAATGGAGCAAGTGAGTGAGAAAAGAAGCCAAATCTCTCTGCAGCCATGTATTTCTAGTTGAACGCATTTAGCTTCTCCATTTCTTTGTTTGCTTTTATGAGACCCTGTGAAGGAGATCCTGGGTGTACTTGCTGCCTTCGTCTTATGGCTCTAGCATTTCAGGGACCCGGAAAGAGGAGACAGTGGGGTAGAGAACAGACTAGAAATTGTGAGGAAAATATCACCAACATTATGGTTCAGAGTCTCAGAACCAAAAACATTAGAGTGGGGAGGAACACTAAAGGCTCCCTTGCTTGGTATCTCTCCACTGTAGGGCTGTAGTCTCCCAGCAGGTGGTATTCAGACTTTGCTTCCCTCTCCCGATGACAGGAAGCTCACCATCTTTGAGGGAACTTGTGCCAGTGTTGTTCAGAGACTCTCACCATTATGTCTTTGTATAATCTGAAATCTTCCTATTGGCTCTGGTTTTATCCCAGGAGCAAAGCAAAACACGTCTAGTCATTCATCCACAAGAAGACCCTTTGAATATCTGAGGATAGCTGTCATAACCCTTCTCATCTTTGCTTCTCTAGGCTAAAATCTTATAACCTAGTGATATTGGAGGGGAAACCTCTCAGGATGCCATTGCCTCCCCTCAATTATTTTCTACCTTAGACCTAGGACCAGATTTCTATAATTGATTATTTTGATGTTTTGCTATGTTGTCATAATGTTGCTATTACTGATATGATTAATGTTATGTAATCAGAAATGAACATCTTAACACTAATTACTTAGACAAGATGGACGCAATGGGGTAAGGATTAAGACTTACTCCAGAGGAGACGATGATTTCTATATGGGTTTTACTGAGCTGTTTCTGTAATTGGAAACTTCACAGATATAGAAGAAATACTGGAAATGTACTGTTATATGTCATTAGTGAGAGAGACTATTAGGGAATGCAGAAAAACATTTAAAGAAATATTGTGCAATCTCCCCAGTTTGGCACAATTTTCCTTTAAGTGTATGCACTATTAAACAATAAAACCATGACGAATCAAAGAATTTTGCCATGCCTGAAATGTGTCTACTAGTCAACTTAAGCCACCTCAAAGCTGGACACCCTTGCCTTGCTGTCATTTTGATACCAAACTAAATTTCAAATATCTGAGTAATGAAGGGGCTAGCCCTAATCCTGATGCTACCACGCCAGCTGGCACCACCCTGGCTCTTGGAAAGGCATGAGGAAAATTTGGCTTCCTCTTTTTTCCACTGAGGATTTTTTTTTTCCAAATTTGACTTGGGAAACAGTCATTACAATGAATGTGCAGCTTTTTTTTTCCTCATATGTTGCAGCAAAATTGTCCGTCGAGTTCTGAAGGAAATGGTCGCTCACAATTATGACCGTTTCTCCAGGAGTGGATCTTCTTCTGCCTACACTGGCTACATAGAACGTATGTACACCAAAAAGAGGTTCTCCTTCCATACCCCACAACTTAGCATTGCTGGAACTGCTATTAAATTACAGTTATTGTGTGTCATCAGGTAGTCCCCGTTCGGCATCTACTTACAGCCTAGACATTCTCTACTCGGGTTCTGGCATTCTAAGGAGAAGTAACCTGAACATCTTTCAGTACATTGGGAAGGCTGGTCTTCACGGTAGCCAGGTAACTCACTTCTCATGGATTTTGCTTAATAAAGTATGCAAGAAATCAGGCTGAGGTAAAATAAAACATATATGCTGTGGGTAATGCTATAGAATGTATAAGTTAATGGTGGCTTCTGTCATATTTTGCCCATGATTTCCTTATCTGTAAGAGGCTGTATGGTTTATAGTCACTCAGAGAAAGTTTCGAATTTGAACTTGAAACCTAAGTAATTTGATCCATTGAACTTGACAAATGTCCATTTGTCTTTTCAAAGGTGCACATATTCACAAAACTGAAATTGTGCCAATATTTCTTACATAAACGTTTAAAAATAATATTTTATTTTTATTCACAGATATATTTCTTAGCCTCCTCTCACCCCCAAGTATTTAATTCTAGAATATATTTTCCTTTTCTGGTTGTTTCTATGAAGAGATTGATTCCCCATAATAAAACCCTTCATAATAGAATATGATGCTCTAAAGAGTCAATCTGTATTTCTCCAACACTGCTAGAAGAGAAAAGAATAAAATGTAGGCATTCAACAGCTGGCTGACTTCCATCCCTTTAGTGTTATCCAAATTGAGGTGATGGTCTATAAAGACTTCCTAATAATGACATGTACTTTCTTTTTAGTTTTTATGTACATGAAATTATTACCTTGTAAATACAGCCATTTAAGTTTTTAAAATGATCCAATGCTATAAAAACTTGAGTCTTTATCAATCTTATATTACTATACCTTTTGGTAGTACTGTAGTCAGAGTACTATGCCTTTCTGTCCTGAGGAATCACAATCTGTTTTCTGATATGTACTTTGAAATGCAAAACATCCAGGGGTTAAAGGGCTGGGTATGGAGGACAGAAAATATGTAGGATTCCTATTTGTTGTGGAAATAAGTGTGTTAGCCCCCTCATGGTGTTTATCGACTTTTTTTTTTTTTTTTGGCTAGGGAGAAAAGTTTGACATGGAATGGGGTGAGTCATGGCTTAGAGAATACCATGTCCTCACATAGCAGCAGCCTTAGAATGACTCTGCCAACACCTTTCCATCTACTTTTAGATGCTCTGCAAGACAGCTGATGCGTTGTATATGACAGTCCTGGAAAGACTAAGAGTCTGTAGGATGCCATCATAAAATAGAAAGCTCATGGTTTTCATAGTCAGACAGAAGGGGTATGGGTCCCGCCTCTGACATTTATTAGCTGAGTAAACTTGAAAACTTTTTTTGCCTCATCTACAAAATGGGTAATATCATATGTACTTCAAAGAGTGGTTGTGAGGATTCAATGAAAAACTAACCCACCTTATATTCAGGCACAGAGGTTTTTGTCTGTTTTAGTTTTTGTTTTTAGCTGTTGCAAATATTTAAGTTTTTGGCCCCTTGAGAAGTTCTAGCTGCAGCTCAGAAGCTTCACCATTATTTACAGAGCAGGCAGGGAGCTTGCGTCATGAACATTATATTGATTTTATCCAGGTGGTTATTGAAGCCCAAGGACTGGAAGCCTTAATCGCAGCCACCCCTGACGAGGGGGAGGAGAACCTTGACTCCTATGCTGGTATGTCAGCCATCCTCTTTGATGTTCAGCTCAGACCTGTCACCTTTTTCAACGGATACAGTGATTTGATGTCCAAAATGCTGTCAGCATCTGGCGACCCTATCAGTGTGGTGAAAGGACTTATTCTGCTAATAGATCATTCTCAGGTAATTCATTCAGTCTGTGAGTATTTATTGAGTCCCTAAAATACGCCAGGCACGTTTTAAATATGCTTAGTTCTTGGAGGATACAAGACAAAATTGTGCCCATCTTGGAGCTCATATTCCAAGCACTTGGCCCTCTTGGTATTGGTCCCCTTTCTCCTTTACTATAGATATGTTATAATTTCATATATTAGATGATTAATAAGTGCCTTTAATTGGAGGCAAAGAGAAAATGTTGATGTTAACAGAAACAAGAAAGTTTAGGACACAACAGAATAGAGCTACCACTGTCTCCTCACTTGGCTCTCTCAGGCACGAGGGCTTAGGTGATATTTATCCTGAAGGCAGGAGCTGAACTATGTGGCCTTATAAGTCACTGATGACATTTGTAATGACAGAGATGATGAAGATGCATACAGTGCATCATTTTGACCCTGCCAAATTAGTAGAGGCACAAGCAACCACGGCCATGAGCCACATGCAAGAAATCATGAAGACTCTTTGCCCAAAATTCTCATGTATATAAAATCTCAGAAAGATGTGTTCATTCTTAGAGTATAGGAGTACTTTCATTCTCTAGAGCCACATTCTTCAAAATGGTTTTCAATTTTTTGTGGCCCGAAATCTTATGATACTGTACCAAAAAATGACAATACTATCTTTGATGCAGTAAGATTTAAGTGGCCAAGATACTGTGGGATGGAGATGGTCTGCCTAATTAGATTTTCTGAAAAACAGAAGAGGGTTAATCTGAATAACCTTTGAGTCTGAATGTTTGGTGCTTAAAATTTTTCTTTAATAGTTTGATTTATTTTCTGCTTCACTAAGCATAGCAACATAAAAAATGATATATTTGCTAAATAAAATCTTATGAGGAATCAAAGTGATCACTGTGTACTCTAATTCATACTTATTATATTGAGAATATATAAGGAGATTGAAATAAAAATTTACAGATGATTGGATTGACTTGTAAAGTTTACTTTATTGTTTTAATACATTAATGGATAATAGCCTACGTTTGAATTTTGCCTCCGTTACCTTCTTGCTATGTGCTCTTGGGCAGTTACTTAATAGCCTTAAGCCACAATTTCATACTAGTAAAATGAGGCACCTGGAACAGGTGGTCTGAAGATTTTATCAGCTTTTTTGTTTGCCAGATAATTTGAGGATTCTGATTTGTTAGGTTCTGGTTATGAAATCATAGATTTTAAGGGCTGGGAGATATCTTAGGTATTAGACTGTATTAAAACTCCTCCAAAAGCTCATTATTTGGGATTAAACAGTGTTAATTTTCTATCTTTCTTGTTCCTCATATCAGCTCAGGATAGCTGTATATAACAAAAACAAAAAGCAATTTAGAGTGGCTTAACTAAATAGTTTCACTTTTATAGTGTAACAAACATTTGGAAGTAGGTGGTCCAGGGTTAATATGGAAATCTTAAGATATCATCAGAATCCAAGCTGCCTTCCTTCAGCTCAGCCATTCTTACTTGTGACTTTTGACCTCATGCTTGTCACCTTGTGATTATCAGATGGCTGCTCCACTTCCAGCACCACTTCCTCATTCCAAGATGGAAGAAGGGAAGGATAAGAGGTCACAGAGTCTGACTCTTTTTCAAGAATTGTTTGGAATCCCTGTCTAGGTTTTGGACCAAAACGGTGTTACATGGCTATCTCTAGCTGAGAGAGAAGCTTTTGAACATAGTTTTTCAATGGGTGTCTGAACAAAATTGTTTCTGTCAATACAAATGTAGAAAGGACAAAGAGCAGTGCGTCTTGTATCCCTTAATCCTCAAGTCACACATGAAAAAAACAGTTCTCAAATTATATCAGAATTTTACATTGCACAATTCCAGTTTTAATGAAAGAATCGTCTAAAGGCAGCATAAGTACTGAAAAAGTAGTCCACGTTTTAGGACACAGAGGACAGCTCAACACCACCTGTATGTGCTTAGCTACCCATAAACAATGCCTGAGGATTTGAATCGGGGTGTAAAACCATGAGGAGTAATCTAGATCTGGGTCAGCAAACTTGTTCTGTAAAGGGTAGAAAGTAAATATTTTACGCTTTGCAGGCCACATGGTTTCTGTTGCAGCCACTCAATTCTGTTACTGTAGAGTGAAGACAGCCATCAGCAATACATTAACAAATGAGTATGGCTGTGTTCCAATAAAATTTTATGTACAAGAATAGCCAGTGGGCCAGACTTGCCTGCTGGCCATAGTTTGCCAATCCCTGATCTAGATTATCTTGTACAGTTTTTCTATTCACTAAGCTAGGGCAGCTAAGGCAAGGCATATTCTATGAGAAAGATTGCCCCCTAGCTATTAAACATAGCCCAGTGTCTGTGTGTCAGGTTGGAGTATTTGGCAGATCTGAGGTTATTATACAAATTAAGCTGTCTGAGGCCCCCTGGCTCTGCAGAGCACTCCAGTAATGCCATCCTAGCTTCAGAGACACATACCACTCTAGGTCAAGTGCTGACACTGAAGGAAATGTTGGCAGTGGGTAGCCCATCACAGCCACCAGGGCAGATGGAATTACTCTGTGCTTGCTCACACTTTCTCTCTTCAGCTAATTGGATTACTCTTCAGAGAAAGATGTCTCATAAAGTCAGTTTAATAAGGGGATCCTCTTTAGCCAGTAAAGAACATATTTCCCTAAATGGAAGCAACAGGATGAGTTGTCAAAATGTCAGCATCTGAGCTATAAGAAACACTTATGGGACCAAGAGGATCAAAGAGGTCACATTAGCTACAAAGTTCTAATAACTTTTTCCTCTAGTTCATAGGAAAGAATCTAAATAAATATGCACTCTGGGCCAAACAAGGACATAAACCTATGCTCTCTCTCTCTTTTTTTTTCCTTTTTTGCAATATTTCTTAGAACAGGCTTTCTTGTACACCAGGAGACAAAAGAGAGGTATGAGTTTGTGATAGCCATGAATATTAGTAGAAAAGTCTTCACCCAGGCCAGGTGCAGTGGCTCACGCCTGTAATCCCAGCACTTTGGGTGGCCAAGGCAGGTGGATCCCTTGAGCTCAGAAGTTTGAGACCAGGCTGGGCAACATGGTGAAACCCCAGATCTACAAAAAATAAAAAAATTAGCTGGGCATAGTGGGGTATGCCTGTAGTCCCAGCTACTCAGGAGGCTGAGGTGGGGGTGAGAGGATTGCTTGAGCCCAGCAGGTTGAGGCTGGTGTGACCCATGATCACACCACTGCACTCCAGCCCGGGTGACAGAGCAAGACCCCATCTCAAAGAAAGAAAGAAAAGAAATGTCTTCACCCTAGAGACAATTGGAGTGTTTATTCTGGCTTCATGTGTAGCCTCTGAGCCTGATTTTTCCTTTCAATCTTAAGATATAATGCCTACCATGGAATATTGGTATGAGGATTAAATGAGACACCAAAGCTTTGTAGAGCTTTGGGCACACAGTATGTGCTCAAAACCTGTTAGTTCTACTTACTTTATACTGCTTAAAAATTAGCACCATGTGGCTTAGTCCCTTTCAAAAAGGAAAGAGTGCTTTGTTTTTCTACAGGAGTCAGTGGTTTATCTTTATAAGGGGGTCCAAGAAAATTCCTCTTTGCACATGCATTCTTCTTTTGTCCCTTTGTGTAAGGAAGTAGAATTTTCCCAGAAATCCAAGGCACTCCTCATAACCCACCTTGCAATGGAAATGCTCTCTCCCCACAAAAGGTGCGTTGTCTAACAGCCATGAAATGGCCTTTTCCATGGCACTTGGTGTATTTTGCCTTCCATTTAATATATGGTTGGTGGGAAGGCCAAGATCCACATCACAGGCCTCTGCTGGACTGGGTGGATGAACAAGATTATAATTTTCAAATTAGGAAGAGAGAAAAAGATGCAAAGAAAGGAATATTTCTGAGGTGAGGCACACCATAGCTTTCATTTGGAAATAATCATGTTTGGAGTACACATACAGAACTCTCATATTTTGGTCCCATAGTTCACAGGCATAGGTGAAAATGTGGGCATGACTATTGTGTTTTCTTCAGGATAGTTTGTGTCCATCACATTAGTTATAATGCCTCAAACAACCCCTTCATCCCATGCAGCCATATTTTGTCCTATATCAAATGTCTCTTTAAGTATCCTTAGAGCTATCTCCTAATGTGTCCTGAGCATGGCACTGAGAATCTCATGCTTCCATCAAAGAGTGTCCTTCAGACTGAAAGTAGCTTCATGCCGCAACCGTACTTTTTTAATACACCTGGTTGTAAACCAAGTCCTTTGCCTGGGGTTTCCTGTGACCTTTTTTTGGAAAGTGAAGAGAACTCAGGGAGATCAACACAATCCTTGCTAGAAAGTTAAATCATGGCAGTTATAGCTGGCAAATGCATGGCTTGTTTGGTCTGAGTAGGGCAGTTACATAAAGAAGTTAGTCATCCTGCCGGTTGCCAGGAATTTAAGATCTTTGGAGGAATATCAAAATTAAGGATACTGAGTCTCTTTCTCAAAATCATTATCACTTCCAACACTGTCCCCAGGCAATCTGATTCCAATCCAACTAAAAAGTTTTGTGCCAACATCACCTCAACTAATGTACATGAAAAAAAAATGCAAGACTTAAAGGCTAAATGCAGGCAAACAGCACAAAACAATGGGTTTCAGACAACCACAAAATTTGCTCAGGATGGGCCATGTTTGTAAATAATTACTGTCCCTATGAAAAATACTATTGAGTTCATGTTGAACTTGACTATTAACTCAGTGTCATTTCAAATGTCAAACAGCAGGGTATTAGGCTTAGTTAAATTTGCCTTCGTTTTCTAGTTGGATGTAGGCAATTCCTGGAACTTGTATACAGTTGGCGTCTCTGTAACCGCTGGTTCCTCATCAAATTCAACCAACCTCAGATCAAAAATATTTGGAAAAAAAACACCAAACAATAAAATATAGCAAAACGACAGTATATATTCATACAATTTTTAAAATACAGCATAACAGCAACATAGCATTTACACTGTATTAGGTATTATAAGTAATCTAGAGATGATTTAAAGTGTATGGGAGGATGGGTGTAGGTTACATGCAAATACTATGCCTTTTTATATAAGGGACTTGAGCACCCTTGGATTTTGTTATACTCAGGGCTGGGCATAGGTAGTCCTATAACAAGTTCCCCTTGGATACTAACGGACAAACACACTCCACTGGGAGTTTTAAATCTTGTCTGTTATTTTCTAGCAGGATGCAGTTGACTGTATTTGCCACAGCACATAACTAGAGAAGTGCTGAAGGACCTCGAGAGATCACCTGATCCAAACCTCCTCCCCTTACTTCCCTGGACAAAAAGCCACAGCTAGATTTCTGATGGAGATGCCTTCATTTTCCTTAGTTCAAAAGTTTCCAAATTTAGGTGGATCAGAATCATACAAGGGCTTGTTAAAACATAGATTGCTAGACCCCATCCTCAGAGTTTCTAATTTAGTAGGTATGAAGGGGAACTTATAATCTGTACTTCAAACCAGTTCCCAGGCAATGCTGATGCTGTTGTTCACAGAAACACACTTTGAGAACCATTGTTCCTTTCAAAGTGTAGCAATGATTGAAGGAAAACATCCTTCTTAATTGGCACTTCATCACTCTGGTATTTTAATTGACTAATTAATTTAGCAAATCAACAGAGTCTACTTCCGGTGCTTAAAATTAGGACAGCATGTTTCCAAGCCTAGAGAAAGACTCCAACATCAACACAACTCAAATGGAATTATCTACAGCAGGAGGTCAAATGTGCCATTGGAAAGGGGGTTAACTAAATTGTACTTATTATTTTTATAACTATTATTATGCTTTTTTCTTCTAGGAACTTCAGTTACAATCTGGACTAAAAGCCAATATAGAGGTCCAGGGTGGTCTAGCTATTGATATTTCAGGTGCAATGGAGTTTAGCTTGTGGTATCGTGAGTCTAAAACCCGAGTGAAAAATAGGTAAGTGTTTATGCATTATACATTTATGAATTACATATAAGACTATATACAGAGAACTTCCGAAATATGTTTTGGGAATTAATCTTCTGACTTTTCAAAATCTATGCTTTCTATTTGGAATTATAAAACGATAGAGTTGGAAGTGATCATAGGAAATTATTCTGTCTATAGCTTCTTATGAGCAGGTCAGTACCTAATATGACTCAGCCAAGAATTTTCCTGCTTTTAAAGACATACATAGACAGGATGCCCTGTGAATCAGATGGTTCATCTTCTTTTGGTATTCCACCAAGAGAAGAAATTTCACTTTAAGGTAAACTTTCCTCTTTTGTTGTCTTCAGTGGGGAAAAATAAAATAGATAATTTCATCTGTGCAGAAACTAACTATTAAATGTTAAGAGTCCTTAAGTCTTTTCATCAGCATTCCTTTTTCTAAATAAAATACTCTAAGCTCCTTTAATTTTTCTAATCTACCTGTGAGATTTAATGAAAGTGTTTTACTTTGAATATAAAACAATGTCTTTGAACTAGTGTGAAGATGAAAATTATTAGCCTTCTGTTACAGAATTTTTAAAAAGGAAATAGAAATGCAACTAATTTTAATTTTTTGATATTTAAAAACACATTCAGGCAAAAGTGAGATATGTGATAAAATCAAATTTTTGATTCATCTTGAGCTATGGATGAAGGAACTGAGAGCAATCAAACAGTAGCACATTTAATGTGAAGTGTGACCCACAGTGTTACCAAAAGGAAACACAGAATGAAAAATGACACTGGTCATCAAAAGGTTCACAATATAACTTAGGGCTTCCCACATAATCAGTCATCTTTCACCTCTTTCCAAAGTACTTTCTAGACAGAAGTTTTTCCAAATGAAATGGAATTGAATTCTTTGCAAAGAGAAATCAACAACAGCAACAACAACAAAAAGTAATTTGGATTTTTTAAAAAAGTACACAGTATCCTTAAGAATCTACCCTTATCCATATTGTAACCAATCTGTCTTCCATTTCCACTTGTTCATTTGAAAAAAATATCTTTTAAACCTTTGCTGAATATAGGACATCAGAAGGTACTCTAAGTGATTCAGGGATTAAAACGACCTCTGACCTATTTTTACACTGATCATAACAGCAGCAGGGGTTTTAATTTGCGCAGCAAAAATTAATATTCCTGTCAAAACATAAGGGCATAAAACTCTCATTTAATTGTGAAAGCAGTTTCTCACAGTTTGATTTAAAGTCCACAATTCAATTACAGTAGAAGTAAGTCTTCTGTTGAAATTATTTATCCTCTTCATCATTATCCAGGGCACATTCCCCAGCCAATGCAATCTGTTTATCCAGTTATCTAGAGCATCATTAAAGGACCCACCATATTTTTCCTCCTAGGACCTACTGTACATGCCCCACTGTAAGAATGATTTTTTGTAACACAATATTTTTTCAAATATCTTGGCAATCAAGGGCTTACGCCTCTAGAGACTCTTTGGAGAAGGTAATGAAATGGAATTAAAATAGCTGCCTAGAAGCCAACAGAGAGATAGTTAACAAAAAACTATAAGCATCGATTGTCTTCTTGGTGAGTTTAGACTCCATTTTAATATAACTTGGGTATTTCTGACCTGCTGAGAGGACTGGGTTCCAAGAATGTTTTCATTTTGGTCTTTGTTATGCCCATACAAAACAATGTAGTATCTTACAGACACTCCCCACATCTGCAACTGAAGGCAGGGGAGAGCTCAGGGGAAGGGCAAACCTTCCCTGCCCAATATCTGAGACTCACCAGGCCCTGGTTACCAGCAGAACTCTAAGCACATCCAGGTCACCTCTGAATCCCTTAAGTGTTTCCTTCCAGTCACTGGCATCATACGTTCAGACCCTGTAAAGTTACAGCTGTTAGTCCAATACCATTAAATATAATATGAACAAGTTTTTTCTTTTTTTCTCAAATGTTTAGGGTGACTGTGGTAATAACCACTGACATCACAGTGGACTCCTCTTTTGTGAAAGCTGGCCTGGAAACCAGTACAGAAACAGAAGCAGGCTTGGAGTTTATCTCCACAGTGCAGTTTTCTCAGTACCCATTCTTAGTTTGCATGCAGATGGACAAGGATGAAGCTCCATTCAGGTAAGATGCAGCGTTCAGGTCATGTTCCAGGACCATCCCCAGTGCACCAGGAACTTGCATTCAGTTTAGAACATTCAGTTTCAGAATTAAAACAAAACAGTAGAAACCCAGGGAAAGATGAATTTTCTTTAAATGAGTAGAAGAATAATTGATAAGGCCAAAAAAAGTCAGTTTCTGGGATACCAAAAAAAAATCTAATGACTAGTTCATTTGATTCTGGAGATAGTTATCATATTCTAATCCAGAAACAATTTATCCAGGAAAGAAAGGCCTATGATTTACCATAGGAGTTGCCACATAGTTTCATAAAAAAAATCAGATACACATTTACTGTCTGGTATCTTCACAATAAACTGCTGGACAAAAGATTTCAAATAAAACACCTGGCAATCCATTTACCATGTTTAAGGGCCAAAATGAATTCGCAATTTTTAAGTATTCCATATAGCAGCAACTTGACCCTGTTTAAGTTTTGGCTCAAGTTTCAGAGTTTGGGATTCTGAATTTTTTTAAATAATGCTTTTGGTAAAATAGTTAGTGTTTTAAAATACAAAGATATAATTTCCATGTAACATTTGTGCTGTGTCATTTGAATTTTGTAACCATTATTTGTAACAATACTATCACATAGAGCTAGAATGCCTTGAGTCTAGGTAGCACTGACCCTTTCATAATAGTTGACCTACGGTAAGCATAAGGGTCATTTGTACAGTTAAAACAGCAAGCCACATCTTACATCATCTCCTTTTTTAAGTAGGCCAAAATTGAGCACCTTCATTATTTTACTGACATTTCATGATTCATATTAAAAAACGCATTGATTATATAAAAGTAAACGAGTCAGTTGTATTTTCAGAGAATAAAAGATTGTGCTTTATAGTTAAACTATTAAGCTGTCACTAACTTACATTAAGTTATATCTAGAATGAACCTCCACAAATGCATTTTAAAAACCCCAACCTTCTAATGGTTGAAATGCAGTGACCACCAACCCACCCACATGATTAATTGGTTTGGTTCCACATTTGCCTTGGGCCAGAGCTCTTAGAATGTTTCTCTGTCCGCATTCTCTGCTTAAATCCAGCTGGGCTTGCCTGTTACTCAAAAGGAGAGTGCTCCCAAGGTGGGGCTTCTGGAATGAAGGGTGAGACACAGCACAGCCTGCAAAGCTTAATGGCATCACCAAAAAGCTGAAATGAATTTAGTCTTTCATTCTAGAAAAATGTATGGCAGGACTCCCATATCCCAGGCATTTGAAGTGTTTCTGTTGATATAAAAAGAAATGAGAAGAAAATCACCCATTCATGGAGTAGCCTTTGACACTCATATCCTTTCTCAGATTGCTTTGGAACAGAAACTTCAAGTACATTCAGTAACTTGGCTGGAGAGGTATAGGGTGACTTAACTGTGTGTGTAATTCTGTTATTGTTGCTGTTGTTGTACAGGCAATTTGAGAAAAAGTACGAAAGGCTGTCCACAGGCAGAGGTTATGTCTCTCAGAAAAGA
Organism: Homo sapiens; assembly: GCF_000001405.40. Lineage (NCBI taxonomy): Eukaryota > Metazoa > Chordata > Mammalia > Primates > Hominidae > Homo > Homo sapiens. Next base: position 99,622,738 of record NC_000004.12, read on the forward strand.
AAAGAAAGCGTATTAGCAGGATGTGAATTCCCGCTCCATCAAGAGAACTCAGAGATGTGCAAAGTGGTGTTTGCCCCTCAGCCGGATAGTACTTCCAGCGGATGGTTTTGAAACTGACCTGTGATATTTTACTTGAATTTGTCTCCCCGAAAGGGACACAATGTGGCATGACTAAGTACTTGCTCTCTGAGAGCACAGCGTTTACATATTTACCTGTATTTAAGATTTTTGTAAAAAGCTACAAAAAACTGCAGTTTGATCAAATTTGGGTATATGCAGTATGCTACCCACAGCGTCATTTTGAATCATCATGTGACGCTTTCAACAACGTTCTTAGTTTACTTATACCTCTCTCAAATCTCATTTGGTACAGTCAGAATAGTTATTCTCTAAGAGGAAACTAGTGTTTGTTAAAAACAAAAATAAAAACAAAACCACACAAGGAGAACCCAATTTTGTTTCAACAATTTTTGATCAATGTATATGAAGCTCTTGATAGGACTTCCTTAAGCATGACGGGAAAACCAAACACGTTCCCTAATCAGGAAAAAAAAAAAAAAAAAAAGTAAGACACAAACAAACCATTTTTTTTCTCTTTTTTTGGAGTTGGGGGCCCAGGGAGAAGGGACAAGACTTTTAAAAGACTTGTTAGCCAACTTCAAGAATTAATATTTATGTCTCTGTTATTGTTAGTTTTAAGCCTTAAGGTAGAAGGCACATAGAAATAACATCTCATCTTTCTGCTGACCATTTTAGTGAGGTTGTTCCAAAGACATTCAGGTCTCTACCTCCAGCCCTGCAAAAATATTGGACCTAGCACAGAGGAATCAGGAAAATTAATTTCAGAAACTCCATTTGATTTTTCTTTTGCTGTGTCTTTTTGAGACTGTAATATGGTACACTGTCCTCTAAGGGACATCCTCATTTTATCTCACCTTTTTGGGGGTGAGAGCTCTAGTTCATTTAACTGTACTCTGCACAATAGCTAGGATGACTAAGAGAACATTGCTTCAAGAAACTGGTGGATTTGGATTTCCAAAATATGAAATAAGGAAAAAAATGTTTTTATTTGTATGAATTAAAAGATCCATGTTGAACATTTGCAAATATTTATTAATAAACAGATGTGGTGATAAACCCAAAACAAATGACAGGTCCTTATTTTCCACTAAACACAGACACATGAAATGAAAGTTTAGCTAGCCCACTATTTGTTGTAAATTGAAAACGAAGTGTGATAAAATAAATATGTAGAAATCATATTGAATTCCTTTTGTCTTTTGTTACTTCCAACACCATATTTCTCATTCCTGCCACTTTCTGAGCCTAGACACATACACAGTTAAGCCTCTGCAGCAATACAGGTCAGGCCAGGTTCTCTAGATGGGAGACCAGACCCATTTGAAAAATGGGCCACTGAAAATATCAGCAGTCAGAACCTCTTAAGGACGTGTGAGCTTGAAAACATGCCATAACCCCAGTTTTCATAAAGCTCTGGACTGGCCCCTTTACTGTCATGTTACTAAAAAGGAAGAAAGGAATCAGAAACTAAGGTGGTGGGTGGAGCATGGTATGTGGTAGCATCAGCCTTGGGGAAACCACTCTGTAAAGATGCTGACGTCGCAGGGAAAGTGAGTTGGTCTAGGGTACTAAGCTGAAGATGTTGTGGACTCAGGCGCTTCAGCCCTGTGAGGTTTAACAAATCACAGCCACCTCTGCAAAATGTAATCATTTACTTAACAATGATGACTGTGGTGCTCTGAATGTTAGTGTTTTGCCATTTCCCAACTGTTTACTGGGCTGCTGAGCCAAGTATCTGCCCACCCAGTGGAGAATGGATGATCCTGAGCAACTCTAACATGCTCCAAAGAAACAAGAAAGCAGCAGCATAGGACAAACAGTAACTCCTTTGTAGATAAACAAGACAGAAAATGAAGAGGGGTAGAGTGATAGTCCACATTTGGAAATAAGATATTGGAGCCAGAAAAATAACTTTAAACCTCATTTGCAGTCCTCTAGTTCTGACTACTTCTCCATTATAAATGCCAGCATACAGACACATTTGTCTTCTGAAAAGACATCTATTTGGGAATTGTATAGCCCCCTAATGTGAATCTCCAGGCCTCTGTCCAGTCAGATCTTTCCTGCAAGCTTTAAGATTAGCGTGGCTTCTTTTCTTCTGTGAAGTGTTATTGTCATTCCCTGGCTCATGTTGCAGTCCTGCCTGTGACAAGTTGCTCCCTGCTTCTCTAAACTGACCACCTTCAAGTAAGTGTTAAAGCTAACACTTACTGAGTGCCTATTATATGCGAGGTATTTTAAAGCCTTTTCCGTACATTAATTTAATCTTCATAAAAACTATATTTAATAGGTAGCATTATTTCCATATGATAGATCAGCACTAAGAGAAATATAATATGAGTCACATAAGCAATTTGGAATTTCTAGTAGCCACATTAAAAATGTAAACCAAAACAGGCGAAGTAAACTGTAATAATATATTTTATTTAACCCAAAATATCCAAAGTATTATCGTATCAATATATAAGTAACATAAAAATTATTAATGGGAAGCTTTACTTTTGTGGGGAAGATTAGGTCTTCAAAATGTGGTATATATCTTGTATATAAAGCACATTTCAGTTTGGATGAGACACATTTCAAGTGTTCAGTAGATGCATGTGGCTAGAAGCTGCTGTATTGAATAGTACAATATTGGGCACACAAGACATTTAATTTGCCCCACAGAAGACACTTTCTCACTTAGAAAGTGAAAGAACCAGGACTCAAATATGAGTAGTTTCACCTCAGAACCTGCTCTCTGAACCCATTATAGGATGTTTCCCACATGCTTTTGGTTTTAAAGATTTGCTGCCAAACGAATACAGACAGTAGGTTATGAAAATGAGAAACATGTGACAGCAGCAATAAAGCTAAGAGTTGTTGCCCTTTCTTTTTTTTTGAGACAGAGTCTTGCTCGGTCGCCCAGGCTGCAGTGCAGCGGCGCAATCTCAGCTCACTGCAACCTCTTCCTCCCAGGTTCATGCCATTCTCCCGCCTCAGCCTCCCGAGTAGCAGGGACTGCAGGCGCCCGCCATCATGCCTGGCTAATTTTTTGTGTTTTTAGTAGAGACAGGGTCTCACCGTGTTAGCCAGGATGGTCTTGATCTCCTGACCTCGTGATCTGCCTGCCTTGGCCTCCCAAAGTGCTGGGATTACTGGTGTAAGCCACTGCGCCCGGCGGACTTGTTGCCCTTTCTCTGTGGTCGTTCAGTCTCCTCCTCTGATGGAATCAGAAGCCCACCATAATCAATTGTAGAACGCATCCATCATTCCAAAAAGAAACCTGTACACTTTAGCTATCACTTCCAATGTACCCATCTCCCAGCCCTAGGAAATCACTAGCCTACTTTCTGTGCCTAGATTCATTGTGGACAATTCATATAAATGCACTCATATATACTATGTAGTCTTTTGTGACTGGCTTCTTTCACTTAGCATTGTGTTTTCAAGTTTCGTACACGTTGTAGCATGTATGAGCACTTTATTCTTTTTTATGGTCAAATAATATTGCACTATACAGTTATGCCATGTGTTTATCCATTCATTAGTTAATGGACATTTGGTTTGTTTCCACCTTCTGGATATTATGAATAATTCCGCTATGAACATTTGTGTACAAACTTTTTGGTGGGCATGTGTTTACATTTCTTTATACTTAGCAGTACAATTGGTGACTCAAATGGTAACACTATATTTAACTTTTTGAGAACTGCCAGAATTTTCTCCAATGTAACTGAACCATTTTACATTCCCACCAGCAGTGTATAAGGGTTCTGATATTTCCACATTCTCACCAACACTTATTAATATACTTCTTTTTGATTATAGTCATCCTAGTGGGTGTGAAGTTAGCACTATATTTCGAATAAATAAAAAAATGTATTTGGCTGGGTATGGCGGCCCACACCTGTAATCCCAGCACTTTGGGAGGCCAAGGTGGGATGATTGCTTGAGGCCAGGAGTTTGAGACCAGCCTGAGTAACATAGGAAGACCCTCATCTCTACAAAAAATAAATAAATAAAAAAATTAGCTGGGCTTGGTGGCACATGCCTGTAGTCCCACCTACTCTGAGGCTGAGGTCGGGGAATCGCTCAAGCCCAGGATGTTGAGGCTGCAGTGAGTCGTGATGGTGCTAATGCACTCTAGCCTGAATGACAGAGCGAGACCCTGTCTCAAAAAAGAAAAAAAAAGATTCAAGTCCTTGCCCTTTTTAAAGTTGAATATTTTTCCTTTTATTTTTGAATTGCAAGAATTAGTTATATATTTTCAGTGTAAGTCCCTTATCACATACATAATTTGCAAAAATCTTCTCTCATTCTGTTGGTGTCTTCACTTTCTTGATAACGGCCTTTGAAGTACAAGAGTTTGTAATTTTGCTGAGATACAATTTATCTCTACTTTTTCTTTTTTGTTTGTTTGTTCTTTTGGTGTCATATCTAAGAAACCATTGCCAAATCCAAAGTCACAAAGATTTAACACTATGTTTTCTTTTAAGAACTTCATATTTTAGCTGTTAAATTAGTCCATCATGGTTAATTTTTTATATAGTGAGAAGTAGAGGATCAAAATTTATTCCTTTGTGTATGGATTTCCAGTTGTCCCATCATTGACTGTTGAAGAAACAACTCTGTCCCCATTGAATTATTTTGGCATCCACAAACATGAAGGCTCATTTCTGGACTGTTAGTTTTATTCCATTAATCTCTATGTTGATCTTTATGCTAGTACCGCACTGCCTTGATTACTGTTGCTTTGTAGTAAGTTTTGTACTTGTGAAGTGTGAATCGCATATTTTGTTCTTTTTAAAGATTGTTTTGGCAATTCTGAGTCCCTTAAGTTTTCATATGAATTTTAGGATTAGCCTGTCAATTTCCACAAAGCCAGCTTGGATTCAAATGGAGATTGTGTTGAACCTGTGCATCAAAAATTAATTATATTGTCTCCAGGTCCATGAACACGAAACATCTTTCCATTTATACACATCTTGAATTTCTTTCAACAGTGTTTTGTAATTTTCAGAGTATAAGCTTTGCACTTTTTTCGTTAAATTTATTTCAAATGTTTTATTCTTTTTGATGCTATTCTGAACACATTTGTTTTGTTTCATTTTTTCATTGTTCATTGCAAGTATATAAAAATATAGTTTTTTTTTGTATAATATATTGCTCCTGTAAAAACAAATTATGTTGCAACACTGCTGACCTCATTTATTCATTCTATATCTTTTGGTAATAGATTCTTTAGAATTTTCTATGTAAAGAATAATGTCATTTTTGAATAGACATAGTTTTACTTCTTTCTTTCCCATCTGAATGTTTTTCTTTTTTTATTTTCTTGACTAATTGCCCTGGCAAGAACCTCCAGCACAATCTTGAATAGAAGTGGTGAGAGTGGACATAGCAAAGATGATAATGCTGGTGAAAAATGTGGTGGTGGTGACAGCAGTGACAGACACTAATAACCACGGGACATGAAAGGAAGGCCCAAATTGTTTGGCAGTAGCTCTAGTTCTATTTTCACTAAGTAATATACAGTTGTTCCTTGGTATCTGTGGGGGATTGGTTCCAGGACCCCTGTGGGTACTAAAATCTGTGGATGCTCAATCCCTTATATAATGGCATAGTATTTGCATATAAACTACACACATGCTTGAGTATACTTTAAAGCATCTCTAGATTACTTATAATACCTAATACAATGTCTAAACATCACTTCATTCACATGGCTTCAACTTAGTAGTCAATGTGGGGCAAATTCAAGTTTTGCTTTTTGAAACTTTATGAAATTTTTCTTCCGTATATTTTTGATTCTCAGTTAGTTGAATCTATCCATAGATGGAGAACTCATGCATATGAAGTATTGTAAGTTCTGCTGTGCTTGAAAATTAATAAAAGCTTATTTGAACGTTTAAAACACTTTCAAGATAGTCTAGATGTCTGACTGCACAGAGAAGAGATACACAACTTGAGGTGCCTGTACCAGCACTAAGGATATGTTTGAGATTCAGATTGGTTGAAGCTTCAGTGTTGTCAACTTAGTCAACTTCCTCCCCTAGAAGGAAGCGGGGAGAGAAAGGGAATAGGACAGGGAGGCCTGGCTTAGAAATCCAGTTCCACTACCTGCTGGATCTTGGACATGGGATTCAACCTATCTGCCATTTCCAAAATGGGTATTATAATCTTTATTTCATTGTGTTGTTTTAAGGATTCATGGAGATAATGCATGTAAAGCATACTGCCCAGCACATACTTGGTAGCATTTGGTTAATGTTTTTAATTTTGGAGATGTAGTGAGCAATATCTTATAACTGATCAGTTTTAATAAAAAGGAGTTTGTTTGCACTTTATTTCTACCTCTTCCTTACAGGTAGTTGGAGAGCATAGTAGTAATTTTCTCTCTAACTCTCCAGAATTGGTGCAGAATGGCATGAAAACCTTTCCCATGCAGCATCCAGGAAGGTAGGAGGCAGGGGATTGCAGCAGTGAGGAGATTTGGAGTAAGATACTCCTGCATACGTGAAATCTCACCTCTTCTTCTTACTACTGCTACATAAACCTTCAAGCCTCTCAGCTTCTACATTGGGAAAATGAGCAGCACCTCATAGGTTGTTGTGAGGATGAAGTAAGGTAATAAGCAAGTTCCTGGCGCATAACAAGCATTTAATAAGTACTCATTAATACTAACTTTTCATGTGCAGTCTTATACAATTTCTGAGTAAAGCAACATTTTATGTTTTGACTCAATGGAGTGAATCTATTTTCTGGACATTCATCCATGAACATCATAAGTTTTGGAATGGCTACCAGTTTTGTTTATTTATCATGAAAACACTACTTTCACATTATAAAAAATTATTCCTCCATTTTGTAAAAACATGACTTTCATCCATTTCTCTGCATACCTAAATTGACCTGAGATTTCACTGATCCTTTCTTTACCATTTTTCTTTGCTTTTGTCCTCTGTAAATATGATAATTACCAAGAGTAAAAGAATAAGTCTTTTCACTAGGGGGCATGGAATGAATTTAAAATTCATCCACAAAATAAGAAAGTTCTAGTAGAAAGTTTTTGGAGAAAATCTTAAGAGAACTCTACATCATAAATAAAATGGATAGGATTTTTGAGAGGAAAGAAAATACCAGAAGACACCACTCCAGCTCAGTCATTCTTGTTTAGGACTTGAGCAGAATGTCATATCTATGTTTAAACTTCTACCTATTCTCAGTCTTCATCTTCCTTAACATCAGTTTCTCCTTCCATGTCAAGGCCCCTATAAGAAATAGGGTTGTTACATGAAACTGAAACTGGGTAATTTGAGGAGAGCTCAAAAAACTCTATAAAGATGTGGGCAGGATATAGAAAAAACCACAAGGGATGATGTAGCTCCCTGAGGCTCCTAACAACAGGGATCCCAAAAAGTCAATGGAGGGAGTGATTATTGGCATCCATAGAATATAAACTGTGTTGGTCTGTGGCCTTGGGTAGAGGGATGCAACCACCCTCACCATCTCCACTGGGTGGAAACTAGGGAAACTCTGTTTTCACTTTCTTTCATCTCTCTGTCTTCTGTTGATGGCACCCCTTAGCTGAATCAGCCAGGAGCCAGAGGGCAAGAGTGCACTATTAATCTAAACTATATACAAAGCAGGTAGAAACAGTCAAGAGTAGTTTGAAGGGGAAAATGAAGGAAATCCAGCCAAGCTTATATGATGAGTCCTTCTCTACAACTTGTTAATTTATTTAATCATTTGTCTTATGCAATATGGAGCACCTATTAGAATCAAGAAATGTATTAGACTAAAAAAAAAGCAAGATATGCTGCTTTATCTCAAGAAACTCGGTGAAGTGAGGGAAGCAATACATGTAAAAATAGTTTAGTTCAATGATACAAATGTAAAAGAAACATATCCAAAATCCTAATGGAGCATAAAGAGAAAAAAGATGAAGAAAACATCATCGAGGAGGTGATATTTGAATTAGGCTACATGGGTACTTTACCTCAACCCCAGCTGCTACTTAACCAACTGCTATTTTCCTTTAACTTTGTATCAGCTTCCATTACTGTCCACGACATCTAAGACCCCAGCATAGAGTCAGGTCTGCTAGTCTTCAGCTTGAGTGTGCAGAGAAATAATCTGCAGTCTTACAGAGCCTGTTGTAAAAATTGCAATCCTATTTGATGAGAGTAGAAAAAAATATGAATATTTAGACTGATAAAAATTCCACTGCTGGAGGTATATTAGCTAATCATTTACCTCCTATCTTGGGATTATAGTTAGTCTAGAGTGACATTAGTCATCCTTTGCTACCATCCTATTCATAAAAGCTTAATTTATTCATAGTTAACTGGAACATGATGTAAATCTGTAAGCTATTTTCACCCTTCTATTTTTAATAGAAAGATTCCTGCCATAATCTTCTAGGATTACATGTAAAAGTGTGGACATTCTCTTTCCAGAATAGGCTTTAGTTATAAATTAACTGATTTCCTTTGTTAGTGAAAATGAGTCAATGTTATTTGGTTTGGGGATATCTATCTTTTTAAAATACTTCTCCCACTCAATTTGCCTGAAGATTAACCATGTAAACAGTCATGGAGTAAAATTTCAGGGTGCAATGAATCTTTCAAATTGCCAAGATACACAGAGATGCTTAAAGGTAGAGATGCTCTCATATATTCCTCAAATGGTGAAACCCTGTCTCTTCTCAAAATACAAAAACTAGCAGGGTGGTGGGCGTCTGTAATCCCAGCTACTCAGGAGGCTGAGACAAGAGAATCGCTTGGACCCAGGAGGTGGAGGTTGCCGTGAGCCAAGATCATGCCACTGCACTCCACACTCCAGCCTGAGTGAGACTCCGTCAAAAAAAGAAAAAAACAAAACAACAACAACAAAAAAAACAGACATTCGCTCTTTAATGAGATCTGAAGGAGTTATGGTAAATACAAAGCACTTGTTAGGTGAGCAGACAATTCCCAAGAATTAACATTACTTAACATGCCTAAACAAAGTTTTCTCTACCTTTATTATTTAGCAAACATTTTATATTACACTTGTTAAGTGCCATGTACTGCTCTAGGCCCTTTACAGGCATTAAATCAGTTCCTTCTCATAAGAACCCTACCAAGTAGGAACTATTATTACACACTAGATTTGTTTAGGAAGAATCAAAACAGAGGGATTCAGTGACTTGTCCAATGTCTCACAGCTGGCGAAAGGCAGAGTCTGGATTTAATTCTGCAAGATTTAACTCTAGAGGAGTCTGCTACCTATGGCAAGATCCAGTCTGAGCTCCTAAGACTAGAATTCAATTCTCTCCTCACACTCAGGTTCCACACTTCATTCCTGTCTCCTATGCATGACTTTTCATGAATATCACCTTTCCTGCCCCTGAAATATGCACTGTCCCAAACAGATCTTACCCTTAGCTGTTTGTTTCTGTGTTCTTGCCTTCCCCCTTCCCTTCTGCCGAAACAAATCTTACCAAGCCCAGCTCCTATTACATTTTCTGCACATAGAATCTGCCAGCTATGGAGACACTTGCTTCCCATGTATGCTTATTAAATATATAACCCAACTGGAAATTAACCAAACCAACTTAGGTGACTGCCTTTCTCTGTTGCCTTATGTCATTATTTTTTAGAAGTTTTACTTTAAGATTACTTATGTAAATATCTTTCTAAATAAAGTGTGAGCTTCTCAAACTCAGCGCCATGTATATATCCTCAGTATTCTTCATGCAGTGTATAGTCTGTGTTCAATGACCCCTGAGCTGTTCCCTATGGATGCTAAGGACATCCATAACTTAAACTGCTCTTCAGGATGTCCAAGGTGCCATTTGAAGTGGGCAGATTTCTGTTACAGCCTCCATAGCAAAGCAATTTACTCTCCCCTCATGCCCTGGTACTCTGACACTTCCCTCAAAAGAAAAAAAAAAAGATAAATGTTCAAAAAATAAAGGCTAGATTAACTGTATCAATATAGAAGGAAAACAATATTTTTTAAGAATTGTTTTTATGAAATGTTCACAAAAACCCTGAGGCAGGCATTTATTGTCTCCATTTTTAAAGATCGTTGAGGAAAATGAGGATTGGAGAGAAAATATCTCACTGGGGACTAGTACACTAATATAATGGGTCAAGAGCAGAGTTTTCTACTCAGGAATATCAGTCTTGCTGCCGTCCAGGAAGTGACCAAACTGTGTTGCCAGGGCACAGTGTTCCAGAGCAGTGGTTCCCAAATTTGCATGAGAAGCACCTGGAGGGCTTGTTAAAATACAGATTGCAGCTTCTCACCACTCCCTGTCCATTTCTGATTTAACAGGTGTAAGATGGTCTGAGGGTTTGCATTGAAAACACGTTAAGTTTCCCCTGCTGTTGATGTGGGGACCACACTTTGAGAGCCCTGTTCTAGAGAAACTTGACCCAGGAACGAAGAAAGACAAGGACAATCCTAAGACCACATAAGACCATTAGTCCATTACTCTTTCCTGATGTCTGTAAAGTAGCAAGTGAGGGAAATGTCAAAGTAAAAGTTTATATACTACTTTCTGCAGTGAAATATGTATTTCTGCAAATCACAAGGAGCTGCTCATGCTTCCACCTTCAAGATAATTTGAAATAAGTGAAGTGCTAAAATATGAGGTTTCTAAATGCAGTGTTTGCATGGCAGCTCTCATTAGCATAGAATATTTCTAAGGAACTGGTGATTTAGGTGTGTAGGGGGATGGTGGAATTGGGAGATGGAGGGAGGAAGACATTTCAAAATCTCATGTGTCAAAATTTCTAAGAATGCTCATGCACTTTTGTTTAGTAATTCTAATTAGAGGACTTTACCTCATGAAAATAATCAGAGATGCTTACAAAGATTTATGTTCAAAAATATTTATTGCAGCATCATTTTCATAGCTCCAAACTATAAATACTTTAAAATATGAGATTGATTAAACATATTATAATACAGCTATATGAGAAAAAAGATAGAGCAGTTAAAAGTCATTCCTCCAAGAATATTGGAAGACAAAGAGGTAGAATATTGGTGTAAGGAAAATGGATGTGCTGTGGTCAAAACAGGCCGAGGCAGACATCCAGTCCAGCATGACTCAGTGAGTTTGGAGCAGAGGTGCACAACTCTGCTCATTGTGTAACCACGCCACATGAGGCGCATTAGGTGATCACCCACGTGAGTTCATGCTAGGCTTGGAGCGACTATTGTTTGTAAAAGGTATAATTATCCTGCTAACGCTGTACATATGGCTCGTGCCTGGACTCGCTCGTGCCTAGAAAGAGTAAAGCCATGTCGAAACTGTCTACGTTTCCTTGAGTGTTTTTCCAGCTCCCCCGCACTCGCCCACCGACTCCCCTTGGATCTTCGTTAGAACCTGACAATTGGTAAATGAAGAGGTACAATATTATGAAGCAAAAAAAAGTAGACAACAAAATAGCATGTAAAATATCAAATATACTTATAAATATTTATTTTCTAGAGGCAATTTGTGCAGTGGGTCTCCAAGTAAAAATTTTTCCCCCTGCTTTCTAATTTTTAAAATATTGTAATTAAATTTTTTTCAATGAATATGCATTATATTTGTAAATATAATGCATACAAGGAATCCCAATAAATGATTGAGTATTTTTAAGTACGCTGTATAACAGTGAATTTGAAGTTTTCAGAAGCAGAGGTTCTATAATGGGGAGGTGTATCATAGCAGTTAATGTTTCTTGAATGCTAACTATAGGCTAGGAGTGATACATATTATCTCATAATTTTCTCATTATAATGATACATATGTCATAAATATAATATGGTATATTGTAATACTGTTAAATATATTGTGTTTGTGTATATTATATACATAAACACACACTATAGTGTTTTATATACTGTTAATAATAGTGCTATTACTAAACTTATTTCACAGAGATGATACTGATTGAAGAACTGACTTAAGAATTCCTTTTAAAAAAAACCGTTTAAAAACACCTCTTAATGAGTATGGTGCTTTTAAAACATGTCCCCCAGTTCTTGGCACTCCACCCATTGAGAGGTAGAATTTATGTTCCTGTCCATTGAATCTGGGCTCTGTGATTTCCTGTCAAATAGAGATGATGAAAGTGACTCTGTCAGTTTCTGAAATAGGTCTTAAGAAACTGGCACTGTCTGCCTCCTGTCTCTGGGGATACTTACTGTTATAACCCAGCCATCATATTCTGAGGAAGCCCAAGCAGCAAGATGCCCAAATGAAGAGGAATCAAGACCCTTTTCTCTTGGGCCTAGCTAAGCTTCCAGCTGACAGCTAGCATCAACTTGCCAGTCATGTGAGTGTGCCATCTTGGAAGTGGATTCTCCCATTCCTAGACTGATACTATGTGAATCACACCCAAATCTGCCATGCTGAGCCCTGCCTGAATTGCAGATTCATGAGCTAAGCAGATGATTTTTGTTATTTTTAGCCACTAAGTTTTGAGGTAGATTGTTTCTCAGTAGTACATAACTAGAACAATGGGCATGCTTATTTATGAAAGTAAGATCTTCTGGATATAGTGTAGTGGGTCTGCATCAGTAGGGATTCATTAGATAGGTAAATTGCTGTATACAAGAAATTACAGAAACATGGAGGATGGGGAGCCAGAAATCTAGGGAGCAGAGGAAGTGGAAGATGAAAGTAGAGGGCTCTAGCAATTAGGAGAGTGTCTGGAGCACAAATAAACTCAACAACCAGAGAAAATGATCTCGTGCCAGAGATGGCATGGGGCTATTTAAGAATTGGAATGCCAGTGGTTCAGGTTTAAGGTGTATGCTAATGCAGCTGCCTGCCATATGATGAACTACCTGCTAATCTCCATCGAGTTACAGCAAACCTTCAGCCAAATCCTGCCACACATACAGTCGCTGTTTCTGGAATACTCAGGATGGGGTGAGTGTGCTGCAATGAAGGCTGGTGGGGTAATGCAGTGCAGAGAAAAATGACGCATACTTGGTGCAAAGTGGAGACTGTAGTTTGAGAATTGATTAGAAACAAGAGCCAGAAGCCAGAGGTGACTCAGAGGTGACATATAAGATCTGAAACTGCCCTTAATTTCCTTTCTTGCTCTATATTCCCCAACCACTAGACAGATGTGAGGAATCCTGGATGTCTGTCTTTGTGCAATATGGGTTCAAGTGTTTTGGGGTCTTAATCTTAAGGTTTATAGTGATCTCAATTGACTAGTGGATTATTTAAGGGACATGTTACAGCATTAATCTTCACTGTGCAGTAGGTTTCCAAAATGTATGTCTCTGATATGTAGTTTTTGAGAGGGACGACCACATTACTTTCTGGGGCCTCACTGTGGACTCTCAGGGACACATGTTGTCTGTGTTGCTCTTTGGTGTCAGTGGAATGTCAGACACCTTGGTAGGTGTTCCTCACAATGCTACTTAATGAGCCAAGCTCAGATCAGACTCCTTAGGTTGGCCAAAATACTCTAGGTACAGGAAGTAAAATACTCTGGGTACAGACAAAAATCAATACCAGACTTCTGACCTCCAGAGCTGTAAGATCATAAATTTGTGTTGTCTTAAGCCACTAAATTTGTGGTCATTTGTTACCACAGCAATAGAAAATTAATAGTACCTGGATGTGAAATACTAATAGAGTATTTTAATTAAATGAAGGATTTAAAGTAGAAGAAAATAAAACTATCCATAGCTTGTTTTTTGAGTTAAAGTAAAGACAAACAATGTACGTTTTCTTTGAAGTAATTTTTACTGGGAAAAAAAAACAATAAAACATTTTTTTTCCAAAACAGTCAAAATAAAAGACCATTACACAAGATTGCACAATCATTTACAAATGCTGGCAATTAAAGGTAAGTAGCCTAGTCTCACAGAATCCTTGTCTAAATAGTTTACTCCATATTCAATGCACTGAAAATGTGATTCTCAGAGCTGTCGAGATTCAAAGTTTCCTTGGCTGGATTCAAAGTCCCCTTGGCCAAGCTCATTGCATTCTATAATTGAATCATATCAGACCTCAGGTAGGAACTTTTCCACCAAGATTCCTACGTTGAGAGCAGTTTAAAATTTCACATTCTTCCCATTTACCACCAGCTTTTTTCATAGTCCGGGGTATAACATTATCCAATATCCTTCCCCATTAATCACACAATTTACTCTCCTTTTTTCCAACATAACTTCTACAGTGTTCACATTCTTTTCAACCACTGCTGTCTTTAATATACAATAGTATGATTTATGTGTAAATACAGAAACACACGTCTTCAAAGTGGGGATAAAAAAAAGCATCACCTGCTATGGATACAGGTATGGTAGATTATTCAGGGAGCCCTGGAAAGGACTTTTTGCCATTAACACTAGCCATAAAAAGCAATTATGAAACTTAAAAAAAGAAAAAGAAATCAAATCAGATGTGTGTGTTTTATTCTGCACCATTATGAATTAAACAGGAATAAATCTAATAATGTGTTCTAGTTGCAACACGAAATACTGAATGTTAATAGCTTACAAACGCTGCTCTGAACATTCAGTTCTCTTCTGAGACACAGGACACACAAAAGAATTCAATTTTCAGACTCTTCCCCTGGGCCTAGTACTCACACGTGCCACAGACGGACATGTTTTTTTCCCAGAGGACCCGAGTCTGCAATTCTGATTAGATTCAAGCTTAAGGCACCAATTAGCAAGTGCTACATGCTTTATTAATGATTTTATGCACCTGTGAGGTCTACTTAGGACCCAGAAGCTAGTTAAGAATATATAAGCAGTCTCTTGATAATATATATCTTATTTCTACATATATCTCCTTAGAAATTATGTGAAAGCCTAACATATTTTGTGAATTTGATTTTTATAAGCAGTTTTATCAAACAAACTTACACAAAAAATTTCCCCCTCAACAGTACTGATAAAATACAGGGCACCTTTTTCTTTCAAGTATTTGGGTGAAATAGCATACCCTGAGAATTTGGGGTGCAAACCTACACCTTGTAAACTGTAGAATGAAACTCCTCAAGCACCACATAAGAAAATGTATACCATGATAGTTTTAAACACAAAGACTATTATTGAATGTTGTTTTCCCATGCACATATACATACTTATCATGAGATTATAGTCAATCTACTTAGGAATCAATACTGTCCTGTCCTGCAGTCCAAAGTATTATTTCAGGTAACGTGAGCATTCAATTTGTAGCAAACACAGACTTTGATTTCTATGAAGTATGAAAACAATTAAAATCTATCTTTTTAAGAGGCAAGGATGATAATGTCAAATTTGAAAATAAGAAAAAGGAATTTATATCACCAGATATTTCCAGTGACATAAGGATGTATTAGAAATGCATGTCAATAGTTGAGATTTGTTATAAAGATATAAAGTGTGATTTGCTTTAGCTTATTTACTCCCTGATAAATGGACATATAGAGAGCCTCTCTGCTATGTCATTACCTACATATCTGGGCCTTCACTTAATCCTGAGGGCAACTTCATTGAGTACTTTTTAAAAACATACATTCTGGCGAATTAAATTTTTATACGGTTACACATGTGTTCAGTTTTCCAGAAATGATTGAAATGGGACATATTTCAAATATGACCATTTTATCAACAAGTAAAAAGTGGATCTTCTGGAAAACTAAGCCACACATATAACCCTAAGAGGATATTATAAAAGCCAGACTCTGCAATTCTGATTAGATTCAAGTTCAAGGCACTATTTAGGAAATGTTTTACTAATGGTTTTATAGTAATAAAAAATAAAAGGGAAGTTCAGTAACTAAAGGGACATTATTAGGGTAATAGTTTTATGGGTCAGAAGGCTTCATAGGCTCTTGTTTGATTCCCCTTGAGCTATAAAAGGAAGGGTATATCACTTCATTCAAATATTCATGCAACCTCAAGAAATGACAAAACAATAAAAATCAAGATTGAGATTTACCTCATGCCCGTGAAAATATTTTTTCCCTATCACTGGAGGTAGTGAATGGCCTAGCAGCTTTGTATGATTTGGTGAAATAGAGAACCATAAAATTATCGATAGATGACATGATATTAATAGAACATTATTTAAAAGTTGCGTTTTTAGCCACTTGGACATCACTGTGTCCTTGGCAACTTCCTAAAAGGTGAAGCCTCTTGTATAGAACAAACAAATGAAAAGCTTTTTCTTTCTTTCCTTAGTTTGTGTCCTAATTTACCTCAGTGTGAGAATTTAAAACTCAAATCTGCTGGTGAGAAACACTGATACATAGATTAGGGGTCCCAAGCCCTCAACTCTACCACATTTTCTAGAGAAGGAGTTGTCTCTCTTTTGGAAGAGTTGGTGAGCAGTCACTACTCAACATGGCCACTGGTTTTTCCTGAAAGTCGCATTTGGCTTTAAACCAGTCTTAACAATTTTGGTACTATCCACCCAAATCCTATATAGGTTTCACCAGGTGTATTCAAATACTGGAGGTTTCTTGGTGCTGCTTTCAGTAAAATAAGTGTAAGATTTCTGAAAGGGATTCTACTTTCTTGGGTCAATATTAAGTTACCTTATACCCAGCCAATCTCTCCTGAAAACGAGGAAGCTCTGATGCCATAAGATTTGTTCCCCAGTGGATAAAACTTACTTTAAGTTCTGGGGGGAATTGATTGATGTGCCTGGGTAAGAAGACCTCTATGATAAAGAAATATCTTTTTCTTGAATTTGGCACAAGGGCATCTTTTTTATACACAGAGACTATGTTTCATATTTCATGTCTCATAAAGTCTATAGCTTCATTTCATAGCTCATCAGCACAACAAGCAATTGAATCGTGATCAGAGCTGACTATTCCCGCCTCAAACCTTTCCCTATACCCAAGAGAACTTTTTTTCAGAGTAAGATCCCTTAAAGGAAGGCCCTGAAAGTGAAATTAAGTCTTTTTTAAGAGTCTGAGATGGGAAGCATAACTACAAAGTAAAAAGATTATATAAATCATACAAAACTCAGTCTCCTAGTTTTTTACTCACACTTTTTGTCATGAGTAGCATAAAATTCTGTGGCTTATGAAGAAAATTTAAGCAGAAATCAAATATTGCTGAGGTTTAAAATAATATTAGGGTGTTTAAAAAATTACCAGAATGCTTTATCTTTAAACAAATTGGTAAATAAAAGGAGATTCTTAAAAAAAAATCCTGGGAAAACCTTCAAATTATTCCTTTAAAAAGTAATTAAGTAATATTTCAATGTAACATTTGCCAAGTATATATCGATACACTTATTATGACAAGCTAAATATTTATCTGTTCAATCAAGTCTTCCAGTCTTCAAGACTCCCTGTGAACACTCACTCAAATAGCCTTCAGAATTGGGTTACAACTGAGACAGTACTAAATGTCAATAAAAGATTCTGTGATTTGGATTCTTGACATCTCTTCAAACCTGCCTCATCCTCATAAGGAGCAAGTGCTGTAACTCTAGGTTACTGTTATTGGGATAGCGAGGCTAGGGCTGGAGTGAATCAGAGCCACTGAATTAGTGCCATATTCTACTCTACTGCCCCAAATGGGTCACTCTTTAGACTCTAAACAATCCATGAGAGACACGAGTATGCAACTATGGAGGGAATTATTGAAGAAAAGAAAAATGTTATGCACCCACAAAAATAATTGGATTCTTAAAGGAAAATAGATATTTTATACCTTTCTGAGACTAAGTACTTAATTTTAGATGCAATCATTGGCTTTCCAGTATTTCAAGCCATTCTATTTTAAGGCAACAAATAGTGTCGTGGCATTGTACAAATGGGAAAAATAAAATAAAGCACAAACATTACAACCACCATTTTTCACAATCACATTTGAAATCATGCCAAACCTAATAAAAGAACATATAGAGCATAACCAAGAGAATGGGTAGGTTTGGCTGATATATGATTCAAAGAGCAGACCATCATAGTGAAAACTTAAATACGTATTACAACTCAGCCAGCTAGTCTTGATATATTCCAAGAAACTATAAGGAGATTCGTGATCCAAATTACTCATTTACTAGCTTGGTTTACAACAGAATCAATCCCATTCTGTGGTATGTTTTGACTGAACAATGGGAACAAAGGAATTGTTTGTCTAGTCACAAGTACAGGGGGGAAGGAGGTGAATAGAAAGCTTATATCCTGTGTTGAAGTATAAAAAGAAATAGTCATAAAGGGAAAAAATGCAACCATTCAATCAACTTAATAAAATTAAAATAAAAACTGCCTTAAGAGGATTGTTCAGAAAAATATAGAAACTTACACACTTAGCTTATAAGAAGCAAAAATTAAGAATAACACATGTGGAAGAAGTTTTTCAGATGAAATAATTCTTAGTGCTATTACAATGCAAATTCCAGATTAAAGAAGAATAGTCCATCTTTTTGTCTTGCTCCTATAAAATAAAAAAATTAAGAAAAAACATAGTCAAGGAAAAGATTTTTAGTTCTAAAAGCAAATTTCACTTTTACAAACAAGAAAAATATTAAAATACATTTTATTTAACTGTTTGACTAATTTCAATGTTAATAATGAAGTTAACATTTTAACATGTGCTTGGCAAATGTGTTTATGAACTTACTAAACATTATGCCAACTTCAGGAAATTGCCCCAAGTGGAATTTGAATCAAATCTAATCAACTCTTCAAAAATGACTTTAAAGTTAAATGTTCCGTTTCATTGAAATCATTCATAGCAAAGATAAAATATTATAATAGATATGTTTCTAATATTAGCATGCAGAAATATTTAAGCTAAATGGAAATATTTGAAATTTAGTTATCAATCTTATTAAATGAGTAAACTCCATGCTGAGAATTCTTGTAAAGCAAATGACCAGTACTTAAATTATGTGGAAATTCACATAGTACATTTTGTTCAAAATAAGATGTACTGGTTAGAACCTATCTTAGTTAAATCCATTCTAGAACAGCATTGACATGTTCAAAAGCTTGCTGAAGGTTAGCCTTCTCTCTCTATCTCCATATAAGTTCTAGTATATCTACCAGAACTTTGCCTAAGTAAGTTTTTTTTAACATTTGGGAGTTGATATTTGAACATAATATTATGAAAACAGAAATAGAGTGGCCTACAGGTAATATTTGTTAGGGATTAAGAAGGCTCATGTGAAAAATAACCTCCAAGAAGTATCAAATAACAGCTATCTAGCCAATTATATGCACTCAGAGTAGCAAGGCAAGGGACATTTTAATTCTGTCATCTAGAAACAAACCTGTTTAAATATGTGTTTTAAAAAAGAAGTCTATAAGAATAATTTTTAAGCTTATATGTATACACTCCATGTTTATTTTATTGTGTTGTACTTTATATTGAGGAATGACCTGCAAGATGAAAGGGACCATTGTGAATTTGGAGACCTCTCATTTGCTAAATGTAAGTTTTTCTACCTTAGGACATAAAAAGCAGCAATACGAAAAGAAAATTTAATTACAAGAGGGAGAAAAGAAAATGTGGGACTGAGAAGAATAATTTCAATGTGGATACAAGGATTTGATAACAACTCTGACTGAGTCCTATCACTAGGCAAGATTTGCAAAGACTCCTTGAGCAGTGAGAAGACATTAAGGGGAAACAGAGAGAAAAGAAAGAAACAATCGAGAGAGATTGCACTATAGGACGGTAATAGTCTGAGAAATGAAGGAGAAATCTGGTTATACAATCTGCTAGGATCATATTTAGGGATTGATAGTGTAGATATTGCCTTTTTGGATAGTCACAGAATATCGCTTCTGCTTACATTAATTTCAGAGGAATTTGGTTTGAAATTGAAAAGTAGTAAAGTTGCTCCCAATTCCTATTAAAGAAAAAGTAATAAAAATCGCCAATATAGCTAACCTGTTAGAGGCCTCACAAATATTTACTGCAGTAGAATGGATCACGAAGAAGTCAGTAAAGATGAAGGGATGACTACCCTGTGTCACCAGGGAGTTTAACTGGATGACTTCCCACGGTTTTAGGACCAGAACACATGACAGAGTTCAACAGGGATGCTGGGTCAGATTTTCCCTTTCTCCACGCCGGCCTGTGCCCAGACAGAGGGGAAAATCACCGCACACAGCTGGCAAGCTATGCTCAGAGTTGTATAACATTCTGGAAGGCCTTGGGGGATACTAGAGTACCCTGACACACAGCCAACTGGCCTGCCCTGAGAGATCAGCCAGCTAGCTCAAAGAGGACTGCAGAGCTGTGGGCACTGCCTCCGGTTTGGGGAAATACAGAGCAATCCTGGGCACAGGTCCATGATGCTTACCCTGGGAGTCTGCATTGATAAGGGCTGATTTTCTGCTCTGGTGAGGGGCCCTGAGAAGATAAGGGGATTCTGAGGCATTTATGAGGATCTAGTTTCAAGGGAGCTTGAACACCTACTACGAGCAATGTACTATGTGCTATGTCTTCTGTCATGGTTTTATAATTCAGTCTTCACTACTCTCCTGAAATGTACCCCATTTTACAGATGAGGAAAATGAGGCTCAGTGACAACAAGTCACTTGCCTGGACTACACTGTGACTAGTAAGTAAGACTAGTTACTTAGACTAGTAAGTAACAGTATTAGAATCTGAGTTGGGGTTGCCTGACTTCAAGGCACACGTACTTGTGATTTAGTAAAAGCCACACAGCTTCCCTTCAACTAAAATGCTTTAATCCACTGGCATCCAAGAAGATTTCACCCTTACCTTTACAGCGCACATTCTTCTGCTTTACATAAACAAAAATTCTCCTACCTCTGGGAGCCACAGCTCCTAGGAGTCCTTAAGCTGTCTCAGGTTTCTTTTTGGGGCATATAATGTTCTAAGGACAGCTAGTTTTTTAATCAAATGAAAAACACACATAGAGTTTTAGTATATGCTTAACACTGACAGATTCAGGGTCAGTTTCTTACCTTATTCCCTTTCCCTGCCCTTTCCCCCAAGCCACAACACACACACACACACACACACACACACACACACACACACACACACACACACACCCCCTCCGCGGCAGTAAAACGGCCAGAAGATTCTATTTCCTCTGAATGAAACAGAAATTTGGAAAATTAGCAGCAGGGCAGCCAGTCAATTCCAACTGTGTTCTTTTCCACCATCCACAAGGACTTTAATGTTTCATATAATTAACCCTTTAACGTACTGATGTGGCCGAGAGGAAAAATGCAATGGCTGAAAAATTTTGGAGAAGTTAGGTAGTGGGAAAGTCCTGACACAAAGAACAAATAAGAGAAGAGGGACAATTTACAACAAAGAACTGAGACCAGCGAGCAGAGAATAAGACAAATAAATGAGCAAGGGGGTAATCTATAAGAGCACGGGCCACGGAGCTCCAAGTGCCTGGATTTCAATAGGTGTTGATCTGGGATAAGTTAATGTTTAATTTGTCAAACAGAGATTAAAAATAGTACCTATCTGTGTTAATTCAATGATGTTAAGTCTTGGTATATACTAAATGATTAATACATACTAGCTTTTACTTTTAATTTCTTATTAATTTTAGATAAGTTAAAAAAGAAAATGTAAAGGTAATGGAATCGTGAAGAAAGGTACAAAATAGTAAGCTAGAGGAAAGCCACAATGCAATTAAAGGGAAAGGGAGAAAAGAAAAGGCAAAAACAAACAAATACATTAAGAAGATAAAATAAAACAGAAGCTATTTACAATAATTGGGAGAGGAAGTCACTACCAAGTTAGTGGGGAAAATAGAAATAAACTATTCAATTCATGAAGGTAACTATGGAATGAAGTGAAAATAAAACGTCTAGGTTATAGCCTGCAGATTAGCTACCTGGCCTGCATGCACCGGAGCAGCAAATTTCCTGTCCTTCAGATGACTTGCGTGGGCTCCAAGTACAACGCTTCAAGAACATTCAGGTGAGGGAGCTGGAGGACTCACCCAGTCCTACCCTTTAAGCTGTCTAATCTATGATAATAATAAAAAAAAAAACTACAAAAAAAGTGAGGAGAAGGGAAGAAGCAAGGTGGTGGAATGTTGAACTAAATCAAGTTGAAGTGAATGGAAAATGAGAAACCGCAATAAGGAACAAGTTGCAAAAAAAAAAAAAAAAGCAAAGGACAGAAAATAAATTCTCAAGCAAATGGCAATGGAAAAAAGAGAGACTAGTGGGACAGACACCAGGAAGTAACTCCATCAAAGAAAAGTGGCCTTAGGGAGAAAAGGAAAAGGAGAAATGGACAAGAAGAAGAAGGCGCCTGTGTACCACTGAACTCCAGCCTGGGCGATGTAGTGACCCCATCTCTAAAAAAGAAAAAGACTCTGGCATGGAATATTTAGGTTTTGAGTCCCAGTTCTGTGACTAAGGAAGGGTCACTTAACCTCTCTGAGTGCCAATTTCCTCTTGGAATTTCAATACAAAGAGACTGGGTTTGATGATCTAAGGACCCAGTCTAGGGACTCATTAGAATAATAAAACAGCTCTCCCTGAATCCAGCCCTTGCTCTTGCTACTTTAGTTGCTGATGCATGGGGCCCTATACAGGGGGTAGAAATAACTCTGAGGGACTAAATAGAAAAGAAAGACCAACAATGCAGGAGCAACATGAAACACAGGGAGAAATGAAGAAACAAAGGCTTACAGTAAAAAAAAAAAAAAAAAAAAAAGAACATACAAATGAAACAAAATAATTGCAATTCTCTTAGGCTGATATCCACTACTTGTGCCAATGAAAGTTTTCTTTTGTTAATATTACATATTTATTTTATCTTTATGCCCTTGTAAATGGTATTTAGCATCAAGTCCCAATTAAAATCTTAAAACAAAAATACAGCATCTAAGTGGATGGGCAGGAGAGCATGTCAGGAAGGGAAAAACATAGCCATGTTCCTCAAATAACAGAAATCTAAAAAAAAATTCTCACTAAAAAGTTGTCAAAGATCATGTGAAGAGGGAACATTAAAAACCAAAATAGGCAGACAAAAAGGCCTAACAACAACAAAAAAGAAAGTGGTGAAGTTTTGCAACTGCTGTGCCTAGTACACTGGTGTGTTGCAATTGGATTACTGCTGTAGCCATCTGGGCAGTTGGGTCCCAGGTGGTACACAGCCTTGTGCCTTAATCACAATGTGAGATGAGAGTACTGAATAATAATAAAGTGAATAATATTATCTTTTTAGATGGGTTGTGGCATGGCAAAATCTGAGAATAACTGGGATATTGACCACAGGATGAAGAGAAGTGAGAAAACCCCACCTATAATTTTTTTTTTAATAAAGGAACATTTATAAGAGAATAATCAGAAAAAGATAACAGCAGCTGTTTATGTCCAAATATATACGGGAAGGAACAAAAGTGAAGCTCCCTATTGCAATGTAGTGCTAAAAATAGATGATGAAATACTTATTATTTGAACTGGAATGAATCTTAAAGGTTATGACAGTTCTTGAACACTTGTTTTGCAGTTTTGTGTGTACAAGTCTACACTCCTGCTGGAGTGTAGGCCCCTAATTTGTGTTATCCGTATGTGGGTTTACGGCCCCAACAGGGAGTACACAGTGGCTCGTAGAATGTAGGCATGTAATTCATGCTTGTTGAATTAGTGCATTTTGTTGAAACATTCATTTTACAAATGTCCAGAGAGGCAAATGGAAACACAGATGGTTAATGGCCAAATGCCACCACAGAGCAGATCCCAGGTGTCCTTGCTGCCAGTTCAGAGCTCATTACCACCTCCTTTACTGTCCCTTTTTTGCTCCATGCCTCACACCAAGGAACACAGAGTGGTCTGCAGGGAGCAAGGTGTGGCCCAGGAGTTAAGAGCTGGTTCTAAAGGTCCTGGTTCTCTCATTCTCTGGGGACCTCAGTAAAACCATTTCTTTCTAAGTCCCAGTTTTCTTCTCTGTGAAATACTGTGGTCAGATAAAATCATTTACACAAATTCTCATTTGAAAAGAGGACATAAACCTACCCTACCTCAAAACAAATATCTGCAATAAGTCTGGTTTTTAAGGGAAATTTTGACCTGAAATCCCTTTCAAGATTTCTCATACTGACCATCTTGAAATATCTGAATGGTAGTTACAACTTTTTTACACAAGGAAAAGAATTACACACTTAAAAAAAATCCATCTGGCTTTTCTTTGGAAGGTGGTATTGAATGTTCACAAAGGTGAGTTTTGAAAAATTTTTAATTCATTATTTCAATTTGGCTAAGTCAACTTTTACCTGCATACAAAAAGCTAATCTTTAGCTGCCAGCCAGATTTGGCCTTTCTGTCTATCTTTAGGGCTTTATTTACTAAAATGAAGGTCGTGCTTTCAAAAAGGAAAAATT
This sequence comes from Homo sapiens, assembly GCF_000001405.40. Lineage (NCBI taxonomy): Eukaryota > Metazoa > Chordata > Mammalia > Primates > Hominidae > Homo > Homo sapiens. The sequence continues at coordinate 99,647,102 of NC_000004.12, forward strand.
TGCAAATATCACTATTCAAGTCCCAAACACTAAAAACTCTAATGTATATCTGTGTCTACTGGAAAAAACTCCAAGTCTAATCTCTCTAGACTCAACAGACAGGGGAAAGGCCAAAGGCAGCTGCTTAAGAGGATACTGTGCAAGTGTGTGCCCGATCCTCCCTTCTCTCTTCCCTGTCCTCCCTTCCCCTTGCTTCTGCACCTCCACAGCTTGCACAAAGGCCTCATAGCATTAGTTGGTCCAAAATAGCCCTAGGTAAACACACCACCTGTCTAAGCGATTAAAACACTTTTGCCTATAGGCTACTCTTTTCCTTCTGCGAAACTAATTCTCTAATTCTGAGTCTCCTACCCATGCATATTGAATTTTTTTTTAATTTTCTACACTAAACAAAAGATGACTTATTTGTCTTTAATTTTCTCCCTCCCCTCTTCATCTGTTATCATCACACAGTGTCTGTTGCAGACTATCCCAGAAGAAGAATTTAAATAATGTATTTCTAGATTGCAGCTAAAATGAGGCTGTGCTTTCAAGTGAATTCTTAGAGAAAGATTTAAGGGTTTTTTAAAGTGTCTAATATTGTCTTACAGTCCAATAAGTGTAATAATATTCAGTAACAATCTCTTAATTTGAACAAAATTTTTAGCTTGCAATACATTGTTATATCATCTGATATTTAGATACATGTTTAGGGTTAGATATTATTTATTGTCCCTACTAGAGGTGACACATGAATGCTAAAAAGTTTGTCATGCCCAACATCACACAGCTGGTGAGAAGCTGTGTGACTCCAAAATCCAGTGATGCTAACTCCCGAATGAAGGCTCTTTCATTGCACAAAGCAACAATATTCCTGTTCCTTTTCAGTTATAACAGAGAAGAGAGAAATAACATATTTTTTATTATAGAAGCATAAATAGGATTTCTCTTCTTTCCATCTCTTTTTTTTTCTTTTTTTTTTTTGGTTCAGAATATGATCTTACCAAAGACTGAAAGTCCTAGAAGCTTTTATAATATCACCTTTTCCCAATCTGAAGAGAACAGGAGTGTAAGGGGCAAGTTTGTCCCCACACAGTTCTGACACCTTTACGCTCCTATCTGAAGGTGTCTTTGCCCTGTCATGTGTTTGACCTGAAGTGTCCCGGTTTGAACAAGTAAAGCTCACTCTTCCTATCAAGTTCCATGTACTGTATTTCCAGGGATTCCTGTTTGGACATTTGGATTAACTTAGTTGTCAGGAATCTATTTACCCTGATTTCCTTTACCTAGGGGTAGGTGTGGAAGTTGATTCTTTTCTGAAGAAAGAATGCAGACATGAAAATAACAGTCTTGTGGGGATTAGCAGCAAAGCATAATGTGTTCAGTCTGGACAGGACTGGATTAAACACAGCAACTCCATTCAAGCAAGGAGTAACTGCAGCTCCAGAATCCTCCCTCCCCCATAGAGAACAAAGTGTGTGTGTGTGTGTGTGTGTGTGTGTGTGTAAGACACATTAGAGACCTTGAACTCATCCTGAGAACATGTTCTGATTATCTGAAAACTGAAAAACAAGAGCTTAAAAAATACAGTCGCTTTGTATAAGCAATTTCAAAAGGAAGATACAGAGGAGAAAGAAGCTTTTCTGCAGATTTTAGAAAATGTTCCTACAAGAAAACATCTGTCTTTGCTTCTCCATACTTCTGGGGAGCAAACAGATTGAAGGGGTTTCCAATGACCTCCTGGGATGTTCAGTGCCTCCTGTCCCTGGGACTGTCATGAACAGAGTGAGGCTCACTCCACAAAATCCAAGCTGGGTTTTCATTTCTTTGCCCTGACAACGTTCACCACGGACAGACTGAAGGAACAGACCCAAGGTTCACTTCCCTTCTACTCTCAGGTGGGAAAAAACACTCAGGCAATCTGAAAAGGTCAAAGGGCAAAGGCCGACCTTGGGGACTGAAGCCTAGAGAGAGGGGGAATCCTGGCAAAATTATCCCCTTTGTAAATTGGATGCAGTTTTGTTCTATTCTCTCAAAACATCCATTTCTAGAGACAGCCTCCTTTATTGTAAATCTCTCACTTCAAACACAAACAAAAAAATATTGTTCTTACTCTCTTAAACCTGATTATCAAAGTGAAATTCACTTACCAGCAGTTTTTCATTCCGCTTCCTGGTGGCTGCTCATCATCTGTGTTCTACCACAAAGCTCATGGTGGTGCCATCAAAGGAAGGGGGAGCAATGATCCGTGGCCCCAGGGGCTGCGAAGTAATGCTGATGACAGGCTTGCCATGCAGCTGGGCAAAGGCCTTGGCCCCTAGGAGCTGGGATGTGGCTGCTGGGGCTGAGGAGGTTGAGGAGGCCGGAGACTGACCAGAAGCCATGAAGTATGGGGCCTCGGTGAACGTTGCAGCTGCCTCTTTGCTGGAAGGTTCTGCCACCATTGGGGAGAGCTCACTTCCTCTTGGAGCGCGAGCAATTGGTGTGGGCTGCAGAGCATTGGTGGGCAGCACGGTAGGCAGAAACCCAGGGTAAATCATGTAGGTGGGTCCATAAGCCCCAGGACTCAGGGCCAAGGGAGGCACAGAGATGGACATGGGAGCCACAGCCTGCTGCTGGGAGGTCATGGGCACATCCACATACTGCCCTGTCTCAGGGTCAAACAGTCTCCGGGTCATGGGCTGTACTGGTGTGTCCACCAGATAGTACTGGCCTGTTGTCACATCCAGGAGCATCTTACGCTGGGTCTGTTGAGGCTGTGCCTGCTGGAAGGGGTCTGTGGGGACGGGAGCTGAGGCTGCAGGTGCTGGGGCAGGCATGCTGGGTGGGGAGAAGCAGAGGACCTGAGGCTGGGCCCCCTGTAGGGTGAAGGGCAGCGGCGGCTGGTGGTAGATGGTGGTGGGGGGATGCTCGGGGCTCTGTGGCCCTGGGGGGGCAGCTACTGTCTCCCGGGGGTTGTCAGGTTTGGTACGCCAAGCTGGTCGGCTGGTTCCACTAACCTGAGAGCCTTTGGAGCTACTGGGGACCTGACTGCGGGCACTCAGCGGGGGTAAACTACAGAGAGTGGCAGCTGAGGAGTTGGGGGGCCCCTCCCTGGAAGCCCCAGGCCTGCTAAGAAGCTCCCCTGCAGCAGAGCTTCCTTTAAGAGGGATGGTCAGGTAATTCTCACAGTCACTGTTGCTCTTCTCCAAATTGCTGCCACTTTTCCTGTTGGTCACCTCATCAGGAGGTGCCCGGGTGGCTGGAGAGATCTTGAGGGACCGGAGTCCCTGCGACTTGATGCCCTTAGCTGCTGAAGGACTCTCCGGAGAAGGCCCTTGTGGGAACTTGCCAGCGACACCCCCAGTTTTCTGGATGCTGCTGGCACTCACTGTGAACACGTTCCGGTTGCTGGGGAGTGGTGGGAGGGGCTGCAGGGGTTGGGTTCTCTCTACATCCTTGTGGACTGGGGGAATATAGAGAGATCGGGGTCTTTCCCTGGCCAGGTTCTCAAAGGCCGCTGCCCTGGCAGACACACTCTCAGCGCTGGGGTTGGAGTTTCTCCGCTGCAGACGTTCTATGGGGGCCCCTCGCAGGACCACACCAGCTTTGTTTCCTGTGCCCCGCTCTTCCACCTCACCCAGCCGTTTGGACAGCTTGTCGTGGTCTCCATCAGCAACCACTACCCCTTCCCTCTCCTCACTGGCAATGAGCGACAGCACGTGGCTGTCCATCATCATAGGCAAGGGGTCGCTTTTGCGCTTCCACTCGTTCCTGTTGAAGCTGTACAGCTCTTCCATGGACCTCACGGCTGCAGTCAGCTTCTCCAGGGCATTCCGGGCTGGCTTCGTGGCTTTCCCTTCCTCCTTGACCTCCTCCTCCTTGAGCTTCTCTGGGGTCTTCTGGGTGGAAGCCTTGGAGACAATCTTGAGCACAGGCAGGTATGAGCCCTGCTCGGGCTTATTGGGGGCAATGGTAGCCACAGGCAGCCTGCCAGATGCCCTGTGAACCAAGACTGTCCCTTCTGGGGAGGAAGAATTCAAGACTCTGCTGCCGCCCCCTTTGCCCATGCTTTCCCTGGGCTCTCGGTCCATGCTGTCTTCCCTCTGGTTCACTACAGCCTGGCATGTAATCACCATGGGGGACAGGGATCCAGATCCGCCAGCTGCTGCAGACAGCTGCCTGGGTTTGGGTCCAGTCAGCCCCTGCTCTGGGGTAACACTGCCCTTGTCACTACTATCCCCTGACCCTTTAATTAGTTTCCTGACATCTCTCACCTGGTGGAGGGGGCCTTGAGCCTTGGACTTGTCTCTGATGTCTCTCACCTGGAAATGGGGCACTTTTTCTAGGTTGTCCCCGCGGAAGAGTTTCTGCTGTGCCCTGCTGTTGTCCTCGATGGTCTTGAACAGGTTAGAGGCGCTGCCACCGGCCAGCTTGGGCGTGAGCAACTTGGCAATGTTGAAGTCTGAGCTCGGCTGCTGCACACTCCCCAGCCGGATCTTGATTTCGGGAGCCTTGGGTCTGATCACCGCTGTGGAGGTGGCCTGAGCAGCAGGGTACTTGGTGGCCTGCTTCCTCGGCTGCTTGTCCTTGGGTGTCTGCTGGATGTTGGGGACAAAGAGGCGAGACATGATGGTGTTCTTGCTGGCAGAAATCTCCCCGAGATCAGCCCGCCAGTCGCCTCCTTTGGGCAGCTTCAGCTTCCCTATAGGGGCTTGTTCCTCCCTCTTCTCGGCCTCTTTCTCCTTCCATGACCGGAACGCACTGTTCTGACTACGGAGGAAGATGCCCTTGACGGTCTCTGAGGCACTCTTTTTAATTTCACACACTTCTGTGTGTCCATCGGTGAAATTCCGGCCAGGGCCTGCGTTGCGCTCGCGAGGAGTACTGGCTTTGAAGACTGGAGATTTGGAGCCCGCCACGGACCCCTCCCCGCCCGCGTCGGACATGCTGACCACTGTGTACTCGGAGCCGGCCTCGGAGTGACGAGAGCTCTGCCTCTGCAGGCCCCTCTCTCGCTGCCTCTCGCTCCCGCGGGCGCCCTCCGTCTCCTTGGAGGTGCCTGAGAGGTGGTGGGATGTATCCATGACTTCTCCCCTCTCCATTTTGAACTCGTGTTCCCGCTGCATCTTCTTGGAAATGACATTTTTGAGCAGACTGGAGGCGAACTTGGACTTCTGGGGGCCATCGGCGCGGGAGGTGGGCTTGCTGCCCTCGGAGGTCTCGGAGCCGTCGTCCGTGTATGCCGACCCGGGACCCTTGCCGGGGCCTTTGGTGGCCCTGCCGGGCCCAGGGGCCGAGCTGGCTTTGCTCTCACTGCGTACATTCAGGGGCTCCAAAAGGGTGACGACGCGGGAGCCCGTCTGGACCTGCTTCTGGAAACACAGGGGCGTCTCCACATGTTTGATTTCCCCCTCGACTTTGCTGACCACGAACTCCAAGGCCTTGGTCTGAGACTTCTTGGACTGGATGTAGAGCTGGTCGGCAGTGGCCCGGGCCCCACTGCCCTTCCTCAGACCTGCAGCCACAGAGGCCGCGCTGCTCCTGAGGAGGCTCTGCTCCACCCTGGCCCCAACACCCCCACATTTTAAGTCCAGGAAAGTTGACCAGCGCCCAAAGCCCACTTCGGAGAGCGTGGTGGAGGACTCCCGGGAGCTGATGTTCAGAGCCTCAAAGTAGGGGTAAGCCAGGCTCCGGAAGGCCCGGGAGGTCAGGTTACGCACCTCTTTGTCCGCATCGTCCAGTTCGCTCACGGCACTGGAGGCTCCGCTGGAGTAGTCCACCAGCTCCTTCGCCCGGATGGCCCCGCACCTGGTTTGCAGGCGAGCAGGTACAGCAATGAATTTCTTTGCATGGTCCTGAGCCACTGCTGCAGCCGGGTTTTGCTTCAGCGAACTTGAATTGTGTTCAGCAGCTGTAGAGACGCGGAGGCTCATGTCGCCTTCATGCTTGGCAGCATAAATAATGTTTTGCTTTGCACGCACGTTGCTAGGCTCATTTATAGCCCGGGAAGCCGGTTTGATTGATAGGAGGATCTGGCTTGCTGCACTCCCACAGCTGCTTGCGGCGGCGGCTGCTGCCCCTGAAGCTGCCTCCGGGGTCTCAGGCAAGGGCTCAGTCAGGGGGGCAGTGCCAGGCCCAGTGGGTGGGGGAGTGGGGCCACTGTCAGAGGGGCCACTGCCCACTTCGGTGCTGCTGGTGTCGCGGCCACTGCGGCCTGCATTGGGGCGGGCCAGGTCGCTGCTTGTAGGGCTGGGCGTCCGGGTGGTGTTGGTGCTGGGAGTGGTGCTGAGGTAGCAGCTGTTGTCGTCGTCCTCTTCGGTCAGACTGGTGATGTCCCCTGGGGTCTCGTCGCTGCCACCAAAGGAAGCATAATCCACGAACGAGTAGATCACGTTGTTGTCCTCGAAATCCCAGCGGGAGGCCAGTCCCACGTCGAAATCCATGTCCTGTTCCACCTCACTCAGCTGGATCTCATGGGTGGTGATGTAGTGAGCCTCTTCGACTTTGGGGGGGTCCCTGCTGCCCTGGGACTTGGCAATAATGTCCCTGCACTCTGTTCCATCTCCTGCCCCTCCTCCCCCTCCTCCTTTTCCTCCTCCCCCTCCTCCTGATATTTTCTCTCCTTCTCCTCCCACGGCCTGGCAACCTTCACTTTCACCACTCTCACTCTCGAAGCCTAAGGATGAAGAGGAGGTGGCCAGAGCCCCTGTGGATGTGGTGGAGTCCTCCATTTTGGAAAGGCCATCCTCTTCTGCTTTGTTCATCGGGGAGGAGGATGAGGAAGATGAGAAATTGCCACCCTCTTCAGAGGCAGAGTGCTGGGATCTAGAGAGTTGGGAGGAGGCAGGATTGTTCTGGGGGCTTGGAGTCTTGCTGCTGGGTTCATCTTGGGCTTTCTCCTTTGGGCTCCTAGAGGCCCTCTGACCCCCAGGGCAGTGCCCCAGGGTAAGTTTCATGGTCTGGGGACTCTCCCTCTGGACTTCAGCTGAAGCACACATGTCCACATATTTCGCTTCTCGCTGGGAGGAGGCTGAAGGCTTGGGAAGTGGCCACAGCTGCTGCTTGAGCTCCTGGCTGTCTTGAGCACTGCTCACCCCGTCCCCCACCTCCGCCTGTCTTGCTTTCGAATTCAGCTCAGGAGGGGCAGCTTCCATTATGAGCCCTTGCCCAGGTTTCAGCGACAGGAAGAGACAATGGTGATCGCTGGGGAAGTCTTGGGTCCGTCTCTGGCCCCGGAGGGGCTGCAGAGTTGCCCGAAGCAGGGTCCCACGTATCTGGACTGGCCCCAAGGCTGTAGGCACTGCTGCCACTGCTGCCACCACCTCCCAGTTCTTCAGCCCCTGTGGCGGGGCCGCAGCAAGCCTGAGGGAGGTGGGAAGGCTCCTGGATGAGGCGGTGGAGGTGGTCTGTGGCTGGGGGGCTGCTGCTCCGGCCGAGACTGTGGCCAGTGTTCTGTAGCTGAGCTGTCCTGTCCAGTTGTTTGCCTGGCACCGTCGGCAGCAGCGAGGAGTCTGAATGCCATCGGCCACGGAAGAAGCAGCATCTGTAGGTTGACCCCGGGACTTCCAGAAATGAAAGGAAAGCATGTGCTGTTTCTTGTGAAGCCTTGTCCCTTTCCTGGATGGGGCGAGAGAAGGTCACGTCATTCCAGAAATATTTTTAGTGTCCATTCCGTAGTCATATCGAAACCACACTTGAGGGTAGAAAGAAGAGGCTCTAATGAGATGAAAAGAGAAGGTTGGGGGTGGAGGAGGCATGTGGATTCTAATTCAAATCAGCCAAATGTTCTATGTAATCTATTATAGCGATGTCTAGCAAGTATGAAATTATTCTTTCCTCACAGCCATCTTTCACTCTCAAGTTTTTGATTAAATGGTTCCCCCCACTTGTTCTTAAATAAAATTCAAATTTTTCACGCATTTCGCATGAATTAAGGACACTCTGGAAATATTTCAAAGTCTCCCTGGTACATATGGTAGCCTTATATTTGCCTCAAAATCTATGCATTTCTTTTTCTTTGGAGAGCCAAATCAGATGAGTTTTGGTAGTAAAACTTTTCATAAGAATAGAATATTCCATCCCTCTTTCCCCAAAGTTACACTCTATGAAACACGACCTGTTTGGTTCAAAATAGAAGAATCTCTCCTAGAATCCTTACTGTGGTGACTCAAAGTATAAAAGGGCAATTTTCAAAGACCTAAACTTAACACTTTAAGCAAACTTTTCATTATGGTCACTAAAAAGGGCACATGGAGCCAAAATTGACACTACTTCAAATCCCTACAGTGCCTTAATCAATCTCAAAAAAGATCCCTAAACTTGTAGAACCATGGCAAGACAACAAACCTCCAATTAAATATAGCCTGAGCTGCAGCCTCATGATTCGGTTACGCTGGCTGAATTCCAGGCCTGCAGGGCACTGAGTCAAAAAGCAAAAGAATAACAAATACACTTACCCTTCAAGAGTACAGTGCGGCTTGGAGGGAGATTCAGAGAGGAAATGTGACCCACTGGCATGCCCCATGGAAACGAAGCCAAAATCCCCGTTCACTGGCTCTGAGGTACCTCCATTTCAGACAATTTGGTAGTTGTGCAAGCAAATTTGCCAGTCAACTTAAGATGGGGGTCTGTGCTGGCCATCCTCAGAGCTGATTCCTTGGGTACTATCGGTGGAGAACCATGATGCTTGATTTTGGTGAGATCTGACCCTTGTCACCTGCCAGGCCCAGTTCCACCACTATACATAGTCTATGTGTCACTTATGCCGATTGAATAAAGCACTATTTTAAACAACCACATTTGCAGGGAACAAAAATAACACCATCAACCATCCCCTTTCAACATGAATGCCACCTCCACACAGAAAAATGTTCTTTCCTCCGAATAGGCATGTGGGTAGGTATGGAGTGGGAGCCCCTAACAACTGAAGCATCTACCTTCTCATACTTGGGCTGTGGACAACACAAGCCTGCCGTTATCCTCTCAACTCCTTTCTGCCCACACCACTGCCATTAAAAGTATGACTTAAGGCAAGACTAAAAATACCAAGAATCAGAATATAGACATAAAGCCAGAGATCTAGGTGAAGAGAGTAAAAGAGGAAAGGAAAAGGAAAGAAACAAAGAAAGGAAGAGAATGAAAGAGTAAAGAGCGAGAGAACTTGCTAAATGTGCAATCAACTCTTTGATTATAGAGAGCCATGTTTTTTTTTATCTTAGTTTTTTTTTTTTCTTTTGAGACGGAGACTTACTCTATTGCCTAGGCTGGTGTTCAGTGGCATGATCTTGCCTCAATGCAACCTCTGCCTCTCGGGTTCAAGCAATTCTCGTACCTCAGCCTCCTTAGCAGCTGGGACCACAGGAGCACCCCACCACGCCCAGCTAATTTTTGTGTTTTTAGTAGAGATGGGGTTTCACCATATTGGCAGGCTGGTCTCGAACTTTTGACCTCAGGTGATCCACTCGTCTCGGCTTCCCAAAGTGCTGGGATTACAGGCGTGAGCCACAATGCCCAGCTCTTAGATTCTTAATGATAGTAATTACAATATTCACAGCTAAGACTTACATAGCATTTACTATGTGCCAAGAACTACTTGAAACATTTTTAAATGTGTGTGTATTAATTTATTTGATCCCCATAACAACTTGATGAGTTAGGTGTAATCATTGTTCTAATTCCTTATAGATGGAAAAGCTGAGGCAGAATGATGTTAAGAAATTATGTGACAGACTTCAAACCCAGGCAGTCTGGCTTCAGAGCTTGGACCTTTACCATTATGCTACACAGTGTTGCTGACTTCCATGCTCAAATACTCTGCAGGGCACCCGGATTCACAATTAGAAGGAAGCCACTTATCCACTAGGCAATTTCATTTCATCTGCGTGACCACACATATACCATATAACTTGTTTGTTTTTTCTGGTTTTTCATATAACAAAACTGTGTACACATTATGTACTCAGGGATTAAGGATCATAATCCTAGAAATAAAATGAAATAACATATAGTTGGCTCCTTCAGGCAAGCTGAGTATTTTCAATGTCCCATTTAAATTTTGCTTTGAGGCTAACCGTGTCTTGGACGATAAACCATGAACACAGCTGTGAGCACTGTGGTGCATACATACTCCATAGTGGAATAGAAGGCAGAGTTTCTGCCCATCAAGTCAATTATAGTCTAAGGAGGAATTTTCCAGCACTTTTCATATGGCCTTGTCTGTCATGACAACAGATTTCAGCTGAGTTTCTCTCTGCAGTTGGCACACTACAAAATTGGAAGGTCATATGCCCTAAGTGTAGGTTAAAACATAATTGCTTAATACCCAAAGTTCTGAAAATCTACCTGCAGCATCTTGCTTCCTCCACAGAGCACAGCCCTAGTTAAAACTCCCCAAGAGGCAAAGAGAGAGCATCATTCTGACAGTAGTACTTACCTCCAAAGTATCTGTGTGGCTCCTTTACTGCTTTCTAGCTAAATGAATGCCAGTGTAGGAAAAAATTTGAAGAGAAATCTTTTTCAAATGAAGTCAATTTCCAGTCGGGTTTAATTCAAACCACAAATTCTCTTTAAAAACCATGTGAGCTGAAAATTTTGAATAGAACAGACTCTATTAAAAGCAAAAAACAACTGATAAATAGAAAAACGATAAAGGCTAAAGTAAAACAATTAAGAACCCCAAACTGCTTTCCCTCTGGCATTTTCAGAGTTCTGGAGTAGTATATGTTACTATGAAAATGGATGTTGTCAGTTTTGTTGAAATAACTTGCAGTCATTAGGTAGCCATGGAGCCTTTTATTCCTTAATATGACTACAGTCATTTTTTTAACAGATGAACTCAGTGATTGCCTACCTGATCTCAACTCTTGAGCAATTAACAGTGACTAATGTCACCAGCATTAAACCATATTAAGCAGGCATACTTGCTAGACCAGGCTAGGTACACTTAGTTGATAACTTTATATGGGAATTCAAAGAGTAACAAAGGCAATGACTCAGTATCATTATTTTTATCTCTGCAGAGAAAGTTTCTTAGCATTCCCTGAAAGTGTTGGAGATGATGGTATGTAAAAGAATGAAGGCCAGACTATCCACCAGTTGGTAAAAGGACACGGCTATATTTAGGGTTTCTGACAGTGGCATAATAAGATAAATAAATATGTTATTCAAAAGGAAGAACAGTTTATCAAAGGTGTACCACTAGACCAGAAATGAAGAGAGAGTCAAACTCAGACTCAAATAAGGAGTCAGAAAAAGGATTTACCAAACACAGACCTTCTCAGGATTTTCTGGGATGTGGTGGGTGAGGGATATTCTCTGACTACCTGAAATTTTGTGTCAGGCTTTCCATAGACACTTGCACAGCTATTCACACACACTGATGGAAAGGAGTCTCTTCTGCGGGCCACAGATTAATACTCAGAGGGTGGCCAGCTGTTTCTCCTCCTGGCCAAGGTAGGCATGCAAAAGAATTACATCTGAAGGAGAGGCACCGTATTATCTTTTTTCCTGAGGGTGCCAAAGAGTGCTATTTATTTGTCTATTGGGGTAAATCCTTTACATATTTTTGCTCATTACTCCTCTCAAACATACCATGAAAGAACAACTATTATTCCCATTTATAGATAAGAATTGGAGGCTGAGTGAAGACATGTGCCCTGAATGACTTTTCATAATCATAAGTGCTGGAGCCTTGATTAGAACCCAGCTCTGAGTGACTGGAGCTCACGCTAAGTTGATGATTGAGCATTCAGTCTATTTGGTGGAGGTCACAGGGTCATGCCCACTGCTGGCCAGTTAGCTGTTTCACAGCCTCAACCAGCTGCCTGCACACAGGAACAGTTGGTCACCATGGAGTCCAAGGAAACGGAGTGGCAGGATTAGTATAAAACTATCCCTGTGAATAGAAAAACAGCATGTACCGTGAGGATGAATAAGTAGCACTATCTTCTTGTGCAAAGAAGAGCACGTTATTGTAGAATCATGCCATACACATTGTAGATGCAACCCCTTAGCTATGCCATTAAAACTTGGAAGGACAGGAAGAAACAATTCACCACCAGAAATAAAACCTTACTAACAGCCACTCAAGCCTGCACACAGAGGCCAGAGGTGATGCAAAAATGTTTGCTACTTTCCCCCTTGCATCAGGTTGTATATCAAGGAGTCACTCCTCTCTGATCTCCCTCCCTCTCCTTCTCCTCTCTGAATGGTCTGTTAGGCATCTGCCCTCCCTTTCCTCACTCCCATTGCCCCTCTTTTTCCTCTTAGTACCTGACTTGTTGTCCCAGATAGTGGTTTTCATCTGGCTTTCTCTCAAGGGAGTTGTGGAAGTTTTGGTGTTTCAGATTTTGCTGGATAATGGAAAATTATTCCTTCCAGACTAGCCTCAGAATGAAATATCAACAGGACAAACAAATCTTTCTCTATATAATACTGGCAACTTCAAGTAGCCTAACCCTAAATCTTGGTCCATTTTATCCGAGACCTCTGTCTGTTATCCCAGCATGAACGATATAGGACCCGAAAAGTGAGTGGCCAAGGATACCCTCCCCATTGTGGAGGGCAGGACAGAAGAGCTGCCTCATTAGGCTTTAAGAAGTTACTGTAAGTTTTTTCAGGTTGATGTTGAAACAGTGTTTCATTAACCAGCCAGCTCAGCTACCTGTCTATGAACCACATGAGTGACTTATTTCTGTGATTTTTTTTAAGAAATAATTTTTTTCACCTTTTAATTCTTGATATTGCATTTTTGGGGCTAAAACCATGTTTCTGTTTCTGTTTATTTTGGAAAATGTTTCTTCTCCCTACACATCTGATTTCAGACTTCAGCAATTTCAAACACGAGCCTGTAAAGATACACTCAATATTTTATTTTTTAGCTTTCTATTTCTATGAATATTTTTGAAAATTATTTAAGATGTCATGTCTTCGCTTTCTTTAAATCTCACATTCAAACCTTCACAAACCTCAAGTACTGAGATGCAAATTAGAGCAACTTTTTAGAAAACAATCTGACCATTTATATCTATCATACAAAATGAGAAAGACTATGAAGGCTTAACATTATATGCATGAGGATGCTTGTTGTAGTGCATTATGATAGCAAAAAAAAAAAAGGAAGCCACCTAAATATCAATCAATAGAGAAATGATTGACTGATTACAGTGAATGCATGCTATGGAACATTGTGCAGACTTTAATTCAAATGAACAGTTTTAACCTTGAAAGGATTTCCATGAAGAGAAAATTGAAGAATAAAATGTGTTAGTACCATTCCATTTCAAAAATAACAGTAACAGGCCAGGCACGGTGGCTCACGCGTGTAATCCCAGCATTTTGAGAGGCCAAGGCGGGAGGACCACGAGGTCAGGAGATCGGTACCATCCTGGCTAACACGGTGAAACCTCGTCTCTACTAAAAATACAAAAAAAAAAAAAAAAAAAAAAATTTGCCGGGCATAGTGGCGGGCGCCTGTAGTCCCAGCTACTCGGGCGGCTGAGGCAAGAGAATGGCGTGAACCCGGGAGGCGGAGCTTGCAGTGACCCGAGATCACACCACTGCACTCCAGCCTGGGCAACAGTGCAGACTCCGTCTCAGAAAAAAACAAAAAAACAAAACAATAACAATAACAGTAACATCCATTTAAGTAAGCATAGGGTTCTATCAGCATGGAAAATATTATGGGAGTATAAATACAAAACTAACATTATTTTTGTATGTCTGGGAAGGTAGAATTCAACAAAGGGATGAGTGCATTATTACATTTTCCTTTAGGTAGCTCTGTCTTGTTTGAATTGTTAGAACAAATGTGCTTTTCTTTTATAATAAAAAAATAATTTTATTTTGGAAAAATGTATTTTCTCTATAACTTTTCCTTAAGTTAAACCCAAACTAAGCTGAAGCTTGGGGTTAGAGTAAAGAACATTCACAATGAAGTAGACTAAAGACAGACATTTTAGCTTAACTTTCTTATTTTATCAGTACCGGAACAGAAGTTTAGAGAAGAGACTTGCCCAAGGTCACACAGCTATGAATAGTGGAGGAAGACTAAAATCCATTTCTCCTGACCCCAAATCAGTGTTTGCTCTTGTGTTGTTCAGACTTTGTCATCAGAGTGACCAGAAGGAGACTTAATTGCATTCTCAAAAAATTGCTGTATATTCCCTCAAAAAGCAAAAAATTTCACTGTGACATCATATTTTATCTTAAAAACTATGTGTATTTAATCAACAAACTACTGTCACATGTAAAAACATGAATGAATCTCACAAACACTTTTTTTTTTTTTTTTTTGAGACGGAGTCTCGCTCTGTCTCCCAGGCTGGAGTGCAGTGGTGCGATCTCAGCTCACTGCAAGCTCAGCCTCCCGGGTTCACGCCATTCTCCTGCCTCAGCCTCGCGAGTAGCTGGGACTACAGGCGCCCACCACTGCGCCCGGCTAATTTTTTGTATTTTTAGTAGAGACGAGGTTTCACCGTGTTAGCCAGCATGGTCTCCATCTCCTGACCTCGTGATCCGCCCGCCTCGGCCTCCCAAAGTGCTGGGATTACAGGTGTGAGCCGTGGCGCCCGGCCACAAACATACTTTTAAGGAAAAGAAGTCAGTGGCAAATAGAACATACTATATGATTCTACTTATATAGAAATCTAAAACAAGACAAAGTAATCAGTCATTAGTTAGAAATCAGGATAGTGGTTAATTTTAGTTACAGTTGTCAGAGAGCACACTGGGGCTCTAGAGTGCTGATAATCTTGTATTTCTTCATCTGGGTGGCGGTTACATGGATGCATTCACTTTGTGAAAGTATATTGAGCTGTATCCTTATGATTGTGCACTTTTCTGAATAAATGTTATACAATATAGTCATTAAGAATTAATGTGATTTTTACAATCATGTCTGTTTTCATATGTATATATTTCAAATCTTGAAATACAGTTTATGGCTTATTAAAATATGCAATATTTATTTTGTCCTTCACATACCACTTAGTACACTGCAGAGTGCCTCCAGAGGTATCAGCGCCCCTGGTGTGAGAAGCAGGGAGTCAGAGCCAACATTCAGGGCATGGGCAGTGCCACACTGCCTGAATTTGAATAGTGACTCCACCATTCCTAGTCACGTAACCGAGGAATTGTAATTTAGCTTCCTTGTATCCCAAAAGGGTACACTTCAATAAGGTTGTGCCGAGTAAGTTAGAGAACTACATTTAATGCACTCAGTACAGAACCCGGCCCATAGTAAGCACTGAATAAATGCTAATGATTGGTAACTATTGTTATGCTTTGGAGAAATTTTAACCCTTCTCCTACTACATGTGAGTCTCCGCCCCCTACCACACACACACCAGGACATCACACATTGTTTTGCATTTATCAGATGCTCAATATTTTTTAGCTGAATTGAATGCAATAATTCCCCATGGTCTGTAGAAGAAAATTTAATCTCCTTAGTTCTCCTTTAAGGTTGTCCCTCATTTCAGTTCCCACCTATTTTTCCAGTTTTAGTTTATTCACTGCTTTATATAAATCCCCTGTCCCAAACACAGTGTCTAAAACTATTCCCACAGATGCCTTGAATGTCTTTTTATCTCAGGAAGTTTCTTTGCACTCTCCCCATTCCTGAAATATCCTTTTTCCTTCTCTGTACCTTCTATAATTTAACCAATCCTTTTAAGATTGAGACTAAATTTATCTCCCATGGCAATGGTTCTAATCCTTTTTTTGATTCAGAAAACCCTTTGAGAATTTCACAATTCACTCTTTTTTTAAAAAAATACGCACATGTATACAAACCATCTAGTTTCTGAAGTTTTACAATCCCCCTGAATCCTAGACCAGCCTCCCATCTAGGGTTCCCCAGACTACCAGCACCATCACAAAATGAGTCTAATTCTTGATACCCAAAGTAATTACTCTCTGGACTAATACATTTTGGTTCTTTTATTGACATTTGCTTTCAATTGTATGTGTTTTTCCTTTCACCTTGAATGTAGGTCTCTTGAGGATAAAGATATTGTCTTATACATCTTTGTCTGTCAACATTGACGAGGCAATGTGCCTCTCACATAAGGAGCACACAATAAAGAATTGCTGACTAATTGACCCCTGATCATCTATATTCTTTTCTCCGTTGATCTCATCCTGGCCCTTTGTTTTAAACATTTTGTGTTTACTGATGATTGCTAATTTTTATGCCTTTGCCTAAACAGTGTCCTCAATTCTAACTCACATATCCCATGGGCTACTTGACATTTTCATGTGGATGCCTGACTGCCATTACAGAGGTTAAACACATCAAAAAGTGAACTCATCATTGTTCATGTCAACCTTCCCCTCAGCAAACCTTATTTCTACCCTGGTCTTTTCCATTTTAATATGTGGCACTTCATCAATTTAGACCTGGTTCTTCCCTTTTACGGTGCTCCCATTTTTAAATAACGCTCTCAAATCAACCTCCAAAGTCCATCCCAAACCCATTCCCTACTCTCCATCTTCAAAGTCACCACAGTGGTCCAAGCCCTCACCATTCTTACATGGCTCCAAGTTGCCCTCCTGCTCCCTCCGTGCCCCTCTGCAATCCATTCTCCAGCAGGCAGACATTTTTTTTTACAAATAGAAATTGGTTGCTACTCCCTGTCTTAAACCCCTTTCCATTTCATTTAGGTAAAGCCCAATCCCCTTACTTCAGGTTACAAGGACACACATGATCTGGTTCCCACCTGAACCTCCAGGGCTGCTCACATTAAGTTCCAGTCATAGGTTCCTCCCCCAGCAAACTCTTCTTTGCCTAGGGCTATAAACCGGCCTGAAAATCTCTTCCCCTTTCCCTTGGCTCTAAATTTCCAGCTCCTTCTTATCCCTCATGTTTTAGCTTAATCATTTCTTCATGGGATCTTCTCTGACCACTGTATCCAAAGTGGGAGTCAGAGTGACCATGTCCTATCCCATCACCCTGTACATTACCTTATTATTGAATTCTCTTTATAAAATTATTTTCCTGGTTTGTTGCCCATCTTTCCCACCTGAATCAAAACTGTATACAGGCAGGAATCATGTCTAACATATTTATTGTTTTAATTCTAACATCTAGGACAATACAAGCTTCATAAGGACAAAGATTTTCTTTTTTCTTTTTGTTCTTTTTATTTTTTCTCCTTTGTTCATGATATTGTCTTCAGTGCCCAAAAAAGGGCCTAGCACATAGTGAGCATCAATACATCTTTATTAACTCTGTAATGACTGAACAATAGAAACTCAGCAAATGCTCTTTTATCTACATTATTGAATCAATAATTAAATAGTCTAATAATTACTTTTGGATAACCGGAGAGAAGCTAGCAAGATTATTTAGGAAAAAATACTCCTTTACTGAATAGGTAAAAAAATTTATAATTAATGCATCAAAGCATTATGATCTATGGGTATTACAAACATGTTGTTTACAAATAGTTGTATACAAACTCCTTAGAAACACTTAATTTTCAAAAGTTTGCAAAAATTTCCTCATCTTGTTTACATTATAAATTTGCTTAGTAGAACACTTTTTAAATTAAAGCAAAGATAAAATACTTAATATGCTGTTATTAAATGATGCAAATTCAGAATTAATAAATTCTGAAGTAATAATTTTTGTTTATAATTCAGCTCAAAAAGTGATGAGGAAAATCAAGAGTAGGTCTCTTTGGAGTATGCTATAGCACTTCATTAAACCAGGCCAACAGAATTCTTCCATGTCTGTTGATCAGCCCATATATCATGTAAGAGCCTCTGTGGTCAAAATAGCTCACTGAATACATGGTCTTTAAAAGGTCAGGGGTCATTAATCAAGAAAGACTGTTTACTTTAAGCTCAGAACATTGGCTGCTTTCTGCCAGCAGCCATGGGTGATGAAGGGTGCAGGGAGTTCTGACTTTCATGGCTGAGTATCTGGGCTTAGTGGGATTACAAAGAAAGAGACATCAGCCAGATACATTTCAGGCCTGCAGACCCTTCTTATATTTATGAGAACATGTTTTCCTAGTAACAGTTTATTTTGCTGAAAACATTTAAATAAAAACCTCCAGAGACTTTTTAGAGAGGATGGCTTTTCATTCCTAGGCAAGTACCTACCTGATTTAAATGTGGTATTATTTTAGTCCCTGAAACATATACCCCCTTCCATAAGACTTGAGTTGATTTCTGTACCTTTACCACACACACAGCCTCTAAGAATAGAAATAACTGCAGAGGGCTTTTCTGACTAACTCTGATAAGCCATCCTCTCTGTATGCCTTCAGCAGCTGAGGAAGCAAAATTGTGTGCAAGAAAACCATTTCTAACTCAACACAACACACTTCTAATACGATACCTTACAGAACACTCTCTCACTGATTTTGGAATGTGTCCTCCTAGTTGAAAGATATTCTTACCTGGGTTTTCTCCCAACTGTCCTAGTGTAACTAAAGCAACTTCTGCACAATTCTGGATCAAATCTAACAGACTGATCAAATACACTCCTGAGCCACTTTGACTTCTCCTCCTTCTCTATTCCAGGTGAATTGCAGTATCTGAAAGGGAGAGACACTACTTTATTAGCAAACAGATCTGAATTAATACTTGGAACCAGGAGGCATCCATCCTTTCAGCCTTGTCACTCACTCACAGGGACATTTTAATTCACAGTGGCGTCTCAGGCTGCTATCTGGTTGGGCCTCTAAGACATGTTAAAATAAAAAGCAGGAAAGGTGAAAATTATCCTTAGAAATTCTTTAAATCACTCATAAGTTCTGATTTCAGGATTTTGAGTAAAAACCTGCATAACATAATATGTGAATGCACATACTTGTATGCAATATATAAATGCACGTATTTATTCAGTATATAATAAAGAACATATATGCAAAATAACACTTGGCAACATTTTATTTCTGAGTTCCCCATCCCCACACACAGAGTGGATGAATTTATATAAATCAAATGCCCTTGAGTTCAAGAAAGTTCTCTATTTCAGAGGTTAGATATACCTTTTGGCCTCTGAGTTCTATTCTGAAGTCTTGCTTCCTGTTCTGTGTCTGAAACAAGTCCATTTGGAACCAGCTGTGCACCTTAGACATTGTTTCCATGGAAACGCTTTCATAAATACCAATGGCCTTAATTAGACAAATCAAATAAACACAAGAAACACATATCTAGGAACCACTGACCCATATTATTAGCTAGAAAGGCAGAATTTTTTATTTCCTAGCCATAGCCCTGATCTTTTCAAATTCCTGTTATTTGTTTCCTCTCTTGTATAAAATGATTCATTCATCTGGTTTACTTGCATTTTTTAAAAAAGCCATTAAATGTGTTTTCCATTTCTTTTGGTATTCAATCAAATTTAGGTTATGTAAAATGGCAGGAGTGAACACCCTCTGTATGTGTTTACAGTATTTGTGTTTATAATGGAGTGAAAGGGTTGGGGAATACTGGGCTTTACGGCTTCTGAGCAAAGTGTTTATATCTCTCAGAATGGACTTCTAGAGCACACATTTATCCTTTTGCCGTGAATGGACATTTTCTTGTTTAGTTCTAGGTTTGCAGAACTACATTTTTTAAAAGTTCAGCTTCCATGGCTACTGGCATGAGGAAGACAATGCCAATGACTCAATTGCTTAGGGCACAGCACTGTAGAGAGAATAAGAATGATCTCTCCTATGTCTGGAAGTGGAGAAGGTAGAATACTCTTAGTGAGACACCAGGTGACCCTGTAAAATATAGCAATAGCTGATAGAGTCAGATTTAGGATTGAACAAGATAATACATGTGAATTGCTTAAAACAGTGAGCCCATCAGTGTTGTTTGTTGCTATCATTTCTATTGCAGTCTCATCACAAACGACATCCTAGCAATGAGTTTTGATCTTTTGGGGACCATCTAGTAAAGTTTTCATAACTTACTGACCCCAGATACTCCAAAGACACATAAAAGGCTGGGTAGAATTCTCCTCTAATGCTAGATATTCATTTAGAAACAAGATTCAGCAAAGCATTTATTTTGTAGCCTTTGTTGGGAAGTGGATTTGTGGTTCACCACTTGGAGCATGAGTAGAAATCTGTAAGAAGAATTACTCTGTAAGTCATTTAGCTCAATCCACTCACTTTAAAGATAAGAAAATTGAGACTAGGAGAAGCACCAAATACTTGTCATATCAGTGATAATAAGTAGGTCTTCTTTTCTCATTTGTTAAACTCCATGGGGAAAGGAAATCCAAACTCACATTTAACTATGAGATTGAGACACAGTAAAATTTTGTTAAAGAAAGTGAACTCTATGTAGCTTTTAAAATTAATCCTACTATTGAGATTTAACTAACCTTACAAGGTTTTCAGACCCTTGGCCAAAGGATATAGTTGTACCTCTCTACAAAGGGTTGAATAGTTGAACAATTTATGCATTTCATTATCTCTTTACTATCAAGTAAACTAACTGCAGAAAAAGCAATCAGTAGGAATCTAAATAATGACCAAAATTAAACTTATAGATAAAATTGTCCCTTAATTGACTCGATAGTATGTGCTTTTATCATGATAATACCTGCAACATGCCTTCTTTATCATGGGCTATGGAAAACGGTGAAGAAGCTAGGGAGTTATGTTGCCAAATTAAATAATGATTATTAAAGATGTAATTATACATGTTCAAGAAGAAAATACAGGGCAATAAACTGAGAACACCATAATACAGAAATGCAAAGTTTCTATCTTTTACCTCATAAAGAATTTACCTACAGGTTAAAAACAAGGAGATTTTTTCCTTTTCCATCATCCTCATCATCATGTCAACATTATCCTCATCATCATCATATCATCATCAATGGTACAATTTAATGAGTAGTTGTTATGAGCTAGCAATATGCTGTTTTACACACACATACACACACACACACATATATATATATATATATATATTTTTTTTTTTTTTTTGAGACAGGGTCTCACTCTGCCTCCTAGGCTGGAGTGCAGTGGCGCGATCTCGGCTCACTGAAAGCTCCATCTCCCAGGTTCGTGCCATTCTCCTGTCTCAGCCTCCCAAGTAGCTGGGACTACAGATGTCTGCCACCACGCCCGGCTAATTTTTTTTTGTATTTTTAGTAGAGATGGGCTTTCACTGTGTTAGCCAGGACGGTCTTGATCTCCTGACCTCGTGATCCAACCGTCTCAGCCTCCCGAAGTGCTGGGATTACAGGTGTGAGCCACCGCGCCCGGCCTACATATATTATTGTTTTGGTCCTTTGACGCTGAGGCTGGAATCACCCCCAAAAGCAGTGTCAGGGGAATTCCTACAAGGGGTGTCCCCACACGAAGCTGAGATGGAGCTGGTTGGGATTCCAAAGAAAGAAGCAATAAATGCCAGGGTAATCGGCCCAAAGCATTTATTAGGGGAACCTAATTACAGAGTGCTGCATTAATCCTTGTGACAGACAGTGAGAGAAAAAGGATATTTTACTTAGGTATGTCTGCAGAGCGGGGGTCAGGGTACAGAGTTTATATGAGGGTTTAAAAATTTTTACTCAAGGCTGGAGCCAGTTCCTCTCAGTGTTTTGGGCAACAACCTAGAGACCTTTATCAGTGTCTATGAATGTTCAAGGCCCTAGTTTGGCTTCAGGCCTGCTGGGAAAAACTTGCAGCTGGCTGGGTCACAAAATGGTCAAGGCACTCTGTGATTTTCAGTAAGGACACAGGAAGAAAGCAAGAGGAAACTAGGGGATCCTGCAATTATCTAATTAATCCTCATGTTAGTCTTTTAGGTTAGGTGTTTATTATAATCATGATTCAGACAAGAAAACAGAGGCCCATCTTTCTTTGGGTCGTACTGGTAATGAATAGCAGGACTGTGATTTAAACTAAAATTTGTTGATTCCAAGGCCCAACTTTTGAATCATCAAGTGCTATTGTTAAAATTTGGTAAATACTAAGGTAAAGAAATAAAATTTCCAGAATTCTGAAAACATTTTCAAATGGAGATTAAATTGTACACATAGACACTAGATAAACAAAGTCAATTATTTTATTAGCGCTCTAGAATTTGAGAGAAGATAGTACCTTCAAAAGTTTCCATACAACACTGTATTTGTAATCTATTGCTGCATGACACATTATGCCACAATTTAGTGGCTTAAAATTTTTACTATCTCACATAGTTTCTGTGAGTCAGAAACTTGGAAGGAACTTAGCTAGTGGGTTCTGGTTCAGAATCTCTCATGAGGTTGCAGTCAAGATGTGGGACAGGGCTCAAGATATACAAAGGCTTAACTGGGGCTGGAGAATCCACTTCCAGATTCACTCATACACTGGCAAGAAATTTTAGTTCCTTGTTGGCTGTTGGTAGAAGACCTCAGTTCCTCACCATGTGGGCCTCTCCACAGGGCTGTTTTGAATGGCTTCCTAACATGGCAGCTGGCTTTCCCAGAGCAAGTGATCCAAGAAAGAGAGAGAGCACTACAGAATCCATGGCACCATTTATAACCTAGTTTTGGAAGTCACATCCATTATATTGTGGAAAAGGACTACATAAGAGTGGGAATACTGGAAGGAAGAAATCACTGGGGCCATCTTGGAGGCTGGCTATCATCATTTTTATGAAAGTGTCAAAGAGCTTACCATCACAATTTTCCATCATTGTTAACTTAAGTAAGTGGTCAATTTTACACAGTTGCTATTAGGATGACTTACATAACCACTACGGCCATTCTAAAGTGCCACTACTGTGCTTATTTTTAGGAAGGCATCATAAAATATTTGGACTAAAGAATACGGACAAAGAGAAATTAGTTTTCTCCCTGGATAGTGTCTTTTAGCAGTCATTATTCAACAACTCTTTATTCTTAGCCCCTCATCCCCTTAATTTTCAAGGACATTTAAATACTAGATCTACCATCATGCTGACATTATAGCCAGGTCTTGGTATTGAATGGAGCCACAACAAACATAAGGATCAGCATAAGCTCCTGAAGAATACCCTATATCATATTTCTTTTGATGAAAAGTATTAGGAACCCTCCTGACCTTCTTTTCTAGCTTTCAGCAGACCCTAGCATATAGTGTTGCAAATATGATGAATATAAGACCTGTTCTTGATAACAAAAACTTAGTGGAAGTTCTCATATGGGATGATCTTAGAAGTAGAAAGTGCCAAAGAATTCAAAAGAATTCAGAAAAGACAGGTTTCCAGGAGATAAAACTCTCCATTAAAAAAACTAGGTCTTGTGGCCAGATAAAGACATGAAATATCCCAGTTTCATGGAAAGGAAGACAAATTGTTACAGCCAGGTTGGTGAATCTGCCTTAGGGAAAATGAAACAGACTGGGTTAAGGGAAAAAAGAAACTTGGTTTAGGATCTATGTACCAGGAAGACTTGCCAGCAATCCAATTTACAGTAAGCTCTTTGACGCTTTTCTCTGGTCCCTTCTAAAGCCAGAAAAAAATCCAGTAGCAACAAGCCATGAAGATAAGGGTCAGTGAGAGCTAGAAGAGATTTGTATTTGACACATCTGAAGGCAATGTGTTTGGGACAGATAGTCATTATTTAAAGGAAGCAAAGTTGTAACCATGGAGATGGGGCCAAGCACCAAGTACAAACCTGATAGGAAGATAGAAACAAAAAAACCAGTAAGGCAGGGTGGCCGATTAGAAGCAGCGGTAGTCTGCAGAACTCACAGAAAGGAATCAAAGTGGCAAGTAAATTTGGCATGTTCAACTGAAGTATCAAGATTCTCACATTGGGACTGACTAGGAAAACAGCTCTGCCCACAGAGAATGAAGAAAAGCAGGGTGAGGCAATGGCCCACGCAGGAGCAGCACAGAGCCAAAGGAACCCACACCCCAGCCAAGAGAAGCAGTGAGTGATTGTGTGATCCCACCCTGGAAACCATGCTTCTCCCATGAATCTTTGCAACCAGGATATCCCCTTGTAAGCCCATGCCACCAGGGCCTTGGTTCCAACACACAGAGCTGTGTGGAGTCCCAGCAGAGCATCCACTCAGGCACGCACAGAGACCAAGGAGTTTTGCATATTCTGCCCCAGGATTCCCAGCAAGATGGGAGATCCATCCATACATAGCCCTAGGAGAGGGGCTGAATCCAGGGAGCCAAACAGCATTGTTTTTCAGGCCCCATAAATTAAGAGCCATCGGTTTCTGTCTTAAACCCATTCCACAGCACCTCATAAGGTAAGAGCCACTGGCTTGGAATTCCAGCCAGCTGAAAGCAACAGGCTAGAGTCTGCCTGAGAAGGACTGCATTCTAAGGGGGAGGGGAAGCTACAATCTCTGTGGTTCCATTGACTCAGCTGTTCCAGCCTGCCAGTTCTGAAGAGTTCAGATGGTGCAGATGAGGAAGGGTCCCCCACAACACAACACAGCTGCACTACCAAAAAGCAGCCAGATTGCTTCTTTAAGTGGGTCCCTATTCCCATTCCTCCTGACTGGGTAAGACCTCCTGATGGGGTCTCCAACCACCTCCTACACATATAGTTCAGGCTGGCAACAGGTCAGTACCCACCTAGGATGAACCTTCCAGAAGAAGGAGCAGGCTGTCATCTTTGCTGTTTTGTACACTTCACTGGTGATACCTCCAGGTATGGGAAATACCGAGGAAACTAGGATCTGGAGCAGATCCCCAGCAAACCACAGAAGTTCTATGAAAGAGTAGCCTGGCTGTTAAAAGAAAAACAAACAGACAACAACAACATCATCAACAAAAAGAAACTCCAAAAAACCCCATTTAAAGGTCAGCAACCTCAAAGATTGAAGGTAGATAAGCCCACAAAGATGAAAAAGAATCAATGCAAAAATGCTGAAAACTCAAAAAGCCAGAGTGCCTCATGTCCTCCAAATGATTGCAACACCTGTCCAGAAAAGACAGAACTGGGCTGAGGCTGAGATGGCTGAAATGACAGAAGTAGACTTCAGAAAGTGGGTAATAAGGAATTTCACTGAGCTAAAGGAGTGTCTCGTCACCCAGTGCAAAGAAGCTAAGAATCATGATAAAACAATACAGGAGGTGATAGCTAGAATACCCAGTTTAGAGAGGAACATGACCGACCTTATGAAGCTGAAAAATACAATGCAAGAACTTCACAATGCAATCACAAATATCAATAGCAGAATAGACCAGGTGGAAGAAAGAATTCCAGAGCTTGAAGACTATCTTGCTGAAAAAAGGCAGACAAGAATAGAGAAAAAATAATGAAAAGGAAGAATAAAACCCCTGAGAAATATGAGATTACATAAAAAGATGAAACCTGTGACAGACTGGGATACCTGAAAGAGAGGGAGAGAATGGGCCAGGTTGGAAAATATCCGTCAGTATATCATCCAGGAGAACTTTTCCAACCTAGCAAGACAGGCCAACATACAAATTTAGAAAATCCAGAGAACCCTAGTAAGATACTTCATGAGAAGAGCAATCCCAAGACACATAATCATCAGATTCTCCAAGGTCAAAATGAAAGAAAATATGTTAAGGGAAGGCAGAGAGAAAGGCCAGATCACCTATAAAAGAAAGCCCATCAGACTAACAGCAGACCTCTCAGTGGGAACCCTACAAGCCAGAAGAGATTGGGGTGCAATATTCAACATTTTAAAGAAAATAATTTCCAACCCAGAATTTCATATCCAGCTAAACTAAGCCTCATACGTGAAGGAGAAATAAGATCCTTTTCAGACAAGCAAATGCTGAGGAAATTCATCACCACCAGGTCTGCCTTGCAAGAGCTCCTGAAGGAAGCACTAAATATGGAAAGGAAAAACTGTTACCAGCCACTGCAAAAATACACTGAAGTACACAGACCAGTGTCACTATGAAGCAAACCCATAAACAAGTCTAAAAAATAACCAGCTAGCATCATGATGACTGGATCAAATTCACACATAATAATACTAACCTTAAATGTAAATGGGCTAAATGCCACAATTAAAAGACACAGAATGGCAAGCTGGATAATGAGCCAAGATCCATAGGTATGCTGTGGTCAAGAGACTCATCTCACATGCAAAGACACGTATAGGTTCAAAATAAAAGGATGGAGGAAAATTTACCAAGCAAATGGAAAACAGAATAAAGTAGGGGTTGCAATTCTAGTTTCTTACAAAACAGACTTTAAACCAACAAACAAGACAAAGAAAGGCATTATATAATGCCTTTCAACAAGAAGAGCTAAGTGTCCTAAATATATGTGCACCCAATACAGGAGCACTTAAATTCATAAAGCAAATTCTTACAGACTTACAAAGAGACTTAAACTCCCACACAATAATAGTGAGAGACTTTAAAATTCCACTGACAATATTAGACAGATCATGGAGACAGAAAATTGACAAAGATATTCAGGACCTCAACTCAGCTCTGGATCAAGTGGACCTGATAGATATCAAAGAACTCCCCACCCAAAATCAACAGAATATACATTCTTCTCTTTGCAACATGAGAATTACTGTAAAATTAATCACATAATCAGAAGTAAAACACTCCTCAGCAAATGCAAAAAAAAAAGTCATAACAGTCTCTCAGATCACAGAACAATCAAATTAGAACTCAAGATTAAGAAATTTACTCAAAATCACACAACTGCATGGAAATTGAACAACCTGCTTCTGAAAGACTACTGGGTAAATAATGAAATTAAGGCAGAGATCAAGAAGTTCTTTGAGACTAATGAGAACAAAGAGATAATGTACCAGAATCTCTGGGATGCAGCTAAAGCAGTGTTAAGAGGGAAATTTATAGCACTAAATTTCCACATCAAAAAGCTAGAAAGATCTCAAGTTAATACCTTAATGTCACAACTAAAAGAACTAGAGAGCCAAGAGAAAACAAACCCCAAAACTAGCAGAAGACAAGAAATAACCAAAATCAGAGCTGAGCTAAAGGAGATAGAGACACAAAAAAACCTTCAAAAAATAAATGAATTTAGAAGCTGTGTTTTTGGAAAAAAAATAATAAGATAGATAGACCACTAGCTAGACTAATAAAAAAGAAAAGAGAGAAGAATCAAATAAACACAATCAAATGATAAGGGGGATATCACCACAGACCCCACAGAAATACAAACAACCATCAGAGAATACTGTAAATACCTTTATGTAGATAAACTAGAAAATCTAGACAAAATAGATAAATTCCTGGACACATACACCCTCCCAAGACTGAACCAAGAAGAAATGGAATCCCTGAACAGACCAATAATGAGTTCTGAAATTTATACATTAATAAATATCCTACCAACCAAAAAAAGCCCAGAATCAGATGGATGCACAGCTGAATTCTACAGAGGTACAAAGAAGTGCTGGCACAATTTCTACTGAAACTACTCCAGGCAACTGAAAAGGAGAGACTCCTCCCTAACTTGTTCTATGCCATCTTCACCCTGATACCAAAACCAGGCAGAGATACAACAAAAAACAAAATATTCAGTCTGATATCCTTAATGAACATTGATGCAAAATACTCAACAAAATACTGACAGACCAAATCCAACAGCACATCAAAAAGCTTATCCAACACTATCAAGTTGGCTTCTTCCTTGGGATGCAAGTTTGGTTCAACATGCACAAATCAATAAATGTGATTCATCACACAAACAGAACCAACGACAAAAACCACATGATTATCTCAATAGATGCAGAAAAGTCCTTCAATAAAATTCAACATTCCTTCATGTAAAAACTCTCAATAAACTAGGTATTGAAGAAACATACTTCAAAATAATAAGAGCCATATATGACAAACCCACAGCCAATATCATACTGAATGGGCAAAAGCTGGAAGCATTCCCCTCAAAAACCAGCACAAGGCAAGCATACCCTCTCTCACTACTTCTATTTAACATAGTATTGGAAGTTCTGGCCAGGGAAATCAGGTAAGAGAAAGAAATAAAGGGTATTCAAATTGGAAGAGAAGAAGTCAAATTATCTCTGTTTGCAGATGGCAGAATCCTATATCTAGAAAACTCCATCATCTTGGCCCAAAAGCCTCTTAAGCTGATAAGCAACTTCAGCCAAGTCTCAGATACAAAGTCAATTTGCAAAAATCACTAACATCCGTATACACCAACAATAGAAAAGCAAAGAGCCAAATCATGAATGAACTCCCATTCACAATTGCTGCAAAGAGAATAAAATACCCAGGGAATACAGCTAACAAGGGAAGCGAAGGACCTCTCCAAGGAGAACTACAAACCACTGCCCAAAGAAATCAGAGGACACAAACAAATAGAAAAACATTCCATGCTCATGGATAAGAAGAATCAATATCATGAAAATGGCCATACTGCCCAAAGTAATTTATAGATTCAATATTATTCCTGTTAAACCACCATTGACATTCTTCACAGAATTAGAAAAATTTATTTTAAAATTCAAATGGAACCAAAAAAGAGCCCAAATAGCCAAGAAAATGCTAAGCAATAAGAACAAAGGTGGAGGCATTATGCTATCCAATTTCAAGCTGTACTACAAGGCTACAGTAACGAAAACAGCATGGTGCTGGTACAAGAACAGACACATAAACCAATTTAACAGAATCAAGAACGCAGAAATAAGACCTCGCACTTATAACCATCTGATATTCAACAAACCTGATAAAAACCAGCAATGGGAAAATGATTTCCTATTTAATAAATGGTGCTGGGATAACTGGCTAGCCATATGAAGAATATTGAAACTGTACCCTTTCCTTATACCATATACAAAAATCAACTCGAGAAGGATTAAAGACTTAAATGTAAAACCCAAAATTCTGGAAACTCTAGAAGAAAATCTAGGCAATACCATTCAGGACATAGGAACAGGAAAAGATTTCATGACAAAAACACCAAAAGCAATTGCAACAAAAGCAAAAATTGACAAATGGCATCTAAAGCTTCTGCACAGCCAAATAAACTACCATCAGAGTGAACTGACAACCTACAGAATGGGAGAAAAATTTTGCAATCTATCCATCTGACAAAGGTCTAATATCCAAAGACTACAAGGAACTTAAGCAAATTTACAAGAAAAAAAATCAACCCATTAGAAAGCAGGCAAAGGACATGAACAGACACTTCTCAAGAGAAGACATACATGAGACCACAAACATATGAAAAAAGCTCAACATCACTGCTCATTAGAGAAATGCAAATCAAAACCACAATAAGATACCTTTTCACTACAGTCAGAATGGCTATTAATAAAAAGTCAAAAACAACAGATGATGGCAATGTTGTGGAGAAAAAGGAATGCTTATACACTGTTGGTGGGAGGGTAAATTAGTTCAACTATTGTAGAAGACAGTGTGGCAATTTCTCAAAGATCTGCAGGCATAAATACCATTTGACCCAGCAATCTCATTACTGGGTATATACCCAAAGGATTATAAATCATTCTATTATAAAGATATATGCACATGTATGTTCACTGCAGCACTATTCACAGTAACAAAAACATGGAATCAACTTAAATGTAAATCAGTGACAGACTGGATAAAGAAAATGTGGTACATAACACCATGGAATACCATGCAGCCATGAAAAGGAATGAGATCATGCCCTTTTCAGGGACATGGATAGAGCTGGAAGCCATTATCCTCAGAAAACACAGGAACAGAAAAGCAAACACTGCATGTTCTCACTTACAAGTGGGAGCTGAATGATGAGAATACAGGGACACATGGTGGGAAACACTGCATACTGGAGCCTATTGGGGGAGTGGGGAGAGGGAGAGCATCAGGAAGAATAGCTAATGGATGCTGGGCTTCATACCCCGGTGATGGGATAATCTGTACAGCAAACCACCATGACACACCTTTACCTATGGAACAAATCTGCATATCCTGCAAATGTACCCCTGAACTTAAAATATAAGTTGAAGAAGAAAAAAAAAGAAAACAGCAAGGTGAATAGGAGGATCAGATGCAGGGCAAAAATCGGAAAATTTGGGAATATGGCTCTAAAGGAGAAATTTTGAATGATTTACTCCAATCAAGATTTACCTTGACCACTCTACCAAAATTGCTCTTGTAAAATTTACCAGTGAGTCCCTGGATTTAACAGTTATGTTGATAAATACAAAGGGCAGTTCTCTGCTTTTTTCATCAGCATTTGACAGGGGTGTCCATTTTCTCCTCTTTGATTACAACTTTCATTATTTGGCTTGCAGGCAACTACAGTGCCTGGGTATTCTTCCTACCTTGATCATTGGTCCTTCTCCGTCTTTTGAGCTTGTTCCTTTCCCAGCACATGATCTTCTTTTCTTCTCCCTGTATACATACTCACTTTGTGATCTCACCCAGGCTTATGACTCAGCACAATTTATACACCAATGATTTCCAAATGAATATCCCCATTCTCACCTCTCCCACAAACTCAGGTTTCTGTCTCTGCTGGGGTGTCTAAACTTAATATGCCCCAAATTAATCTCCTTGTCTTATCCCCAAGCCTGTTTTACCTATAGCCTTTTCCATTTCAGTGGATGGCAACTCCATTCTTCCAGATGCTCAGGCCAAAAACCTTGGTGTCATCACCAACTCCTTCCATTCTCACCTCACAGCCAATTCATCATCAAATCCTATTGGCTCTGCTTTCACAATATATCCAGACTCTCACTGCTTCACCCAACTTCCTCTGCTTATTTCTCTGTTTTCAGCCTCCTTCTCTCTGCTGGTTGCTGATGTAGTCTCTCAAGCATGCTCCATTTCAACATTTTCTCCTATAGTCTATTCTCAAGTCAGCCAGGTTGTTTCATTTTAAAGTATAAATCCGAGCATTTCATTCCTCTGCTCTAAACCCATTTCCCACCAAGTAAAGCCAGATATCTTGTGATACCCTGACCCTTCATGAGATGACTTTATTTCTTTCTCCCTTGATCCCAGTTCCAGCCACAGTGACCTCTTTGCTGTTTTTGAAAATACTTTTTTCATTTGTATTGGCTATTCCCTCTGCCTATAACACTCTTCCCCAATGACTCACATGGCTAACCCCTTCAGGTCTATGCTTAAAGACTAATGCCTCAGTGCAGTCTACCTTGACCACTCTTTTTAAACACTTCAACCTCCTCCCACTCCACTATTTCTGATCCACTTTCATATTTTTAAAAAATAATACTACTTTCTAACATACAATAAATTTTAGTTTATATTTATCTATTATGTTTTTTCATGGTAAGACTATCTCCCACTGCCAGGGAATTAGTTCAACAAGGGCAGAGTTTTCTGTTTTGTTTACTGGTGTATTCCAAGTGTCTAGTAGAGTGCCTGACATATAGTAGGCACTCTATAAACATGTGTTTAAGAAATAAATGATTTATATATTAAAGTATTGAATCTTAAAACTCTGGGGAGAAAAGTCTTCTATAGAAGGATGATGGGTGAAGCAAGAAGCCCTGTCAGAAGCCTAATGCTCCAGTTCTGGTGAAGTCTGTTGGAGCTCTGACGAGGTGGTAGGAGCTGTGCAATCTTGTGTGTGGCCCAACCCCCTTGTCTGAACAGAGCTGACCTCACCATTAGCAAGTGCTTTCCAAGTCCTCACTTAGTCCTGGTCTCACTTCCAACACTTGTTAGATAATATTTCCTTAAAGCCCAGCTCAAACATTAATATGCAAGTGAAGCCTTAATCAACTTCTCTCCACCTAGGCTGAATTTGTTGCTACCTTATCTTGTTTTCACATCTTGCCCATATCTTTCACATAATGCTCTTCACACTGCATGAAAATTTGGAGACGTATCTTTATATATTCATGATTTTGTGTTTCCCCTGCTAGATTGTGAGGTCCCTGAGTATAGGGAATATGTTTTATTGATCTTTCATCTTTGTAACTAAACTAAAATTAATGCCTGCCCATGATAAATGGTCTGCAAAAAAGTAACAATTTTAGATCAAGTTCAATATATTTTATTTCAGGGAGATATTTTCTTGTCTTAAACAGTTTTAACCCAATCATATAATAACAACACATGCAAGAGGATTCTTTCTTATAGATGTTGTGCATATTTACTATTTTAAAAATGGTTTTAAATGAGAATGACCACCATTCCTGCAATTAAAAATTTTTAAATGCAGAAGAGTCCAAGAATGGTAGCTTGTTTTTTTTCTCTTTTGTTTTTGTTTCTTACCAGAAAAAAAGATTCAGAATTTTAGATTATCCCTCATTAAGTCTTGAGTTTCTGGCCTTGAAAGTTAAGCATGTCTTCAGCTCTAAAGAAGCAGATTAAGCCAGTTGTGCTGGCAGCTTGAAGCATTTGGAAGCTGGCCAGAACTGCCAAAGAATTTTTTTTGCCCTTTTTATTCTCTTCCTTTCCACCAGGCTAGCTCCGGGAGTCCATCTGCAGAATCAAATGAAAATCAATCCCTTTTTATGCAAACCTTCCTGAAACAGCAAGGCTATGTTTGGTCACAAGGGCGGAGGTTCGTGCAGTGGAAGCCCTGGTGGTGATTTCTCCCAGCTCAGGGCTTGCCAAAGTCGTCTCCACCTCATAGTGATGAAAGGCTGGATCAAATGGCTCTCAAAGCCAACTTCTATTAGACTTGCCTTTTCTAAAAATAGTGCACTTCAGTAAACACCATTGTGAGTTTGCAGTTTACTTGCTGGGGAGTACATTGCCACCTCCACCAAAATTTCACGCATGCATGTATTTATTTATATCTTATTGGACCTTCTTTTATCAGTTAAAACCCCCAGCAAATTTATTTTTTGTTTTAAAATCTGATATTTAATCAATTCCTGTTCAATGATTTAGAAAAAGTATGAATAAAAAGATCTCTGAATCAGAGCAGGTTGAATGAAAGAAGATTAACCAAAGATAAGATTGAAGTTTCTGCAGTTCTTGGAAAATGCCAACTGAGGTTGCAGAGAACCACTGCCCTGTGTCCTCATGGACAGTTTCACAGTCAAAAAAAGGATTGGGTCAATCAAATTAAGGTAGTGCATTGCTTGCTACAAATTCTCCTGAGTGGTGTTTACAGATTATAAATATGTATCCTGTTTTATTGTCTGAAAGGACCCTAACAGTGGAGGTACTGACCTTATTTTTGGTTTATGTTCACCTTTGATCCTGACAGAAACTAAATCTCTCTGTTCTGTAGCCAGCACCTGATCCTTGGACTTCAGTCCACCCTCACCTAAAAAAAGATAGTGGAGAAAAAGCACATCAAGTGTGCAAAGCTCAGCACTGATTTAGGACAGGAACCAAGGAACATGATCTCCAGTGGAAGCCACGGGGATCACCAAGGGAGGATGTGATGGTTTAAGCTGACTTTAGCCCAAGGGGTCCCCATGCTGGTGGGAGAGATGTGGGAATCTGAATAACCACAAATGGGCAGAGTATACTCTTTGTGGCATATTGGAGAGGTGACACTATGAAACCAGCTTCCCCCAACATTAGGGTCAACTGCATTAGATTTTGTGCAGAGGAAACCTCAGAGTCCCAGTGAATCATGGTCCCTTCCACCCATCATTTTCAACACCTGTTATTTCTTTCAAAGCTTGTTTGTTCTCTGGAAGATTTCTATTTTATCAGTTTATCAAGTCAACTCAACAAATTAGGATAACAGTTTTGGAAAACAAATCTTTCAATCTGAAAGCAGGTAGAAAAAAAAAGAAATAAGTGTTATATAACGCTAGCTAAAAATGAAAGAAGTGATAACAATAGGCAGAACAAAATAGGAGAGTTAAGAAGTTAAAATTTTGTGGATTTTTTTGTATTTTGCCCTTTTTCTTTTTCTCTTTTTGTGCCTATCAACTATTTGTATATTCTTCAGGTACTCAATTATTCCATCTTCAAAATGAATGGAAACTAGTGTTTCATGCATTTATAAGATGAGAATCCCACTATAGAAAAATCCCCCCTGCCAATTTTTTTTAATTACAAAATTTAAATGAGGACATGGTTTTCTTCTTTGTAAGAGGATTCTTCAGTAGCTTTCTCAAAAATCAGAATTATTCAGAATAAAGCTTTTACAAATAGCTGCCAAATAGTGGAAAGAATCGAAAAATCTCAATTTATGTTCCAGCCACATTATTTATTAGTTCTGCCTTGAGGACTTGTCAGTTAACATTTTTGAGCTTTTGTTTTCTTTTATGTAAAACAGAGATAACAACACCTACTTCACAGACTTGTTAGTGATGAGATAATTTGTGTAGAAGCTCTTGGTTGAACAGACTCATTTATTTGTGAAGTCAGTGAACATTCATCAAGTGTCTACTATGTGTCAGATACATATATGTGTTAAGCACTGATAAAATCAACACAGTGTGTGTAATTTCATCTGCAATTTTCCTGTCTTACAGATGTCCACCCTGGGTTAAAATGCTTAGTAAATGTTTAAATAAACTATAGTTGCTACATATTTTTAGAATGTCACCATGATAAAAACTATTTAAAAGTAAAATTTGGTTTCTATGTAGTGTATCTACAACTTATCAGAAATATATCTACTGTGTACAGTAATGGGCAAGTACACATATTCATTTACTTCTTCACATATTTCAGGTACATCATGGATTGTGAACAAAGGGTCTACTTCTAGAATACTTACAAACTTTATTGGCTATGATGAAGCAAAGGAAGGTGCATGTATCTCAGCCTTTCCCAAAAAGAGAATGGAAAGAAAAGGACTCTTGGTTTTGGGGAGCAGATCCTATGGAGGAGCTTAGCAATCTAGAGACTCTTCCACATTCTTCTGCAGTCCATATCCTGAGCCCCTGAATTGGGCACCATTGTGGAGTGTCCCTACTGGGACTAGTTTCCAAGCTGTGACACATTGATGGAAGTTTTCCCTCAGTCTGCTTTGATACAAAGGGCTTTATATTACCTTCTTATGGGGTCCTTCCCCAGCTACCTCAGAGCCTGTTGCCATCGGCATTCCTCTCTTACCTCTCTCAGCACCTGTGTGGAGCAATAACTGTTTCAGTCTTACATTAGATCTTAGGGCTTATATACCTCCCATGACATTTCTCAAGAAGCTGTGTAGACTATCTTTGGAAATTTTTGTTTGCACAATCATAAGAAGAAGAGTTGAAGCATTGCACAACTCAAAGAGGCTTCAAACACATTCTGGTCTATAATCATAGCACATTTTAAAGTTGTGGCCGGGCATGACGGCTCACACCTGTAATCCCAGCACTTTGAGGGGCTGAGGCGGGTGGATCACCTGAGGTCAGGAGTTAGAGACCAGCCTGACCAACATGGAGAAACCCCATCTCTACTAAAAATACAAACTTAGCCGGGTGGGGTGGCGCATGCTTGTAATCCCAGTTACTTGGGAGGCTGAGGCAGGAGAATCACTTGAACTCAGGAGGCAGAGGTTGTGGTGAGCCAAGATCGTGCCATTGCACTCCAGCCTGGGCAACAAGAGCGAAACTCCGTCTCAGAAAACATTTAAAATATTTAAAAAATAAAGTTGTGTTAGTGCACAGCACATCTAGCCATACATGGCAACCCCAATAGGAAAACTAGAAGCTCTACAATATTCCTTAAACTGAATCTGAAGCTTGATTACATGTGAAATCTACACTCTCTTTCATGCCCCTGAAAATTGTTTTGGCCACTTTAATCTGGCTTTCTAGTCAGTTAGCACTGGAAAGTGTCCTAAGTAGAGGCATGCTTAATATCTAGGAATCTATCTCCTCCTCTTTATTTGAATTATCACTGCCTTAGTTCAGGTCTCTATCATCTTTCCCCTGAGTTACTGTTACAGCCTCCTATCTGGTCTCCCTGCCTCAATCTCTCCTTGTCCCCATTCATTTTCTGGTGTTGACAGGGTGACCCATCTAAATCACAATCTGATCATACCATTCCCCTGCTTGCTTTTAACTTTGATAACTTTCCACTCCCTTCAGAATAAAATCCAAACTCCTTAGCACAGTTATAAAACCCTTCATGATTCTGGCTTTTGTTCTTATCTTTTGCTTCTGTAATACCATGCTTGCTCAAGTCAAGTTAAGGGCTCTGCATTTGATATTCCCTCTGCCTAGAATTTCCTTTTACCCTTCCATCTCTTTTAACTGACCAAGCCCAGCTTGGATATAACCCCCCCTGGGAGCAATTTGAAGACAATAAAAATACTTCTGGCTGGGCGTAGTGGCTCACACTTGTAATCCCAGCACTTTGGGAGGCCAAGGTGGGAAGATCACGAGGTCAGGAGATCGAGGCCATCCTGGTCAACTTGATGAAACTCTGTCTCTACTAAAATACAAAAAATTAGCCAGGCGTGGTGATGTGTGCCTGTAGTCCCAGCTACTCGGGAGGCTGAGGCAGGGGAATCGCTTGAACCTGGGAGGCAGAGATTGCAGTGAGCAGAGATCGTGCCACTGCCCTCAGGCCTGGTAACAGAGTGAGACTCCGTCAAAAAAATAAAACCTCTTAGACCCACAGACTACTGGAAAGTAACAGTCTTGAAGAAAATTTCAGAGAGAAAGAAATTCATGCCTGGTCCACCACACCCCTGATTCACAGGGGTCAGTTGCTTGCGGCAAGTTCAGTAAATTATATAGAGTAAGGACATGCTGAGCCAAGCTACTATTTTCCTTCCTAACCTCTAGGCCAAATGTCAGGGCTGACACCAAGGAGGCGGGCACTTGGGTACTTGTAAGTGCCTCTGGGCTGCCACTCAGAGAAAATCAGATGTCTAAAAGACCCCATGAGAGGCAGCTGCAAGTCACATGGGAAGTAAAAGATGGAAAATGTGACAAAAAAAGTATAAGCTCAAGAAGTAGAAAAACTGAGTTCTGGTCACAAGATCTTTAGATTCCAGTTTATCACTTTAATGCAAAAGGACTGGACTCTGTCATAGGTTGTCATATTGTGCTTCATATAGCCTGGGACAATTCTAGATATTTCTCAAGGACCACCATGGGGGAATAAAGATGATGAATATAACTCCCCCAGAACAGCTCCTCTCTTGATGGATATTCTGTTTTTCTGTGTATGATTGCAACTGAAGAAAGGGTCATGCTGCTTAAAACGCATTGCGAATCTCTAAAAGAAATTAATAAACAGCAGATGTTCCTTGAACCAACATGTACTTCACCTTCTCCCAGAGTTAAGTAAGATGTGCTGACAGATGCACTTGGTGGCTGATGGGGCACTGCTGTGGGCTGTTCCCACAGAGAGCTACCCCCGCTAGTCCCTCCAGGAGAGCCACTTACTGTCCAAGGATCAGTTGGACTTTGTCTTCAAGCCAGTAAATGCCAGTCGTACTTGTTATTTTGATTATATTGATTTAATTATCTGTTATATAAGCCAGTGAAATAGAGTGAAAAGAGAGTACTTTTTTAAATATGGTTTGACTGTGTCCCCGCCCAAATCTCAACTTGAATTGTATCTCCCAGCATTCCCATATGTTGTGGGAGGGACTTAGGAGGTGATAATTGAATCATGGGGGCCAGTCTTTTCTGTGCTATTCTCGTGATAGTGAATAAGTCTCACAAGATCTGATGGGTTTATCAGGGGTTTCCGCTTTTGCTTCTTCATTTTCTCTTGCTGCTACCATGTAAGAAGTGCCTTTCACCTCCCATCATGATTTTGAGGCCTCCTCAGCCATGTGGAACTGTAAGTCCAATTAAACATGTTTTTCTTCCCAGTCTCAGGTATGTCTTTATCAGCAGCATGAAAAGGGATTAATATAGTAAATTGGTGCCAGTAGAGTGGAGCATTGCTGAAAAGATACCCGAAAATGTGGAAGCAACTTTGGAACTGGGTAACAGGCAGAGGTTGGAACAGTTTAGAGTGCTCAGAAGAAGACAGGAAAAGGTGGGAAAGTTTGAAACCTCCTAGAGATTTGTTGAATGGCTTTGAGAAAAATGCTAATAGTGACATGGACAATAAGGTCCAGGCTGAAGTGGTCTCAGGTGGAGATGAGGAACTTGTTGGGAATGGAAGCAAAGGTGATTCTTGTTATGTTTTGGCAAAGAGACTGGCAGCATTTTGCCCCTGCCCTAGAGATTTGTGAAACTTTGAACCTGAGAGATGATTTAGGGTATCTGGTGGAAAAAATTTCTAAGCAGAAAAGCATTCAAGAGGTGACTTGGGAACTGTTAAATGCATTCTGTTTTAAAAGGGAAACACAGCATAAAAGTTCAGAAAATTTGTAACCTGATGATGCAGTAGAAAAGAAAAACCCATTTTTTGAGGAGAAATTCAAACTGGCTGCAGAAATTTGCATAAGTAGCAAAGAGCTTAATGTTAATACCCAAGACCATGGGGGAAAATGTCTCCAGGCCATGTCAGAGACCTTCACAGCAGCTCCTCCCATCACAGGCCCTGAGGCCCAGGAGGAAAAAGTGGTCTCATGGATCGGGCCCAGGGTCCTCGTACTAGGTACAGCCTAGGGACTTGGTGCCCTGTGTCTCAGCCACTCCAGTCATGGCTGAAATGGGCCAAAGTACAGCTTGGGCTGTGGCTTCAGAGGGTGGAAGTCCCAGGCCTTGGCAGCTTCCATGTGTCAGTGAACCTGCAGGTGCACAGAAGTCAAGAATTGAGATTTGGGAACCTCTGCCTAGGTTTCAGAAGAGGTATGGAAACACCTGGATGGCCAGGCAAAAGTTTGCTGCAGGGGCAAGACCCTCATGTAGAACCTCTGCTAGGGCAGTGTGGGAGGGAAATGTGGGGTCAGAGCCCCCACACAGAGTCCCTACAGGGGCGCTGCCTAGTGGAGTTGTAAGAAGAGGGCCACTGCCTTCCAAAAGCTAGAATAGTAGATCCACCAACAGCTTGTACTGTGCACCTGGAAAAGCTGCAGACACTCAGTGCCAGCCCGTGAAAGCAGCCAGGTGGGAGCCTGTACCCTGCAAAGCCACAGGGGCAGAGCTGCCCAAAACCATGGGAATCTACCTCTTGCATCAGCATGACCTGGATGTGGGACCTGGAGTCATAGGAGATCATTTTGGAGCTTTAAATTTTGACTGCTCTGCTGGATTTCAGACTTGCATGGGACCTGTAATCCCTTTGTTTTGGCCAATTTCTCCTATTTGGAATGACTGTATTTACCCAATACCTGTATCTCCATTGTATCTATGAAGTAACTAGCTTGCTTTTGATTTTACAGGCTCATAGACAGAAGGGACTTGCTTTGTTTCAGATGAGACTTTGGACTGGGGACTTTTGGGTTAATGCTGAAATGAGTTAAGACTTTGGGGGACTGTTGGGAAAGCATGATTGGTTTTGAAATGTGAGGACACAAGATTTGGAGAGGTCAGGAGTGGAATGATATGGTTTGACTGTGTCCCCACCCAAATCTCAACTTGAATTGTATCTCCCAGAATTCCCACGTGTTGTGGGAGGGACCCAGGGGAGGTAATTGAATCATGGGGGCCAGTCTTTTCCATGATATTCTCATGATAGTGAATAAGTATCACAAGATATGATGGGCTTATGTTAAAAAAAAACCACTTTTGCTTCTTCCTTATTTTCTCTTGCAGCCACCAGGTAAGAAGTGCCTTTCACCCCCCACCATGATTCTGAGGCCTCCCCCAGCCATATGGAACTGTAAGTCCAATTAAACCTCTTTTTCTTCCCAGTCTCAGGTATGTCTTTATCAGCAGTGTGAAAACTGACTAATACATTTTTTCTATGAATACTAAGAAGTATTAGCATCAGAAAACTAATTACTAACAATGCTGCTGAGGAGTTATGTATGAATGAGTTAATTCTTTGGGGAAAGATTGTAAAAATCTAGATGGAAGCTACTCTCAGATTGTTTTATAACTATCTTGGAGTGTTAATTCTACTTTAAAGAAATCTATAATGCATAATACATTAAGAAATTTTACAAAATACAAAAGTGACATCCACATAAAAGAGGCAACAACAGAACTCCAAACACCATGTTCACACCAAAATCATCATTGGATCTACATTAGACATTAGAAAATAAATAAACTTCTATAGTTTAAGATAAAATAAAATATTTAAACATAGATACATATATCTGTATGATTCCCCACTTTGACTTTAAATTAACTGCAAGTGCTGTCATCTAAGTTTATATGTGTGGAAGAAACAAATGAAAAAATATTTCTTGTGCAAAAATGAAACAACCCACAGTATCAGCTTATAATCTGAGGTTCTGATGGCATTTTTTTTCTTCCAAACAGAGAAGACACTTCTATTAAAGTGAACACTGACTGGCCTTGCATATGTGCAGCTGTTGGGCTCAATGACCACTATAACACAGAAAACATGGTTGTTTCCAACTACAACAGCTGTCCCTGATTTTTAGTCTTTCTTAAGTTTCAGCAGAGACTGCAGTATCGTCATGGAAAAAAAAAGTTGGACAAGAAGAAGAAAGATAGCTGGGGGTGTGGAGTGAATGATGTGACCTGGAGACTCTCTCTCTCACTAGTCAGTATATTTGTAGTGCAACAGGGCTTTGCTTGGCAAGCCCAATGTTACAAAGATTTATTGATTCTGCTTTCCACTGTGATCAGCCACTGAGTGACTTGTCTCATTTTTGGGAGTAGTGTATGTCTACCATACAAAGCATTCTTTGCCTAGAAACTATTGTAACTGTTTACCGCAAAATCAGTATTGCTACGGGTCAGTAGAAACGTGCCAACTAGGTGGGCATTGATCAAACAAGAGAAATATATTAGTTACTTGAAAGATTCACTATATTCTTTGGTGGAAGGTATAGCCATTCTGAAAAGTGAATGGCACATAAAACAGTTTTGTGAAAGACTAATTTATTTTATTAGGAGTCTTTCTGACCTATAATTAAAGTACAACATTTAGCAAACAAATAAAGAGCTTAATGTTTTAAATTACATACAAGGCATGAGCCTCCTAAATGGCATCCTGTCACCTGGAGAATCTCAGGTGGAAAAGCAAACAGCGTATTCAAAACCTCTGAAAAACAAACATCTCCTGTATCTTATCACTCTCCTGACCTCCTTACACCTCTTGCCTATGGCAGCCATTTTCTCAGTACAGATATATTTCAAGAATATTAAAATATCTTTTCTTTTTAATAACACAATTGAAATTACATTTTATGTACTGTTCTTCAACTTATTTTATGTGTCTCATTTTTGGGGGTCTTCTTCCCCCCCCCAGCCTTATTAAGGTACAATTGACAAATAGAAATCATATATATTAAAGTACACAATGTGATATTTTGATATATGCATACACTGTGAAATTATTACCACAATCAATCTACTTAACATATCCATCACCTCACATAATTAGCTTTTTTTTCTGTTGCTGAGAATATTTAAGATCTATTCTCTTAGAAAATGTAAATTATGCCAAAAAATTAGCTGGGCATGGTGGTGGGTGCCTGTAGTCCCAGCTACACGGGAGGCAGAGGGAGGAGAATGGCGTGAACTCAGGAGGTGAAGCTTGCAGTGAGCTGAGATCATGCCACTGCACTCCAGCCTGGGTGACAGAGCACCACTCCATCTCAAAAAAAAGAAAGAAAATTTAAAGTGTGCAATACAGTATTACTAACTATAGTCACCATGCTATACATTAGATCTCCAGAGCTTATTATCCTATATAGCCAAAGCTTTGTACCGTTTGAGCAATATCTCCTCATTTCTCCTACCTCTCCCTACCCCTGGCAACCACCATTCTACTTTCTGCTTCTATGAGTTTGACGTTTTTAGATTCTACATATGAGATCATGCAATATTTGTCTTTATGTGCCTAACCCATTTCATTTAGCATAATGTTCTCCAAGTTCATCCATATTGCAATTTCCTTCCTTTTTAAGGCTCAATAATATTTCATTGTATATACATGCCATGTTTTCTTTATTCATTCATCCTTTGATGGACACTTAAGTTTATTTTATATCTTGGCTACTGTGAATAATACTACAATGAACATGAGAATGTAGATATCTTTTCAAGATACTGATTTCAGGGCCGGGAACTGTGGCTCATGCCTGTTATCTCAGCACTTTGTGAGGCCAAGGCAGGCAGATTGCTTGAGTCCAGGAGTTTGAAACCAGCCTTGGCAACACAGTGAGACCTTGTCTCAAAAAAAAAAAAAAAAAAAAAAAAAACAGCAAAAAGAAATACAAAAATTAGCCCAGCATGGTGTTAGGTACCTGTAATCCCAGCTATTCAGGAGACTGAGGCAGGAGGATCACCTGAGCCCAGGAGGTGGAGGCTGCAGTGAGCCATGATCATGCCACTGCACTTCAGTCTGGGCAACAGAGCAAAACCCTGTCTCAATAATAATAATAATAAAAGAATACTGATTTTATTTCCTTTAGATATTTTAGATATAGACTCAGAAGTGAGATGGCTGGTTCATGTGGTATTGCTGTCTACTCTCCCTTCAATTCCGTTTATGTTTGCTTTATATATTTAGGTCCTCCAATGTTGGGTGAATATATATTTACAATTGTTACATCTTCTTGATAAATTGACCCTTTATCATTATATAATGACTTTCTTTGTTTCTTGTCACAGTTTTTGACTTAAAGTCAATTTTGTCTGATATAAGTATAGCCACCTCTGCTTTCTTTTAGTTACCATTTTTGTGAAATATTTTTTCCAACCCTGCACTTTCAGCCTATGTGTGTATGTGTGTACTTAGGACTATGTTGAGTCTCTTTTAAGCAGCATAT
The DNA here is from genome assembly GCF_000001405.40 of Homo sapiens. Lineage (NCBI taxonomy): Eukaryota > Metazoa > Chordata > Mammalia > Primates > Hominidae > Homo > Homo sapiens. The sequence goes on from NC_000004.12 coordinate 99,689,628, forward strand.
ATTTGAATTTTGTTTTTATCCACTTAGCCACTCTATGTCTTTATTTTATTTTTATTTTATTTTATTTATTTATTTATTTTTGAGACGGAGTCTTGCTCTGTCACCCAGGCTGGAGTGCAGTGGCATGATCTTAACTCACTGCAATCTCCACCTCCGGGGTTCAAGTGATTCTCCTGCCTCAGCCTCCTGAGTACCCGGGATTACAGGCACCTGTCACCACGCCCAGCTAATTTTTGTATTTTTAGTAGAGTTGGGGTTTCACCACGTTGACCAGGCTGGTCTCGAGCTCCTGATCTCAGATGATCCGCCCACCTTGGCCTCCCAAAGTGCTAGGATTACAGGCAAGAGCCACAGCGCTTGGCCCTATGTCTTTTAATTAGATATTTTAATCTGTTTACATTTAAAATAATTATTGACAGATAAGAATTTACTGTTGTCTTTTGTTAATTGTTTTCTGTGATTTTGTAGTTCCTTTCTTCTTCTTTTCTTGATGTCTTTCTTTCTGATTTGATGATTTTGCAGTGTTATGCTTATTCCTTGATCTTTTGTATACCTACTAGACATTTTTTTGTGTCATTACCATGAAGCCTACATAAATCATCTCATAGTTAGGACAGCCTGTTTTAAGCTGATAACAACTTAACTGATAACAACTTAATTCTGATCACATACAAAAACTCTATGCTTTAATTTCTCCTCCTCCCATATTCAGTGTTTTTGACCTCACCATTTACATCTTTTTATATTATCCATCCATTAACCAATATTATAATAATAGTTATTTTTAATAGTTTTATGTTTCATATTAGAGGTCAAAGTAATTTACATACTACTATTACATTATTAGAGTATTCTGCATTTGACTATATTCTTATCTTTACAGTGAGTTTTATGTTTTTATATTGTTAGTTAGCATCCTTTTTCTCAACCTGAAGAACTCACTTTAGTGTTTCTTGCAAGGCAGGTCTACTGGTAATGAACTCTCTTTGCTTTTGTTTGTCTATGAGTCTCTATCTGTCTATTTCTGAAAGACAGCTCACTTAAATATAGTATCCTTGGTTGGCAGAGGTTTTTTTTTTTTCAGCACTTTGAATATAACATTACACTTTCTCCTGGCCTGCAAGATTTCTGCTGAGAAGTCCACTGATGGTTTTATGAGAGTTCCTTACTTGTGACTGGTCACTTTCCTCTTAATGCTTTCTAAATTCTCCCTTTGTAGTTAACTTTTGAGACTTTGATTGTAATGTGTCCCAGTGACCATTTCTTTATTTATCTGAGGTTCTTTAATTATTTGAATTTGTGGAGCTGAATGTTTATTTACCCCTTCACATTTGGAAAGTTTTCTGTAATTATTTCTTTAAATAGGCTTCTGCTCTGTTTCCCTTTCTTTGCTCCTTCTGAAACTTTCATAATTGGTTTGCTTGATGGTGTACTACAAGTTCTGTAGGCTTTATTCACTCTTTTTCATTTTCTTTTCTTTTTGTTTCTCTGTAACTTCTAGTGGTGTATTTTTGAGCTCACTGATTCTTCCTTCTGCTTGACTGAGCCTACTGTTAAAGCACACCATGGAGGTTTTTAGTTCAGTCATTGTGTTCTTCAGCTCCAGAATTTCTGATTGGTGCTTGTTTATGGTTTCTATCTCTTGAACTTATCTTGTTCATGTATTATTTTTCTGATTTTATTTCATTGTCTCTGTTCTCTTGTAGCTAGGTGGAGCATCTTTAAGACAATTATTTTGAGTGCTTTGTCAGACAGTTCATGCATTTTCATTTTTTTAGGGTTGGTTTCTTGTGTTTTATTTTGTTTCTTTGGTGGTGCTGTGCTTCCCTGATTATTAATGATCCATGTGTCTTTGTATTGGTGTCTACACATTTAAGAAGTAGACACCTCTTTCAGTATTTACAAACTAGCTTCAAAAGAGAAAGCTATTCTCCCATCACCTTGCCTAGAAATTCTAAGTGGGCCATCTAGTGGGGTCCATGTGTGTGCTTCCTGTTGGTGTACTTAGGTGGTCTGACCTCATACCAGGGTCTGCAGGGATGTGCCTGGATCTGAGTCCAATGGGATGGGGCTCATGATGGGTCCATAACAATTGGCCTGGAGTCTGTGTCTTCAGGGACAAGCCTGGAGACTGGGTCCACAAGAGTGAGCCTGAAATTTGTTTCCATAGAAGCTGACCTGGTGCTGGAGCATGACTTAAGTATGAGTCCACTGGGGCTGGCCTGGTGCTGGGGCAGGCCTGGAACCTGAGTCCACGGAGATGGGCTTGGCACTTGGGTCCATGGGAGTGGGCCTGGTGCCAGGGTTAACTAGAGTTGATGGTGAAGTCAGGTGCTCACTTCACTCTTCTTCCCCTAGGTGGAGGGTATCTTTTGCCATACTGTGGTGCCCAGGTTTGTGGAGGAGTGATGCAGATAAGGTGAAACTGTTCTTTCTACCTTCTTTAGGGTGTCTTTTTTTATATCTATGCTCCACCCAAGTGCTGTAATATCTTATATGGATTCCTTAGCTCTTGTGAAGATGTTTTCATGCATGGATGGTTGTTCAAATTGGTGTTTCTGTGAAGGAACAAGTACTGAAAATTTCTCCTCCACTATCTTGCTGATATCACCCTCCTACACTCACTTTTAAGCTATACCGCAGTGTACAATTCTATGCATTTACTAAAGCTTATTTAGTTAGATAGCTCATGTTTTATTTTATAATTGAACAAGGTCATAATGGAACAAAACCATTTAAAACAATATAGAATGATAAAACTTAAAAAAAAAAAAACTTCTGACCATTTGAGAGGTACAATAGCTACTCTGAGGGGTGGGGAAGGGCCTGGCCTCTGAAGATTATCAATTTCTCTTGAGAGCAGAAATAGACCTGCTGGTGATGAGCTTTTCAATCTTTCATGAAATTCAGGGCTAGTTCTCACGCTCAATGAGAAGGTGTTTAATTTCTCAGGGAACAATTCACAGAACAGAACTTTAGTAATATCAGGAAATATTTCCCAACATTGTCATTACCTTTAACTGATCTCTCCTAGTTTATAACACCTCTGCAAAGGTGTTAAGTAAGTTGGAATCAGAGTTTTCAAAAGCCAGTCTCTTCTGGAGTAGCAGGTGTCAAACCATTACAAGGGCTCATTATTCCCTTAATTAATTTTTTTCCTTTATTTATACCGTGCTTACTGATTTGGGGTAGGCTGAGTGAGCTTAATGGAGTCTCCCAAACTGTAACAGCCAACTGGAGCACAGTTCTTAATGGGATAAAAATAGTCATGCTTCCCAGCTTCCATCCAAAGGGGTAGTTGCGGAGAGTTGCAGAGTTCCATAAAAAGGGCATTAACATCTTCCAGCCTTGCTGACTTTGAAAAACCTGCCCCTCCTGGGCTAGCTAATTCCCAGAGATAGTAAACAACTAGCCTGTGAGTGTCTTTTATATGTACGCTAACCAATTAAGGTTCCATACCCCCAACCACCTCCTCCACTGGGCTCTCACACTCAGGGCTATTATACCCCTTTCCTGATCACCCCAGGGCATGGCACCAGAAAACTAGAGACAGGTTTATGCCCTAGAGCCTGCTGAAATTACTCAAACTAGCCAATCCTAAATCTGCATACCCTGCCTGTTCTGTTCCTTCCCATGAAAACCACCATAATGGTTATTTCCCACATTTCCCACTAAATCTCTCTGCCTCCTGACTGACTCTGGTGTTTCTCCATGTCCCCGCCCCCAACCCAACCCCTAACTCAGCTTGGGTGTGGTGTGGCAGGCCCTCCTCCTCTGGGGATGTGTGAGTATAACAAACTAAATTTTTAATAACAGTGATCTCCTGATCTGCTGGCCCCACTATGCTTGAATAACAATAAAGCCTACATTTTCAAACAAATGGGTGGTACCTGCCAACTTGGCTTTGCATGTTGTTCCTTGTATGCATTCACCCACAGCCTAGAGGCTTCAAGCAACCACTATTCCTCCTGCCAGGGAGCTTTTGCTCTTGCTGTTCCTCCAACCAGAAGCAACCCTCTTCATCCTGAACCATTCCCCAGACCTAGGGAGCCTCTCCACACTTCAGATATCATCTCAATCATCTAAATCCTCAGAGACCTTCCCTGAACCCCAGTCTATATTTGGGCATTTGCCATTGTTCTAATGGCATTCTATTTTGTCTTTGTAGTGCATAACATAGTCTGTGTTTGATTACCTGGGAGATTATTTGGTTAAGGTTTGTTTTCTCCTTTAAGATTGGAAATGCCAAGATAGCAGCAGCTGAATCTTTTTTTTTCTCATTATTGCATCCCTATTGCACTGTCTGGTACATGGCATGTGCTCCTTATTTTTGGATTGAAGGGATGGGTGAATCCCTTGGGGACTGTTGGAAATGAGAGAAGGAGTCTTTAAAGAGAACTTAAAGTTCAGCAGAAGAAAATTGGAAGAGATTCAGAGAAATATATTTTATTACTATTAAGATGGCCTCATTTTCCCCAGGCAGCTGAATCATAACAGATGACACAAAGTGTTAAATAAATCCAAGTACATATTTATGATGAAATATTATACAACCATTAAAAATTACATTTGCAGTCTAATTGTCTCATAAGTATGGCACAATCATAAAAAGAAATACTACATAGTTACTCAAATTATACTGCAGATTTATGTTTACTAACATGGAAAAATGATCCTGATATATTGTTCATATTTTTAAAAAAGCAGATTACATTTACAGAACAATTTGTATAGGTTGATGTTGCTTTGCTTAAAACTGGTATAAAATTATAAACACGTGCTTATGATGTATAAGGAACTGTGAAAAACATTTTACGTTAACATGAAATATAAGTCTTATAAGGAAATTACTATCATTATGTCCATTTTAAAGATAAATAATAGGAAGCTTTTAGAGGTAAGACATTTGCCTATAATTTAGAGCTAACTATATTAAGAGTGATTAGTTATCTTTTAAAAATTTAATTTTTTAAACTTTATTTTCTAAATTTTCTGCGATTAACATAGGTTAGTTTTTATAATAAAATAATTTTCTTATTTACATGTTTTAATGACATTAAAACATTAAAATATTAATTTTGTAAATATTTTCAACTTTCATTAGATTCAAGGGATATAGGTGCAGGTTTATTACATGGGTATTTTGGGTGATGCTGAGATTTGGGGTACAAATGACTTCATCGTACAGGTAATATAGTAACCAATAGTTTTTCAACCTTTCCCCCTTTCTCTCCCTCCTGCTCTAGTAGTCCCCAGTGTCTGTTGTTGCTATTTTTATGTTCATGAGTACCCACTGTTTAGCTCCCACTTATAAGTGAGAACATTCAGTATTTGGTTTTCTGTTCCTGTGTTAATTTTCTTCAGAAAATAGCCTCTAGCTGCATCCATGTTACTGCAAAGCACATGATTTCATTCTTTTTTATGGCTGCATAATATTCCATGGGTCGAATGGTAGTTCTGTTTAAAGTTCTTTGAGAAATATCTGAACTGCTTTCCACAGTGGCCAAACTAATTAACATTCCCAACAGCAGTGAATAGGCATTCCTTTTCTCCACAGCCTCAACAGCATCTGTTATTTTTTGACTTTTTAATAACAGCCACTTTGACTTGTGTGAGATGGTATCTCAATGTGATTTTGCTCTCTTTGATGATTAGTGATGCTCAGCATTTTTTCATATGTTGGCTGCTTGTATGTCTTCTTTTGAGAAGTGTCTGTTTCATGTTCTTTGCCTACTTTTTAATGGTTTTTTTGTTGTTGTTTTTTACTTGTTGAATTAAGTCCTTAAATGTTCTGTATATTAGACTTTTGTCAGATGCATAGATTGTGAATGTTTTCTCCTATTCTGTAGGTTGTCTGTTTACTCTGTTAATAGTTTCTTTTGCTGTACAGAAGCCCTTCAGTTTAGTTAGGTCGAACTTGTCAATTTTTGCTTTTATTGCAATTGGTTTTGAAGACTTAGTCATAAATTCTTTGCCAAGGCCAATGTCCAGAATGATATTGCCTAGGTTTTCTTCTAGGACTTTTATAGTTTGAGATCTTACATTTACATTTTTAGTCTATCTTGAGTTAATTTTTGTATATGGTGAAAAGTAGAAGTCCAGTTTTCTTCTTCTGCCAATGACTAGCCAGCTATCCCAGTACCACTTACTGAATAGAGAGTCCTTTCTCCATTGCTTATTTTTGTAGACTTTGTTGAAGATCAGATGGCTGTAGTTGTGCAGCTTTATTTCTGGGTTCTCTGTTAAGTTCCATTGTTCTATGTATCTGTTTTTGTACCAGTACCATGCTGTTTTGATTACTATAGGCTTATAGTTTAAAGTCACGTAATGTGAACCCTCCAGCTTTGTTCCATTTGCTTAGGGATGCTTTGGGTATTCAGGTTTTATTAGTTCCATATGAATTTTGCAATAATCTTTTCTAATCTGTGAAAAATAATGTTGGTAGTTTGGTAGGAATAGCATTTAATCTGTAGATTGCTTTGGGCAGTATGGCCATTTAACAGTAAAATAATTGTTAACATTAACACTTTAATAAAATACACTTTCATAAAATATTACTTATACAATGTCAAAACACAGTAGACTAAAAGCTACATATGGATAATTTTAATTATGCTATTTTTAAATGAAGAGAGAATAGGAAATGGATGTCAATATTATAAATGAGACTGTTTTCTCTTTAGGCATTTTACATTTTCGAAATTTCTTACAATAACCTTGCAATATTTGCTGCCATTATCAAGCAATTTGCCAAAGTTGCCTACTGTAGAGCAGCTGGCATTAGGATACTTTCATTTCAGGCCAAATCCCTATAAAGTATCTGAGGCAACTGCAACTCTCATCTGACAATATCAAGCCTCTAAGAAAGAGATTTTTAAGGTTTTTTTCCTATAGCAAAACTAATTTTTATTTCAAGTCATCATTTTGCAAGAGGAGAACACCTTGACCTCAAATTTCATTCTCCTTTCTTCCCCAGATGACCTCTACCTTCACCCCTCCCTGCACCCACTTTCTAGGGATTAGCCACCACATTTTACTATGTCTCAAAATATCAGGGAAAAATTAATATATGTTAGTTTTTCAGAAATATTATTTTTCCTCACATCAGTGGTATAGAAACATTGATAATAGTCAAATCCCAAACCAAACTTACCTAGATTCACCCTTCTGAATGATTGACACACTGGCCTTTGCTTGGTAGTACTAAGTCATAAAAATGCCACCCTCCTGTGACTTAAAGTCAGCCAGGTTGACATGATCTCTCTTTGATCGGGTTGAGGATTCATTGTCAAATGGCGATGGAATCCTCTTTACCTAGAAAGGGTGGTCATACCAGGTCATCCTGGAGGGAACTAAAAGAGTACTTTGAGCCTAAGCTGGCAGCTGCTTTTGCCTATTAAGTAGTCTTTCTGCTCTAGAGCAGATGGTGTTGGCAATGCCACATAAGTCAGCCTGGAAAGACACAAACACATTTAGAAGTTGACTTTGACTTTCCATATTAAATTTCCTTTGAGTGTGTGTACATCTATCTGTACACACACACGCACACACAAATATAAACATATCACTAGTATTTTTGTGATGTTTAGTTTGCAGGCTGGTCTGTCAGTGTATTTTTAGTGTCTACTCAAACCAGTGCTTGGCACACACTGAGCACTCAATAGTTGTTTGTTGCGTCAATGAATAAATAAACAGTAAATGAATTTACCTTCCCATAAAAGAAGACTATTCACAGAAAATATGTCATAGCTATGACATAAGTCAGATGTATTTTATTTATAAAATGACACATGGGAATCTAAAGGGAAAAGAGTGTAACCAGCTGCTTTACTCAGAGTTCCAGAGTTGGAGTGGAGAAATCTGCTGCATTGATTCCTCTGGAGTAGGAAATACTTAGGGTTATGCCACGCTGAGTGTGGAGAGGAGAGAGTTCCTTGTTTTGTCTTTGGTGCACCAGGTTCATACCAGAGTAGCACTTCTGAGTGGAAGCATGCTAGGACAATCAGCGCCACCATAGAGGATCAGTCAAGCTCGGTTCTTGTTCAGACTCAGGAAAACCTCAAAGAGATTCATTTCCTGAATATCCGGGAATAGCCAGAGGTACACACATAGAGAGGTGGTAACTCTTCAGGAGGGCTACTGAGTTTCTGGGATCTTCTGACCCTGGTGTTGGAGTAAGCCAGGAATTCAATCCCAATAGAAATCTGGTAATAAGACTGGGAATTTGAAACTTGGTGTCTGGCAATGCCTTCTGTTTCCATTATCATAGTCATAACCATTAACTTTGCAATTACATTTATCTGAACACCTATAGACCAGGCACTATGCCACATACTTTTTTTGTCAATGTTACAAGCTCTCTGGAAGGTATCATTATCTCCATGTTACAAGGGAGAAAATGAGCCCCACAGAGGCAAATAATGTTCTCAAGGCTTACTGGGAAAAGGCTCACCTTCTCATCTGAAAAATCTTTGACTCCCGATTGCTTAGAGTTGCAGTTTTAATCTAGATTTTAAAGTGCCCTAGGAGGACCCCTCAGGAGCCATCTCAAGGAGAGGATCATGTGACAAGTTTAAGGTTTCCTCCATGCAGCACACATTTTGATGAAACATCTTTGATTTTGCCTATTTTCAATTCTAGTCAGCCATGTAATATTTAATCTGAAGGAAGGGCTCTGCTTTGATATTTGAAAAAATTCAGAAAAAGAAGGAAAGGGAATGAAGGGAAAAGAAAGAAGAGAGGGAAATATTAAAAAGCATTGGCTTAAAGGAAAAAATCTAAACTTCAAATTTTGGCATTTCTGGACCTTCAGAAACTTTTCCCAAGACACCATTCCTTATGTAACCACAATTGCTGTTCTTGAGCAGGCTTGATCCCATCAAACTGGACACATTGCTGTTTCTTAACTATTCCTCATGTCTATTTGCCTCCATGTCTCTTCATTGCTTCCCCAAGCTTATGCCTTTTTTTTTTTCTGCTGTCCATTTCTGGCTGCCTCACAGCTTCCACCTCCTGAAGACTTCACTAGTTTCCCCTGACTGGAAGCTATTTAGCATACTCTGAATTCACGTAACACTTTGCTTAATAATTTTTTGAGGCACTCAATAAGATAGCTATCATAGCCTTGGGCAAGATGGCTGAATAGAAACAGCTCTTTTCTGCAGCTCCCAGTGAGACCAAAGCAGAAGGCAGGTGATTTCTGCATTTCCAACTGAGGTACCTGATTCATCTCATTGGGACTGGTTAGACAGTGAGTGCAGCCCACGGAGGACGACCAGAAGCAGGGTGGAGCTTCGTCTCACCCAGGAAGTGCAAGGGGTCAAGGAACTCCCTCCCCTAGCCAAGGGAAGCTGTGAGGGACTGTGCTGTGAGGGATGGAGCTATCTGGCCCAGATACTACACTGTTCTCATGGTCTTTGCAACCCACAGACCAAGAGATTCCATTGGGTGCCTACACCACCAGGGCCCTGGGATTCAAGCACAAAACTGGCAGCCATTTGGACACACATTGAGCTAGCTGCACAAGTTTTTTTGTTTTGTTTTGCTTTGTTTTTTTGATAACCCAGTGGTGACTGGAATGCCAGCAAGAGACAATTGTTCACTCCTCTGGAAAGAGGGTTGAAGCCAGGGAGCTACGTGGTCTACCTCAGTGAATTCCACCTGCAAGGAGCCCAGAAAGCTGAGATCCATTGGCTTGAAATTCTTGCTGCCAACACAGCAGCCTGAAGTCGACCTGAGATGCTGGAGCTTGGTGCGGGGAGGGGCGTCCACCATTACTGGGGCTTGAGTAGGCAGTTTTCCCCTCACAGTGTAAACAAAGGCACCAGGAAGTTCGGACTGGGCAGAGCCCACCACAGCGTGCCAAGCTGCCGTAGCCAGGCTGCCTCTCTAGATTCCTCCTCTCTGGGTAGGGCATCTCTGAAAGAAAGGCAGCAGCCCCAGTCAGGGACTTATAGATAAAACTCTCATCTCCCTGGGACAGAGCACCTGGGGGAAAGGGCGGCTGTGGGCACAGCTTCAGCAGACTTAAATGTTCCTGTTTGCCAGCTCTGAAGAGAGCAGTGGATCTTCCAGCAAAGTGCTCGAGCTCAGCTAAGGGAAAGACAACCTCCTTAAGTGGATCCCTGATCCCTGTGCCTCCTGACTGGGAGACACCTCCCATCAGGGGCCAACAGACACCTCATATAGGAGAGCTCCAGCTGGCATCTGGTGGGTGCCCCTCTGGGATGAAGCTTCCAGAAGAAGGAACAGGCAGAAACCTTTGCTGTTCTGCAGCCTCTGCTGGTAATACCCAGGCAAACAGGGTCTGGAGTGGACCCTCAGCAAACTCCAGCAGACCTGCAGCAGAGGGGCCTCACTGTTAGAAGGAAAACTAACAATCAGAAAGCAATAGCATCGACATCAACAAAAATGACAACCACGCAAAAACTCCATCCAAAGGTCACCAACAGCAAAGACCAAAGATAGATAAATCCATGAAGATGAGAAAAAAACAGAGCAAAAAGGCTGAAAATTCCAAAAACCAGAATGCCTCTTCTCCTCCAAAGGATCACAACTCCTTGCCAGCAAGGGAACAAGACTGGATGGAGAATGAGTTTGATGAATTGACAGAAGTAGGCTTCAGAAGGTGGGTAATAACAAACTCCTCTGAGCTAAAGGAGCATGTTCTAACCCAATGCAAGGAAGCTAAGAACCTTGATAATAGGTTAGAGGAATTGCTAACTAGTATAACCAGTTTAGAGAAGAACATAAATGACCTGACTGAGCTGAAAAACACAGCATGAGAACTTCGTGAAGCGTACACAAGTATCAACAGTCAAATCGATTCAAGTGGAAGAAAGAATATCAGAGATTGAAGATTAACTTAATGAAATAAAGCATGAAGATGCAAGATTAGAGAAAAAAGAATGAAAAGGAATGAACAAAGCCTCCAAGAAATATGGAACTATGTGAAAAGACCAAATCTATGTTTGATTGGTGTACCTGAAAGTGACAGGGAGAATGGAACCAAGTTGGAAAACACTCTTCAGAGTATTATCCAGGAGAACTTCCCCAATCTAGCAAGACAGGCCAACATTCAAATTCAGGAAATACAGAGAACACAATAAAGATACTCCTCAAGAACAGCAACCCCAAGACACATAATTGTCAGATTCACCAAGGTAGAAATGAAGAAAAAAATGTTAAGGGCAGCCTGAGGGAAAGGTCAGGTTACTCACAAAGGGAAGCCCATCAGACTAACAGCAGATCTCTCTGCAGAAACGCTGCAAGCCAGAAGAGAAGAATTTAACATACTTAAAGACAAGAATTTTCAACCCAGAATTTCATATTAAGCCAAACTAAGCTTCATAAGTGAAGGAGAAATAAAATCCTTTAAAGGCAAGCAAATGCTAAGGGATTATGTCACCACCAGGCCTGCCTTACAAGAGCTCCTGTAGGAAGCACTAAATATGGAAAGGAAAAATCAGTACCAGCCATGGCAAAAACAACCCAAAATGTAAAGACTATCAACACTATGAAGAAACTGCATCAACTAATGGGCAAAATAACCAGCTAACATTATAAAGACAGGATCAAATTCATACAGAGCAATATTAACCTTAAATGTAAACAGGCTAAATGCCCCAATTAAAGGCACAGATTGGAAAATTGGATAAATAGTCAAGACCCATCGGTGTGCTGTATTCAGGAGATGCATCTCACGTGAAAAGATACACATAGGCTCAAAATAAAGGGATGGAGAAGGATTTACCAAGCAAATGGAAAACAAAAAAAAAGCAAGGGTTACAATCCTAGTCTTTGATAAAACAGACTTTAAACCAACAAAGATCAAAAAAGACAAAGAAGGGCATTACATAATGGTAAAGGAATCAATTCAACAAGAAGAGCTAACTATCCTAAATATATGTTCACCCAATACAGGAGCACCCAGATTCATAAAGCAAGATCTTAGAGACCTACAAGGAGACTTAGACTCCCACACAATAATAGTGGGACACCCCACTCCCACTGTTAGACAGATCAATGAGACAGAAAATTATCAAGAATATTCAGGACTTGAACTCAGCTCTGGACCAAGCAGACCTAATAGACATCTACAGAACTCTCCACCCTAAATCAACAGAATATACATTATTCTCAGCACCACATAGCACTTATTCTAAAATTAACCACATAATTGGAAGTAAAACACTCCTCAGCAAATGCAAAAGAACGGAAATCATAAAAAACAGTCTTTCCAACCAAAGTGCAATCAAATTAGAACTCAGAGTTAAGAAACTCACTCAAAATGGCACAACTACATGGAAACTGAACAGCCTGCTCCCTGTATGACTACTGGGTAAATAACAAAATTAAGGCAGAAATAAATAAGTTATTTGAACCCAATGAGAACAAAGACACAATGTACCAGAATCTCTGGAACACAGCTAAAACAGTGTTTACAGGGAAATTTATAGCACTTAATGCCCACAGGAGAAAGTGGGAAAGATCTAAAATCGACATTCTAACATCACAATTGAAAAAACTAGAGAAGCAAGAGCAAACAAATTCAACAGCTAGCAGAAGACAAGAAACAACTAAGATCAGAGCAGAACTTAAGGAAATAGAGACACAAAAAACCCTTCAAGAAAAACAGTGAATCCAGGAGCTAGTTTTTTGAAAACATTAACAAAATAGACTGCTAGCCAGACTAATAAATAAGAAAAGAGAGAAGAATCAAATAAATACAATAAAAAATGATAAAGGGGAGATCACCACTGATCCCACTGAAATACTAACTACCATCGGAGGATACTATAAACACCCCTACACAAATAAACCAGAAAATCTAGAAGAAATGGATAAACTCCTGAACACATACACCCTCCCAAGGCTAAACCAGGAAGAAGTCGAATCCCTGAAAAGACCAATAACAAGTTCTGAAATTGAGGCAGTAATTAATAGCCTACCAACCAAAAAACACCCAGGACCATACTGATTCACAGCCAAATTCTACCAGAGGTACAAAGAGGAGATGGTACCTTTCTTTCTGAAACTATTCCAAATAATATAAAAAGAGGGACTCCTCCCTAACTCATTTAATGAGGCTATCATCATCCTGATACCAAAACCTGGCAGAGACAGCAAAAAAAGAAAATTTCAGGCCAATATCCCTGATCAACATAGATGCGAAAATCCTCAATAAAATATTGGCAAACCAAATCCAGCAGTACATCAAAAAGCTTATCCACCACAATCAAGTCAGCTTCATCCCTGGCATGCAAGGCTAAGTCAACATACGAAAATCAGTAAAGGTAATCCATCACATAAACAAAACAAATGACAAAAACCACATTATTATCTCAATAGATGCAGAAAAGGCCTTCAATAAAATTCAACACCACTTCCTGCTAAAAACTCTCAATAAAATAGGTATTGACAGAACATATCTCAAGATAATAAGAGCTATTTATGACAAACCCACAGCCAATATCATACTGAATGGGCAAAAGCTGGAAGCATTCCTTTTGAAAACTGGCACAAGACAGGGATGCCCTCTCTTACCACTCCTATTCAACGTAGTATTGGAAGTTCTGACCAGGGCAATCAGGCAAGAGAAAGAAATAAAGGTATTCAAATAGAAAAAGAGGGAGTCAAATTATCTCTGTTTGCAGATGACATGATTGTATATTTAGAAAACCCCATTCTCTCAGCCCAAAAACTCCTTAAGCTGATAAGAAACTTCAGCAAATTCTCAGGGTACAAAATCAATGTGCAAAAATCACTATCACTATACACCAATAACAGAAAAACAGAGAGCCAAATCATGAGTGAACTCCCATTCACAATCGCTACAAAGAGAATAAAATACCTATTAATACAACTTACAAGAAATGTGAAGGACCTCTTCAAGGAGAACTACAAACCACTGCTCAAGGAAATAAGAGAGCAAATAAATGGAAAAACATTCCATGCTCATGGATAGGAAGAATCAATATTGTGAAAATGGCCATACTGCCCAAAGTAATTCATAGACTCAGTGCTACCCCCATCAAGCTACCATTGACTTTCTTCACAAAATTAGAAAAAACTACTTTAAATTTCATATGGAACCAAAAAAGAGCCCGTATAGCCAAGACAATCCTAAGCAAAAAGAACCAAGCTGGAGGCATCACGCTACTTAGCTTCAAACTATACTACAAGGCCACAGTAACCAAAACAGCATGGTACTGGTACCAAAACAGATATATAGACCAATGGCATAGAGCAGAGGCTTCAGAAATAACACCACACATCAACTATTTGATCTTTGACAAACCTGACAAAAACAAGAAATGGGGAAAGGATTCCCTATTTAATAAATGGTGTTGGGAAAACTGGCTAGCCATATGCAGAAAACTGAAACTGGACCCCTTCCTTACACCTTATACAAAAATTAACTTAAGATGAATTAAAGATTTAAATGTAAGACCTAACACCATAAAAACCCTAGAGGAAAACCTAGGCAATACCATTTAGGACATAGGCGTGGGCAAAGACTTCATGACTAAAACATCAAAAGCAACGGCAACAAAGCCAAAATTGACAAATGGGATCTAATTAAACTAAAGAGCTTCTGCACAGCAAAAGAAAATATCATCAGAGTAAACAGGCAACCTACAGAATGGGAGAAAATTTTTGCAATCTATCCATCTGACAAAGGACTAATACCCGGAATCTACAATGAACTTAAACAAATTTACAAGAAAAAAACAAAAAGCCCCATCAAAAAGTGGGCAAAGGATATGAACATTCTCAAAAGAAGATATTTATGTGGCCAACAAACATATGAAAAAAGCCCATCATCACTGGTCATTAGAGAAATGCGAATCAAAACCACAATGAGATACCATCTCACGTCAGTTAGAATGGCGATTATTAAAAAGTCAGGAAACAACAGATGCTGGAGAGGATGTGGAGAAATAGGAACACTTTTACACTGTTGGTGTGAGTGTAAATTAGTTCAGCCACTGTAGAAGACAGTGTGGTGATTCCTCAAGGATCTAGAACCAGAAATACCACTTGACCCAGCAATCCCATTACTGGGTATATACACAAAGGATTATAAATCATTCTTCTGTAAAGACACAGGCACATGTATGTTTACTGCAGCACTATTTACAATAGCAAAGACTTGCAATCAACCCAAATGCCCATCAATGATAGACTTGGTAAAGAAAAGGTGACACATATACCCCATGGAATACTATGCAGCCATAAAAAAGGATGAGTTCATGTCCTTTGTAGGGACATGGATGAAGCTGGAAACCATCATTCTCGGCAAACTAACACAGGAACAGAAAACCAAATGCCACATGTTCTCATTCATAAGTGGGCATTGAACAATGAGGACGTATGGGCACAGTGAAGGGAACATTACACACTGGGGCATGTTGGGGGGCAGGGGGCAAGGGGCAAGATAGCATTAGGAGAAATATCTAATGTAGATGACAGGTTGATGGGTGCAGCAAACCACCATGGCACATGTATACCTATGTAACAAACCTGCACATTCTGCACATGTATTCTAGAACTTAAAGTATATTTAAAAAGAGATGGCTATAATAAAAAACAAATGAAAAACAAAAACAAAAAATAATAATTCATATGAAACTGGTTTTATACTCCCTTCAATCAATCACACTTTGGAGTTTGTATAAAATATATCTTATTTCCACACACAAATATATTAACCAGAATAATGAACACTTACTTAGTTTCCTTGTTCAGATTATTTACTAACCATCATTACAAAGACTGAAAAGCCAGGATGATTTCCTATTTGGTCTAATTAATTTTAATTGTGTATATAAATATGAATATATGTTCATATGATAAATATTATATACCAAAATTAGTATGAGACGGATCCAATCAAGAACCCATTTAATAATTGGACAAATTCGATGAAAAGGACAAATTACCCCTGCCAAAACCAATTACTATCAAAATCAACACAAGTAGAAATCAAAAATCTTAATAACTCTTCATTTAATAAAGAAATTGAATTGCTAATTAGAAATCTTCCCAAACACACAAAAATCATGACTCAAATGGGCTCACTGATGAGTTCTCTTAAATCTGTAAACAAACAATAATACCAATATTACACAAGCTTTTTCAGAAAATAGAGAATTACATTACAAATTTGCCAGCTTCCCAACTCACTTTTTGAGGATACCATACCCCGGTTCCAAAACTTGACAAAAATACTGCAAATAGAGAAAATTACAGAACAATACTTCTCAAGAATATTGGTGCAAAAATCCTAAATATATTTTCAACTGAAATTCAGCAATATGTAAAAAGCATAATACACTCTAAGTAAAGTGTAAGTTTAGTTTAACATTCAAAAATCAAGAATGCAACTCACAATATTAACAAAATACAGGAGAAAAATCATTTGATCATCTCCATACGCGCAGTAAAAGCATTGCACAATATCCAATATCCATTCATGACCAAAAAACAAAGCTCAGTAAACCAGGATTAGAATTAATCTTTCTCAATTTGATAAAAAGGCATATATAACAAGAACCCACAGCCAACATTTTACTTAATAGCAAAAGTCTGAATATTTTCCTTCTAAGATTGAAAGCAACACAAGAATGTCCATTTATACCACTTCTCTTCAACATGTCATTGGGGGTCCCAGTCTATGCAAAAAGGCAGTGGTACTCAGGAGGATGATTTTGCCCTGCAAGAGATTATTTTGCAATGCCAGGAGACATTTTTGGTTTTCACAACTCTGGGGAAAAGGCGATGTTACTCTTACCTACAGGGTAGAGGTCAGGGATGCTGTTAAACATTCTAGGACGCACAGGACAGACTCAAAATGTCAATAGCACTGAGGTTGAGAAACCCCCCAGTAAGACAAGGAAAGGAAATAAAATAATATATAAATTGGAAAGAAAAAATGAAAACCATATTTATCTTCCAGATGACATGATTTTTCATCTAGAAATCATGAAGAAATCTATTTTTATTTTTATTTGTTTACTTACTTATTTATTTTTGAAACAGGGTCTTGCTCTGTTGCCCAGGCTGGAGTACAGTGGCGCGATCTTGGCTCACTGCAACCTCCACCTCCCGGGTTCGAGCAATTCTCCTGCCTCAGCCTCCCAAGTAGCTGGGATTACAGGTGCATGCCACCACACTCGGCTAATTTTTGTATTCTTACTAGAGATGGAGTTCACTATGTTGGCCAGGCTGGCCTCGAACTCCTGACCACAAATGATCTGCCCACCTTGGCCTCCCAAAATGCTGGGATTACAGATGTGAGCCACCGTGCCTGGCCAGAAATCTATTTTTAAAAACTACAGTACTAGAACTGGTGAGTGAATTTGTAAAGGTCATAAGAAATAAGATCAATATACCAAAAAATTAACTTTCTTTTTATGTACTTGCCGAAAACAATTGGAAAATATTTTTAAATTATAGCAACAAACATACAAAATATTTCAGAATAAATTTAATGAAAGATATAAAAGATCTCTATACTTAAAATTATAAACATTCCTGAAATAAATTTTAAAAATCTAAATGAATTTCAGGAGAGATATAGAATATTCATGGATCAACAAACACAATACTGTTAAGAGGTCTATTCTTCCCAAATTGATCTATAGGTTAAACCCAGTCCCAATCAAAACACTGAAGCATTTTTATAGAAATCAACAATATAATTCTACAAAAAGTTGGAGCACTCACATTTTATTTCAAGACCTATGATAAAGCTACAGTAATTAAAAAATTTAGAATTATCATTAGTATAGACAAAAAATAGGAAAGATTTAAGAGTTGGGAAATAAACCCTTATATACAGAGTCAGTTGATTTTCTATAAAGGTTTCAAGACAATTCAATAGGTGAAGAAAAATTGTTTAAACAAATGGAGCTGGAAAAACTGGAATAAATATATGGAAAAAAAATAAGCCTCAACTTCAACCACACATTATACATAAAAATCAATTCAAGATGGATCACACGCCTAAATGTAAAAGCAAAAATTATAAAGCTTCTAGGA
Source organism: Homo sapiens (assembly GCF_000001405.40). NCBI lineage: Eukaryota > Metazoa > Chordata > Mammalia > Primates > Hominidae > Homo > Homo sapiens. The sequence goes on from NC_000004.12 coordinate 99,707,673, forward strand.
AAAACATAAGAGAACATCTGTGGAACCTTGGGAGACAAAGATTTCTTAGAGGTGACACGAAAAGTACTAATTATATATGAAAAATAGATAAATTTGATTTCATTAAAATTTAAAACTTTTATTCATCAAGACACTATTAACAAAATGAAAAGGCAAACCATATATGGGAAAAATATTTACATACCCATAGCTAACAGAGAAGTTGTACCCAGAATAGAAATACTAAAAAAAGCAACCCAATTTAAAAGTGGGCAAAATATTTGAACCACAATTTACACCCAGAAAGTAGCTTTAATCCACAGGGAAAATTAGCACACATAAAAATGACTGTTAGCATTCCTCATCTCTATTGCCTTCTACAGGTTGAGTATCTCTTACCCAAAATGCTTAGAACCAGAAATGTTTCAGATTTTGATTTTTTTTAGATTGTAATATTTGCTTTATACATCCTAGTTGTGCACCCCAAATCAGAAAATCTAAAATTCAAAATGCTTCAGTGAGTATTTCCTTGGAGCATCATGTTAGCACTCAAGAAGTTTCAGATTTTGGAGCATTTCAGATTTGGGATTTGTGATGCGCAACCTGTACCACTAAGAAGTCTCACAATTTCACTATCGAAGAAAGATGGGTGATATTCTTTACATTATGAATGCAATCTAAGACATGAATCCTCTAAGCTTGAACGGTTTTGTTTGAAGAGGTGAGAAAGACAAATTTTAAAATTACATTCTTAATGCAGGAGCCTTGAACATGGCAGATTAAGCACAAATATTTATTTCCTCCCCTAAACCCTATTAAAACAACAATAAAAGATAAAAATATTCTAAAACCACAATTTAAAAAGAGAATAGACTACGGGAAATGAGGTATGTCAATAAACTTTTGGAAGATGAGATGTTGGCTAGGCAGAGTAAAGAAAGCTGAAATGTAAGCATCTAAGATGCAAAGGAAGATGTTCAAAAATAGCAAGCTGTTTCATACAGCAGCACCAAGGAGAGTCCCAAGCATTGGATGCACCAGTTACTGTGGAAGTAGATGGTGAGAAATGTAGTGAGAAATGATAAAAGTATGTATAAAGAGCATGTAGATTCCCAGGTAGCCTCCCACACCTCATAGCTAAGTGACTACCTCTGCTCCAATCTAGCAAGGACTGGAAGGTGTATTCTCTAGAGAATCCAGGCAGTCTTTATGGCCAATGACAAAATTCCATTTTAAGCTTTTAGGCAAATTCAGAATTTAGAAAACTTGTATCTGCACAGTAAAGAAACAGTTTGCCAATACATAAAGACTTTTCTGATTAATGGCTTTATTAAGAATGTGTTTATTTGATATTATACAATAAAAAGTGTCAAATTTGGAAGATCTGCATATCTCAGTGAAGCAATATTTTCCAAATGAGCAATATGCCATGCAGAGAGCAACACACACATGCACACTTACGTATGTATGAATATATTTATTTTTATGACCTCCATATATTGAAAACTTTGGGGTTTATATTAGCTTTCCCTGTTTTCTGTAATTGTAACTTTTTTCTCCAACTTTGTGAAATCTTGCTCCCATTATTCTCAATCTGCTTTCACATTTGGTCAGTCCTCATATGAAAGCAATCTACTGACCTTGCCGGGCTGCTACAGAACTGGATGTTCCTATCTCATAAAAGCACCCAACACCTCTGTGAGATGCTGCTGCCTTTGTAAGATGTGCCTTCCTTGCTCAGGCCCCTGGTCCCTATAGTTTTTGGGTAGCATTATTATGGAAGGACAGAAAGGAGGGAGGGGAAAAGAAAGTGTCCTTATATTTAATGTAGTCGAATTCATTCATCTTTTCCTTCATGGTTTGGATTACTTTTGTCTAAAAAATTCTACCCTATTCCAATTTTTAAAGATATCCTACTATATTTTCTTCTATAGGTTTATATTTTCTCTTCCTCACTTAAATCTTTAGTCTACTTAGGACTGATTTTTGTTTGTGGTAGGTAGTAGGGATCCAATAATAATAATTTTGTAATGTGGATAACATTTGTTCCATTACCATTTATGGAGGTATATTTCTTTATTATAAAATATAATTTTTAAAATAGTAAAGTGAAAGTAATCTACTTTAGTTTGAAGAAGAACAGAAGAAGAGAGAACTTAAACCCTATTATATCATGTCTGAGCTTCAGTAGCTCATGTTGACTACTGTTCTGCTGAGGCTAAGACATGATGTAGAGCTGCATCTTCCGATACAGTTTGCTTCACGCCGTAACGTTTCCTGAGAAGAAAATTCAAATGTTAAACCATGGTAGGCAATTGTATTTCTGATAGAACTAAAGGATTATCCTGCTTGTGTTACCAAGAAGCTATAATATATTGAAGCAGAAATTGGAGAACTACTCATGTAATTTTTCAGTAGAAGGCTTACACTCATCATTTGCATGTTATACATTTTCTCTGATTAATATTTCCCCTGATTAATATTATGCCTGCACAAATGCTCATGGCTGCCCTTTGACATAAATACTTGTCACAGCTGATACTGATGAACACAGAGTCACTTCTGACTAGCCAACTGGCTATGCTGACTCATCAGAATGTAGATTCTCTAATCTTTTCTTAATAAGATAACATAGCAAATCCAGAATGTACTTTAATTAAAATAATTGCAAAAACATAAGAACCTATAGAAATAAATGTTTCATAAAAATACATAAACCTTAAAAGTTTACAGAATGCTTGTGAGTGAATTAAATTCCTATACACTTAGTGAAGTTTAATGTTTGAATGATACCAGCATTGTGTGCCAAAAATCTAATGTAAAGATTAGGTCTAGGCTGGGAGCAGTGGCTCACACCTGTAATCCCAGCACTTTGGGAGGCCGAGGTGGACAGATCACTTGAGGTCAGGAGATTATAACCAGCCTGGCCAACATGGTGAAATTCCATCTCTACTAAAAATACAAAAATTAGCTGGACGTGGTGGTGCACACCTGTAATCCCAGCTACCCAGGAGGCTGAGGCAGGAGAATTGCTTGAACCCGGGAGGTGGAGGTTGCAGTGAGCCAAGATTGTGCCACTGCACTCCATCCAGTCTGGGTGACAGAGTGAGGCTCCATCAAAGAAAAAAAAAAAAGATCAGGTCTATTCTAAAATAACTTCTTACTTTTCCTGAATCATGGTATGATGATTTCAATTGTTTACATTCTTTGAGCTGCAGTTTACATGTAGTACATTATTTTAAAAACATCCTATTGAGACATACTAGTGTGTCTTGTGGACCAGGAAAACCACTTTCAAAATAGATACTATGGGCTTTTTCTGATATTAAGCTTAGGGAGTAATTGATACTTTGAATTTGTCAGTTACTAGCTCTTCTTTTCCCTTGATGGAAACTGTGTCTGTTGTGCTTATAGTCAGCATAAAATAGTTTTGCTGTTGCTAAGTAGTGCAGGTACAGGATACTAGAAAATGACATTTCAGAGTTTCCTCAGGGGTGAGTCACCTAGAACAACCTGGGGCAATGAGTAGAGCTGCTGACATAAGTTTGGTTACTCACTGAGAGTCTCCTTGTTCTGAAAATGAGCTAAGATTTAAAGGCATCTTTTAGAGAGGAAATAGGAACTTAGGGAACCCATATGGACAATTCCAAAATGAAAAGACAGACATTCTGTTTCTCCTAGTCAGAAGTAACTGATAGAGATTTGAAATGAGAATGGATGGAATCTGTCATCAGAGACAGATAAATAATGATAAGATTTGGCCCTGATGCCAATTTGGAATAGTAGATGAGGAAGCTGAGCTTATTTTGAGGGTGAAATGAATCTTAGTATCTCACTAGCTAGTAAACATGTAGTATCAAGTAAATTATACAAGCTGGAGTGAAATGAATGAGGGCATAAGGCTGAATATTTTGGGCCCCAATGCCATAGAGCCCACCATGAATGAAGTCAGTGAGATGGTGATGGCTCAAGACAGAAAGCTTGAGAACACATTGAGAAATGGCTTTCTTCCTGAGGGACAGTGAGTAGGGTGGAAATGAAGACACAGTGACTGAGCACCCTGGGACTCTGAGAATCAATTCTGGATGAAACTGTTACCATAATTTTAACAGCATGAATCCACATCTGTTTAATCTAGTAAACGTAGACAGGGTGTGAACAAGAAGGAACTAAGGTGGAGTAATGCTTTCTAGCTAAGATACATGTGGTTAGGTTTAGTCACGTGAGGTGAGGTTTAGTCAGGTAAGGGGAAAAAAGCTGTGCTTTCTGTGCCATCCAATTCTATGCTAGAGTCAAAGACTAACCTGCTCAGGTGAAGTAAGAGTAATTTTCCTACATGGTGGCAGCATGGTTGGGATGAGAGGTGCAGTGTATGAGTAAGGATGTGGTGTGCAGATGACAGGGGCCATTCTAGCTAAGGAAGCTGGAAAGACGGTGGTAGGGCAAAGCAAAAAGATGAGCAAAGCAAAAAGGTAAAGCAAAGCAAAAAGGTGGGACAGAATCAGGGCAGCTAAGGATTGTAAACCTCATCCAGCCTGGAATTTTTCTGTGCAGATATGTCAACTATACTTTTTATGGTCATTTGACAGCTGGTGAGAAGTTTTAAACCTGCAGAGGTTATTAGTGATTACCTTTGCCATCGCTGAGTAATGATGAATAGAGCATTTACATAAGCTGCAGCTTTGTGCACACAGCAGTGGCCCTCAACATTACTCTGCTTCTCAAACCTACAGAAAGATTTAGAAAAGGTATAAGAATGGATTTAACTTATGATAGAAATCTCAAAACAGGGCCATACCTTGTGCAGAATACTAAGTGATACAGAATGGAAACAGCAAGCCCTTCTTAATTGTCCCAAGCTTGCTAGGGTCTGTTTCTCAGTTCTTAGTTTTTGAAGAAATCATTTTTCCTGGGCTTGTTTTCTGAACCCAACACCTGGATTTGGGCTTTTGAAAATAAAACTCTTTTTCCCCCAATTCCAGTCATTCCCAATCCCCTTTCCTACTTCCCATGCCCACACACCTCTCTATAGCTGGAACACACACACACACGTGCACACACACACACACACACACACATCCATTACCTGCCCTGTGCTTCTGAGTGTTGACCCATCTGGCTCTCATAGCAGAATGCCACAGCCCTGTCTTTATTCCAAGATCTGCGCTATCTGGGTCTTCCTTGGATAAACTCACAATACCAATTGCTTTCAGAAATGAGTTGACAACTACTGTCATTCATACTTGTTTATACGCCCTAGCATCTATACTCAGCACCAAAGAAAGACATGAAAGGAATGTCCACTCCATGGTGTATCATCTCTTTTCTGGTCAGAGAGGACCTCTAGGCTGATTAAGTTTCTTTCCTTCAAGTTTGATAAGATCTTGAGACAAGCAAATCACACTCAGGAAATAAAAATTTGTACAATGAAATACTTGTTATCAGCACACTGAGAGAAACACCACTGCCAGGAAGAGTAAACTCTAATTTTAACTGGTCAACAGGTTGTATTTCCCATTAGAAAAGCTATTTGTAAAAAAGAACAGTTATTTGTCTAGTGACTACAAAGTTAAAAATTAAGAGAATTGGGTGGCTGTGGGATTAAGACAGAATCTAGCAACTTCCCTTTGCCTCTGGAACTCATCTTCCTGTAATCTCGATTAGTTGTGTGCCACAAAATAGGAGTTCTCATCTCCATGGGCAATGGAGATTAGATCCTAAAACTGCAACCCTTAAGCCTAGTGACCTTCTGTTATTGAAATTATGCTTGTTTCTCTGACTACTCCCCTACCGATTTAACTACAGTGAAGTAATTTGAAGATTTAAGCATAACAATTTTGCTTTGGAAATAAGACTATATGACAGATAGATAATCATATAGTGCCCGAAAGTTATTAGGTGCTCAGAAAATATGAGAAATACATGACAAATAAGAGAATACAAGTAATTCAAGATTAAATATCTTGAAGAACTTTATGAAAAATGGAATCGGAAGTAGCCATTATTTGTTTCAAATTCCTTTGAAAATAAAGTAGTTTATAGAATTATGAATTAATAACAATTATTCGTATGCAAAGGACTATTCAGTAAGGTGAGAGAATGCCATATTGTTCATTTGGAATCTGATTTGTAAGATTCTATTCAAGAAAACCCAGTAGTAACAAGGCAGGGATAAAAGTCTGCCAAATCAGATTGAGCACTTACTCAAAGCTTCTTATTTCCAGATATACCGGGAAAAGGAGCTCTTGGAAACAAGAAAAAAAGTAGAGAATACATGGAGTGTACACATACACCTTTTGAATGAAATGATACTTTATGCATAAACGGCCATGCTTTGAACCATATGATGGTGTTACGATGAGCACAGCTAATTGCCTCAAAACAGGCTTTTGAGCCAAAAGCAGCAATCTGTAGTCTGGCCTGCAGTTCACCAGTTGGCTGGAGCCATAACAATGCATAATAAGGATGCTCACTAGGTGCTCAATACATATTGCAGTCAGATTTTCTATCTCTTCGAGAGTTTAGCTCTAGGAGAAATGCAGCTAGTGGAGGAGAAGAGAACCTGAAGGAGGCAGGAATAAGGTAGCAAACAGAAGCCTTGGGAACACAAGGATGACAGGGTATTTTCTATGGCAGCTGGAGAGATAAGAGCAGTAAGGATAAAATGCTGAGTCGCCGCAATCCTGGAACACCAGAGAGTCAACAATGTGCCCTGTTGATGTATTGAAACCACCTTGGCCAAAGTATGACAGTCAGAGAAATCTGACGTGGCTGACTCCATTTTGCTTCTAGCCTCACAGGCTGGTTCCCTTCGCTCATTCCTGGGCATAGCCCAAGCTAACTTTGGGAGAAACTTAATTTATAGCTTATGTAATAATAGACCTTTCTAAAAACTAAACTGTTCTTGTAAAGCTTAATGAAATGGCACCAAGTTAGGAGGATGAGAGGGGCTTGAATTCTAAATAATTTTCAGTCATTATTCTGGAGGTCATAATATTTGCAATTTCCCCTATTAGTCTTGAAGATAACATAACTGTTGTAGAACAAAGATTGGCCTCTTGAGGTGTCTTTTCAGGTTTTTGCGTTTCTGACAACCAGATGTCACCACCTAGACGTGCCAACCAGTCCTGTGGCCCCCACCCTAGAACTGACTCAGCACAAGAGGACAGCTTTGGTTCTCTATGATTTCAACTCCAACCCAACCAATCAGCATGCTTCCTACCCTAGCCTCCTGTCCACAAAACTATCTTTGAAAAATTTCTAACCTCTGAGCCTTCAGGGATTCATTTGAGTAATAACTCAGTCTCCCACATGGCATTGCTGGCCTTATGTCAATTAAACTCTTTCTTTACTGCAATGCCATGGTCTTGGTGAGTTGATTTTATTTGTGTAGTGAGCAGGAAGAACCCATCGGGCAGTTACGGGAGTGTGGAAATAAACAAAGACCAACCAAATGAGAAAAGCAAAGGTTATTTATTCTGAGCTTGCTATAGCAGAAGAGTCTGCATCATCCCTTGAGTTTTGGCAGAGATTTAAAGGCAGGCAAAGAAGTGGGAAAGCTTTACAATGGAAAAAAGGGAAGGCTTCAGGCATGCACTGATCGGAGGCTTTGGCCTGGGGAAGCTATAAGTGGGCTAACCAGAATCAGGTTGTCCTGTGTGATTAGTTAGGGGTATATATTCTGATTTCTCTGGTCCTAGGTTGGAAGCAGAGATCAAAATTAGGGATGCTGTCAATTATTAATCAAGTCCTGGCTATTTGGGGCCTATTGCTATAGCAGCTACTGTTTAGCTTCCTGGATCATCACTACAGATAGCAATCTGGCTTCCTGCAGGTCTGACTTACAGCAGGATGGCTTCTTGTGTTGCTCATTGCAGATAAGGAGCTGGTTTCCTGGGCAGGTTTCTACAAGTTGTGGATCAAAGTTCTATTTTTATATATGGTCTGGACATTGTCCATTTGCATATCAGTCTCTTGGGAGTCTCTATTGTTTGTATTCAAATTGATCACCTAGTCCTTCATAGGCCTGGCTCTCTGATCACTAAGATGGTTTCTTTCCTTTTCTGCTTCTAAAACCATTTCTGTTTCTAAACTAAGACTATCTCAGCTTTAGAAACTCTCATACTGCAGGAAAGTCTTCAGTTCCAGGCAAACTGGGATGGTTAGTTATCCTGCCAGTATATATCCTTTCCAGAGCCCTAATTAACTGGGTTAACAAGCAAAGCATTGATGGTTTTTAAGAACTCATCCTGTTCAATATTCTCTGTTCCTAGAAAAATTAAAAAGTCTAACTAACAGAAGGAAAAAGTAAAGTCCTTGTTTTTAATAAGCAGAGTAGTAATGATAGGGACAAGAGGCAGGGAAATTTTGGGCAGAAGGGGGCAGGTCCCTGGCAAGGGTGCCACCTGGGAGCCTGGAACCACAGCCCAAAGTGAGAACATACATTCCTGTTTTCCTGCTCAAATGTTACCTTTTCCAAAACCTCCCATGGCCTGCCCTGCCCCACATGCTATGTCCATAAAAACCACAGGTTCCACCAGCAGAAGAGAGGAGAAACAATGGATGTCGGAGGCTACAGTTAGAGAGAAGCAGCTTGACTTCAGAGGGACAGCTTGATGGCATAACTTCAGAGAGGAGTCCAGCTGGAGACAGCCAGACTCCAAGAGAAAATTACCTTCCTGCTCCATCCCTTTTTCATCTCCCCTTCCCGCTGAGTGCCACTCTCATTGGCAATAAGATCCTCCACATTTACCATCCTTCAAATTTGTTCATGTGACCTCATTCCTCCTGGATACTGGATGAGAACTCGGGTGCGGGTGCAAAAGACTGTCACATTGACCCTCCACTGAGGTGTTAACACTTAAGCTGTCCACAGGTGGCAAAACTAAAAGGACGTTGACTGTAACACTCTTCTGGGGCTTCAGGGTTTGCAGGCACCCCCACTAGACGCTGCCACAGGACCTATACAGAGTTCATTCCTGCCAACAGCCAAAAGCACTCACCCAGGCTCCTGCACTTGCTCACCTGCATGCTCCCTTCTGCAAGGAGTTGAGCACAGCGGGTTTGAGTGAGTGGAGTTTGCCCCTGCCAGCGCTGAAGCAGCCAGCTAGTTCCCATGCTCACACTCTAGTTCCGGTCCACAAAAGGGTCGGGGAAATTTTCCTGCTTCACTAAAAACTACATTTGTTTATAGATTTATTTAATATTATTTGCATATCAGTGCTGCACAAGGAATCAGGAGGCCTGTATTGGCTGCCAACCAGCTATGTAAACTTGGGTAAATTGCAAAGGAGTGTTGGGGCTCAGAAAATAATACCCCAAAGTATGGTGCTTTGGCATGCTGAGTACTTTGAACTAAAGAAGAACCAAGGTCTCTGATCCTCTTCTGCCCTCCTATCTCTCATCCCTCTTTCTCCTCCAAGTGCAGGGAGGGGCTTTCCCTGAAGTTTGTTTATTTGACTAAGGGAAGTTTCTTGCAAAAGAATGTAATTGTCATGAGCTCCTGCCTTAAAAGTCCATCGAACAGGGAAGATTAACTCATAGGAAAGAAGACTAAAGGTCACTATACCACCTATACTGTCACCTGAGAGACTACCTGCATAACAAAACACCTTTGCTCACCATACATTTCCTTCCCTCACCCTTTCACAGCTTGTGTTGATCCCTCACATGAAGAAGTCCTAAGCCTCTATTTCTTTCTGTAGCTCAGAATGCCATTTATAGCCTGGCATGATGGCATGCACCTATAGTCCCAGCTACTCAGGAGACTGAGGCAGGAGGATCACTTGAGCCCAGGGGTTTGAGGCAGCAGTGACAGCTATTATCACACCACTACACTTCAGCCTGGGTGACAGAGCAAGACCCTGTCTCTTAAAAATAAATTGCTATTTAAACTTCAACCATCTGACCCTTCTTTGAGTCTTATATTTTGTGAGGCTCTTGGGCATTTGCATGTAATAAATTTGTATGCTTTTCCTCTTGTTAATCTGTCTACTGTTAGTTTATTCCAGAGATGCAAATTATCAAAACATCAGAGTAGAAGGAAAGTTCCCTTCACTCCTACAAGAGCATAATAGTAATTTTTCCATTTTCTGGAGACAATGTACAGATATGGTTTTGAGAATTCATTCTCTATAGATTTGAAAACATTAATGAACTTTTTTAGCTCAACTTTTCTCATTTGTAAAATGGAGATTCTAATAATCTAGCTTTTCAAGTCAGTGTAAGAAGTATATGAAATAATGTATATAAAACAAGTATCGCATTGCCTGAAATGTAGTAGGCTTAGAAAAATTTATGTATTTGCAAATTTATTTTGCTTGCTAATACCTCCTGTTTGAAACTAAGTTATATACCTCTGTATTAGTCCATTTTCGTACTGTTGATAAAGACATACCCAAGACTAGGTAATTTACAAAAGAAAGAAGTTTAATGGACTCACAGTTCCATGTGGCTGGGGAGGCCTCACCATCATGGCAGAAGGTGAAAGAAACATCTCAATGGTGGCAGACAAGAGAAGAGAAATTGTGCAGGGAAACTCCCCTTTATAAAACCATCAGATCTCATGAGACTTACTCACTAACACAAGAATAGCACAGGAAAGATCTGCCCCCATGATCCAATTACCTCCCACCAGGTCCCTCACATGACACATGGGAATTGTGGGAGCTACAATTCAAAATGAGATTTGAGTGGGGACATAGCCAAACCATACCAACCTGCAAACTCATATAAGTCCTAACCTCAGAATTTACTATATTTAAAGATAGGGTCTTTAAGAGGTAATTAAGTTAAAATGAGGTCATTAGGGTGGGCCCTAATCCAATATGTCTGATATCCTTGTAAGAAAAGATTAGGACACAGAAGGAAGAAAAGGTGAAGCCACAGGGAGAAGATGGCCATCTACAATGTAGTCAGGAAGAGAGGTTTCAGAAGAGATCAACCCTGCAGGCACCTTGATCTCAGACTTCTAGCCTCCAGAATTATGAGAAAATAAATTTTTCTTATTTAAATTACTTAGTCTGTGGTACTTTGTTATGGAGCCCCTAGCAAACTAAACCTCGTAAAGATAATAACATCCTAATTTAAATAAACAATTAACTTGGGCTAGAGTAGCAACATAGTACGATCTGCTAATCAGCTGATTATTGTTTGATCTATATCTGATTTTCATATATAAACAAGGAAACATCATGCAAAGTGTTTCTATTTAAGGCCAGGCATGGTGGCTCATGCCTGTAATCCCAGCACTTTGGGAGGCTGAGGCAGACAGATCACCTGAGGTCAGGTGTTCAAGACCAGCCTGGCCAACATGGTGAAACCCCTTTTGTACTAAAAATACAAAAATTAGCTGGGCATGGTGGTGTGTGCCTAAAGTCCCAACTACTTGGGAGGCTGAGGCAGGAGAATTGCTTGAACCCGGGAGGTGGTGGTTGCAGTTAGATTACGCCACTGCACTCCAGCCTGGATAACAGAGGGAGACTGCATCTCAAAAAAAAAAAAAAAAAAAAAAAGTTTCTATTTAAGAGATCTCCTCTGTATCAAGCAATATTTGAATATCCCAGAATTAATGGGTTTTTTAAATGACTGATATTACATTATTTTTGAGGTCTACAAATCTTAAAATTACCTATTTGTAATATTTCTATTTTTCATATACACCTGATTCCTAATTTCAATAAACAAGAAAATAGGTGTTGCAGAAAGCTGTCTATACCCTCCATGAAAAAAAAAATAGAATGCTCTTTGAGCCAGCCAAACAAGAAAAATGCCTCTTAGAAGAAATGATTGTTGCCAAGAAGGATTTCTTTCTGCTTCCCCATCTGTCACCCTCAGCTTCCTTGCATGTGCTCTGGCCCCTGGGTACAGTTAGGAATATTTAGGTGCTAAGGAGCTCCAGCTCATTAATGGTCACACAGGAAAGGACCTTCTCCAAGGGAATGGCTGGAAAGGACCAAGGGAGGCTGTTGTCCTTAATCTGTCATACCTATAATAGATTAGTTTTTGACCAAGTTAAGGGAGAGTAGGACATTTCAGTGATTCCAGTTCAAAAGTCAAAGTTGCAATTTCATTTCATTATATTGAAATGTCCTTTCGTCTTAATTGTCTGATAAGATTTGGGCACAGGTTATGTATAAATGCTTAACTGGTTTTGAGAGACACTGAGGTTGCTCCATTTCCTACATTCCCAGAGGAGAGTGTGAGCTACTCTCACTAGGGAACTAATCATCAGCCTAGCTTGTGTATAAATTTTCCGTGAAGAGGCAAAAAGCAGTGCAAGAGAAAACACACACACACACACACACACACACACAATGAAACAGGCAGTTGTGCCATGCTCGGTTGCAACCCACAACTAAATTAAAGTAACACGACAGTAAATACGCTATAAAAGAGTAAGCACATTCTCTCAAGCCAAAGATGTGCTAAATTTGGATACCTCTATGTGGAACACACATCAGAGCTTTGAAAAATGAAAAAAACACAACTTGAAACATCCAAGCTGACTGGGGTTTAAAAAACAAACAGCAACACAGAGTATCTGGGAGGGGATAAAATATCTAACTATTCTACACAGAGTGCCAAGGCATCTCTTCTGTACTATCATTTTAAGCTCCAATTGGGTCAGTCATCTACAACCATATCATGTGCTTTGATTGACTACAGTTTGGATATTTGGTCTCCTGTAACATCTACCTCCATGTGACTTCTGAGCTAGATTATCTCTGCTCCCCTGATGTTAGTCAGGGAAAGGAGATTAGAGTGGAGGTTGGAGGGGGCATGAATTCTTTCTTAGACTGTCACAGAAGCAGCTGTTCTCTCCTAGCAGGGGCAAAGCTTCAGTCTGAAGATTTTGGTCACATTGCTTTTTACCTACTTTCCAACTTTGCAAATGTAAATTCTATAAACATCTGGGCATTTTGCATTATGAAGAAAATTGCTAGATCCTTGACTTAATTTTTAAATATCCTTTTAAGTATTTTGAAATCATTTAAGCAGACTGTAATCTGAGAATCCTTAGTTTGGGAAAGGTTTTGCTCTCCAAGGGACCGAATGGCACTTCCCAACTCACAATTACAAATTTATGGGAAGGTTGCCTGTGACTCTCAACTTTCTCCATCAAAGGTCAAGGGAAAAGAGAGTTTATATCTTTAGTCTTTGGAAAGTTTCATCAGTCTGCAAAATATTTTTCACATTTCTTAGGATTGTGGCAGTGATGTGCCTAATGACTATATCTTCAACAGGTTTAGTAACCATCTTTAAAGGTATGGTTTTAATTCAGATTCAAACTTTTACTCTCCCAAACACAGACTTCTTTCATACTCAGCATTTCTTTCTTACCTAGTGCTAATGTAATTATTTTAATAAATTAAATGCAAAAGGATACAATTTTCAACCACCTCCTTCTACTTGATAAAGTCCTACTCTACCCCAAGGCCCATCTCAGATCTTTCTAACAACCCTAGAGAATATTTTCCAAATGAGTTTAGTTCCATCATCATCTTACAGCATCATGCTTGTCCACTGTCATAACACTCACCGTATCAGCAATCTCTCACCACTGAATTATAAACTGCTTGAGGAGAGAAGCAGTGTATAATTCCTCTCTGTATTCTCAGGAACAAGCACAGTCTTTGGAATACAGTTGATGCATCATAAACCTTGTTGAAGTGAATTGTCAAGGTTTCATTGAAGTCAAAGACATCATCGGACACCTCTGTTATATGAAAATTCATCTGTGATTAAGGTGCTAAATAATGAAGTCTCTCCCAAGACAATAATAATGAGTCATGTACCTTTTTTGAGATGCTTTCTATGAAATTATAGACATGATATCAGATCTGAAATGTGGTGAGGACCGTTGCCCTTGGAATTCATACACATAATTGAGGAAAGAGCTAGTGTCAAGGTCCTTGTAACTTTGAGAGCTATAATACTACTATAAGAATGACTAGAATCACATTAAAGACCTATTCTGAGTTTCCTCTCTCTCTGTTTCATAGAGTGAGGCAAGGATGAAGTAGAACTGAATCAGTTATTTGCTTTTTATGCTTATGTCTATGCCCATGAAACTTTCTTGGGCATGCTTTCTTAGTCACATGTAACATCCCAAAAGGGCTAATCATTTCAGGATAAGTGCTCTGACTTTGATCATGCTTTGTCTTACCATCTTAGGGCCTCATTTAATACATATGTGTAACTTACTATTTGCCAAGCACAACAAATGCTGGAATTGTAGCAGTCATGAGTTACTATTTTGTTACCCAAAATTCATTCCTCTTCCCCCAGCTTCCTTATTCATATTTTTCAAAGTAACAATGTACCTGACTAAAAATCTCAACTCCCTAGACTCTCTCAGAGTTGGAGGGGTGATACCATTGCAGACAATAAAATAAACTGCAAGTTTCTGGGAAATAACCCTCATGAATGTAAGCCATTCTTGGGACAGCTCTGTTATTTGAGGCTGAATGAATATCTGATAAGTTGGCACAGGCAATCCTAAGAACTGTTGAATTGTGGCAGTCAGAAGAATGGCAGGGCTTAAATGTTGTTGCGTCATATCCTGAGCTTTTTATTTCTAGGCCAACCTGAAATCTTCCCAGTGGGTGGATGAATGAGAAGAATTGAGGAAATACACCTTCCCCTGTCTCAGGGAAGGAAGAGGATTATGGGCCTGCATTATTACCTTTAGGTCTGAGACACAGTGTGGGTGTTGGTTATAAGGGAGTTTGCATGCTAATGAATCCTTTTGGAGCTTGCATTCTGTGGAGGGGTAAAGAAATAAGGTTATAAGTGAAGGAGCAATTCCTGTGATGCTACAAAAGTCCTCCTGAGCAACAATCTGGCACTTCGAAGGGAGGCAACAAGTTCAGTATAGAAGGACACAGAGACTTTTTCTCTCTCTTTAAATCCTTATTTCCTTACAGAAATTGCTATTCTACTGCCCTCTAGGAGAAGGCTGCCCAGGACAAGAATTTCCTTGTTAACAAAAATTATGGCCAAAAAACAAAACAGTAGCAGAGATATTAAAGAAGTATCTGGTTTGGGGAGCTGGGTGGATGATCCTAAATTAATTGAAATTGAAAGGAGATATATGACTGCGTTTTTGGCCTCTCTTTTACTGTCATCCCAGCCCTTAGGTCATGTTTTATGTTCAAGGCATTGTGATCATCATTCACCTTTGACTGGAAGAGCAAAGTCACTCCTACTGGACATGGGTAAATATAGTAAGACACTTGAAATGCAATGCCCTTGAGAAGCCGGCTTCTTCTATAAGGAGCAACTTTATCTCAATAACAAACAGACAATAAAGGGAACTCCAGCTGGCCTGATGGGTGTTTTGGAACTCAAACAGCTGCTTCCGGATGTATCATTCCCACCTTTCACAGCCTTTCAGCGGAAATACTTATTGGCTCACTCAGAGGATAGAAAATCTTTCCAATTAGGCAAGTTGGTGTAAAGGCCTGAGGTGGGAGCTGGCAATGCTTCCCAGAGGAGCCCACCTCGAATGGTAGCCTGAGTTCACGCTGAATGCAAGGACAGCGCTGTATACAACCGAGGCCTTTAGTCACAGATGTGGGACAGGGGTGCCTTCGATGGGTCTTGCTCATTTTTTCTGTACTATTCCATATCTAGTATTGGATTCTTTAATTTCTCCAAACCAGCATTTATGAGGAAAAAACACAAATTCTCCCTAGGCAGGCAGTTGTAAGTGTGTGTGTGTATACATCTGTGTGTGTATGTGTGCATATGTGTGTATGCATGTATCTACATATTTGGTGGGAGAGAAGAAAAAGCCAGTCTCCTTCTCCCTGGAGACTGATTATTTGTAATTATTCAAGACATTTATAAGTAAAAATATTTATAATATTGTTTGAATGGCTCAAACATAAGAAGTAGAAGAGATGTACTAAAATTAAAAGTGTGTCTTATAAAATGAACTAACTTAGTTTAAAGAGCAGCTAAGTTTAAAGAGCAGCTTTTTTTTCTCTATCACCTGCCTACCATGCCCCAGCCAACACGATTTGCCAAGGCCAGTGACTCAGCAGAGCGTGCATTCAGCAGCTACTGAATGACAGCCTTGGAACAGTTACTGCAGGTCTCTCCACTCCTATGAGCAGTATAGTGACCAATGAGTCATGGATCTTTGCTCTCACTGTTTTCATCTTGAAATGCACACCCACTGCTGTGTGCATTTTTCTGCACGTTTCTACATTGCCTCAGTGTTATAAAACAATGCAGTAAAGGGCTGTTCTAGAGGCTGCCTGAAGTCTTCTGTCTCAAGCCAGCTATTTCCTTATCTGACTTGGCATTTAAAACAGCTGGATGGCTCTGACAAATGTGTCTTGGAGCTGTGCACCAGGGGTACGTTGCTTTATGATATGATTAAGTAAAAGCATATTCTTTCTCTTGCATTGACTTTCTGTGTGCCCTGAACTGAAATCAGTCCAATCAGTAAAATCCTGATGCAGAAAATGATAAACCCCAAGGCTTAACTACTGTTACTGAGAAAGCCCAAACTCAGCTCCCTTGACACCCTTGAGAGAGTTTACTGTTTACCTGGAAGCCATGAATTTCTCTCCTTGTTGAAAAGCATGCAATTGCCATTAGATGGAGCTCAATGAAAGAAAAAATAGAGGATGGGCTTTTTCTGGGTTAGAAAGAGGTTTTTCCTGGAAAGTCTATTGGAATTGTTACAGGGGCAGTCTCAGTCTGGTATGTGTTTCAGAGTTAGCCTCCCTATAAACCCATCAGACAGCTCTGTCCATGCACAACCATAAGCATTAACATCACTAAAACTAGTAAATATGAGATATAGGGCCCTAGAAAATTATATAAAAATCCAACAGGATAAGCTAATTTATGTTGTGTTAGAGTTTAGAGCCCAGATTTCCTCATAATTTGTAAAATGAGATTTATCTAGTGTGCTTTTATTTCCCTGCTCCTCAATCATCCTCACCACCAGGAGGCTTGGTGTTCATACATGAAGAAAGCTAGTCAAAGAGATGTATAGCCTGGGAAAAGAAAGGTAACCTAGTATTCATGTTGGAATGAAGTTTCCAGTCTGGCTTTGTGCAAGGATGGGCATGATGGCTGAGCCAACTACTGCAAGATTGTTCCCTTTTGCTTTATGGCTGGGATCAAATCAGAACATGGGTGGTCCTATGTAACAGGAAAAATGTGTGTCTTATGGGAAAAAGCCAATGCTTGTATTGTAACCATTTATATGTCATTAAGTGACACTGGGAATTTTCGAAGGACATTTCACTAAAGAACTTCTGCATGCTGAGATTTTATATTATCATGAGATCAAAACATCAAGGGAAAGAAAATATAAATAAATAACTTTACTGCATTTATTTATGTTCATATTAAACCATAGAAAGAGATTTGTAAACTATAAACAATGAAGACACTATGGATTTAAAATTGGATTTGGTTCTATAAACTGATTTGCATCAATAAGTTTTTAAAAGAAAGCTTTTTTCTCCTTTTTCAATGTGTGTATACATATGATTCTTCCAGCAATGCAGGGACTGCCCATTTGTCCTTTTCTTCCACCCCATATATATCACCTGACACAGCAGAAGATATCTGCCTTTGAAACATTTGTTTGTAAATCAAAATATATTTTAATTGCATTGGAATGGTCTTTATTACACTGTTGGGAGTAACTTCACAAGCAAAACATCTTTTAAGGAGTGAATAATGAAGCCATAGTAAGTCTTTTACTATACATAGGAGTTTATATGCTAAATGTGCATAAAGCCAAATAGTCCACAGAGTCATAAATTGTGGTACCCTCTTACATATATGACAGACATCCCCAGACTAGCCAATTAGCTCATGCATTCCAGAAAGATGTACCAGACATCCTCAAAGACTCATGCTTGGGAACTTAAGGAACCAGAGGGAACTCCGGCAAAGTAAAACCACCTGTTCTCATTCGATAGGCCTCAGTTGAGGATCTCACTCACCTTTGCTCCTCACATCCTGATTCTCATTCTGAAAACAACTATCTATCTGGCTTTGAGTCTATACTCAAAAACACATGCCTTTGCTCACATCCTGATTTTCACTTTGAAAACAACTATCTACCTGGCTTTGAGTCTATATCCAAAAACAAAGGTGGTGAGGTATCAGGAAACAATGGACCTCCTACCGAGCCTCCAGGAGGATATTTCCTCCCAAACGATAAAGGAAGAAATTTCAAGGGGAAGGAGGGCAAGGTAGAAGGAGAGGAAGACAATACAGCATAGGATGTTGTGTATTAGCCCATGATTCAACATTAGACTCATCAGTAAGTGCCTGCGTGGAAGGTTAATTTAGATTTCTATTTCTGCATTTAACGTCTTTTAAAAAGAAAAAAAACGTTGACTCCTCAAGACTCAGTGACAAACTGGGGAGAGAAAGAAGAGGATCAATGATGGTATTGGGTTCCCGACTTGGATTACAAATGGATGGTGGTGTTGTTACAGAAAAGGAGTCCTAATCCAGACCCCAAGAGAGGGTTCTTAGCTCTCACACAAAAAGAATTCAGGGCGAGTTCACAGTGCAAAGTGAAAGCAAGCAAGTTTATTAACAAAGTAAAGGGATAAAAGAATGGCTACTCCACAGACAGAGCAGCCCTAAGGGCTGCTTGTTGCCCATTTTTATGGTTACTTCTTGATGATATGCTAAATAAGGTGTGGATTATTCATGCCTTCCCTTTTTAGACCATATAGGGTAACTTCCTGACATTACCATGGCATTTGTAAACTGTTTTGGTGCTGGAGGGAGTGTAGCAGTGAGGACAACCAGAGGTCACTCTCATCACCACTTTGGTCTTGGTGGATTTTGGCCAGCTCCTTTATTGCAACCCATTTTATCAGCAAGGTCTTTATGACCTGTATTTTGTGCTGAACTCCTATCTCATACTATGACTTGGAATGCCTTAACTGTCTGGGAATGCAGCCCAGTAGGTTTCAGCCTCATTTTACCCAGCTCCTATTTAAGATGGAGTTGTTCTGGTTCACATGCCTCTGACATTCCCCCCTCCCTTTTATAAGAGAACTCTTAATCCTAAGGGTTGCGGAGGGATGAAGGTCCATCTTCTATAACTTCTTCAGGCTGAATTGGGCAATGATATTCCTGCCTAACTATCAGGGGTCTCTTGAATTCAGGGTAGAGAGGAGCTCAGTCAGAAAGCATCAATATGGTAAGGTCCATTCATAACTCTTGAGTTTCAACAAAAGGTGACATCTGCAAGATTAATAAGTGTATAATTTAAGAAAACATTCAGTAAGCTTGTCCCGTATTCCTACACAAAGAGTGTAACAGCAATATATTCCACAAAAGCAAATAAAAATAAGTAACATTATTCCAGGTAAATTAAATTAGAAGGCTCTTCATGAACTGGGCAACTGCTGGAACTAAGCTGATACAGAGTTGTTAGCTGATTGTAATGTGCCCAGAATTAGAATATTGATCCAGATTTTTACATTACCCATCCCTCTTGTTTCTTCTGAGCAGCAGCCAGAGATCACTGGTTGGTTTACAGGAATAAGCAGGGTCAGTCTAAATGCAGAAACAAACTTAAAAACAATAATAAGACTAGAATTTAATAACAAGTGTACCATAGCTTTTGAAACATAGTATTTCTCACTCCAGTTTCCCAGTTTTACTAAAGACAAATTATAGTACGACTGATTTGCTTTATTATACTTGGCCTGATTATTTGTATAAAATGCAGCAAGAATAATTATTTTTCACATAGGCTTTTTAATTATCTTTGATGGAACTCTGTTTCATAAGGAATCTCAGATAAGACTTTTTAAAAGCTGAGCCCTGCCAAATACCTATGAGTTGGGTAAATTCCTCTCCTTTTGAGGAGATAACTTGGGGCTCCCAGACCTGTGAGAAAGTTACATTCTTTACTTACCATATATTAGAAACCCTCTACAAGGATTGCTGTAGGCAAGGTATGAGGCCAGTTCCCCAAGGGGTTTTTAGTGGCTCTGTAAGTCAAGTTAAATTCCCTAAAGGGAAACACACTATTCCAGTCAAGGCCTTGGCAAAATAATCAATTTCTCCAATTGTGTCCTGTTACAAAGGAAAACAGCCTCTTATTGCACCTATGCAAATAACTATAGTGCCATAAGTTAAGAATACTCACAACTAGTTTCCAAATTCTGGAGAAATCAGGTAGAGAGAAATAAATATGCTCCAAATTTTGTTCATAGGAGTACAATCAATGGTTAAAAGCTGTAAATAGCTCAAAATAAAAGTTTCCTTGACTCTGAAAAACAAAACAGAGGATCAGCAACGTTTTAAGCAAAGTTAAAAAGACTAAACTTCTTCAGTTTAGGCCATGTAGTTAACTTCTGTTTGATGGTTATGAACATTTCAGTTCTCTATGAGAGTTCTGAAAGTTTTTTCTTTTATTCTGATGTCACAATCTCCAAAGTTATCAGAAAGCCTGCATTTCTTTCTTTCTTTTTTTTTTTTTTTTTGAGATGGAGTTTTGCTCTTGTTGCCCAGGCTGGAATGCAATGGCGCAATCTTGGCTCACCACAACTTCTGCCTCCCAGGTTCAAGTGATTCTACTGCCTCAGCCTCCCAAGTAGCTGGGATTATAGGCATGTGCTACCACGCCCAGCTAATTTTTGTATTTTTGGTAGAGATGGGTTTTCTCCATGTTGGTTAGGCTGGTCTTGAACTCCCCACCTCAGGTGATCCACCCACCTCAGCCTCCCAAAGTGCTGGGATTACAGGCATGAGCCATTGCACCCAGCCAGCAAACCTGTGTTTAAGAACACCTGCAAGAGTTCTATAGTTGATTATATAAACCACCTTCTAAAGAGGATTAAAACAAGACAACAATTGTCTGTGGATGATAAAAAGTTTAACCACAATTGATAAGGAAATTTAGTTACTTCTGTGACACACAAAATTTTACATAATAATTATAATTATTAATAACATATACTAATTCATATTAGAATTATAGGAGTTTCCCATAACTTTGAAACATATACCAATAACACTTTTATGCAAATATAGTCCAAAGAAAGCAAAACACTATTTCACATTTGATAATGCTTCCTGTATGATTTTATACCAAATAAGCCAAATTACACCTTTACATTAATGTGCTATTAATGTTAATCCCAATTTTTAATAAAACCTTATAGACATATTTAATCAATTTTAATGTTTAACCACAAGGTAATATTCTTATAAACCTTTTATAACCCTTTACATTTTTGTGAAACAGCAGATTAATGCTCTAAGAAAAATCTGTTGTGCTTCTATTCCAATGTTTAATTTACAGAAAAATTGAATAATACCCTTTTAATTTTAGCCAATATGTTCACACACAGAATGTCTTACAATTAATTTTTATAAATCTTCCGTAACTTGTTTAAACCTTTAGATTTTTTTTACTTAAAACAATCCTTTAACACTTTATTCTAGGCTGAAAAAATCCACATTCCTACGACTTCTTATAATCTTTCACCAAAAATACTTTTACTTTCTTTTCACACCTTTCATGAAAAATTGTTTCTTTAGTAGTTTTAATTACATGTTATAATGTTAAGTCTTAGCAACTTCTATTTTTGGTGAAAACCTTGGTAAATTTGAGATTTTAATTATGTACTAGATGTGGAGCCTAGCCTAGGACACACCAGACAGAAGTGCATTTAACAGCTGGCCCTCCAGCATAGCTAGGGGCTGTGGCTAACTCCACATATCCCAGGCCTTACCTTACTTAAGCAGGCAAGTTTTACAGTAAGAGTCATAGTGGCATTTTATGAAGCATTGAGGTGGCCTAACAACCTTTGAAATGTACATTTCTCACATAAATTTCCTTGCACAGATCCTTTCATGACTTACACAGACCATCTGAGATATCCTTGAACTTTCGGACTTGCCCTAAACATTCCTCCTATTAAACAACCAGTCATTTTACTTTAGGACAAGAATTTACCATACAAGATCGTTTCTTATATAAAATCTCTTTCTTTATAATCTTCCTTGTATAGTTAGGGGGCATGGCTAATTCCACATGTCCCCAGGCCTTATCTAGAATCTAATGGCTGTAAGGTAGGTAAATTGAATAGTTTTCAAAAGTCAAAGAAATCGTGTGACCTTGAAGCAGTTAGCAAATCTGATATCTGACCTCAATTTAGACCAAATATCTCCATTTTCAAGGCATTTTATATTACCAATAATCTTTAAAACTGTCTTTTCCTAAAGATTACTAAAGTCATGTGAAGAAAAAGGCATTAAAATTCCCATTTTTCTGACAAATTATTTGATTTAAGCACTTAGTTTTCTAAGCCAATTAATTAGAGCTCTTTTATATATAAACATACAACACGTATAAATACATAGGCAGACAGAAGATTCAGCACTAGTAAGATTTTTCATTTGCCAGTTTCTTAATTGGATGACTGGCTTTAGGGTGGACCCCATAGAAGAACAGGGCCAGAAAAGCATGCCATTTTAGGGCCAAATAAGCAGCAAATAAACAGCTGAAGGCAAAGACAGATCCCCAGAATTAAGAGTGCCATTTTTTACTGGTTCCTGGATCCCCCAAAGGAGGGAAATACTATGGGAGAAGACAGAGCAGTGCTTCTACTCTGCATTTCATTGCAAGGCAACCCAAATCCAATTAGCCTATTTTGTAATTAGCCCAACCTTCATGGGATTCCCATCTCCCAGTCAGGGTGGAGGTGTTTCCTTATCTTCCAGGTGGACAAAAGCATGCTTCTTTGATCCAAGTGTGCAAAGATTTGGTCAATTATCCCTCCATAACTACTATTAGCCATCCCTTAAAGTATATTTCCTACCTAGTTATTACACACCAAAACTCTCTCATAATGCGAAGTAATTTCTGATACCCCCAAAACTCAAAACCATCAGATAACACAATGCAAAACAGTACGGAAACCTTTGATTTTGAGAGGGATCTATCTGCTTTTAATTTCTAGGGTTTCATGAGGAAAACAGAAGTTTTTTTCCCAAAACGGGGTGCCTCCTCTATTTTTCCCAAGGAGTCCCAGGCTACCAGAAGTTATTTTAGGGCCTCTCGTGTGTGCATTAAGAGTGGCAAGACAAAAGAAATAGAGAATAATTCAGTCGACTGAGAAGAAAAAACCTTTTCCCAGAAAAACAAGTTCCAAGAAGAGAATAACATAAAGACCTTTTAAATATATCTATAGCTTGTTCATCCATTTTTAATTAAGCTGACTTTTAACTGTAGCACTTTTTAAAAAAATCCTTTCAGATCTTAGCTGGGCGTGGTGGCTCATGCCTATAATCCCAGCACTTTGGGAGGCCGAGACGGGCAGATCACGAGGTCAGGAGATGGAGACCATTCTGGCGAACATGGTGAAACCCCATCTCTACTAAAAATACAAAAAATTAGCCAGGCGTGGTGGCGGACGCCTGTAGTCCCAGCTACTCGGGAGGCTGAGGCGGGAGCATGGCGTGAACTCAGGAAGGGGAGCTTGCACTCCAGCCTGGATGACAGAGCGAGACTCCGTCTCAAACAAACAAACAAAATCCTTTCAGATCTCTTATTACCCGACTTTAGCCTTGCCAAGCGGCCAATATTTCTAGCTTCTGAACTTTACCAAAGGTAACCTCCTAGGTGCTTAGAGAAAGGAAAATTTAAGACAGTCCACGGACGAGAAGAGAATAGACAAGGTCACTCAGATACTAAACTAGACATGACTTATTTTGTAGGTGGGGAATCGAACACCAGACAGCCACTGTGAAAGTGCAAGACCCTGACTACTGAGCTACAGCACAGTCGCTACTTTGTCTCCCAGAAGAAGTCTAGAGTAGTTAATTTTGAGCTTCAAAATGTTTTTAACTATTTAATATGATTTTTAGAGCTAACTATGACATGAACCGTAAAATTCCTATTCCCTGAAGGCGGAGACCAAAAGAAAGCACCACCACAGGGTTAAAAGATCAAGCTCCCAAGGACATAAAACAAGGTGGAGACTTCATCCAGTTTTTTTCTTTGTTTCAGGGACCTGAAGCCAAGTTTGTTACAGACCAGCTTGCCGGGTCATCTTCAAAAGCGGGCTTACAGGTGTTCTAAGCCCATGTTTTATCCCAAAGATAAACGAATTCAAGCACAAAATACACCAGCTTAAGATTAGACTTAGAATTCTCAGCTGGGCGCAGTGGCTTATGCCTATAATCCCAGCACTTTGGGAGGCCGAGGTGGGTGGATCACCTGAAGTCGGGACTTCGAGACCAGCCTGACCAACATAGAGAAACCCCATCTCTACTAAAAATACAAAATTAACTGGGCATGGTGGCTACTTGGGAGGCTGAGGCAGGAGAATCGCTTGAACCTGGGAGGTGGGGGTTGCACTCCAGCCTGGGCAACAAGAGTGAAGCTCTGTCTCAAAAAATAAAATAACTGTTTTTTGCATTAATCTAAACTTCACAGGGAAGATAAATACTGATTTTTTTTGAACCATTTATTCAACTGTTTGCACAGAGAAAGAGAAGCCAGAAATCTGATGGGTAAGAAATTCTTACCCTTTTCCCTGCATGTCAGGCTTCTAGGTTCCCTTTTCCTAAGCAGCCCTAGTGATCCAGCTTGCAGCAGCATTGCCCTGGGGGCCAAGTCACATCATAAAGAAAAATTATTTTTTTTTCATTCTGGCCAGAGCAAAATACATGTGATAAAACATAGACATTAGCCACTCTGCTTAGCACCCAATATCAAACTGGCAAGGCTTAAATTTGCCCTCAGATGGGCCCCATCATCTTTAATCCAACCTCTGACTAGGAGTTTCAACATGTGGTCTCTGGGAAAGATGGTCACCCTAAGTAATAGAAAAGATGAGAAAGGGAAAGGAGAGAAAGACAAACATTACCTGTGGCAGGTGGCGAAGGCAAAATTCTCAGGGCGGCCAGAGAAAGATCCACCCACTGCAGCGACACTGAAAATTTCAGGAGGCTGCTGTTGTGAAGGGATTTTTTTTCCAGCAGTTTCATTAGCTCTCAAGTTTCTCCTTTTGGTAGAGAAAAAAGCTCCCCTGTCCCACGATGCTGTACATGCCTAACCCTGCCACCCACGGCCATCAGCAAAGAGTTCAAGGCAGATTAATCCAAAGAGAATAGAAGTTAACATCCCACAGTGCCAAATTTATTCTTAGCCGAGAGGGACTTTACTGAGAGGGGCCTCTAACCCCCTAAATCTAAGGGACTCTAACCCTCCTAAGTTGGGCCTCTAACCCGAGGTTGGTCAAGCTTCCTTGCATTTTATTAAGAGGGGCCTCTAACCCACTCTGTCGTAGGAGAGACTCTAACTCCCCTAAGTTGGGCCTCTAACCCAATCCCATTCTTTATCTGGGTACCCCACCACTTACCCAAAGTCATCCAATCAGTTCTCCAGTCTAGTTCCTTTGGGTCAAGGGTGGCCTCAGTTTGTCCCTTTCGTGGTTTGTGAGAAAGATGTTACTGGACCCCACCACTTACCCAAAGTTAGCCTTTGGGTAGGGGGTTTCTGCAGTATAGTATCGGGGGAAACAGCCCCCAATATTTCAAAGTAGGTTCTTTTCTATTTTCCCTAAGTGTCGGCTGGTCTGAGAAATAAAGGGAAAGAGTACAAAAGAGAGAAATTTTACAGCTGGCTCTCCAGGGGTGACATCCCATGTTGGCAGTTTCCGTGATGCCCCTGAGCCTGAAAACCAGCAAGTTTTTATTAGCAATTTTCAAAGGGGAGGGAGTGTACGAATAGGGTGTGGGTCACAGAGATCACATGCTTCAAAAGGCAATAAATTGTCACAAGGCAAATGGGGGCAGAGCAAGATCACAAGGCCAGGGCAAAATTAGAATTGCTGATGAGGTTTCATGTCCCACTGTGCACGCATTGTCATTGATAAACATCTTAACAGGAAACAGGGTTCGAGAGCAGACAACTGGTCTGGCTACAATTTGCCAGGCTGGAATTTCCTAATCCTAGCAAGCACTGCACGAGACCAGGGTGTATTTCATCCCTTATCTTCAACTGCATGAGACAGACACTCCCAGAGTGGCCATTTTAAAGGCTTTCCTCTGGGAATGCATTCTTTTCCCAGGGCTGTTCCCTGCAGAGAAAAAGAATTCAGCGATATTTCTCCTATTCACTTTTGCAAGAAGAGAAATATGACTGTTCTGCCTGGCCCTGCAGGCCAGTCAGACCTTATGGTTATCTCCCTTGTTCCCTGAAAATTGCTGTTATCCTGTTTTTTTAGGATGGCCAGATTTCATATTGTTCAAACACATGTTTTACAAACAATTTGTACAGATAACGCAATCATCACAGGGTCCTGAGGCGACATATATCCTCAGCTTAGGAAGATGACAGGATTAAGAGATTAAAGTAAAGACAGGCATAGGAAATTATAAGAGTATCGATTGGGGAAGTGATAAATGTCCATTGAAATCTTCACAATTTATGTTCAGAGATTGCAGTAAAGACAGGTGTAAGAAATTATAAAAGTATTAATTTGGGGAACTAATAAGTGTCCATGAAATCTTCACAATTTATGTCCTTCTGCCATGGCTTCAGCCAGTCCCTCCATTTGGGGTCCCTGACTTCCCGCAACAGTATAGTCACTTCTGTGGTTGTCAGAAAGATGTCACAGGACCCCAACACTTACCCAAAGGTAGCCATTGGGTCAGGATTTCTGCACTATATGGTCCCTTTGTAGTCGCCAGAAATATGTTACAGGAAAGGGGTCCTAATCCAGACCCCAAGAGAGGGTTCTTGGATCTCGTACAAGAAAGAATTCAGGGTGAGTCCATAGGGCAAACTGAAAGTAAATTTACTAAGAAAGTAAAGGGATAAAAGAATGCCTACTCCATAGACAGAGCAGCCCTGAGGGCTGCTTGTTGCCCATTTTTATGGTTACTTCTTGATGATATGCTAAACAAGGGGTGGATTATTCATGCCTTCCCTTTTTAGGCCATATAGGGTAGCTTCCTGATGTTACCATGGCATTTGTAAGCTGTCATGGTGCTGGTGGGAGCATAGCAGTGAGGACAACCAGAGGTCGCTCTCGTGGCCATTTTGTCTTTGGTGGCTTTTGGCTGGCTCCTTTATTGCAACCTGTTTCATCAGCAAGGTCTTTATGACCTGTATTTTGTGTTGACCTCCTATCTCATCCTGTGACTTAAAATGCCTTAACTATCTGGGAATGCAGCCCAGTAGGTTTCAGCCTCATTTTACCCAGCTCCTATTTAAGATGGAGTTAGTCTGGTTCACACACCTCTGACAGTGTTCTTCACTGAAATCAGGGTAGACACTTCTGCAAGTTCAGTGCTAGGTTGATAAATGTGAAATATGTCTTCTATGTTTGGTAAAAGGCAGTGTTACAAAGAATAGTGGTACTACTGCTTTATGTTTACATAAAGCAGTTGTCAAAGTATTTTCACAAACACCATCTCATTTGATACCCACAGCATCCCCATGAAATAATTTAGTTGGTTATCAGTAGTCCCACTTTAGAGATAAGAATACTGAGGCCTCAAATGTTTAAATAATTTTCCAAAGGTCACAAAGGAGGTATTAGGGTGAGGATTGAACTTTGGTCTTCTGACTCTAAATCTTGAGACCACTGAATTTAGTACTTAATTATTCTTCTTAACTTCATGAATGTTAGGTTGCTATTTTCCAATTAGAGTATATAGTCTCTGAAGAAAAGGATAATAGTATATATTTTTGTCTTGGAGTTTCTTGATCTTGACACTATTTACCTTTTGTGTCAGGGTAACATTTTGTTACTTTTTTGCATTATAAAGTGTTTAGTAGCACCCCTGGCCTCTACCCACTAAATAGTAGTAAAACATGCCAAGTTGTGACAACCAAATATGTCTCTAGTCATTGTCAAATATTCCCTGAAGGGCAAATTTCCCTCTTGGTTGAAAATCACTGATTTAGTCCTTCTACCATACCGGGCACATAGGAGATGGCTGTAAATTTCTGGAGAACTAATAAAGTGTTTTAAATAGAAACTTGTTAAACAATGAAGCTGAACTGAAGGGTAAGATGAAGGACTTGGCCTTTTTATCATTTGTAACAGTGCCTAACAAGTCAGGGAAGTCTGTGCTGATTAGTGAAATAATGTTATAGGAACAGATTTGGGAAGAGAAGAGAGGGACATGCTTCTTTTAAAGTAGATATGCCCCCAATTTTGCATGTACTTCCACACTGAAACAGTGAGCCTTGATGAAGGACACACTCATGTATATTTCACTTGTTTAGAAATCCCAGCCACTGAGGAAGAGCTCATTAAAGGGCTCTGAGTAGAAGGAGCCTGGGACTTGAGCACCTGGGGACTGGAGTCTATTTCTATCTCTGCTACTAACCAAGTAGTAAGACCTTTGGCAGGTCACTGCACTTTTCTGGACTGAGTCCTCATTCATAAAATGAGAAGGTTGGAATATATTACATCTTAGGTACTTTCCAAATCAAATATTTATTTATGATTTTACAATATAGGTCCTCAATCCCCTATTTGTAAACCTTGGGATTGCATGTCACATGTTACTGAATTCATGCTTTTCATATTCTTTCAAAGGTAATAAATTGCACAAGCTCTTTTTAAATAATATTTCCAATAGGTGTTGGAGCAACAACCCCAAATTATTTCTTCTGTAAAATGATGGCTATTCACCTTCAATTGGATAAAGATTATTAACAGCCTCGAATCAGTTCAGGTTAGATTTTGTTGCCAAATCAGTTTGTCACAAAAGCAAACGACAACTTTTCATTTTCAGACCAGTAGACTTCAGCATTGTAGATATGTAATTGTGTACATGTACTCAGTTTTGATTATTGATAATTGATTAGGAAGCCCTGTTGTAAATAAAGTCTGCTAAATAAATCTAGGGTATACTTTTTTTCTAGCCCTATGGAAGATAAACTTTTATTTTATTTTTTAAAATCTTATCTTAATACTTATCTCTTGGTTCCCAATTTTAAAGCTGCCACAATAGCCATTCTCTCAGACCTTGATTTTTATTCCAATATTTCATCATTATGCAAAACATTATTATCCCAGCAACATGCGTATATGGGAAAATATGAATAAAAATGAAAATCAAAAGAACTCTTTCTTTTTCTTAATAAAAAAGCATGTAATAAATTTCATGAAAGCAGTAATAAAATGAAAATTTATCAAAAACCTAACACACAAGTAATTTAACAAATAAAAGGTTATTGTTTGTTTTATTCTATTTTAATTCAGGTCATATTAACCTGCCCTTTGGTCAAGTGAAAAAAAATATTCAGTAAATGTTTGCAGGCAATGCTACCAGAAAGCTTGTCGTTCCTGGCCAGCACAGATGTCAAGTTCTCAGGTTGAACTAAAGTTTTACTCCTGTAGGTCTCAATTCCCCAAATTGCTATTAATAGTGCTGCCAACCATGGCACTTTCCTTCACTCCCTCAGCACTTTCTGTCACAGACTAATAATACTCCACAACAGAAAAACACCATTGGACTAAGTATGTCAAAAGGCTTCACCAAATAGAAAATGTATGTTCATTGTTCTGAAAAAGAAACCCAGGCCCTTGGGGAAGCAGCAGTTATTAATAAAGTCATACAGTCTTTCCACTAGGAGCTAAGAGCACAATAGAATTGCCTTGACCCTCTATGAACAGCAAAGTGTAAAACTAAAGCTTTAGATATTCTAAGACATAGAGAAATTGAGAGAGAGAGAGAGAGAGAAGAGGTTGGGTGAGGGATAGAGGAGGAAGGAAAAGAGTAAGGGAAGAGGTTGTAATTGGTGTTGGTTATGGAAATCTGCCAGGAAATATCTAGCAGTTTAGTTGTCTATTTTGTCTTATTCATTGCTCTAATAATGATAATATATCTAATATCATAAAAGTAGCAATAATTATTATTATAAATGTCAAGGACTGTGCTAGGTTTGGGGAGTAAAATGATGAACAAGACATCTGAAGTTTACAGATTTTGTTATTATAATTGACACATAATAACTGTATATATTTATGGGGTACAGAGTGATATTTTGATACATGTATACATGTATACAATGTATAGTGATGGAACCAGAGTAATTAGCATACCCATTCCCTCAAACATTTATCGTTTCTTTATGTTGGTAACATTCAAAATCCTCTCTTCTAGCTATTTGAAAATATACAATGAGTTATGGTTAACTACAGTCATCCTACAGTACTATTAGAATACTAGAACTTATTCTTCCAATCTGGCTGTAACTGTGTATCCATTAGCCCACTTTTCTCTATCCTCCCTACCCCCATTCTTGCAAGCCTCTAGGAACTACAGACTGGTGTTGTAAATCAATAATAAACAAGTAAGAAAAAATATGTAATTTTAGATAATGATAAATGGTGCAAAGGAAATCAACCATGTAATCAAATCACACAACTTGTGTAGAATACTTTCAATGGGATTCTCTGGGAAGACCTTTCTGGAAGGTGGGAGTTAAACTGCAACCTGAAGGAGGAGAATAAGTAAGTCACAGGAGGCACTCTCACTGCCAAAGCCAGAGATAAGAAGCGTTTGGAAGATGGTTAGAAAAGGAAGGAGGCAGGGTGATGAAGTTAGATCCAGGACTGCAGGGTCTGACAAATCATAGGAAGGTGTCTGTTTCAGAGGAAGAGCAATGAAAAGGGATGGAAGATTTAAGCAAAGGAGAGCTCACTTGGTTCATCGTTTTAAGTAAATATGCCAGCTGCCTTGTGGAGAATGAATTGGGAAGGGGGAATAGCAGAAGTAAGAGCACTGGTAAGAAGGCTGATTTGGATGAGGATATTGCAAGACTATGAGAATGTTCTCAGCAGGTATCAGACTGAGACATTAAGACTAAGGACTAATCAATGAGAAGATAGGATGACCTTCTTATGTCATCTTCCTTGAAGCTTATAATTTTTATAAGCTTTGCATGCATGTTTCTATTTCCAACTTGCCATTTCTATATGATTTTTAAAAACTATGTTTATTTCATGGTGTGGATCATTTTTTAAGTAATCCAAATATGGGTAAGACATCCACAAAGACCATATTGTTAGAGTGGTAAGCATTCACACTGACAGCAGAGGAACAATTCCTCTTTAACTTGTCCAAATCCTGCAGAATATTAAAGACTTAAATTCTATTTCCTTTCAACCTTTATCTTCTAGGTTAAAAAATTCTAATATCTATCCTGATATGAAATCCCCTTTATTATTGTACCAATATTAGGCCCTCTTACAACTCTTTTTTTCCAG
This sequence comes from Homo sapiens, assembly GCF_000001405.40. Lineage (NCBI taxonomy): Eukaryota > Metazoa > Chordata > Mammalia > Primates > Hominidae > Homo > Homo sapiens. Next base: position 99,738,908 of record NC_000004.12, read on the forward strand.
GTTGGCTAGTGGATTTTCTGGAGGTGTAGAGTTAGTATTGCATTTGAAGACACACATAGGTATTATGTTTTATTTTGTTTCTTTTGGAGCCAAATTTTACCTTGTCATATGTATTATGTTTAAATGGGCCAACAATTGATTCAGGTAGGAACTATGGGGAGTGAAGAGGACACCTTTTGGGGTGTGTGTGTTTGTCTGTGTGTGTGTAAACTTCTTGGTCAGGTTTTCATATGTCTTAGTGAACATTCGTCAGCCTGTTAAGACTGCTTTCATGGTTGGCTGAGTGGTCTCGATGCCACTGATGAAATGAGGATTAAGACATTTAATTAGTTATATATTGTTGTGTAACAAATTTCCAAACCTAGCAACTTATAACAACAATAAACATTTATTATTGCATGTTTCTATTGATCAGGAATTCAGGAGTCACTTGGCTGGTTGGTTGTTGCAGTCAAGATGCCTGCCAGGGCTGCAGTCATAAGTTTGAACAAAGCTAAAAGATCTGCTTCCAGAATGTCTCACTCACATGTTCACAAATTGAAACTGGCTCTTGGCAAGAAGCCACAGTTCCTTCCAAGGGTGGCTTGGGAATCCTCATGACATGGCAGCTGGCTTCCCCCAAAGATAGGAATCCAAGAGAGAGTGAGGTATAAGCCACAACATCTTTTATGACCTAACCTTGGAAGCCATATTTCATCATTTCTGCAACTTCCAGTTGATTACAGGATGCAATTGAATGTACACGCAGGCAAAAATACCAGGAAGTGAAAACTACTGGGAACCATCTTTGAAGTAGTCTACATCCTGTCTACAGGATGTAAACCAGAATAGGAAAGAGTAGATTGTAAAGGAGCAGGTGTGGAATAAGACACACCCTATGGCAGGGAAAACAATTGCTTCTCCTTTGGGGAAGTCCCACTGATCAGATGCATTATCTGAAAGGTATAGCAACAAATGCCACTGCTGGAATGTAGAGAGCCAAGCAAAGTGTTATAAGGGTATGATTGGGCATCAAAACGTAGCATCCTTTCAAGCCAGAACAAGAAGTATTTTGATTCAGATGGGCACTTAGCCAGCATCTGGAAAAACATTATTCATTGTTCACTTATTTAGTACATGTTTACTGAACAACAACTGTACACTGGCCACTAAGGATCTAAGGGGAAGATGAACACCCTGTCATTAGGAAGCTTAAAACCTAGTAGGGACTATGTAGAGGTAAAAAGGTAATGACGCTATCATGTGGTGAGCTCTGTGATTGCAGAACTACAGAATGGTTCAGATGTCACAGGAGGAACATTTGGCCAAATATTGAGAGGGGCTAAAGGAGGAAGAGACATTGGAGCCAAAATTTAAGAAGGAGTTACCAAGTGAAAGATGAGGAGACAGGGAGTGTTCCAAACCAAAAGATAACACACGGAACAAGAATAACCCTGCATCAAGAAAGGAGTCCTCCTATAGCAACTAAAAAAAAAGTGTGTCTGGAGCTAAGCATGCAACATTGAGGAAATCAAGAAGTGAAAATAGAGTGCAAATCCAGTGATAGAATTCCAGATGGAGTTTAGGGGCAGGACCACAATCCTGGAAGGGAGGGAAAGCTGAAGGGAAAGAAAGGCAGCCCTGCAGGCACAGGGATTCTTGGGAATTCACCGGACAGGAACTGTGAGGCTGGGACAGACATCTGGTGGGAGGTAGGCTGGCTCAGTCAAATCTAAGATGGGATGTCTCTTATGATCACTTATTTCAGGAATGGTCACCCATGTGAGAGTGCTGGGGCAGAGAGGACTGGGAGTGTGCCAGGAAGGGACCCTGTGATACAGGATGATACATGATCAGAAGAAATGAGCGAGTGGATGCATCCCTAAACAAGAGTGTCAAGAGAATAATGTAGAAGTGGAGAGCTATGGGGAAGGTAGTTTTGAAGCTAAATGTGCAGACTCTGGACAGACATTCTTTCATGAAGAACCCTGAGCTTCTTGCCAGGAGAACAGTTCCTTATAAGCTGCCCAAGACCAGACAAGATAAATAAAGGGAATTAATCTGTTAGAAATTAATGTCTCAGGAATATGCAGAAACGTACTAATGAACCCCAGAACCTAAGGTTACAGCAGAGCTGGGATAGTTACACTGGATGCTGTTACTTCAATTAAATCAGAGATCTCAGCCGGGCACAGTAGCTCACGCCTGTAATCCCAGTACTTTGGGAGGCCAAGGTGGGCAAATCACGAGGTCAGGAGATCAAGACCATCCTGGCCAACATGGTGAAATCCCCTCTCTACTAAAATACAAAAATTAGCTGGGCGTGGTAGTGGGTGCCTGTAATCCCAGCTATTTGGGAGGCTGAGGCAGGAGAATCACTTCAACTCAGGAGGCAGAGGCTGCAGTGAGCCGAGATCGTACCACTGCACTCCAGCCTGGCAACAGAGTGAGACTCTGTCTCAAAAAAAAAAAAAAAAAAAAAAAAAAAAAAAAAAAAAAAAAATCAGAGATCTCCATGGGCTCAGCTTTCAATTTTCAAGAGGGGCTCATCAATGGTCCTTGCAATGGGAGAAAATAGGCAAGACCTGGTATCCTATGATTCTTGACTCTTGGCCAATTTGAGATCGTGCACTATTTCATGCAGTGGTTCTTAAACTTTAGTATGTGTTAGAATAATACTGAAATTCTTGCTAAAATTCTGATTTCTAGGAACCACCTACAGCCTCTCTGATTCAGTAGGTCAGGAGTTGAGCTCAGATATAGGTATTTTAAGACTTGCAGGTGATTCTGAGACCAAAAAGTTGGCAGATCACACTTTGAAAACACTTATTTAGCACTTAAAATTTGGCATAGGGGTGATTAGAAGTATGGGCTCTGCAGCCAGGCTGCCTATCTATCAATGCCCAACTCTGTCACTTCCCATGATCTCCAAGAAGGCCAATAATTTGTGCCTCAGTTTTTTCAGCTGTAAAAGGGGGTCATAATACCCACCTGACTGGTTTATGGCAAATATTAAACAAGTTAGTAAGTATAAAATACAGTACCTGGCACAGTTTGTGTACTCAGCTAATGTTAGCAATTATCAACTGCAAAGAAATATCAATGTTGCTTGAAAAAATGTTCAGTGAAACTTACATGTGTAATTCTAACATTACACATGTAGCCTTGTGGATTTTTGCAGTGCTATAGATTCATGGTAAAACAAAGAAGAAAAATTATCTAAACATCCATTTCTATCTCAAACAATCTTTCACATACTTCACTGTTAGTGTCTGCCCTTCCTGAATCCCTTAAACACAGAAGAATTATTTGAAAATGTTAACATGGTAGAAAGTTAGATACAATATTGGAAATGTTGACCAAATGGTGGCAAAGATGACCGTCATCCATGTTACAGGGTTCTTGCCTGTCAGCTCTTGGAGGGTGGTGTACATGATGGCCACTGATGGGGTCCCATTTATCCACCCATCCACCTACCCATTGTACTAGCCCATCCACAATATCAACTTCTCACAGCACACTCTGCACTGGGCACTTAGGTGGACATAATGACAAGGCCCTGACTCTGAGTTGGTACAGGGAAAACAAAGATGGCAACTTTGACCCCTATAATTATCAGCTATTCTCTCTATAAGAATGTAAGACAGGAAATACTCTCCCCATTTTTATGAATGAGGAATCTAGAGCCCAAAAAGTTTACATGGCTCATAAAATAAGAAAGTTATGATTCAAACCCAGGTCTTGTCCCCCACTTACTACTCTTTCTGTACAACAAAAGGAGAGACTATTAAAAATAAAGTTCAGGCTGGGCACAGTGGCTTACACCTGTAATCTCAGCACTTTGGGAGGCCGAGACCAGTGGATCACGAGGTCAGGAGTTTGAGACAAGCCTGGCCAATGTGACAAAACCCCATCTCTACTAAAAATACAAAAAATTAGCCGGGCATTGTGGCGGTTGCTTGTAATCCCAGCTACTCGGGAGGCTGAGGCAGGAGGATCACTTGAACCTGGGAGGTGGAGGTTGCAGTGAGACGAGATCGTGCCATTGCAGTCCACCTGGGCAAAAGAGCGAGACTCCATCTCTAAGTAAGTAAGTAAGTAAATAAATAAATAAATAAATAAATAAATAAAGTTCAGGCTAGAGATTGGAGTAGGACTCAGAGAGAGAGAGAGAGAGGAGGAAAGCAATACACTAATGATGCACATGAAGAGTAAGCTAGTGGCTTCCAAGTCTAAATGTTTAGGTACCTCATTTGGGGGATATTTTAATGACACAATGAAGACATTAACTATTGTACACATATGATGATTTGAGCTGTACAAATACACAGAAGTAAACTTTATGGCAGCTGTTGAAATAATCATAGTAACATGATTCAAGTGGGGTTATTCAATGGTTGTAAGGAGACACTGAGAAAGGGTATTTTCATACTTGCTTTTGAAAATACGTAGCAGAACCATATCAGAGTAGTTCCATCTATTGAGCACCTACTCTGTAGTATGAATTTTAAGTAGGTTGTCTCATATAATACTGAAAACAACTAAGAGAGGTAGGAATTGGCTTCCACATTAACAAAAGAGTAACTGAGCTTCAGCATAGTTTTTCCAGAGGGGCAGGACTTGTAAGTGATGGAAGAGTCACTATTTGAACCCAGGTCTGATTCCAGTCTGCATGCTCTTGATTTTACACCAGCTGCCACAAGTTAATGGACCCAAAACACTCTCATTCCTTTCTCTCCTGATTCTTTAATGCTAAGTCTGCTAAAACCTGTTCTCATTACTTGACATTTCTCCCAAATCTGTTTCTCATGTGTTTCGTCCTTCTGTGAGTCCCTCGGCAATCATCCCAATCAGCCAGGCTTGACTCCTTTCTTCCAATCATCCTCCCAATCCAATCTGTTTGCAAGTCCTGGCAATTCTAATTCTGTCTTCATTTTCATGCCATTCCCCTCGCTCCTTGCCAACAGGAACCACCTACTGCAATTCCTCACTATCTCCAGCTTGCTAGGTTGAAAGAACCAATAAAATGACCTCCAGTGATCCCCGCCTGCTGTTATTTACACCTTGTGGAATCAGTTCCCCTTGAGTGTGGACCAGGCTTGGCAACTTGCTTCACATGTGGCACATGTGATGGTATATTCCTTCCATGATTAGGTAACCAAAAGACTATGGTTTCCATCTTGCTACCTACCCCTCTCTTGCTCTCTTGCTTCTCTGTTGGAAGCTGGCTGCCATGTTATGAGCTGCCCTATGGAAAGGCTCACAGGGAGGAACTGAGGCAGTCTCCAGTGAATGGTCATTGAGGAGCTTAGGCTGCCAGTCCAACAGCCCTTGAGGAGCTGAATCCTGCCAATAACTACCCCCAGATTTCTGACCTACAGAAACTGTGAGATAACAAATGCTTGTTGTTTTAAACTGCTAAATTTTAGATAATTTGTTATGCAGCAATAGATAACTAGTATGTTTTAAATGGATATTCCCAAATCCAGAATTGTTCATTTTTCTGCTGCCACATTAAACTTCTAGAAATACAGTTCTGTTTATGTCATTCCTATGTTCAACAACCTTCAAAGACTTTCCATTTGCCTTTAGAAAATATCTAAGCTTTTCAGCTTGACAATGATGATGGTTTATCACCAGTTCCCAACATATCAGGGTATTAGTCCATTTTCACACTGCTGATAAAGACATACCCAAGACAGGGTAATATATAAAGGAAAAGAAGTTCAATGGACTCACAGTTCCACGTGGCTGGGGAGGCCTCACAATCCTGGTGGAAGGCAAAAGGTACATCTTAAATGGCAGCAGACAAAGAGAGAATGAGAATGAGAGCCAAGTGAAAGCTGAAACTCTTATAGAACCATTGGATCTCGTAAGACTTATTCACAACCATGGGAACAGTATGGGGGAAACCACTCCCATGATTCACTTATTTCCCACTGGGTCCCTCCCACAACACATGGGAATTATGGAAGCTACAATTCAAGATGAGATTTGGGTGGCGATACACCAAGCCGTATCAATTAGTTAATAATTAAGAATTATTTGATAGTTGAAGGCAATAATGTATAATTCAGATATCAACTGAGGCCACACTGTTCCCTTGGGGACTAAATAAGATTGGCTCTAACCACAGATATACATTTTGTAAAAAATCCAACACCCTTCTCAAGGTTTTTATCAATTCCTGGTGGGTTTATGTTCTCACACTCACCTCTAGCTTTTTTTGCTTTTGCTGAATTAAATCAGTGTATAGATGATCTCTCTATCCCACATGTGCTACTATTCCACATAATGTCAGCCCAGATGTACAACTCAGTCCCTTTCCTTGACACCCACACAACCACACACATACACATTTCATATAAGATTGTTATGTAAAGTAGATTTTACTAGATTTTGAGGATTTTCTTTACAGTTCACATAACTTAAACTGAATATTAGACATCACTGTTAAAATATTTTTGAAGGTGAAAAAATAATATAAATTCATTTTGATTTGTCTTTGCATAGAGAATCACTGGAAAGATACCATAAAAACTAAAAAAGAAATTATCTATGGAGGAGAGGGGTGGAATGAGGTGGATAGGGACAAAATTTGCACTAAGACATTATGCTATATTTCTCAATATTGTTTTGATTTATGAACCATGTAAATGTATTTTTTCAGAAATTCAAAATTAAAAAGTAAAATTTAAAAATTTAAAAATTATTTAGACCCCCCCATTAGAATAATTCCTCTCCTTCTCCTTCTCCTTCTCCTTTACCTTCTTCTTCTTCTTCTTCTTTTTTGAGATGGGGTCTCTCTCTGTCACCCAGGCTGGAGTGCAGTGGCACAATCATGGCTCACTGCAGCCTCAACCTCCTGGGCTCAGTGATCTTCCTGCCTCTGCTTCCCAACTAATTGGGACTACAGGCATGTGACACCATATCCAGCTAATTTTGTAGAGATGGGGTCTCACTATGTTGCCCTGGCTGATCTAGAACTCCTGAGCTCAAGTGATTCCTCTGCCTTCACCTCTCAAAGTGCTGGGATTACAGGCATGAGCCACTTCATGCTGCTGGATTCTTAATTCTCACTCTCCCCTCCCATTTCTCCTCCTTAGCTCTATTTAGGGTTAAGTCCTTTCCTGCTCCAATCCAGATTTTTCTCACTTCCAATTTAGTTAAGCTCTATTTTGTCCTTACTCTCAAATGTGGCTCTAAACCTTTGCACATCAGAACCTCATAAATGTGCTTATATAAACAATGTCCAAAGAGAAACCTAGCCATGGTACTTTTAAATGCAATTCCTGCCTCACCCTCCCATCCCCAGGATACAGAAAAAGAGGGGTCTAGTGAGGAAGAGTTGTTGATGAAGTTGTGATAGTACAGAGAATTTGGAAGGGAGAAAATCCAATAGGTAAGAAAAAAGAATATCAAAGGCAAACTGTGCTTAATAGAGAACTCTGCTTGGGGCCAACCTGATTGTGTTATCCAACCTTCTCCTGACATTTTTGTTGAGAATGTGTGTCCCAGATAAGTTAACAAAAAAAGCTTGTCTCTAATGAAACAACTTTTTTAAGTGACTTCTAATTCTGTAGTATAACTTTAAAATATTGATTTTTTTTAATTGAGCAAAAGTTTAAACTGATGTCTCATGACAGACAATATGCAAATGGTTAATGAACATGAAAAGATGTACAGTTTCATCAATCATCAGGGAAATGCAAATTAAAACCACAATGAGATGCACTGCATGCTTATCATAAGGCTTAAATGTAACAGACAATACCAAGTGTCAGCAAGGTTGTAGAGAACTACTGGTGGAAGTGTAAATTGACACAATCACCTTGGAAAACTGGCAATATCTACTAAAGCTGAGCCTCTGCAGCACAAGAATATCATCAGACCCAGCTACTTCACTCCCGGGTATATTCCAAAGAGATATGTGTACATATGTCCCAAAATCTAGAAGCTTCTCAAAATGTCCTTCAGTAGCAGAATGGATAAATAAATTGTGAATTTCATGCATTGGTCTATTATACAGCAAGATAAGTTAGTAAACATAATTTAAGTGGAAGAAACCATACACCAAGAACTTCTGTCTTAGTCTATTTTCTGCTGCTACAACAGAGTACAATAGACTGGGTAAATTATGAAGAACAGTTTATTTGGCTCACCATTTTTGAGGCTGGGAAGTCTGAGAACATGGCACCATGATCTGGTGAGGGTTATCCCATGGTGGAAAGCATCCCACAGCAAGTAAGTGCAAAAGACAGAAAGGAAATTGGAGCTGAACTTATCCTTTGATTAGAAGCCCTTTCCCTTGATAACTGACCCACTTCCAAAATAATGGCATTAATTCATTCATCATGGGAAGCCCTCATGACCTAATCACCTCCTAAAGGCCCCATCTCTTAATACTGTTACAATGGAAATTAAGTTCTCAACACATGAAATTTTAGGGGACACATTAAAACCATAGAAAATTCATATTCTATTATTCTGTTTTCATAAAGTTGAAAACAAGCAAAACTAATCTGAGATTTGAGAAGCCAAGAGAGTAGTCATTTTTGGGGAATGGCTATTTACTGAAAGGGGGGTAAAATGAGACTTTTGGTGTCTTGGCTAGGGTCTATTTCTTAATCCCGGTGCTGGGTTCATGGAGGCGTTTGCACTGTGAAGATTTATCAAAATGCACACTAATGATTTATGCACTTTTTCTGTATGTGTGTTTACACACATACAGAAATTTACTGTTTACAAACAGTAAACTATACTCCAAAAAAAACTGTCTGTTTTCAAAGACCTTATCAACAAGCTTATTTTTAGTATCTGGTATGGTCTGAATGTTTGTGTCCCTCCAAAATTCATGTTGAAACTTTGTCCTCTTTGTGGTAGTATTAAGAGATGGAGCCTTTGAGGAAGTGATTAAGTTATGAGGGCTCCTCCATCGTGGATAGATCAATGCCCTTATAAAAGAAGCTTCGGAAATCTGCCTGGACCTTCCATTTCTTCTTCCATGTGAGGACACAGCATTCATCCCTTTTTGTCCCTTTCCACCATGTGAGAACACCACAAGGAGGTGTCATCTTAGAAGCAAAAAGCAGCCCTCACCAAACACTGAATCTACCAGTGCTTTGATCTGGGACTTCCCAGGCCCTAGAACTGTGAGAAAGTAAATTTCTGCTCTTTGCAAATGATTCAGTCCCAAGTATTTTGTTATAGTAGCACAAACACAGTATCATTTATCCATATTTTTGAAACTACCCACTTCAAATGTAAATTCCATGAAGACAGGTTTTTGTCTGTTTTTTGCATAAATATTTGCTAAATAAATTAATGAAGGAATTAAACTCAATTATTGACATCAAGGGCTAACCAATGACTGTCTTTGATTATTAAGAATAAATTCTAGCCTAGATACTTAGACTTGTAGGTATTAAAAAATCACCTGAACATAGTGATAAACTTTTCATAATATATGGAATATTATGAAGAGCTTAACATTTAACAGCATGTGGTCAGGGAATGAATTCAAATTCAGGCTTTGCCACTCATTAACTGTGTGTGACTTTGAGCCATTTATTTAACTCCTTCCAGCTTCAGTGTCTTCATGAGTGAAATGGAAATAATAATGCTAACTACTCCATGAGTTAATGGGAAGAGTAAGTGAGAGTATGGTTTTTAAACACTTAGCACACTGCTGGACATGTATTGAAAGTGTTCCATAAATATTTGCTATTATTGCTTCAACAAATAGTTAATTTAGTCACAATTTGTATATCATGAAGATATTTTTTAGTTATATCTTATGTTAAATTTAACTGTAACTTGAGAAATTTGAAAAGCCTTCATTCCACTGATTATTTTTATTCTGCTCCTTAACCAGCTGTGTGACCTCAGGCAGGTCACTTCACCTCTCTGGGGCTAATTTTCCTCAGACATCAAATGAAGAATATGAAATAAGCTATCTCAGATTGAAGATCCTGACAATGCTAACATTGTATATATTCATGTTTTGGCTTCTATACCTTCCTAACTGCATCTTCCCACTATCCCCCAAACCCTTCACACATCCCATATGTTAATCAAAAAGAAGGGCTGACAATTTTAAGTGCTCTCCCAACAGCAGGCCTTTGCTTTTATCTCAGTAGGTCCATACCTATTTGGAGTGCCTCTCCTAGATTTTGCCCTGCTGGATTGCATCTGTCTCCCTTTTAAAATCCTATCTATATGCCTAGTCTATATGCCTCTTTTAGACTATCCTAGTCTATATAGACTAGTCTATATAGACTAGTCTATATAGACTATCCTAGTCTATATGCCTCTTTTAGTTACTTATTTACATTTTATATCTTATTCCAGACTCTGAGCTCTTTTGAGAGAAACATACTTATGTTGCCTAAGTGCACTTTGCCCATCATAGATGTTTATCAAGAATTTGTTGAATTACTTCACCTAAGACTGTTAATACTATCAAGCCATTCCTTATACCACAAAAGAAATCTAGTATTTTCTTTAAAATATCTGACTAAATGACTAATATCTTATTTAAATTTGAAAAATATTTAAAGTATCTGATTAAATGACCATCATTATTTTGTAGCTCAACATGTTCCGCATCTAGGTTTGACATGAGACACCTAAAACAACTGAATCTGGTAATTACTATACCATGGTGGGGTTTGAGAAAGGATGACCATACATGTCTGTCTGAAAAAGTGTATGTTAGTTTCTAAGACTGAACTTCACTTCCTTCCTACGTAGGGCAGCAGGGTTATGACAGAAGAGCTGACTCTATTTGACTCATGTTGGTCCCCTTTCCCTCTTTGGCCTCCTGGGCATAACAGATGCAAAAAGTAAAAAAGGCTCTGCACCGTTACAGCTAAGCCAGGAGAACCATCCCCAGGGAGAGCTCAGTTAACCTTCCTTAGTTGCTAACTATCTTTTGCAGGTTGTTTCTAAATTAAGCTCTGTAGACTAGCAGCTTTCAATCTTGCCACGCTCAAAGCAGACTGCTCTTGCTCCTGTGAGTAATTCCTAAGGAAATCATAGCTATCATAAGCTATGCAGGGGTAAGAACTAATCTCCAGACTGGAGGTGTTTTCAGGGTAATAGGTTTTTGTTTTTTAATGTCATTTTTCAGTTAGAGATGTAACATAATGATGTAGAAGACCAGCCAATTAAAATGTGGATGTCTTTCAAACAAGAGCCTTCACAAAATGCTTCTCAAAGAAAAGGCAGGTTGCCTCAGTAAGAAAATCATGACAGTTGACAGACAATCAGTCATGAAAACAGGCAGGTGAGCTGAGAACTTCCTTCTCTGCTTCTCTCAGGTTTCACTGCCTGAAAAAGCCAAATGTCAGACCTCTTGTTCTAGGTGGGGTTTTTTTGATCCACAGAAGAACTTTATCCTGTGGTGAATCATTGTTACATTGTCAAGGATGATGAAGGATGTTCAGTCAGACATGTTTTGTTGAATTTATTAAAAGGTACCCCAATCTTGAGTACAGCCTTACTGGAGAGCAATCTGAAAATACTTATTCAAGGTTTTTAAATGTCTGTCCTCTGACCAGGAAATTGCACTTCTGGACAATCAACATAGAAAAGCACTCAAGGATTTATTCCAAATACGTACTTATAAAAATATTTGTATCATAACTATTTGTAACAGCACAAGTTTGAAAAACCCAAATGCCCAACAATAGAGGTTTGGTTCAATTATGGCACAGTCACGTGCTCAGATACTACTCAACTCTTTAATGTTATAGAAAAATGCAACTAGTGACATACAAAGATATTCATATATTTACCTTAAAATATGTTATACCCCATTTTTAAAAACTAAACAGTTGAAATGTGTTGAATAATTACTATGTGCTAGATATACAGTTGGACCTCCATATCCATGGGTTCCACACATGTGTATCCAACCAACTACAGTTCAAAAATATTTGGAATAAAAATGAATGATTGCCTCTGTACTGAACATGTTCAGATTTTCTCCTGCCATTATTCTTGATACAATACAGTATAACAACTATTTACATAGCATTTACATTGTATTAGGTATTATAAAGTGATGTAGACATGATTTAGTGTATATAGGAAGATGTGTGCAAGTTATATGTAAATACTATGCTATTTTACATCAGGGATTTGGGCATCCTTGGATTTTGATATCTCCGGAGGGGTCCTGGGACCAATCTCCTATGGATATAGAGGGACAACTGTACTGCTAAACATTTATATGCACCTTATTTAATTCTAAAACAGTTCCACGAGGTAGGTACAGTATGCAGTATGCATTGCTTAACAATGGGAATACATTCTGAGAAATGGATCATTAGGTAATTTCTTTATTGTGCAAACATAGAGTGTATTTACACAAACCTAGATGGTCTAGCCTACTACACACCTTGGCTATATGGTATAGCCTGTTGCTTCTAGGCTATAAACCTGGACAGCATGTTATTATATTGAATACAGTGGGCAATTATAACACAGTGTTAAGTATCCAAAAATCTAAACATTTAAAATTACAGTAAAAATATGGTACAAAGGATTAAAAAAAAACTACTCCTGTATAAGACACTTAACATGAATGGAGCCTACAGAACTGGAAGTTGCTCTGGGTGGGTGAGTCAGTGAGTGAGTGGTGAGTGAATGTAAAGGCCTAGGACATTACTATACACTACTGCAGACCTTATAAACACTGTACCCTTAGGATCCAGTAGGTTTATTTACTTTCTTTTTTTTTTTTTTTGAGACGGAGTCTCACTCTGTCACCCAGGCTAGAGTGCAATGGTGCAATCTCGGCTCACTGCAACATCTGCCTCCCGGGTTCAAGTGATTCTCCTGACTCAGCCTCCTGAGTAGCTGAGATTACAGGCATGCATCATGAAACCCAGCTAATTTTTGTATTTTTAGTAGAGATGGAGTTTCATCATATTGGCCAGGGTGGTCTCGAATTCCTGACCTCGTGATCCGCCCGCCTCGGCCTCCCAAAGTAAAAAATTTTATTCAACATTAAATTAACCTCAGCTTACTTGAACTTTTTTACTTTATAAACTTTACAATTTTTAAAAACTTTTTGACTCCTTTGTGATAACACTTAGCTTAAAACAGAAACACATTGTACAGCTGTACAAAAATATTATTTCTTTATATATTCTGTAAGCATTTTTCTATTTTTACATTTTTAATTTTTAATTTTTTTACTTTTTAAACTTTGCTGTTAAAAACTAAGACATAAGCACATGTATTAGCCTAGGACTACACAGGGTCAGGATCATCAATATCATTGTCTTCCACCTCCACATTCTGTCCCACTGGAAGGTCTTTGGGGGCAATAATATGCAGGGAACTGTCATCTCCTATGATAACAGTGCCTTCTGAATACCTCCTGAAGGACCTGCCTGAGGCTGTTTTACAGTTAACTTTTATTTTAATAAGTAGAAGAATTAAGTATACTCTAAAATAATGATAAAAAGTGTAGTAAATACATACATCAGTAACAGTCATTTATTATCAATAGCAAGTATTATATACTATACATAATTATATGTACTGTGAAAGTTTGTGAAGGTTTGTTTACACCCAGCACCACAAACACTATTGCATTGTGCTATGACCTTACCATGGCTACCATGTCATTAGACAATAGGAATTTTCCAGCTCTATTATAATCTTATGGCACTGCCATTGTATATGCAGTCTGTCATTGACCAAAACATCATTGTGCAGCACATGACTTATTATTATTACCTTCATTTCACAAATGATGAATATGCTCAAGGTCGCATGAGTGGTAAGAGGCTGAGCCACAGAAAATAAGTGCCTGCGTGACAGACAGCAAGTGAGAGAGAGAGATGAGGGAATGATATTGAAAGGATCTAACAGGATCTGTTGCAAGATGTATGTGATTATGAGTATTTTCTTCTTTTTTGTGAGTATTTTCTGTGGTTCTTTTTTCTATAATGAGCCTGAGCTGTGTTCATACTTGGAATTTCTTAGTCTCTCAAATGTATTTCTTCTCCTTGATTCTTTCAAGATGGCCTTATATATACAGGAAATAATTCTGGCTCATGTGATCCCACGGTTGGTGGAATGGTAGGAAGATGTGGATCCATGCAGTGTCTTCTACCTCTTGCCAGGCTCTGCTGCAGAGTGGCTGGTCTCAGTGGCTGCTTGAATGGGTGAATATTGAGTTGCAACGAATCCTATCCTACTTTTTGGAGAGTGTTCCACTCTTTCTGACCACGTGAACTTTGATCTTCTTGCTCTCCATTGTCAAACACCTCCTCTCCCCAGCCCTAGGCTCTACCTACCAAGATCCTCTAAGAGCCACAGTGCTTTCCTAAATCAGCATCTGGGCACACCTGAACTCCATTACTGCTTTGTGTAAGCTGAGGCATTATCTTTTTAGCTCACTCCTGCTGGTACCTCTATATCGTCTCTCTGAATCCTGTTGAAAATGGTCGTATGTCTGGCTTCTCTTGGAGACTTCCAGCCTTCTCCAGATCATGTAAGCAGGTAGGCTTCCTCTGGATGATTCTTCCCCCATCACCATTTGAAATCTTCCTTCTCCCAAAGCTTATTCTTCCTTCTTCTTTCTATCAGATTGGGACTTTCCTTAAATAAATCTTTATGAACCAGTACACCAGGGCCTGCTCTTCATATGTTGAAAGACAGGATAAAGGAACTTTAAAGTTGTATTCTTCCAAAATGCCCAGCTTTCAAAACCATCATTGCAAAATCCTATTTTGGATGCCAGAAGAACAATATTAACTTTATCTTGATATTTTCTGTTGCAACAATCTGAAACCTTTTCAGTAAATTAGTCAATAATTAAAAGGATACCCTTGAAAGACATAGAGGAGGTCAGTTCAAGAACATTAGAAAACATAATACCTGTATTTGAATTTTGCTTGCACATTATTATAGAAAAGGTTAAAATTAAGCAGAAAGATTTTGTGGTTAGGGAACAGGACAAATTATGAGGGCTCTCTGAGTTATAGAAAAGAGCTAAATTAGGAAGGGCTTGGGAATAATGGTTAGATATTTTGTCTTTCTATAAAGGTTTGTAGAAAGAACTCCAACACATTTTTTTAGAATGCTAGGTGGTGGGCTCTGAATGTGAGTTAGAACAGAAAGGCAAATTTGTAAACAGTCACACAAAAGTACCAGTCAAATACGTAGGATACATTGAAAGAAAAGTAAATGAAGCCAACTTAGACGAACAAAAACAGGTGATGATGGAGAACCAGGTGCAACCACTTGCAACAAAAGTTATCAAGTAGAAGGAGCCTGAGCTTTGAGGTCAAACAGAACACAGATTAAATTCTAACTTTGCTAATTGCTAACAGTATTAATCAAACTTCTCTCTCTTACCATTGGGTTCTTTATCTAAAAATGAAGATGGCAATACCTAACTTAATGAGTTACACAGAGAATAAAAATCAAATAATGAGTGA
Source organism: Homo sapiens (assembly GCF_000001405.40). Lineage (NCBI taxonomy): Eukaryota > Metazoa > Chordata > Mammalia > Primates > Hominidae > Homo > Homo sapiens. The sequence goes on from NC_000004.12 coordinate 99,754,348, forward strand.
ATGAGAGTAAATAACATATTTGAATTTCTCATAGCAGTGTGTGGCATGTAATAATACTCAGTAAATGTTGGCTAAACAACACACACCATCATCACCATTATTACAAGAAGCAGAGAGTATATATATATATATATATATATAATCTCCTTAGAAAAAAGCTCTGGTTGGAAATACCACAGGGGACAAAAAAAAAAAAAAAAAAAAAAAAAAAAAAATCTCTGGTCAAGGCCCAGAGAAAGCCATTAGAGATCATTATGAGAATGATGGCTGAGAGCCAAAAAGGAAAATGGAGAGTAACCCAGACACTTAAAAGTACTCAAAGTGAAGATAAAGGAAAATGGGAATACATGCGGTTTCATATGGACATGGAACCAGGTGTGGCAGTAAAATAAGACTCCACACAACTGCATTTAGAAAAGTCACCTTGCTTTCTCTGATAAGCCACACAGCTCTGGAGCAAGAGGGAAGGGCGGGGGGGAGGAAGAAGAGGAGAAAAACATGGTATTCACTGTATTTAGATTTTACACTGATTATGATAGCCATGAAATCCTGTACACATCCTCCACACATGTTGCTTCAATATCCAGGATATAAAGCCCTTTCTGAGCACAGGATATGTTGCAACCTTGGTATGCTCATGTAGCTTCTGCACAGGCTTGTGTCCTTCTTGGTCTTCAGTTTTCCCTCTCCCTGTGGGAGAGTTTTGACTGTCAAAAAACCTTTGCTAATTGCTATATGCCTAGTGCTGCGCTGGGGATGAGGCTCCTAACACATACTGGTGAGCAAGATGGCTTAACAGCTGTGTGTGGCATTTAAAGGACAGGGGAGGATGCCACAGTGAGGCTTTCTTTGTGAGAGCCCTCCAGTTGGCACAGTATCTAGGAGAGGTGCTCAATATTTACCTCCCATATAAGCCTGCTATTTTTTATTGTTTCACTCCAGTTCTTTGAATATGTACAGCCATCACCTGTTTGCAGCGGGCTGCCTCCCTCTTTGGGCTCTTTACTCCAGGAGCCCCACACAACTATGTGACCCATTAGCTGACATTGCTTACTGGCTTGTTTGTTGTCTACCTCTCCACCAGGCAGGAGAGCTTTATCTGGGAACATTCCATCCCTGCATGAATAAAAGTTTGTTCACCTCCCCCAACAGCCCAATATATATGTCTGTTCCCACGCCATATATAGTTTCACAGCTGGGTTGTTATAATTATGACTGAGAATTATTTTTTATCTAAACTAAAGTTACTATTTGCCTACAATCTTCTCAGTATGTTTTTTGTGGGGGAGGAGGGCTGAAATATCACATCTTCATCTATGCAGATCTGTATGTAATGAAGAAAAGCAATTTTGCACATTCAGAGAACTTGAAAATGAAAGTTTGCATTACTCATACTATAAAAATGTTTTTCTCCCACAGCACAACTCCAGAAATCCTTTACTCAAATCATTTATTCTGATATAAATCTTATGACTAAAAGTACAAGCCTTTGGCTTAATTTATTCTTGAATTCTCAAAGCTGAATATTCATTTAGTTAATGCTTCATGCTTCAAATCACATTTATCAGCACATAAAAACACTGGTCAGTCTCAAATCCACCAAAGAGTTCTGAAATTCAAACACAACTGTGAAATCCAAAAGCAGTTTATTAGTGATAGTTATTTGCTAAGAATTGGGGGACACCTTGATAGCTTTGATCCAGTCTATTAAGTGTAGTTCAATAGACTAAATCCATTGTGCCAGGCAGAGGGGAGGCAAAGATGCTTCCAAATTCCTGAAGGTCTGGGCAGATGGCTGGGACACAAACAGATCATTTGACAATTTCAACGCAATGCCTAAGTACTATGGCTGTCTTTTGCAGTGGTTACTTTGGGAATACAGAGAGGGAACATTTTCTCAGGAAGCACTTTGGAGATCTGAAGGAAATGTCCACCAGAACTAAGGTGAGAAAGATGTATAGAAATTAATGAGGTCAGTCAAGATGCGGATCTCAGTTTCAGCAAAGGAATTTCCCCCTCCCCCGTCACCACCCCCATCCCGTCCCCCTCTTCCCGTGTATGAAGTATGAGTTAGGGAATGGTAGGAGATGACACCAGAAAAGTTTTAGGTTAACCATAAACCATTATTACAGTCAGCCATTTTGACCTAGAGAAATGGCTATTTCATGTGGTTCTAACCAGTGAAGTTGGTCATGGACAACTTTTATACTAATTCCAGGTTAAGGAACTTGAGATTTATCTTGCATAGAATAAAAAACTAATGAAGCATTTTAATCAGGCGAGTTTCCAGCTCAGTGCTGCATTTTAGACAGATCATTCTCACACACTGAGAAGGTGGCAAAGACCAGTTTATTCCTGTCACCAGTTTCTCTCTCTCCTTTTCTCTCATTTGGGAACCGCCCAGATGAGAGATGGAGGCCTACATCAGGATGAAGGCACTAACACAGAGGAGGGAACAGATTAGAACATGTGATCACAAGATAAAACCTGTCAGAACCGGGGGCTGGTTCTCAGTGGAGAGAAAAGAGTTAAGTCCCAGGTTTCTGTTTGTGTGACTAGAGGGAAGCTGGAGCCATTAACTCAGATGAAAAAAGAGAAAAGGAGCAGCTTTAGAGTTTAAAATAATGAGTATTTTTGACATATTGATTATGATGTAGTTGCGGAAAATCCAGAGAGTTGTCCAGAAAGAAATTGGAATATAGGGGTCTAATCCATGGAGAATTCTGGACCAGAAAAGGAAACACAGCAGCCGCAATATCATCAGGGTGAAGCGCGGGTAAAGCAGGAGGGTGGGAAGCAGGCGGTCAAAAGCATGAGTGGCTGACACTGCCTAGAAGCATAGGATTTTTTTCTTTTTGAGACGGAGTCTCGCTCTGTTCCCAGGCTGGAGTGCAGTGTGGCACGATCTACGCTCACTGCAACCTCCGCTTCCCTGGTTCAAATGATTCTCCTGGCTCATCCTCCCGTGTAGCTGAGACTACAGGCGTGCACCCCCATGCCTAGCTAATTTTTGTATTTTTAGTAGAGACAGGGTTTCACAATGTTGGCCAGGATGGTCTCGATCAAGATTGACCTCGTGATCTGCCAGCCTTAGCCTCCCAAAGTGCTGGGATTACAGGTGAGAGCCACCGTTTCCGGCCAGAAGCATACAATTTTCAAGGGGACTTTAAAGACAATATTTTTTACATGCTTTTCAAATGAAAAACCTTTAAAAAAAAATCTTAGAAGTCCAAAATATGAAAAAGAAGTGCTTTGATTGAAATGGAGGCGAGAACTGCACAATCCCATGTGCTCAGGCTCCCTACTCCTTTTTCTTCCTAAGGCAGCCCCAGCAATCTCTGAGGAAAACAGTTGAAAGACAAGTGATCTAGACCTCTCTAGAGTGGTCAGAAAACTACCTCCTGCACACCAAATCCAGCCCCGTACCTGTTTTTGTGAATAAAATTGTATCAGAACACTGCCATATTCATTTGTTTTTTTTTTTTCACATTTGTTAATCATTTGAATTTTTTGATGACTTTTTTTTTTCTTTTTATTGAGGCAAGGTCTCACTGTCCCCTAGGCTGGAGTGCAGTGGTGCGATCTTGACTCACTGCAACCCCCCTCTCCTGGGTTCAAGCGATCCTCCCACCTCAGCCTCCTGAGTAGCTGGGATTACAGGCGTGTGCCACCATGCCAGGCTAAGTTTTGTATTTTTAGATGGGGTTTTACCTTGTTGGCCAGGCTGGTCTTGTACTCCTGAGCTCAAGCAATCTGCTCGCATCAGCCTCCCAAAGTGCTGGGATTACAGGCATGAGCCACCACACCTGGCCTAATGATTCATCATTTTGGTCAGTCATTTAAATGACTGAATTTTTGAATTTTTTAAATGAGTTTTTAAAAGTTTTCTTTTATTTTTATTTGACATATAATAATTGTACATATTTATGGTGTACAGGGTGATGTTTCAATCCATGTATACCACTTGTTTTCTTATTGTCTACCTCTGCTTTCACAGCACAACAGCAGAGCTGAGTTGTTACATGGACTATATGAACCTCAGGGCCTAAAATATTTGCCATCTTTCTTTTAAAGAAAAAGGTTGCCGACCCCTCATTTGAACTAAATCTTTTATTTTACAAATGAGAAAAGCTGAGGTCCAAAGAGTTTGAATAATGTCTGACAAGCTGCTCAGGCTGGAACCCAAGTCTTGGGATATAGACCCTGCTGTCTTTGTTTTTAAAAAGGAGAATTAGTAATCAACGTGCCAGAAAGTGAACTGGATATGTGCCCATCCAAAACAAATCTCATAACAACTTTCTTTCACTATTGAACAATGTGTAGTTTTTAGTATTTTTTAAATTGTGGCTATTAGCCCTGAAATAAATTTAAAACTCCCTTTATCCCATCTGTGTGAGGTAAAACGTTGAATTTTAGTTTTTTTTAAAAACTAATTATCCTGTTACTAGTTGTTCTTCCCTAATTCAAAGACCAGTTTTAGGGTCAAGCATGGTGGCTCATGCCTGTAATCTCAGCCCTTTGGGAGGCTAATGCAGAAGGATCACTTGAGCTCAGGAGTTTGAGACCAGCCTGAGCAATATAGCAAGACCCATCTCTATAAATAATTTAAAAATTAGCTGGATGTGGTGGTGCATGCCTGTGGTCCAAGCTACTCAGGAGGCAGTGGCGAGATGATTGCTTGAGCCCGGGAGGTGAAGGCTGCCGTGAGCTGTGATCACACCACCACACTCCAACCTGGGCAACAGAAGGAGATTCTGTCTCAAAAAAATAAAATAAAATAGATATTTTTAAAGACAAATTTTATTTTTAAATGTGAAGTACTGTGCACCCTCTCTCCCACAGTGATATGGGTTGAAAAATCAGTTCCCTAATGTAGAGCCACCAGGATGGCTCACAGAGGTATAACATCTGCTCCAGGTCAGATTGTACCCTCTTTACAGCCCCCTATATGCCTGGATCCCACCCAGCCCATGGCTCCCACCCCCTCCTCATCGCTTTTCATTCATGCATCACTCCTATTAGTGGACAACATGTAAGAACTGGGGCCAGAAACAAGCTAGGAAAAAAGAATGCAGAACCTTCAGCCCTGAGAGCTGAAGAGATGGACATGAGGCATGAGGGGCAGGGAAGAAAGCACAGGACCTGCCATTTCCAACAGGTGCAGGCACTTGCAGTCCCGCCTCTGTGTCCTCCCCCTCTGTGCCATCCGGTCTTCCACATTTGGGCAGAGAAAGAAACACAAGGCAGGAGGCACATATCACAGAGTTCTAAATGAAGTTCAAGCAGCACCAACTGGGAAGTGGAAAATTTCCCACAGTTCACCAGAAGGAATTTTAGTGTGGTCCGTTAGAGATCTGGAATTGAAGAAACATAAATTCAGTCCATTAGAGATCTGGAATTGAAGAAACATAAATTCAGTGCTGGTCCATATGCTGACAAAGCAAATTGAAAACTAAACTCCACATTCCTCGACAGATATCCTGTATTTTCAGAGCAATAAATAGAACATAGAAACATGAATTTTAAGCACTTTTTTGTCATGCTTCTTTTAAGGATGATTGGGGGAAGTGATTAGTCACAAATGAAAAGGAAAGGGTTATTTTTATAGAGAAATACGAGCTTTCTGCTGAAGTCTTTAAAAGTGTTAGGGTAAAATTCCCAGTGTTCAGATATATTTATAGATCATATGAAGTGGGGGAAGAAGAGTGTGAAGAAGAGAAAAAAATTTGTAAGATGAGTCATTTAACTCTTTTTTATAAATGTACCAACCCACTTAATACACCCATTCCCAGTCTTTTTGTGAATCATTTGTTTCATTTCATATTTTAACCCTGTTGAGTTTAAGTATGATAAAGAAAACCACATAGAAGATGAAATTCAGACTTGAGGTGAATGTTTAGAATCATGCACTTACTTATCAAATACGTATGGAGTTGCTTACTATGTGCTAGGAACTGTTTTAAGAGCCTCATGTCATGTAATTAAGTCTTTCTTGAGTAGTTATGAAGTACATCTGAGAAAGAACTAAGCACTAAAGTATAAAAGTTGATACAGGAAATACTAGGAAAGTTACGATTCAAAAAAATAATGCAAGCAATATGTTAACAACTGGCAACTTTATTTTACTCATCTTACTTCTACAGAGCGGCTCCTCTCCTGAACATTTTGTTCCTTTGTTCTTGGTATTTTGGTGAGGAAAAGAACTCTGTGTCTCAAGGCTTGCCTAGCTTTAGTACTTTGTCTCTCCAAGGGGATGCTTGCATTAATGATTTTCTCACTGCTGCGATTATAAAGAAAAAAATTGCTTACATTTATATGTTGCTTTTTTATTTTATTTTACTTTAAGTTCTGGGATACATATGCAGAATGTGCAGGTTTGTTACATAGGTACATGTGCCATGGTGGTTTGCTGCACCTATCAACCTGTCATCTAGGTTTTAAGCCCCGTATGTATTAGGTATTTGTCCTAATGCTATCCCTCCCCTAGCCCCCAACCCCGTGACAGGCCTCGGTGTGTGATGTTCCCCTCCCTGTGTCCATGTGTCCTCATTGTTCAACTCCCACTTATGAGTGAGAACATGTGGTGTTTGGTTTTCTGTTCCTGTGTTAGTTTTCTGAGAATGATGGCTTCCAGCTTCTTCCACATCCCTGCAAATGGTGTGAACTCATCCTTTTTTATGGGTACATAGTATTCCATATTGTATATGTGCCACAGTTTCCTTATCCAGTCTATCATTGATATGCATTTGAGTTGGTTCCAACACTTTGTTATTATGAATAGTGCTGCAATAAACATATGTGTGCATGTGTCTTTATAGTAGAATCATTTATAATCCTTTGAATATATACCCAGTAATGGGATTGCTGGGTTAAATGTTATATCTGGTTCTAGATTCTTGAGGAATCGCCACACTGTCTTCTACAATGGTTGAACTAACTTACACTCCCAGCAGTGTAAAAGCGTTCCTGTTTCTCCACAACCTCACCAGCATCTGTTGTTTCCTGACTTTTTAATGATTGCCATTCTAACTGTTGTGAGATGGTATCTCATTGTGGCTTTGATTTGAATTTCTCCATTTTCTCCCATTCTGTAGGTTGCCTGTTTACTCTGATGATAGTTTCTTTTGCTGTGCACAAGCTCTACAGTTTAATTAAATCCCATTTGTCAATTTTGGCTTTCATTGCAATTGCTTTTTTGCTTTTCTAAAGTTCTTTTATATATGTTATTTCATAGGTTTCTATGAAAACATTTATGTAAATATGCAAATTAATAATACCCAAATTTATTTAATTGTAATATTTTTACACTTCCCAATTACCAAAACTTTCCATAGATATATGATAGCAGTTTCCTATAATTGCAGTATCCCCAAGTCTTCATTATTTTCTTTTCATCTACCAGAATCTTCTCTTTTCAAGAGTGTGTCTTATCCATTCTGTTGGATCTTCCTTTGGAACTTTTACCTGTTTCTGACTGCTGTGTTTCCACTCAATCAATAACATTATTGACACAATTGTGATTCTGTCTTCCTTCCTTCTTCAATTTGCCCACACCTAGACAACTTTTATTCAGAGACCCAGTATTGTTGGCTTTCCTCCAGCCTCTCTCCACCTTTTGGTCAAAAGTTTGCTATTGGCCCTGAACACTTCATTGCTGGCCAGCAATAGGCAGTGTGAGTCTCCCATGGATGGCTGCCATCTGAGCATGTCAATTTCCTGAGCAAAAGCTTCATCCTCAAGTCCATCCCTTCCTATAGTTCTGCTTCTTTATTTCTTTACATTATATGAACAGGGGATCTCCCTTAATTCATTCATCTGATAAATTATGTGTTTGTTGAGCTGCTGGTAAATGCCAGGCACAAGTGTGTTACCACTACAGATCCAACAATGAACAAAACAGGGATCATCCAAGTTCTCATGGAGCAATGGGAAGTAAATGATTATTGTTTGGATTGTCCTAAGCACCATGAAGGAAATGAACAAGGATCACTGAGGGATTGACATATTCTGTTGGTTTGAAGCAAATCACAGGTTCCACCTGCACTCTTGGGGAGGAGATAATGCAGGACCTATTGTTATAGGGCAGAGACCAAGGACGCCATCTTAGAATTCTGTTTACAACAATATCCCTCATAGGGCTGCTATAATAAGGTATACTAAATAAAATCATGTGGGCCAGGCACAGTAGCTCACGCCTGTAAACCCAGCACTTTGGGAGGCCAAGGTGGGCAGATCACTTGAGGTCAGGAATTCAAGACCAGCCTAACCAACATGGTGAAACCCTGTCTCTACTAAAAATACAAAAATAGCCAGGTGTTGTGGTGCATATCTGTAATCCCAGCTACTCGGGAGGCTGAGGCATGAGAATCACTTGAAACCAGGAGGCAGAGTTTGCAGTGAGCTGAGATTGTGCCACTGCACTCCAGCCTGGGTGACAGACCGAGACCCCATCTCCCAAAACAAATAATAAAAAATAAAATCATGTATATAAAGCACTTAACCCAGTGTCTGGCAGGTGGTAAGCACTCAACAGTGAGCTATAATTATACCGCTTCTTTGCTGTACTTTTAAAAATTTACTGCCAGAAGGATGTCAGCTACTTATAACTAAGCACTGGCAGCACCTTCCAATCACCGTCACAAGAGTGTCTCTTAAATATCTTTCCTGGGATCTTTATCTCTCTCTGCTAGTCACTTGATTGGTTTCCCCACCAGCTGGCACTAGGATACAAGACCCCATCATTGGCATCTTCTCAGGCACATTATATCATGGGTGTTCTTAAGGAGAAAATTATATTTGTCTGTTCAAGTTTCTTCTATAGTCCTGAACATCGTAAGTGTCTTCCCACCCCATCCTTTGGCACATTTGTTACTTCCCCACTGCTGTCTTGAACCTCTGCAGCATCCATGCCATGGCCTCTGCTGTTCTTTGCAGCTTTGCAGCAAGTTCGTCTTGAAACCTCTTGGAACGATGTTTAAAACATCAGCAGCTTCCAAAGTCTAATTTTCTTTTGCTTAAGTGAAAAGACTGCCACTGTCCTTGCATCATTGGACTGATCATGTCTGTACCCAAGATTCTCAGCATCCCATGGGAGCTTGACCTGTGTAAAAAGGAACCTAAAAGCTCATTGCCTGAATGGCAAAATAAATCTAGGGTTCCAAGAGATGCTGTTGTTATTGTGTGAATCTGTCAGAAGGTGGGCATGAAAAATGGTGCAGATCTAGAAAGGAGGATTCAGCCTCAAGGAGAGAAAATGGAAGAGACCCTAAGAAGAAGCCATAATATATACTAGCCAGGTTAAGTTCAGAGATAGACTCCTACAGCCTGGTGCCCAGAATGACATCGTGTGAACTGATAGCCTTGAAAAGGGATTAAAGCAAAGAAAGGGAGAACTCGGGTTTGCTTAAACATCACTGCACCCAGACCCATAGGTGGAAATGGTGAATGGTCTGGCAGGTGAGGAAGGACAGTGCACTGGAGGGAGAAAGTGTCCTACCACATGAGATAATTTTTGCATCTTTAACCTCAGCTTTATTCAACTTAAAAGTGGCACTCTTTTTGCCAGCTGGCATACTGTCATGAGTGACTCAACCTTTTAGCAACTAATTCTGGCAAATTTGTTTCTGAAGTGTGAGTCATCCTAGTGAACCCTATTGCAGATCTTCTGAGTACCATTCACAGCATTTTTCTATGTGTGCCCTGGCTGACTCAGGCCATTGCAGACGTCAACTATTTTGACACTGCTGCTATATTATTTGACTGCTAACTGAACCCTAACTTGCATTATTTCCCTTCTCTCTCTACTTTTCCTGCTTCCAAAGCAGTCTCTTAAAGAATTCTGCTTTCAAAAAATCTGTTTATGCAAAAATCATACACACATAAATATATATATATATACATACATTAAAATGTTTACCTATACTAGTGGTTGTCCCTGGATAGTAGGTGCACTTGTTTCCCATTGACACGGTTTGGCTCTGTGTCCCTACCCAAATCTTATCTCGATTTGTAATTCCCATATGTCAAGGGAGGGAAGTGATTGGATCATGCGGTTTCATCCATGCTGTTCTCATGACAGTGAGTTCTCACGAAATCTGATGGTTTTTTAAGTGTTTAGAAGCTCCTCCTTTGCTCTTCTCTCTCTTGCTGCCTTGTGAAAAAGGTGCTTGCTTCCCCTTCGCCTTCTGCCGTGATTGTAAGTTTCCTAAGACCTCCCCAGCCATATGGAACTGTGAGCCAATTAAACCTATTTCCTTTATAAATTACTCAGTCTCAGGTATTTCTTTATAGCAGTGTGAAAAAGGACTAATACACCCATAGTTGTTGTAACAAATTACCACTAATATGGTGGCTTCAAACAGCACCAGTTTGTTATCTTACAATGCTGTCATTAGTGATATGGTTTAGAATTTGTCCTCTCCAAATCTCATGTTGAAACTTGACCCCCAGTGTTGAATATGGGGCCTAGTGAATGGTGTTTGGGTAATGGGGTTGATCCCTCAAGAATGGCTTGACGCTTTCCTCACAGTAATGAGTGAGTTCTCACTCTGTTAGCTCATGTGAGAGCTGTTTGTTTAGAAAAGCCTGACATCTTTCTCGCTCCTTCTCTTGCCATGTGATGCCTGCTTCCCCTTTGCCTTCAGCCATGAGGAAAAGCTTCCTGAGGCCCACCAGAAGCGAATGTTGTCATTATGCGTCTTGTGCAGTCTGCAGAAATGTGGGCCCAACATAAACCTCTTTTCATTATAAATTACTGACCCTCATGCAGTATTCCTTTATAGCAATGCAAAATGGACTAATATAGTCAGGAAATCCAAACTGAGTTTCACTGGGTTAAAATCCAGATGTCAGCAAAGATGCATTTCTTTCTAGAGGCTCTAGGGGAGAATCTGTTTCTTTGTCCTTCCAGTTGCTAGAGGCTGCCTGCATTCCTTGGCTCATGGCCCCTTCCTCTGTTTTCAAAGCCAGCCCAACCTTCTGATGCAGCCATCTCTCTGGTCTGTCTTCTGACTTCCTCTTTCATTTGTAAGGACCCTTGTGATTACACTGGGCCCACCTAGTTCAAGAGAATAATTTTCTTACTTTTTTTTTTATTTTTTATTATACTTTAAGTTTTAGGGTACATGTGCACAATGTGCAGGTTAGTTACATATGTATACATGTGCCATGCTGGTGCGCTGCACCCACTAACTCATCATCTAGCATTAGGTATATCTCCCAATGCTATCCCTCCCCCCTCCCCCCACCCCACAACAGTCCCCAGAGTGTGATGTTCCCCTTCCTGTGTCCATGTGTTCTCATTGTTCAATTCCCACCTATGAGTGAGAATATGCGGTGTTTGGTTTTTTGTTCTTGCAATAGTTTACTGAGAATGATGATTTCCAATTTCATCCATGTCCCTACAAAGGACATGAACTCATCATTTTTTATGGGTGCATAGTATTCCATGGTGTATATGTGCCACATTTTCTTAATCCAGTCTATCATTGTTGGACATTTGGGTTGGTTCCAAGTCTTTGCTATTGTGAATAATGCTGCAATAAACATACATGTCCATGTGTCTTTATAGCAGCATGATTTATATAGTCCTTTGGGTATATACCCAGTAATGGGATGGCTGGGTCAAATGGTATTTCTAGTTCTAGATCCCTGAGGAATCGCCACACTGACTTCCACAATGGTTGAACTAGTTTACAGTCCCACCAACAGTATAAAAGTGTTCCTATTTCTCCACATCCTCTCCAGCACCTGTTGTTTCCTGACTTTTTAATGATTGCCATTCTAACTGGTGTGAGATGGTATCTCACTGTGGTTTTGATTTGCATTTCTCTGATGGCCAGTGATAGTGAGCATTTTTTCATGTGTTTTTTGGCTGCATAAATGTCTTCTTTTGAGAAGTGTCTGTTCATGTCCTTCGCCCACTTTTTGATGGGGTTGTTTGTTTTTTTCTTGTAAATTTGTTTGGGTTCATTGTAGATTCTGGATATTAGCCCTTTGTCAGATGAGCAGGTTGTGAAAATTTTCTCCCGTTTTGTGGGTTGCCTGTTCACTCTGATGGTAGTTTCTTTTGCTGTGCAGAAGCTCTTTAGTTTAGTTAGATCCCATTTGTCAATTTTGGCTTTTGTTGCCATTGCTTTTGGTGTTTTAGACATGAAGTCCTTGCCCATGCCTATGTCCTGAATGGTAATGCCTAGGTTTTCTTCTACTAGGGTTTTTATGGTTTTTGGTCTAATGTTTAAGTCTTTAATCCATCTTGAATTGATTTTTGTATAAGGTGTAAGGAAGGGATCAAATTTCAGCTTTCTACATATGGCTAGCCAGTTTTCCCAGCACCATTTATTAAATAGGGAAGCCTTTCCCCATTGCTTGTTTTTCTCAGTTTTGTCAAAGATCAGATAGTTGTAGATATGTGGTGTTATTTCTGAGGGCTCTGTTCTGTTCCATTGATCTATATCTCTGTTTTGGTACCAGTACCATGCTGTTTTGGTTACTGTAGCCTTGTAGTACAGTTTGAAGTCAGGTGGTGTGATGCCTCCAGCTTTGTTCTTTTGGCTTAGGATTGACTTGGCGATGTGGGCTCTTTTTTGGTTCCATATGAACTTTGAAGTAGTTTTTTCCAATTCTGTGAAGAAAATCATTGGTAGCTTGATGGGGATGGCATTGAATCCGTAAATTACCTTGGGCAGTATGGCCATTTTCACCATATTGATTCTTCCTACCCATGAGCATGGAATGTTCTTCCATTTGTTTCTATCCTCTTTTATTTCCTTGAGCAGTAGTTTGTAGTTCTCCTTGAAGAGGTCCTTCACATCCCTTGTAAGTTGGATTCCTAGGTATTTTATTCTCTTTGAAGCAATTGTGAATGGGAGTTCACTCATGATTTGGCTCTCTGTTTGTCTATTGTTAGTGTATAAGAATGCTTGTGATTTTTGTACATTGATTTTGTATCCTGAGACTTTGCTGAAGTTGCTTATCAGCTTAAGGAGATTTTGGGCTGAGACAATGGGGTTTTCTAGATATAAAATCATGTCATCTGCAAACAGGGACAATTTGACTTCCTCTTTTCCTAATTGAATACCCTTTATTTCCTTCTCCTGCCTAATTGCCCTGGCCAGAACTTCCAACACTATGTTGAATAGGAGTGGTGAGAGAAGTCATCTCTGTCCTGTGCCAGTTTTCAAAGGGAATGCTTCCAGTTTTTGCCCATTCAGTATGATATTGGCTGTGGGTTTGTCATAGATAGCTCTTATTATTTTGAAATATGTCCCATCAATACCTAATTTATTGAGAGTTTTTAGCATGAAGCGTTGTTGAATTTTGTCAAAGGCCTTTTCTGCATCTATTGAGATAATCCTGTGTTTTTTTATTTGGTTCCGTTTATATGCTGGATTCCATTTATTGATTTGTGTATATTGAACCACCCTTGCATCCCAGGGATGAAGCCTACTTGATCATGATGGATAAGCTTTTTGATGTGCTGCTGGATTCGTTTTGCCAGTATTTTATTGAGGATTTTCGCATCAATGTTCATCAAGGATATTGGTCTAAAATTCTCTTTTTTGTTGTGTCTCTGCCCGGCTTTGGTATCAGGATGATGCTGGCCTCATAAAATGAGTTAGGGAGGATTCCCTCTTTTTCTATTGATTGGAATAGTTTCAGAAGGAATGGTACCAGTTCCTCCTGGTACCTCTGGTAAACTTCGGCTGTGAATCCATCTGGTCCTGGACTCTTTTTGGTTGGTAAGCTATTGATTATTGCCACAATTTCAGATCCTGTTATTGGTCTATTCGGAGATTCAACTTCTTCCTGGTTTAGTCTTGGGAGAGTGTATGTGTGGAGGAATTTATCCATTTCTTCTAGATTTTCTAGTTTATTTGCATAGAGGTGTTTGTAGTATTCTCTGATGGTAGTTTGTATTTCTGTGGGATCGGTGGTGATATCCCCTTTATCATTTTTTATTGTGTCTATTTGATTCTTCTCTCTTTTTTTCTTTATTAGTCTTGCTAGCGGTCTATCAATTTTGTTGATCCTTTCAAAAAACCAGCTCCTGGATTCATTAATTTTTTGAAGGGTTTTTTGTGTCTGTATTTCCTTCAGTTCTGCTCTGATTTTAGTTATTTCTTGCCTCCTGCTAGCTTTTGAATGTGTTTGCTCTTGCTTTTCTAGTTCTTTTAATTGTGATGTTAGGGTGTCAATTTTGGATCTTTCCTGCTTTCTCTTGTGGGCATTTAGTGCTATAAATTTCCCTCTACACACTGCTTTGAAGGCATCCCAGAGATTCTGGTATGTTGTGTCTTTGTTCTCGTTGGTTTCAAAGAACATCTTTATTGCTGCCTTCATTTCGTTATGTACCCAGTAGTCATTCAGGAGCAGGTTGTTCAGTTTCCATGTAGTTGAGCGGTTTTGAGTGAGATTCTTAATCCTGAGTTCTAGTTTGATTGCACTGTGGTCTGAGAGATAGTTTGTTATAATTTCTGTTCTTTTACATTTGCTGAGGAGAGCTTTACTTCCAAGTATGTGGTCAATTTTGGTATAGGTGTGGTGTGGTGCTGAAAAAAATGTATATTCTGTTGATTTGGGGTGGAGAGGTCTTTAGATGTCCATTAGGTCTGCTTGGTGCAGAGCTGAGTTCAGTTCCTGGGTATCCTTGTTGACTTTCTGTCTCGTTGATCTGTCTAATGTTGACAGTGGGGTGTTGAAGTCTCCCATTATTAATGTGTGGGAGTCTAAGTCTCTTTGTAGGTCACTCAGGACTTGCTTTATGAATTTGGGTGCTCCTGTATTGGGTGCATATATATTTAGGATAGTTAGCTCTTCTTGTTGAATTGATCCCTTTACCAGTATGTAATGGCCTTCTTTGTCTCTTTTGATCTTTGTTGGTTTAAAGTCTGTTTTATCAGAGACTAGGATTGCAACCCCTGCCTTTTTTTGTTTTCCATTTGCTTGGTAGATCTTCCTCCATCCTTTTATTTTGAGCCTATGTGTGTCTCTGCACGTGAGATGGGTTTCCTGAATACAGCACACTGATGGGTCTTGACTCTTTATCCAATTTGCCAGTCTGTGTCTTTTAATTGGAGCATTTAGTCCATTTACATTTAAAGTTAATATTGTTATGTGTGAATTTGATCCTGTCATTATGATGTTAGCTGGTTATTTTGCTCATTAGTTGATGCAGTTTCTTCCTAGTCTGGATGGTCTTTGTATTTTGGCATGATTTTGCAGTGGCTGGTACCGGTTGTTCCTTTCCATGTTTAGCGCTTCCTTCAGGAACTCTTTTAGGGCAGGCCTGGTGGTGACAGAATCTCTCAGCATTTGCTTCTCTGTAAAGTATTTTATTTCTCCTTCACTTATGAAGCTTAGTTTGGCTGGATATGAATTTCTGGGTTGAAAATTCTTTTCTTTAAGAATGTTGAATATTGGCCTCCACTCTCTTCTGGCTTGTACGGTTTCTGCTGAGACATCCGCTATTAGTCTGATGGGCTTCCCTTTGAGGGTAACCCAACCTTTCTCTCTGGCTGCCCTTAACATTTTTTCCTTCATTTCAACTTTGGTGAATCTGACAATTATGTGTCTTGGAGTTGCTCTTCTCGAGGAGTATCTTCATGGCATTCTCTGTGTTTCCTGAATCTGAATGTTGGCCTGCCTTGCTAGATTGGGGAAGTTCTCCTGAATAATATCCTGCAGAGTGTTTTCCAACTTGGTTCCATTCTCCCCGTCACTTTCAGGTACACCAATCAGGCGTAGATTTGGTCTTTTCACATAGTCCCATATTTCTTGGGGGCTTTGCTCATTTCTTTTTATTCTTTTTTCTCTAAACTTCCCTTCTCACTTCATTTCATTCATTTCATCTTCCATCGCTGATACCCTTTCTTCCAGTTGATCGCATCGGCTCCTGAGGCTTCTGCATTCTTCACGTGGTTCTCGAGCCTTGGTTTTCAGCTCCATCAGCTCCTTTAAGCACTTCTCTGTATTGGTTATTCTAGTTATACATTCTTCTAAATTTTTTTCAAAGTTTTCAACTTCTTTGCCTTTGGTTTGAATGTCCTCCCATAGCTCAGAGTAATTTGATCGTCTGAAGCCTTCTTCTCTCAGCTCGTCAAAGTCATTCTCCATCCAGCTTTGTTCCATTGCTGGTGAGGAACCGCATTCCTTTGGAAGAGGAGAGGCGCTCTGCTTTTTAGAGTTTCCAGTTTTTCTGCTCTGTTTTTTCCCCATCTTTGTGGTTTTATCTACTTTTGGTCTTTGATGATGGTGATGTACAGATGGGTTTTTGGTGTGGATGTCCTTTCTGTTTGTTAGTTTTCCTTCTAACAGAGAGAACCCTCAGCTGCAGGTCTGTTGGAGTACCTGGCCGTGTGAGGTGTCAGTCTTCCCCTGCCGGGGGGTGCCTCCCAGTTAGGCTGCTCGGGAGTCAGGGGTCAGGGACCCACTTGAGGAGGCAGTCTGCCCGTTCTCAGATCTCCAGCTGTGTGCTGGGAGAACCACTGCTCTCTTCAAAGCTGTCAGACAGGGACATTTAAGTCTGCAGAGGTTACTGCTGTCTTTTTGTTTGTCTGTTCCCTTCCCCCAGAGGTGGAGCCTACAGAGGCAGGCAGGCCTCCTTGAGCTGTGGTGGGCTCCACCCAGTTTGAGCTTCCCAGCTGCTTTGTTTACCTAAGCAAGCCTGGGCAATGGCGGGCGCCCCTCCCCCAGCCTCACTGCTGCCTTGCAGTTTGATCTCAGACTGCTGTGCTAGCAGTGAGACTCTGTGGGCGTAGGACCCTCTGAGCCATGTGCGGGATATAATCTCCTGGTGCACCGTTTTTTAAGCCTGTCGGAAAAGCGCAGTATTGGGGTGGGAGTGACCCAATTTTCCAGGTGCCATCTGTCACCCCTTTCTTTGACTAGGAAAGGGAACTCCCTGACCCCTTGCGCTTCCCGAGTGAGGCAATGCCTCGCCCTGCCTCGGCTCCCGCACGGTGCGCGCACCCGCTGACCTGCGCCCACTGTCTGGCACTCCCTAGTGAGATGAGCCCGGTACCTCAGATGGAAATGCAGAAATCACCCGTCTTCTGTGTCGCTCACGCTGGGAGCTGTAGACCGGAGCTGTTCCTATTCGGCCATCTTGGCTCCTCCAGTTTTCCTACTTTAAGGCAGCTAATTAGCAACCTTAATTCCATCTGAAACTTTAATTCCCCTTTGCCACATAGCCTACCATATTCAGAGGCTCCAGGATTAGGATATGGACACCTGTGTTGGCCATTATTCTGCCCACCACAATAGGATCATGGGTTGTTGCTATTGTTTATTTACCTCACATATATTTTTAAATTTCCACATGATAAACATATATTATTCACATAAATTTTTTTAATGAGCTCACAAAATACTATAATTCTCTTATCCATAACCTCCCTTTCAATGTTCCTCCCCTAACACTACCACCACCCTGTATCTTAAGCGGAAAAAAAAAGTCACTGAAATTTTCTCTAGGTGGTTACTCTTTCATGACCACTTGTGTCTTTTAACAGCTTCATTGTGTCCCCACAGTTGCCTTTGACTTGCTCTTTGTTTTTACTATTTCTTCTACTTCTGTGGTTGGGAGCAGGGGCAATGTTTGTTTTTAAAATCTTCTCTATCAGAGTCACCATCGACGCTTTACTTGGGAGTATTTTGACAGGTTTATAACATATACTTCCAGTCTCTGATATTTAGAAAAGAGAATCAGAATTCTCTCTATCCATCTTGCCTCTTAGGATAATAATAGCTTATACATAGCATTTATGATGTTTCTGGCACTGTTTTAAACACACTTTAGATATATTCAACTAACTCATTTGCAATACACAACAATCCAGTGAGACAGCTGCTATCATTGTAGCCATTTTAAAGATAGAAATGAGGCATGGAGGAAGGACAAGAAAGTGTGGCACAGAGGATAAGTAACTTTACTAAGGCCTCATAGCTACTAAGAGATGTAGCTGGAATTCCAACTCCAGAATTCATCTTCTTACATATTTTGCTATATTTATACTCTTATATTTTTATATCTTCCTGTTCCAACATTTTAAAAATTTGTGATAACTGTTTTTGTCTCTCATCCCTTCTGCTTAAATTAACATTTTTTGGAAACTAATTTCTTTTATTAGCATAGCAAAATTAGAAAACAAAGTACAGCATCAGCTGGGTGCGGTGGCTCACACCTGTAATCTCAGCACTTTGGGAGGCCACGGCAGGCAGATCACGAGGTCAGGAGTTCGAGACCAGCCTGGCCAATATGGTGAAACCCTGTCTCTACTAAAAAAATAACAAAAATTAGCTGGGTGTGGTGGCGTGTGCCTATAGTTCCAGCTACTTGGGAGGCTGAGGCAGGAGAATTGCTTGAACCTGGGAGGCAGAGGTTGCAGTGAGCCGATCACGCCCCACTGCACTCCAGCCTGGGCAACAGAGTGAGGCTTTGTCTCAAAAAAAAAAAAAAAAAAAAAAAAAGAAAGTACAGCATCTTTTACAATCTTTATTCTAGGCACATAAATGCTGTGGATTCTGTTAGTAGTTACTCTTTTTTGGAAGAATATTTAAGCTGATTCTAAGTATTTGGTTTCCAGTCACTTTTGTGTTATTTCTGGTTTCATTTGACTACTTTCTGCAACATAATTAAATCCTGTTCTATCATAATCAAGACAAATATTATACACCAAAATAGATGTTTCTTTTATATTAATTTTGGGAAGGAAGAAAGGAAACCAACATATATTGATTGGCTCTTAAGCTAAAAAGCAGAAAGTACTTTTTCAAATGTCTCATTTAACCTTTGCAATAGAGTTGTAAAACAGGTGGTATGATCCCTATTTTGCAGTTGAGAAATGAGACTTTGGAGAATAATTATATCTACCCTTTACTGATGGCATCCAACACTGTTTTTATGCATTATTTTAGTTGATTCTTAGAACAATCATATGATATGGTATTACAAATGAGGAAACTGAGGCTTAAAGAGGTTAAATAAATTGTATAAGATCATATACCAAAGCTGGTTTCTCTGACTTCAAAGACTTATTTGCTTTACTCTATACCACACTGGGATCTTGGCTCCAACTTCTGTTGGAGAATCTGCTATTCTTGTGCTCTTTAATCTTTGTCTTCATGAATTTCTCTGAATTGGGATAAATTCAAATGCCTACATGGGCCCAGGAAGGGTAACAAAAGGAAGGGAGACAAGCCATGTGTCAAAAACACAGTGTTGGGTTGCAGCAACCAAGAAGGCTGAATAGAAACAGCTCCACTCTGCGACTCCCACGAAGGATGAAAATAGTGAGTGAATTCTGCATCTTCAATTGAGGTACCAAAGTTCTCTCATTGAGACCGACTAGGTGGTAGACATGACCCACAGAGAGCGAGGAAAAGCAGGATAGAGTAAGGGCCCATCTGGGAGCTTCATGCAGCAAAAGGAACTCCCTCCCTCCAGCCAAGGGAGGTGGTGAAGGATTGTGCTACCCTTCCCTGAAAACCACACTTTTCCCACAGATCCTTGCAACCCATACATCAGGAGGTTCCCTCATTGAGCCCATGTCACCAGGGCCTTGGGCCCCAAGAAAAGAGCTGTGCAGACTCATGGGGACTGCTCAGTGTGCGGCCACTCGAGCAGGCACTGAGACATGGGAGTTTTTGCATACTCTGGCTCCAGGAACCCCAGTGAGACAGGAGATCCATCCATTCCTGTGGGAAGGGGTTTGAAGCCAGGGAGCCAAGTGGCGTTGTTCCCATGGAAACCCACTGGCTTGGAATCCCCATCAGCCAGCACGGCGGGCTAGAGACTGACTAAGAAGACCAAGTTCCGGGGTTGGGAGAGGCAACCGTCATCACTGTGGCTCCAGTCCGCCGTTTTCCCCTGCCACTGGTGCCAGTGAGACTGGGCAGTTTGGATGAGGAGTAATTCACCACAGTGCAGCACAGGAGCTGGGACAGTTCGTGACCAGACTGTTCCTTTAAGCAGGACCCCAATCCACTCCTCTTCACCAGGCTGGGGCTCCCTGTGGAAATTTCAGCATCCCCAGCCAGGGGTTTATGGACAGAACTCTGATATCCCTGAGAGGAGCCCCTAGGAGGAGTAGTGGCTGCAGGATCATGGATCAGCAGTCTTAATCTTTTCTGCCTGCTGGCTCTGGAGGGTCAAGGCAGCCCAGATGAGAAGGATTACCCCCAGAGCAGCACACTTGCTCTGCCAAGGGGCAGCCAGACTGCTTATTTCAGTGGGTTCCTGATCCCACTCCTCTTGTCTGGATGAGATCTCCCAGTAGAAGTCTCCAGACACCTCACAAAGGAGCATTCCGGCCAGCATCAGATCAGTGCCCCGGCAGGGACAGAGCTCACAGAGGAAGGAGCAGGCTTCCATCTTTTCTGTTCCTCAGCTTCCATTGGTGTTACTTCCAGGGGCAGGAGAGACCCAAGAAAATGGGGTCTGGAGTGGGACCCCAGCAGCCCTATGGAAGAGAGGCCTGACTGCTAAAAGAAAAACAAACAGAAAGCAACAACATCAATGAAAAAGACCCCAAAAAACCCTGTCCAAAGGTCAGCAGACTCAAAGGTCAAAGGTAGATAAACCCATGAAGACGAGAAAAAATCAACACACAAAAATACTGAAAACTCAAAAAGCTAGAGTGTCTCTAATCCCAATGATTGCAACATGTCTCCAGCAAGGGCACAGAACTGGACTGAGGCTGAGACGGATGAATTGACAGAAGTAGTCTTCAGAAGATAGGTAATAATGAACTTTGCTGAGCTGAAGGAGTATGTTCTAACTAATTGCAAAGTTAAAAACCATGATAAAATATTACAGGAGATGTTCATCAGAATATCCAGTTTAGAGAAGAACATAAATGATCTGATAGAGCTGAAAAACACAACACGAGAACTTCACAATGCAAACACAAGTATCAATGGCCAAATAGACCAAGTGGAAGAAAGGATATTAGAACTTAAAGATTATCTTGCTAAAATAAGACATGCAGACAAGATTAGAGAAAAAAAGAATGCAAAGGAATGAACAAAACCTCCAAAAACTATGGGATTATGTAAAGAGATTGAACTTATGACTGATGGGCTATCTGATAGAAACGGGGAGAACAAAACCAAATTGGAAAACACACTTCAGAATATCATCCAGGAGAACTTCCCCAAGCTAGCAAGACAGGCCAACATTCAAATTCAGAAAATCCAGAGAACCCCATAAGGAACCACATGAGAAGATCAACCCCAAGACACATAATCATCAGATTCGCCAAAGTAGAAATGAAGGAAAAAATGTTAAGGGCAGCCAGACAGAAAGGCCAGGTCACCTCTAAAAGGAAGCCCATCAGACTAACAGCAGACCTCTCAGTGGAAACCCTACAAGCCAGAAGAGATGGTGGGCCAATATTCAACATACTTAAAGGAAAGAATTTCCAACCCAGAATTTCATATCCACCAAACTAAGCTTCCTAAGTGAGAAATAAATAAAATCTTTTTCAGACAAGCAAATGCCGAGAAAATTTGTCACCACCAGGCCTGCCTTGCAAGAGCTTCTGAAGGAAGCACTAAATATGAAAAGAAAAAACTGTTACCAGCCACTCCAAAAATACACTGAAGTACACAAACTATTGACACTATGAAGCAACTACATAAACAAGTCTGCAAAATAACCAACTAGTATCATGATGACAGGATCAAATTCACACATAACAATATTAACCTTAAATGTAAATGGGCTAAATGCCCCAATTAAAAGACATAGAATGGCAAGCTGGATAAAGAGTCAAGATCCAGGATGGGTGTGGTGGCTCACACCTGTAATCCCAGCACTTTGGGAGGCCAAGGTGGGTGGATCATTTGAGATCAGGAGTTCGAGACCAGCCTAACCAACACGGTGAAACCCCATCTCTATTAAAATACAAAAATTAGCCAGGCATGGTGGCGCGTGCCTATAGTCCCAGCTACTTGGGAGGCTGAGGCAGAAGAATCACTTGAACCCGCAAGGCAGAGGTTGCAGTGAGCCAAGATTTCACCACTGCACTCCAGCCTAGGTGACAGAGTGAGACTCCCTCTCAAATAAATAAATTAATTAATTAAATTAAATAAAAAGCATCAAGATCCATTGTTGTGTTGTATTCAAGAGACCCATCTTACGTGCAAAGACATGCATAAACTCAAAATAAAAGGATAGAGGAAAATTTACCAAGCAAATGGGAAACAGAAAAAAGCAGGGGTTGCAATCCTAGTTTCTGCAAAACAGACTTTAAACCAACAAAGATAAAAAAGACAAGGGCATTACATAATGGTAAAGGGATCAATTCAACAAGAAGAGCTAACTAGTCTAAATATATATGCACCCAATACAGGAGCACCCAGATTCATAAAACAAGTTCTTAGAGACCTACAAAGAGACTAGACTCCGACACAATAATAGTGGGAGATGTTAACACCCCACTGTCAGTATTAGACAGATCATTGAGACAGAAAATTAACAAAGATATTCAGGACTTGAACTCAGCTCTGGATCAAGTGAACCTGATAGATATTTATGGAACTCTACCCTAAAGCAACAGAATATACATTCTATTCAACACCACATGGCACTTACTGTAAAATTGATCACATAATTGGAAGTAAATCACTCCTCAGCAAATACAAAAAAACAGAAATCTTAACAGTCTCTCAGACCACAGTGCAATCAAATTAGAACTCAAGATTTAAAAATTCATTCAAAACTACATAACTACATGGAAATTGAACAACCTGCTCCTGAATTACTCCAGGTTAAGTAATAAAATTAAGGCAGAAATCAAGAAGTTCTTTGAAACCAATGATAACAAAAAGGCAACATACCAGAATCTCTAGGATGCAGCTAAAGCAGTTTTAAGAGGGAAATTTATAGCACTAACTGTTCACATCAAAAAGCTAGAAAGATCTCAAATTGACACCCTAACAACACAACTAAAAGGAAGAGCAAAGAAACCCAAAAGCCAGCAGAAGACAAGACCAGAGTAGAACTGAAGAAGATAGAGACACGAAAAACCCTTCAAAAAATCAATGAATATAGGAGCTGGTTTTTTGAAAAAATTAATAAAGTAGACCACTGGCTAGACTAATAAAGAAGAAAAGAGGGAAGAATCAAATAGACACAATAAAAAATGATAAAGGGGATATCACCAGTGACCCCATAAAAATACAAACAACCATCAGAGAATATTGTAAACACCTCTATGCAAATAAACTAGAAAATCTAGAAGAAATGGACTAATTCCTGACACATACACCCTCTCAATACTGAACCAGGAAGAAGTTGAATTCCTGAAAAGATCAATAACAAGTTCTGAAATTGAGGCAGTAATAAATAGCCTACCAACCAAAAAAGCCCAGGACCAGATGGTTTTATAGCTGAATTCTACCAGAGCTCCAAAGAGGAGCTGATACCCTTTCTTCTGAAACTATTACAAGCAATTAAAAAGGGGGTACTCCTCCCTAACTCATTCATTGAGGCCAGCATCATCCTGATACCAAAACCTGGCAGAGATACAACAAAAAGAGAAAACTTCAAGCCAGACAAAAACCACAAGATTATCTCAATAGATGCAGAAAAGGCCTTCAATAAAATTCAACATCCCTTCATGCTAAAAAACTCTCAAAAAACCAGGTATTGAAGGAACATAATAATAAAAGCCATATATGACAACCCCACAGCCAATATCATACTGAATGGGAAAAACCTGGAAGCATTCCCCTTGAAAACCTGCACAAGATAAGGATGCCCTGTCTCACCTCTCCTATTCAATAGAGTATTGGAAGTTCTGGCTAGGGCAATCAGGCAAGAGGAAGAAATAAAGAGTATTCAATTAGGAAAAAAGGAAGTCAAATTTTTTGCAGATGACATGGTCCTATATCTAGAAAACCCCATCATCTCAGCCCAAGAGATTCTTGAGCTGATAAGCAACTTCAGCAGTCTCAGGATGCAAAATCAATGTGCAAAAATCACTAGCATCCCCATACATCAACAGGCAAGCTGAGAGCCAAATCATGAATGAACTCTAATTCACAACTGGTACAAAGAGAATAAAATACCTAGGAATATAGCTAACAAGGGAAGTGAAGGGCATCTTCAGGAAGAACTACAAAACACTGCTCAAGGAAATCAGAAAGGACACAAACAAATGGAAAAATATTCCATGCTCTTGGATAGGAAAAAGTCAATATCTTGAAAATGGCCATACTGCCCAAAGTAATTTATAGATTCAATGCTATACTCATTAAACTACCATTGTCATTCTTCGTAGAATTAGAAGAAACTATTTTAAAATTTGTATGGAAATAAAAAGGAACTCATATAGCAAAGACAATCCTAAGCACAAAGAACAAAGCTGGAGGCATCATGCTACCAAACTAGAAACTATACTACAAGGGTACAGTAACCAAAACAGCATGGTACTTGTACAAAAACAGACACATAAGACCAATGGAACATAATAGAGAACTAAGAAATAAGACCACACATTTACAACCATCTGGTCTTTGACAAACCTGACAAAAACAAGCAATGGGAAAAGGATTCCCTATTTAATAAATGGTGCTGGCAGAACTGGCTAGCTATATGCAGAAAATTGAAATTAGACACCTTCCTTACACCTTATACAAAAATTAACTCAAGATGGATTAAAGACTTAAATGTAAAACCCAAAGCTATAAAAGCCCTAGAAGCCACGCCTGTAATCCCAGCACTTTGGGAGGCCAAGGTGGGCGGATCACGAGGTCAGGAGATCCAGACCAGCCTGGCCAATGTGGTGAAACCCCGTCTGTAGTAAAAATACAAAAAATTAGCCGGACATGGTGGTGGGTGCCTGTAGTCCCAGCTACTTGGGAGACTGAGGCAGGAGAATGGTGTGAACCCGGGAGGTGGAGTTTGCAGTGAGCTGAGATCGCGCCTCTGCACTCAGCCTGGGGGACAGAGCAAGACTTCATCTCAAAAAAATAAAAAACCCTAGAAGAAAATCTAGGCAATACCATTCAGGACATAGGCATGGGCAAAGATTTCATGACTAAATTGCCAAAAGCAATTGCAACAAAAGCAAAACTGACAAATGGGATCTAATTAAACTAAAGAGCTTCTGCATAGCAAAAGAGACTATCATCAGAGTGAACAGACAACCTAGAGAGTGGGAGAACATTTTTGCAATTTATCCATCTGACAAAGGTCTAATGTCCAGGATCTACAATGAACTTAAACAAATTTATAACCAAAAAGCAAACAACCCCATTAAAAAGTGGGCAAAGGACATGTACAGAAACTTCTGAAAGGAAGACATTCATGCAGCCAACAAACATGAATAAAAGCTTAACATCATTGATCATTAGAGAAATGCAAATCAAACCCACAATGATATACTATCTCATGCCAGTCAGAATGGCAATTATTAAAAAGTCAAAAAAACTACAGCTGGTGAGGTTGGAGAGAAATGGAAAGCTTTTACACCGTTGGTGGGAATGTAAATTAGTTCAACCACTGTGGAAGATGGTGTGGCGATTCCTCAAAGATCTAGAACCAGAAATACCATTTGACCCAGAAATCCCATTATTGGGTATATACACAAAGGAATACAAATCTATTATAAAGATACATGCACATGTATGTTCATTGCAGCCCTATTCACAATAGCAAAGACATGGAATCAACCCAAATGCCCATCAATGATAAACTGGATAAAGAAAATATGGCACATATACACCATGGAATACTATGCAGTCATAAAAAGGAATAAAACCATGTCTTTTACAGGCAAATGAATGGAGCTGGAAGCCATAATCCTCAGCAAACTAACACAGGAACAGGAAACTAAACACCACGTGTTCTTACTTATAAATGGGAGCTAAACCATGAGAACACATGGACACAGGGAAGGGAACAACACACACTGGGGCCTTTAGGCAGGTTCAGGGGGAGAAAGAGCACTAGGAAAAGTATCTAATGCATGCTGGGCTTAATAACTAGGTGATAGACTGATAGGTGCAGCAAACCACCATGGCACACGTTTACCTATGTAACAAACCTGCATATCTTGCACATGTACCCTGGAACTTAACAACAAAAATTGAAAAACAAAAACCAGAGTGATGGAGCTCAATGGAAATGGCAACTGGTCCTAGGCCTCAACACCCAAGGGGCACAAGGATAGAACTGAATCACAACATAGTTGGTTTCCCTTGTAATTCTCTATATTTTAATTTATGTGTTTCAAAATACTATTCTGACAAGGAGGTTCACAGGGAGTCCATAATTGTGAGTCTGCATCCATGCATCAATATAAAGGTTAAGAAACTCAGTATCCAAAAGCAGTTGAGATTGGCTGGGGGCTCAGGGGCTGTGAAGTCCCCGTGTATGATTTCCACGTAGGAACACCAGTCCTGTGTTCTAGATCTTCAGATTTTTCAAGACAAGCCAGAAAGTTAGACTTTTAAATTACACTTTTTAATTTTTCAGTGATGGCAGTTAATTCAGTTCTTCACTCTTGGGCCTCTGCTCTAAACATCCCCATGCTCTGTCTTGTTCATTTTACCTATTTTCTTCTTCTTTTTCCCACAATTTCATGGAATCTCTTTTCCTCATTTTTACACCAGTTTTTAAAGAAATTGTATATTTCTAACTTTTAGTACTACCTTTTATTACACTGGTAACACCTGTTCTTTGCAGATAAATCAAAAAGTACGGTCAACAGAATTGGTGTCTGAACCAGATCTGTTAAGATCTCACACATTTAATCTCGACCCTCCTATGCCTCAGAATATGCCATTAAAGGGCAATATCATGCTACATTCAAATCGTCTCTCTTCTGGTTCAGAAGTTCTCTCACCACTGCTTCTTATTTCAATGAAAGCCTCAGAAAGGCCAGGTGTGGTGGCTCATACCTGTAATCCCAGCACTTTCGGAGGCCAAGGACAGCAGATTGCTTGAGCTCATGAGTTCAAGACCAGCCTCGCTAACAGGTTGAAATCCTGTCTCTACAAAAAATTCAAAAATTAGCTGGGCATGGTGGTGCGCACCTGTAGTCCCAGTTATTTGGGTGGCTGAGGCAAGAGAATCACTTGAACCCGCGAGGTAGACGTTGCAGTGAGCTGAGATCACACCACTGCACTCCAGCCAGATGACAGAGTGAGACATGGCCTCAAAATAAAATAAAATACAAAATAACCCTCAGGGCACGACCCTGTGTTTTCTTGGGCAAGTGTTACCAGTACTGTAATTATTGATCCTCTTTCATTTGGGGCCAGATGGGTCTGCTTCCTGCTCTTGGAAAGTTAGTTTGTCTGGTTGTTCTTTGTTCATCATTAAGACACCACCTGACTTAAATCCTTAAATATTATATGTATACAGTTAATACATTCCTATTGTCAAAACAAAACAAAGACTCATAAAGCAAATTCTTCTTCATTCTCCTCTTCAGTCTCCAAAGTAACATCTGACTCCCTTCACCAAAAATTGTTGTAAGATTGGCTCGTATCTTCCAGCCATTTTCTATAAATACATATATATATGTTCATATGCAAATATGTAGCTTGGATTTTGGACATAAATGTGATCATGTTTAATATTGAAAGGTGTTGCCTTTTTGTTTTTATATATTTGTGTCAATATATATACATCTACCTTGTTCTTTTTAAATACTGCTGAGTATTCCATATTGAGCATGCACCATAGTTTAAGTAGTTTACAGGTGATGTGTATTTAGGTTTTATTCAATTTAGCCCCATTATAAATAATGCTTTAATAACATCTTTGTATATGTAGGGTAGCAGAATATGCCATCCCCAAATATACCATTTTTGCATTAGGATTATTTTGAGCTGAAGGCAAGTGAAAAGAAGCTACTAAAAATACAAAAATTATCTGGGTGTGGTGGCAGGTCCCTGTAATCCCAGCTACTCAGGAGGCTGAGGCCGGAGAATCACTTGAACCTAGGAGGCGGAGGTTGCAGTGAGCCAAAATCATGCCACTGCACTCCAGCCTGGGCAAGAGCCACTGCTGTCCCCCTATTTGCCTAAAAGTAGGACATAAATTTGTAAAGGTGTCCTTCTTCTCCCCTTTACCAGGAAGGACACAAGTTAATCACTGGAGAAAATTCTAGACCCTTGTCAGCCGGAAGACTGCATCAACTTTATTAACTAGCCCTTATCTTCCATCAGTTTTCTTACAGATTTTCCTTCTTATAATTTGCTGCACTAGAAACTCAAAAAAATTTTTTTTTGTCTTCTTATGGCTCTAAAATTTATTGTTGTCATTGAGATGCTGTATAAGTGCAAGTTCCAACTAACCTTTGAGTTACTCAACTCTGAGTGCTCCCATATGTATGTGTGATGAACATGCTAATAAACTTGTTTGTTTTTGTTTTTCTCTTGTTAGTCTAATTTACAGGGCCTCAGCAAATGAACCTAAGATGGGTAGAGGAAAAATTTTTTTCCTCTTCTACATATATATGTCTTTGTTTATATGTGGGAGTATTTATCTAAGACAGACACTTCAGGATAGGATTACTAGATTGAAGATAATGCATTTACAATTTTGGCAGCTACTACAAAATTACTATCCAGGATAGCCTTTTAAAAATACATTTCTTTCAAGAGTTTCTAAAATGATGTAATTTTATTTTTTAAATTTTTTGTCAGTCTGATGAATACAAAATTAATTTCTCATTTTTAAAATTCACATTCTCCCAATTACTATTCAGATTATGCATCTTTTCTATGGTTAACATCTATTAACCTTTTTGTTCTAATTTTTGAATTACCTGTCCATATTTTTTGCCTATTTTTTCTGTTGGGTTGATTGTAAATTTTGGTTATAAAACTTTGGCTCATTAAATGGGTCAAAAATATTGTCCACTCTCTGATGGGGTTCAGGACATGCTACCTCAAAATTTGGTGTGTTGGCATTTGGAAAAACAGCAGAAGCAGGAAGGTCTCTATGGCCTTCCCCATCCTTATCCTCTGGAGTAGGCTATAAAACCTAGGAAGGATTGTCTGACCTTTCCCTGAAGCAGGTCATAAGACTCTCAGCTGAGGGGTACCCTCCCTATACCTAGAGGAAAGGAACATCCTTATCTCTGAAGAAGAAAGGTCACGAGAAGAATAAAAACTAATAGGACTTGCTAAATTTCCCTCAGTTTATTATCATTAGATTGTACTCTTTCTCCAATCCTATTTCTCCACAACTATCCACTTCATTAAACCTAACATGAAAATATGTACAATTAACCATTTCTTCAGGTCTTCCACTTCTTAAAAAGTCTCCTATGTCACATAAAACTTGTATTAAATAAGTTTCTATGCTTTTTTCTTGTTAATCTCTTTGTTTTAGGGTCTTTAGCCATGAACCTAGTGGTAGATAAAGAAAAGAATCTTTTTACTTTTTTTACACCTCTGTCATCTATCTTTTCATATGTTTTATAATAAGCTTTGTGATATATGCAAAAATGCTATGCATGTTTTAGTTGAAGCTTTCAATCATTTTTAAATGACTTTGAGGTTTATTTCTTGATTAGCAAAATCAAGAAATTTCAAAATAATGAAAATAGTTTTCTATGTTTTGTATCTAACAGTTTTATAGGCTCTTTTCCCCTTTAACTATTTAATCTACCTGAAATTTACTACTAATAAGTACTCCTGGTATTATATTTTTAAAACTGTTGTGTCTTTATCCTCCTTCTAAGCCAGATAAGTACCTTCCTATGCTTCCACTTCTCTCACTCTTCACTTCCATCTCCTCACACTGCCTCCATGGTTAAGCCCATCTGGAATTTTAGTTCCGTGGTGTCACCCTGACTCATCTTCCTCTCATACCTCACTTCCAATCTATTGGCAAATCTTGTTATTCTGATCTTCACCATGGATTCAGAATCTACTTCTTATCACCATCTTCATCATAACGACCCTGGTCCAAGTTCCACCATCTCTTGCATAGGTGGTTACGGTGATTTCTTCTCATGTCTCCTGCTTCCATCCTGCCTTTTGTTGTGGGCTGCATTATGCCCACCTCAAAAATTTATATGTTGAAGTCTTAACCCCCAATACCAAAGAGGGTAGATGTATTGGGAGACAGGTTTTTATAGCAGTGATTAAGTCAAAATGAAGGCCTTAGGGTGGACCCTAATCCAATGTGACTGGTGCATTTAGGATAAGAGATTTGGACACAGATATACAATGCACACGGGGAAGATGATGTGAAAACACAGAAAGGAGACAGTCATCTGCAAGCCAAGGAGACAGGCCTGGAATGGATCCTTTCCTCATGGCACTCAGAATGAGCAGACCCTGCCTACACATGGTTCTTGGACTTTCAGCCTCCAGAACTGTGAGGAAATGAATTCCTGTTGCTGAAGCCACCCAGTCAGTGGTATTCTGTGAAGGCAGACTAAGAAAACTAATGTACCCTTTATCACCGTATGTGCAACACAGCAGCCTGAGTGACCTGGTTAAAACCTAGGTCAACTTATTACCTTTTCTGTGTTCAAAATTCTCCAAAGGCTAAGAGCCCAGCCACTTTCATAGACCCACTGTGATCTGCTACCCCCACCCCACCCCGTCTCCACCGTCTCCTCTCCTGCAGTTCTCACCTCACCTGCTCTGCTCCAGCCACACTAGCTGTTTGGTGTCCCTCATCCTCCAGACCCTGGCTGCTGCCTCAGGGTATTTCCCTGGGCTGAGCCATCTGCCTTGGGTGTTGGTCCCACAGATATTCACTAGGCTGTCTCTCCTCGCTGTCTTCAGGCCCTGTTCAAGAACAACTTTTTCAGTGAGGCCTTCCCTGGCAATTTTGCCTAAAATTATAATCCCCCCACACCCCACTTTCTGGCCTCCTTGGCTGCTTTCTTAGTCTCCTTAGCCCATATTATTATCTAATATAGGGTATATTTTATTTATCTTTTGATATTGTCTGTCAACTTTCTAGAATATAAATTCCACTAAGAGCAAGGATTTTTGACTTTCATTCACTTTTTAATCTTCGGTGCCTAACACATAATTGGTGCGCAATAAATATTTATTGAGTGAATAAGTGAATTAGTGTATAAGGAAACATCCTACATCAACTAGAACCCTTCCTTCTTCCTAGATGAAAAGCCTTGGCAATGATACAGGATACTTTTGGTCCTGCTTCACCAGCCAGAAATCTCTGCAGTCAGTGGCACCTCTACCTAGGATGTGCTCGGCTCCTGCTACTGGCCCGGATCCTATGCCCATAATGGCTCTGGCTCAGTCTGCAGCTGGTCCAGGTGTGCTACGACCAGCTTCTGCCTTGGGCATTGGTGTCTGGACGAGGGGGACATGGTGCTGCCTGAAAACTAGGAGATGCCAGCAATCAGCAGAGCCCCAAAGGGGTGTACGGCTTTTGCTTGAGGAGTCCTGAGGTCTGAGCCCCTAGGAAGTGTTGTAGTTCATGTTCATTCCCTCCACCCGCAGCTTCAGTGAATGGGGACACATCACAGCTCATTCGGTCCCGCCACTCGCAGCTTGGCGAGAGGGGGCGTGTGGCACTCAGCGACTTTTTCTCCCCCATTGCTAGGCGAGCAGGAAGGAGGGTTAGAGTGTTACCACTCCTTTCTCATCTGCTGTTCAGCAGGTTCCAGATTCTTATCCAGAGTCCAAGAGGAATGAGGTGTGTGGACACCAGAGTGAGCAAGACGGAGAAGAATTTTATTGAGCGACAGAAGGAAATCTGTCAGCAGAGAGAGGACCCAAGAGCAGGTAGCCTTCTGTGTGAGAGGGGTCCCAAAATGGGTAGACCCATGTGCAGCAGAGCCCAGAGTTTTTATGGTCTCAGAATGGGGGAGTCTGTGCTACTTGGTCCATGAGCGGCCCTGGTAAAAGCACTATTTGATTGGCTAAAAGGCATGGAGGAAGTTCACGCTTCCTCCAGTTCCAGTCATGGACTCTACCACAAACTGGCAGTTCAGTCTTTGGGCTTTAGGCTCTCTTTGGCTTGAAGGTCGGGATTCACCTGTACCCATCTTTGTCTGCCCAGGAATTTGTCTGCCTTCTGCCACTATCAGTGATATTAATTTTATCATTCCCTTTCCACAAGTTTACACTGTAATATAAAACTTTGCTTGGTAGTAAAAGCACTTTTGCAAAATTAAGAGAATCCTGTAAGAGAAATCTGACATAGTTGACTCTACCTTTCTTCTAACCTCCAAGCTGTCCTTTATCATTCCTGGGTATAGACCAAGCTGACTTTGGGAGAAATTTAATTTATAGTTTAACCGTAAGGCAAGGATGATAATATTTCTTCCCAAAACTAAATTGCCTTTGTAAAACTAATAAAAGCCCACAAGGTTAGGATTATGAGAGGGGCCTGAATTCTGCTAAAATGTATGTCCAGTGAAATGATTACCAGCAATTGTTCCAGAGATAACAAGATTTGTAATTTCCCCAATTACTCCTGTAGATAACATCACTACTGTAGAACCTAAGATTGGTTTTTGAGATTTTTTTTCAGACTTTTGCATTTCTGACAACCAGCTGAGCTGCAACTGTCCACCCAGACCCGCAACTCATGACTCAACTGGTCCTGTGGCCCCTACCCAGAGGTGAACTCAGCGCAGGGGGACCTTTTTTCACACCCGTAAAATTTCATCCACAACCAGTCAACACTCCCCATTTCCTACCCCACTGCCTGCCAAATTATCACTGAAAAACCCTAATCTTTGAGCCTTCAGGGAGACTGATTTCAGTGATAACGCTGTATTCTGCATGGCTAGCCTTACATTAATTCAACTCTTTCTTTACTGAAATACCATGTCTTAGTGAACTGAGTTCTCAGTTAACTGGTTTTTGTTGTTGTTGTTGTTTTTGAGATGGAATCTCGTTCTCTCGCCCAGGCTGGAGTGCAGTGGTGCAATCTCGACTCACTGCAAGCTCCGCCTCCCGGGTTCATGCCATTCTCCTGCCTCAGCCTCCAGAGTAGCAGGGACTACAGGCGCCCGCCGCCACGCCTGGCTAATTTTTTGTATTTTTAGTAGAGACGGGGTTTCACCATGTTAGCCAGGATGGTCTCAATCTCCTGACCTTGTGATCTGCCCGCCTCAGCCTCCGAAAGTGCTAGGATTACAGGCGTGAGCTACCGCGCTCGGCCAGTTAACTGTTTTTAATCTGTGTAATCGGCAAGAAGAACCTGTCGGGCAATTACGCTCTTTTTACTGGTGTTGTTAACTTATCACACCATATTTAACTATGATATAATATTATTTAAAACCCTTTATCAATGTGAAACAGATAAGAATTCTTTCTTCTTCATAACTGTCAATGGCTCTATATCATAATATATTGGATTTAATATATCAGCCCTTTCCCTGATATATTAAATCTAATATAAATCAAATAAATCTAAAATAAATCTAATATCTTTGCTAATCCAAAATTGCCCTCATACCTATTTGCAAGGTTTCTTTCAGCAATAAAATTCAAATATTCCATAAATACATCCTTACTTAATAGAATTTGCATGGTGACAACTATATCATGGTGTTTTGTTTTGTTTTGTTTTAGAGATAGGGTCTAGCTCTGTCACCCAGGCTAGAGTACAGTGGCACAACCTTGCCTCAATCTTTGATTTTGGTTGTCAAACCATAGTTTCAACTTGACAAAAAAAGAATTAGAAAACTTGAATTTAAAAATATGTACAGGCTAGGAGCTATTGCTTATGCCTATAATCCCAGCACTTTGGGAGGCCAAGGAGGAGGGATCACTTGAACCCAGAAGTTGGAAACCAGCCTGAGCTTCATAGGGAGACCTTGTCTCTAAAAAAATTAAAAAATTAACCAGATGTGGTGAAACTACCTTTGCAAAATTATAACTGAGACAGTGAAAGAGATCTGACCTAACCAACTCAATCTTGCTTCTAACCTGTTGACTGTGGTCACCCTGTTGTACTATCAAATACTAGATCTTATATATTCTTTCTAACTATATTTTTGTACCTATTAACCATCCCCACATCCTCTACTCTCCCACTACACTTCCCAGCCACTGATAGCCATAATTCTACTCTCTATCTTTGTGAGTTCAGTTGTTTTAATTTTTTTAGCTTCCACAAATAAGTGCAAACATGTGAAGTTCATATTTCTGTGCCTGGCTTATTTCACTAAACGACCTCAAGTTCCATCCATGTTGTTGCAAATGACAGGATTTCATTCTTTTGATGGCTGAATAGTACTCCATTGTGTATATGTACCACATTTTCTTTATCCATTCATCTGTTGATGTACACTTAGGTTGCTTCCAAATCTTGGTGATTATGAGTAGTACTGCAGCAAACATGGTAGTGCAGATATCTCTTCGGTGTACTGATTTCCTATCTTTTGGGTATATACATAGCACTGGGATTGCTGGGTCAGGGGTAGGTATATTTTTATTTTACTGAGGAAACTCCAACCTATTCTCCATAGTGGTTGTACTAATTTACATTCCCGTAAACAGTGTATGAGTGTTCCCTTTTCTGCATATCTTTGCCAGCATTTGTTATTGCCTGTCTTTTGGATAAAAGCCATTTTAACTGGGATGAGATGATATCTCATTGTAGTTTTGATTTGCATCTCTTGGATGATCAATGATGTTGAGCACCTTTTCCTATACCTCTTTGCATTCAATGTTATTATTGATAAGTAAGGAATACTCCTGCCATTTTGTTATTTGTTTCTGGTTGTTTTGAGCTCTTCTCTTCCTTTTTGTATTCCTTTTAGTGAAGGTGATGTTCTCTGGTAATATGTTTTAATTGCTTTCTTT
Source organism: Homo sapiens (assembly GCF_000001405.40). Classification (NCBI taxonomy): domain Eukaryota; kingdom Metazoa; phylum Chordata; class Mammalia; order Primates; family Hominidae; genus Homo; species Homo sapiens. The sequence goes on from NC_000004.12 coordinate 99,789,121, forward strand.
TTACTTTTTGTGTATCTGTTGTATGTTTTTTGATTTGAGGTTGCCATGAGGCTTGCAAATAATACCTTATAACTCATTATTTTAAAGTGATGGCAACTTAACATAAACAAACAAACCAACAAGCAAAGAGAAAACTAATAAAAATTCTACACTTTAACTTCACATTAATGCGTAGTAAGAAATTATATGAAGGTACGAAACTCTCTTGTCTACTCTGACTATATTTTCAAACAGCTTGTCTTCAAGCTCACTAATTCTTTCTTCTCTTTGATCAATTCTGCTGTTAAGAGACTCTGGTTTATTCTTCACTATGTCAGTTGCACTTTTCAGCTCTAGATTTTCTGCTTGTTTCTTTTTATTTCAATATCTTTCTTAAATTTATCTCACAGGATTCTGAATTCCTTCTCTGTGTGTTTTCTTGGATTTTACTGAGCTTCCTCGAAACAGTTATTTTGAATTCTCTGTCTGAAAGATCACATATCTTGGCCTCTCCAGGATTGGTCTCTGGTGCCTTATTTACTTTGTTTGGTGAGGTCATGTTTTCCTGGATGGTCTGGATGCTTGTGGATGTTTGTTGATGTCTGGGCATTAAAGAGTTGGGTATTTATTATAGTCGTTGCGGTTTGTGTTTATTTGTATTTGTACCCAACCTTCTTGGGAAGGCTTTCCAGGTATTCAAAGAAACTTTGGTGTTGTAATCTGAGTCTTTGGTCACTGCAGCCGTAGCTTCTTTAGGGGTAGCCCCAAGCCCAGTAATGCTGTGGCTCTTTCAGACTTGTAGAGGTATCATCTTGCTTCCAACCTATTCTGTTTCAATATGTCCCCAGTAAGCCCCTGAACTAATCCTGTCTTTTTTGGAGGCCTTCTCTGACTGTTTCTCTTCTCTCCATGCTACTAACAAGGTTAAAAACTGGGTCATGCCTAAAGTCCCTTCCACTGAGCCTCTATGAATATTATTCATGCTTGGTTAGTAACTTCCCACAAATGATTAAAGCTTCCATTAGTGCAAGATTTGTGTTGTAATATGTTCAGTCTTCAAGGAAATATGTTTTTAAGCAACAATTCAGTCTGCTTTTTAGTTTCCAAATGATTTCTAGGAATCAGAAGCATCATGAGACTGCTCTAGTAGTTGAAGCTTCAACTACATTATATCCTTTGACTTTATTTCAATGGCTTCCAATCAACCAATAAGTATTTACCAAGTGATGCCATGATGGGTAGCAAAGGACATGCATTACCCAGCCCTAAAAATAATTGCCTTCTGGTCATGAAAATCAAATTAACAGTGAGAGGCAAAAAAAAAAAATGCAATTTGAGTGATACTGATGAGTAGTGCAGAGTGGCTCAGAAAAAGGACAGATAATATGATCTGCGTGAATCAGCAAGACCTCGTGAAAAGAGCATAGGGTCTCAAGTTAAATCAAAGGGTGAATAGGATTAGGAAGGATAGGGTAGGAGGGAGAGCACTGCAGTCAATAGGAACAGCATAAGCAAAAGCACGGACATTTTCCTGAGGAATTCTATTTAGAGGACAAAATTCTCCAGCCTTCAGCCTTTTCCTCCTTTCCTCCAAAATGCATGGTTGCCTGGCCCTCATGGGGATCTAAAAGTACCCTAAACCTGAAATTTGAGATAATATGTGGAAGTCTACCCCTGAAATAGTAATGAGCAATCTCTTGGTTTCTCTACTATATTTTGAAGAAAATAAATGAACAAATGTCAGATTCAAATAGATCCCTCAAGAAGGATAATTTTAGTTGACTGGAAGCCTGTCTGGGCACGTACAAGCACACAGATATCAGTTACCTTTGGTTACTGAAGAAGAGCAGGTGTCTAAACAAAGCTGCTGCTAGTCAAACTAAATTAAAATGACATTGCACTCCTCCACAGCCCTCAGGATTAGTGAGCGTGCAGCAAGCCCAAGAGCGCCTTCCTTACAGATGGCTTTTGAGGACACCTGTACTTAGTTAACTGCCACAGTCAATGGCTACATCTGAGCCTGACATTTTGTCTCAAAAGGATCACAAAGCTGTAATGGTACAATACTGTTGAGCTTAGAACCTGTGAAAAGTGACTGCAGGTCATTTGTCCCAGGTTTTGGCGACTTCTGGCACATTGTTAGGTCTCTCTTATCTCCAACTTAATTCCTAGTAAGTTAAGCAAACGTACAACTTACTATTTCTTTGCAATTACTTTTCCAATTTGTCAAAACATGTCTAGTGAGCACTCACTCTGGGAAAGGCTCTCTGCCAAATGTTTGAGGGAAGAAGGAAAACAAAGAAGAATGAGTCAATTGATGCCCTTAAAGAGTGTAAAATCTCTTGTGGCTACATACAAGAAATACAAGCTACATAGGGCAGAGTAAGGCTAAGACTGTAAGAGATACAGAATATGCTAAGGGAGACGGGCTGGAAGGATCAACTTTGAGAGGTCTCTAGGATGATTCCTCATAGGTATCTTTTGGCAATATTCTTCTGGATTGGCTGGGAAGAGAAATGTTCTAAGACAACAGAAGACAATAAATAAAAGGAGGCACAAGAATATACTGGCCAGGCACAGTGGCTCACGCCTGTAATCCCAGCACTTTGGAAGGCCGAGGCGGGCAGATCACTTGAGGTCATGAGTTGGAGACCAGCCTGGCCAACATGGCAAAACCCCATCTCTACTAAAAACACAAAAATTAGCCAGGCATGGTGGTGCACAGCTGTAGTCCTAGCTACTCAGGAGGCTGAGGAAAGAGAATTGTTTGAACCTGAAAAGCAAAAGTTGCAGTGAGTCAAGATTGTGCCACTGCACTCCAGCCTGGGTGACAGGGCAAGACTTCATCTCAAAAAAAAAAAAAAGAATACACAAATGCATGATGTATTTGGAAAATAAGGAGGAGCCTTGTGTACCTGGAGAGAATATAATGAAAAAAGACATTTAAAATGTAGTTTGAAACTAGATGATAAGGAAATTAAAAGCCAAACTAAGGAAATATAATTTTTTTCGATGTATAAATAATAAGGAGTTATTCAAAGTTTTGAGCAGGAGACTGTAGTATAATCATATGTGGGCATTAGTTTGCTAGCAGGAATGTGAATAATGAAATGGAGACTTTTTTAAAAGGCCAGTTGAAACCAGACTCCATATTCCTAGAGTAAGATGATAGAGGCCTGACCTCATCCAGAAACATTAAGAATGACCAAAACGAAGCAGATGCAATCTGTCCGCCAAGGTGCAGAGAGGAGCAGAGGATGGCTCCAACTTTCCGGCTTGAGTTGGTGTTTGCATGCCATGCTCCACAACACTTTTCATCTGCATCCCATCCTATGGAATAGGTCTGCAACCTATTTCCATTCACCAATAAAGAAATACATAGTTGCAGACCTTCTGAATCTGCCCAGACCAGAATTAACTATTAGTAGATGAAGACCAGTAAAGAATCTGACTTCTGATCCAGTAACTGGGAGGTTAGAGATACTTTCAGGTGAGGAAGAGGAAACAAGTAGGAACAATTCCTAGAAGAAAACACTGGAGGACACATTGGATCTTATTTTTTTTTTTTATACTTTAAGTTCTAGGGTACATGTGCACAACGTTCAGGTTTGTTACATATGTATACATGTGCGATGTTGGTGTGCTGCACCCATTAACTTGTCGTTTACATTAGGTATATCTCCTAATGCTATCCCACCCCCGTCCCCCCACCCCATGACAGGCCCCAGTGTGTGATGTTCCCCTTCCTGTGTCCAAGTGTTCTCATTGTTCAATTCCCACCTATGAGTGAGAACATGCGGTGTTTGGTTTTTTGTCCTTGAAGTCGTTTGCTGAGAATGATGGTTTCCAGCTTCATCCATGTCCCTACAAAGGACATGAACTCATCCTTTTATGTGGCTGCATAGTATTCCATGGTGTATATGTGCCACATTTTCTTAATCCAGTCTATCATTGATGGACATTTGGGTTGGTTCCAAGTCTTTGCTATTGTGAATAGTGCTGCAATAAACATACGTGTGCATGTGTCTTTATAGCAGCATGATTTATATTCCTTTGGGTATATACCCATTAATGGGGTGGCTGGGTCAAATGGTATTTCTAGTTCTAGATCCTTGAGGAATTGCCACACTGTCTTCCACAATGGTTGAACGAGTTTACAGTCCCACCACCAGTGTAAAAGTGTTCCTATTTCTCCACATCCTCTCCAGCACCTGTTGTTTCCTGACTTTTTAATGATCACCATTCTAACTGGTGTGAGATGGTATCTTGTTATGGTTTTGATTTGCATTTCTCTGATGGCCAGTGATGATGAGCATTTTTTCATGTGTCTGTTGGCTGCATAAATGTCTTCTTTTGAGAAGTGTCTATTCATATCCTTTGCCCACTTTGTGATGGGGTTGTTTTTTTCTTGTAAATTTGTTTGAGTTCTTTGTAGATTCTGGATATTAGCCCTTTGTCAGATGAGTAGATTGCAAAAATTTTCTCCCATTCTGTAGGTTGCCTGTTCACTCTGATGGTAGTTTCTTTTGCTGTGCAGAAGCTGTTTAGTTTAATTAGATCCCATTTGTCAATTTTGGCTTTTGTTGCTATTGCTTTTGGTGTTTTAGACATGAAGTCCTTGCCCATGCCTATGTCCTGAATGGTATTGTCTAGGTTTTCTTCTAGGGATGTTTATGGTTTTAGGTCTAACATTTAAGTCTTTAATCCATCTTGAATTAATTTTTGTATAAGGTGTAAGGAAGAGATCCAGTTTCAGCTTTCTACATATGGCTAGCCAGTTTTCCCAGCACCATTTATTAAATAGGGAATCCTTTCCCCATTGCTTGTTTTTGTCAGGTTTGTCAAAGATCAGATGGTTGTAGATATGTGGCACTATTTCTGAGGGCTCTGTTCTGTTCCATTGGTCTATATCTCTGTTTTGGCACCAGTACCATGCTGTTTTGGTTACTGTAGCCTTGTAGTATAGTTTGAAGTCAGGTAGCATGATGCCTCCAGTTTTGTTCTTTTGGCTTAGGATTGACTTCGCAATGTGGGCTCTTTTTTTGGTTCCATATGAACTTTAAAGTAGTTTTTTCCAATTCTGTGAAGAAAGTCATTGGTAGCTTGATGAGGATGGCATTGAATCTATAAATTACCTTGGGCAGTATGGCCATTTTCACGATATTGATTCTTCCTATCCATGAGCATGGAATGTTCTTCCATTTGTTTGTGTCCTCTTTTATTGCATTGAGCAGTGGTTTGTAGTTCTCCTTGAAGAGGTCCTTCACATCCCTTGTAAGTTGGATTCCTAGGTATTTTATTCTCTTTGAAGCAATTGTGAATGGGAGTTCACTCATGATTTGGCTCTCTGTTTGTCTGTTATTGGTGTATAAGAATGCATGATTTTTGCACATAGGTTTTGTATCCTGAGACTTTGCTGAAGTTGCTTATGCTTATCAGCTTAAGGAGATTTTGGGCTGAGACGATGGGGTTTTCTAGATATACAATCATGTCATCTGAAAACAGGGACAATTTGACTTCCTTTTTTCCTAATTGAATACCCTTTATTTCTTTCTCCTGCCTGATTGCCCTGGCCAGAACTTCCAACACTATGTTGAATAGGAGTGGTGAGAGAGGGCCAGTTTTCAAAGGGAATGCTTCCAGTTTTCGCCCATTCAGTATGATATTGGCTGTGGGTTTGTCATAAATAGCTCCATTATTTTGAGATACCTCCCATCAATACCTAATTTATTGAGGGTTTTTAGCATGAAGGGCTGCTGAGCTTTGTCAAAGGCCTTTTCTGCATCTATTGAGATAATCATGTGTTTTTTGTCTTTGGTTCTGTTTATATGCTGGATTATGTTTATTGATTTCTGTAGGTTGAACCAGCCTTGCATCCCAGGGATGAAGCCCACTTGATCATGGTGGATAAGCTTTTTGATGTGCTGCTGGATTCGGTTTGGCAGTATTTTATTGAGGATTTTTGCATCAATATTCATCAGGGTTATTGGTCTAAAATTCTCTTTTTTTGTTGTGTCTCTGCCAGGCTTTGGTATCAGGATGATGCTGTCCTCATAAAATGAATTAGGGAAGATTCCCTCTTTTTCTATTGATTGGAATAGTTTCAGAAGTAATGGTACCAGCTCCTCCTTGTACCTCTGGTAGAATTTGGCCGTGAATCCGTCTGGTCCTGGACTTTGGTTGGTAAGCTATTAATTATTGCCTCAATTTCAGAGCCTGTCATTTTTCTATTCAGAGATTCAACTTCATCCTGGTTTAGTCTTGGGAGGGTGTATGTGTCGAGGAATTTATCCATTTCTTCTAGATTTTCTGGTTTATTTGCATAGAGGTGTTTATAGTATTATCTGATGGTAGTTTCTATGTCTGTGGGATCGGTGGTGATATCCCCTTTATCATTTTTTATTGCATCTATTTGATTCTTCTGTCTTTTCTTCTTTATTAGTCTTGCTAGCAGTCTATCAGTTTTGTTGATGTTTTCAAAAAACCAGCTCCTGGATTCATTGATTTTTTGAAGGGTTTTTTGTGTCTCTGTCTCCTTCAGTTCCGCTCTGATCTTAGTTATTTCTTGCCTTCTGCTAGCTTTTGAATGTTTTTGCTCTTGCTTCTCTAGTTCTTTTAATTGTGATGTTAGGGTGTCAATTTTACGTCTTTCCTGCTTTCTCTTGTGGGCATTTAATGCTATAAATTTCCCTCTACACACTGCTTTGAAGGTGTCCCAGAGATTCTGGTATGTTGTGTCTTTGTTCTTGTTGGTTTCAAAGAACATCTTTAGTTATGCCTTCATTTTGTTATGTACCCAGGAGTCATTCAGGAGCAGGTTGTTCAGTTTCCATGTAGTTGAGCAGTTTTGAGTGAGTTTCTTAATCCTGATTTCTAGTTTGATTGCAGTGTGGTCTGAGAGACAGTTTGTTATACTTTCTTTTCTTTTACATTTGCTGAGGAGTGCTTTACTTCCAAGTATGTGGTCAATTTTGGAATAGGTGTGTTGTGGTTCTGAGAAGAATGTATATTCTGTTGATTTGGGGTGGAGAGTTCTATAGATGTCTATTATGTTCGCTTGGTGCAGAGCTGAATTCAATTCCTGGATATCCTTGTTAACTTTCTGTCTCGTTGATCTGTCTAATGTTGACAGTGGGGTGTTAAAGTCTCCCATTATTATTGTCTGGGAGTCAGTCTCTTTGTAGGTCTCTATGGACTTGCTTTATGAATCTGGGTGCTCCTCTATTGGGTGCATATATATTTAGGATAGTTAGCTCTTCTTGTTGAATTGATCCCTTTACCAGTATGTAATGGCCTTCTTTGTCACTTTTGATCTTTGTTGGTTTAAAGTCTGTTTTATTAGAGACTAGGATTGCAACCCCTGCCTTTTTTTGTTTTCCATTTGCTTGGTAGATCTTCCTCCATCCCTTTATTTTGAGCCTATGTGTATCTCTGCATGTGAGATGGGTTTCCTGAATACAGCACGGTGATGGGTCTTGACTCTTTATCCAATTTTCCAGTCTGTGTCTTTTAATGGGAGCATTTAGCCCACTTACATTTAAGGTTAATATTGTTATGTGTGAATTTGATCCTGTCATTATGATGTTAGCTGGTTATTTTGCTCGTTAGTTGATGCAGTTTCTTCCTAGCCTCAATGGACTTTACAATTTGGCATGTTTTTGCAGTGGCTGGTACTGGTTGCTCCTTTCCATGTTTAGTACTTCCTACAGGAGCTCTTGTAGGGCAGGCCTGGTGGTGACAAAATCTCTCAGCATTTGCTTGTCTGTAAAGTATTTTATTTCTCCTTCACTTACGAAGCTTAGTTTTGCTGGAAATGAAATTCTGGTTTGAAAATTCTTTTCTTTAAGAATGTTGAATATTGGCCCCCACTCTCTTCTGGCTTGTAGGGTTTCTGCCGAGAGATCCGCTGTTAGTCTGATGGGCTTCCCTTTGTGGGTAACCCGACCTTTCTCTCTGGCTGCCCTTAACATTTTTTCCTTCATTTCAACTTTGGTGAATCTGACAATTATGTGTCTTGGAGTTGCTCTTCTCGAGGAGTATCTTCATGGCATTCTCTGCATTTCCTGAATTTGAATGTTGGCCTGCCTTGCTAGGTTGGGGAAGTTCTCCTGGGTAATATTCTGCAGAGTGTTTTCCAGCTTGGTTCCATTCTCCCCCTCACTTTCAGGTACACCAATGAGACGTAGATTTGGTCTTTTCACATAGTCCCATATTTCTTGGAGGCTTTGTTCGTTTTTTATTCTTTTTTCTCTAAACTTCTCTTCTTGCTTCATTTCATTCATTTGATCTTCAATCACTGATACCTTTTCTTCCGATTGATCAAATCAGCTACTGAAGCTTGTGCATTCATCACGTAGTTCTCGTGCCATGGTTTTCAGCTCCATCAGGTCCTTTAAGGACTTCTCTGCATTGGTTATTCTAGTTAGCCATTCATGTAATCTTTTTTCAAGGTTTTTAACTTCTTTGCGATGGGTTCGAACTTCCTCCTTTAGCTCGGAGTAGTTTGATCGTCTGAAACCTTCTTCTCTCAACTCATCAAAGTCATTCTCTGTCCAGCTTTGTTCCATTGCTAGTGAGGAGCTGCGTTCCTTTGGAGGAGGAGCGGCACTCTGATTTTTAGAATTTTCAGTTTTTCTGCTCTGTTTTTTCCCCATCTTTGTGGTTTTATCTACCTTTTGTCTTTGATGATGGTGACGTACAGATGGGGTTTTGGTGTGGATGTCCTTTCTGTTTGTTAGTTTTCCTTTTAACAGTCAGGACCCACAGCTGCAGGTCGGTTGGAGTTTGCTGGAGGTCCTCTCCAGACCCTGTTTGCCTGAGTATCAGAACAGCGAATGTTGCTGAACAGCAAATGTTGCTGTCTGATTGTTCCTCTGGAGGTTTCGTCTCAGAGGGGTACCCGGCCATGTGAGGTGTCAGTATGCCCCTACTGAGGTGTGCCTCCCAGATAGGCTACTCTGGGGTCAGGGACCCACTTGAGGAGGCAGTCTGTCCATTCTCAGATCTCAAACTCCATGCTGGGAGAACCACTACTCTCTTCAAAGCTGTCAGACAGGGACATTTAAGTCTGCAGAGGTTTCTGCTGCCTTTTGTTCGGCTATGCCCTGCCCCCAGAGGTGGAGTCTATGGAGGCAGGCAGGCCTCCTTGAGCTGCGGTGGGCTCCACCCAGTTCAAGCTTCACAGCGGCTTTGTTTACCTGCTCAAGCCTCAGCAATTGTGGGTGCCCCTCCCCCAGGCTCACTGCAGCCTTGCAGTTCGATCTCAGACTGCTGTGCTAGCAATGAGCAAGGCTCTGTGGGCATGGGACCCTCCGAGCCTTGCGCAGTATATAATCTCCTGGTGTGCCATTTGCTAAGACCATTGGAAAGGCGCAGTATACGGTGGGAGTGACCCAATTTTCCAGTGCCGTCTGTCACAGCTTTGCTTGGCTATGGAAGGGAATTCCCTGACCCCTTGCATTTCCTGGGTGAGGCGATGCCTCTCCCTGCTTCGGCTCATGCTCGGTGCGCTGCACCCACCGTCCTGCACCCACTGTCCGACGAACCCCAGTGAGATCAACCCGGTACCTCAGTTGGAAATGCAGAAATCACCCATCTTCTGCATCACTCATGCTGCAAGCTGTAGACTGGAGCTGTTCCTATTTGGCCATCTTGGAACCGCCCCCCTGTTTTACTAAGATCATTGGATCTTAAACTGCATCATGGTCATCAATATAGAGGCCACCCAATAATAATTAGAAATGCTCAGCTGATGTTCACTTATAGCACTTGAGAGAAGTTATGACTGTGTTTCAGAGACTTGCAAACATTGAGTTTTGGGTCATTTGTTTGTTTGGAAAATTAAACACTGGAGAGACCTAAGACTATTCTGGTTCTGGTGAATCTTCCAAATTGGAGACAGGACAATAGAAAATATTCTCAGATATCAGTTATTTTTCTAGAAAACTTCAGCAGCGTATTGAGCCAAATGTTATGTGAAGTCTTGTAACACAGCTATGATGTCCACAATCTTTTGCCTTGTTAGAGGGAGACCAGGCATAGTCTCCTGATGGCACAAAGTGAAGTTTACTTATTTTAATTTCAGCTACTAAGGTCCTTATTTATATAAGCAATTTCCTTTGGTATATTATAACAAGTTATGCCTTACCTATATCTAATCTTAAAAATATCCTTTATCCCAAAGATTCTAAGAAGGCAAGGCTTCACCTGTGACCTTGGGGAGCTCCAAACAGGTGGCACACCTCTGCAATGGGCAGCCTGTAAGACCTGCCTTAGGAGCAAAGGCACAGCCAGCCCTCTGACCAAACAGCTTGCTCAAGGGTAACTGGAAGCAAACAGCTAAATGAAAAAATGTGGTGAAGAGTTTTAATCCCTTTTAAAGTAAAGCTAATGCCCTCATGTATTTCCAGAATAATCATTAAAGTATTTATGGGTTGAAAATTTTTAAAGACTCAGATCATAGGGATTAATACTTTTAAGTGATCTTGCATAGCAACTAATCACCTTAAACAAATTAGGTAATAGCTTTTATTGCTTCCAAAACACTTTTATAACCATCTTTGAATGACAAAAATGAAAGTATAAAGCAGATTTAATACCCCAGACGTGGAATTTTGATGGTTTCATAGTCATATTTTGGCAGTGTGTTGAACCAATTGACATTTTACAATGATACTCCTTACCTGCAAAGGAGTATGCATAGCCTATGATTCCCAAGCAATTGTGAGTTTGTGTAAGCATGTGTGTGGATGTGTGTGTGTGTGTTTGATGCTTTCCCCTACTTAAGGCAGAAAACTTGCGTAAGTTTGTCATTTTGGAGATGAACTTTATCCAAAAGAGTTCTTGATTCCTGTGCTATTTCATCATCTCATAGTTTTAGGAAGATGAAAAAGTCATCTTAAAAGAAAAATACACTTAGAAAATTCACTACTTTCTTTGAGTTTTAGGTAGTTTCCACAAAGCTGACATCAATTTTTACAGTTGTTTCTTTTACAAAATAAATGAGCAAATATATAACAAAGGCAGTATTTTTAACAAGACTAAGACCGACCAATGTGTCTTGTCCTAAAACCAAATAATCAGAAGATACAAACTTTCCAAGAAAGGGGAAACCAACAACAGCATTCTTTGTAAAAATCCAATATTCACCTTCTAATCACTAATTTGTATGATTTTAGGTAATTATACCTTCCCATGATGCATGTATCCATGAGGCAGGGTCAGTGTGGCATTAGAGAGGGGTGGAAAGAACAGACCCTTTCTGGGAGCCTTGGACACTGTCTCAAATTAAGTCCTTTCTGCCCCAGGCCCTGTCTGGCTCATTCCCAAACCATGGCCTCTTCTGCTGAACCTTGTCTACACCTGACAGCTTCTCCAAGTCCCACACTTGGTGGAAAAATACCATCTGCACATGTTGCTCCCTTCCTTCTGAGGCTGGAAGACATACATAGTATTCCAGATTTCCACAGTCATTTCCAGTAATTAGCCATTTTTCATGGCAGTTGTCCATGAATCATTCCATTCTTATAGATGGTCAGGGTGAGTCCCAGGGATTTAATGACTTGCCCTCTGCAAATCTTTGACAGAGCAATGACAGAGCCAGGTTCAGAAGGTAGGACCCCTCAAGAAATGGGTCACCCCACATAAAAACTCAGGAAATGAAAATTGGCCATGAGCTCAATTTCAGGGGAGAACTTTTAGCTAGGCTAAATATAGTACCCCAATGTGGAAGACAGCCAACGCTCAGGGTGCCAGTTCCCAAGACTCACACAACAGCACTCTAGGATACTTAATTGCCACAGGTGGGTCACATAGTTCTTGTAAACCTCTCCTAAAAATAAACCTTAAATGAGTCTAACTCCAAGTGTTGATTGTATTATCATTTTAAAATTCAGGATGAAAAGAGGTACTGGTGAGGAGGAGGAAGAGGTAGTTATTCTTAGGAAATCAGAGGTACATTCCATGAGTTGCTGGGAAGTGCTTTTGAAAATTGTGGACAAAAAGAGTCAAACCCTGTAAAATATTTGAAGAAATTTGTTCCGATTCAAATATGAGTGACTAATGACCTGTGACACAGCTCCAGGAGATCTTGAGAACATGTGACAAGGTGGTTTGGCTACAGCTTTGTTTTATACATTTTAGGGAGAGAAGACCTCAATCAATACATGTAAGATGTACATTGGTTCTGTCTGGAACAATGGGGGGGGCCAAGGGGCTTCCAAGTCATAATCTGTTTGGCAATTAGTTGAAAGATTTATTTTCTAAAAACCTGGAATCAATAGAAAGGAATGTCTGGGTCAAGATAAGGAAGTGTGGAGAACAAGGTCCTTATACTGATGAAGCTTCCAGGTAGCAGGCTTCAGAGAGAGCAGATTGTAAATATTCTCGTTGAACTTGAAGAGTCTGTTCTATCAGTCTTAAGGTCTCTGTTTTAATGTTAATGCTGGTCAGCTGTGCCTGAATTCCAAAAGGTGGAGGGTATAATGAGGCATGTCCCACCCCCACTTCCCACATGGCCTAGACTAGTTTTTCAAGTTAACTTTGGAATGCCCTTGGCCGAGGGGAAGGTCCATCAGTTGGTTGGTTGGGGGCTTAGAATTTTATTTTTGGTTTTAAAACAAATAGATTTTCTTTATTCTTTTTATAAATTTCTAACAGACACCTATTTGATTTTGATTTTCTTTTACAGTATTTGCTTTGTTTTATTAAAACCTGAGAAATGTACTTGACGTTCTGTGATCCCTCTTTCCCCCAGGGATGAGGGATGAGGCTACTGTGTCTATCTCAAAATCACAGTTTCCTTCTTGCACCCTGGAGGCACCAGTTCCAGTCAGGAGGAAGTGATTCGGGCATGTAGGCCAGCAAGGTCCTTCTCCAATCCCTTGGGAGCTCCTGATCTCCTTGGGGGAATCATGGGTGGGCGAGCAGGTGGGAGTGAGCAAAGGCCATGAGCCAAATAGACCCAAGTTTGAATCAGAGTTTCCCTCCTCACTGCCACTTCTGTGTGCAAGTCTCAGGTTATTTGTTTCTACCTCAGAAATAATGATACTGAGCCGTCCTCATAAGATGCTGTGATAACCAGATGAGGGAATGGTTCAAAGAGGTTAACTAAGGGTTTGGCACAGAAGCCCCTCTCAGTATACCTGTAAGGAATTTTAGCATCTAAATAATCATCATGAACAGTTTAGGTAATAGCAATTACTGTTACTGCATCTGAAACACTTCTGTAAAACATTATTTAGTACAGGGTATTAGTTACAGACTAGCATTAGCTTTATAAATGACAGTGATTTCGTGGTATAACTCATAGAGAATAACTTACGACTATCAGAAACAGAGGGAAGACGCTATTCTTAACTGGCATTTCAAAAGTCCTCCAATTTTTGTTTGTTTGACTCCTAATTTAAAGTCAAATGAATGTTGTTCTTCACTAAAAGGTGAGTGAATTGAGGTGGCATTCCACTATGGGACCCCAGCTATAATGAACTGGCTCTTTGTTTATGTGTTCACTATAAACAGTTGTTCCATATTTTCCTGTGCATTTTTTCCTTTCCTCAAAGCAGAGGCCATATATGCATCTCTCTCATCCCCTGTGTAGGGAAAGGAAAATTTTCCTCCAAGTTTCCAGTATCTCCAGCTGGGACTGACATAAAACAGATTAAAAAAGAGAAAAGCATAAGAATTGCAATTGTTTTTTGCATATATATGGAAGACTTTACCAAAAAAACTGAAGACCCAAAGAAGCAGTTAGAACCAAAGGCTTATCTACTAGGCTTGACAAAGAGCAGCAAATTAAGGAAATGCAGCAAAACCAAGGGGCTTGAGCTCGGGCAGTTAACTGTGGAAAAGCATCAAGGAAGATAAGGGTTCCTTGAACAGTGTTTGTTTGCACAGATTTCTCTTAGCCCCAACTCCTCATCTCTAGTGATAAGAATATCTTTCTTTTTCCTGGTACAAGGAGGGTACCTTTCACATGGGAGTTTTATTTCCTGCTTTCAGGAAGAAAAAAGAAGATCAGAGATCAGAGTGCCCTTCTGGCATCTGCTGTTTTTCAAACGCCTTTAACTGAAAACAGTCAATATCCCAGAGTAGGCTCTTTTGAGGTGGAGTAGCTGAACTCCACCTGCTTCCCAAATCTAGCAACTGACTAGTGTTCAGTGAGCTCTTAGTCAATGAACTGTCAGATTTATATACAACCATTTACTACTAAGGGATTTCTCCAAAGACACACCCTGCAAGCTGAGTTTTCTAGCTCATCAAAGTCCTCAAATGAGCTTTTCCAGTCACAAGTTAAAAGAGGTCACAGGAACCAGATAGTTCCCCAGGTTTCAATTCATTCTCTCCAGCTAAATTCCTACCTTTAAACATAATCCTCAATAAACAAATAGCTTTTTTTTTTTTTGCCACTATTTTGCCCTATTTTTGTTTGACCATTTTGTTTCAATCTAATTCTACTCTTTTGTATTTTTGTCCTAAAAACTTTTAAACAAAGATTTTTCTCTGACACTTTCAAATTTCCTGAAGCTGGGCAGGCAGGCTCATGTGGCTTGTATTTTGTTTATGTGCTTTTACAATTCTAATTATAACCCTTTGGGGAGCCGTTCTGCAAAGGGCTGTCTGTATAAAGGAAGAGCTGGATGTGTGACCCTCATGTTGGCAAGAATTGATCATACATGTCACTTGGGGCTGGATGCAGCTGCCACAGCTAATGCTCAAATAACCCCGGGACAAAGACTCACCCCAGTACATTGTTACATTTTATTGAGTGCTTAGGAGAAGATCTGATTAAAGCAAGGTGAATGTAGTGCTGTTAGAAATTAGCTGTCTCTCCAAGTTGATTTAGGGACACCAAAGTGTCCCTCAAAATAATCCCCTATCTTGTTCTCTGAAAATGGTCCAAGTCTTTTATTCTATAATTAAAATGTCAAGTTTGGAATCTAAAAATCCCCGCTAACATCATACTGAGCCACCTTTTAAGAAGAGTGTTACCGATGGGTCAGGGAACTGCAATCAGGAGACAGCAAACCGTCAAGCCCCTCAGAAGGAACAGCTTTGCAGTAGGGAATGTATTTGCACATTTTGTTACTGGGCTAGTCCAATGAAGATAAAATGAATTTTCTCATTAAGAGAGCCATGAAGGAGCCTCAGGAATGCTTCTCCTCTCCCATCCCACCACCCCCATTTCACTATAGAGCCTGGAAGCTACCATAAACTATCATCCTTTTAGATTACGAACTACCTTTTGTCCCTCAGTGCCTATTTTTTGTCATTGTTTGCAAATATAGGTGGGGGGTTGGGGGGGCAAGGAGCACATCAGGGGTGCTCCCATACCCTTGCTTCTTAAAGTGGCCCAAGCAGAATCAACATCACATGGATGCTTTTGTCAGCGAGGCAGGTCTCAGGCCCCACCTCAGACCTATTGAATCAGAATCTGTTTTAACAACATCCCCGGATGATGTATATGCACATTAAAGTTTAAGAAGCACTGGCCACAGCTTAGAGTAGATTTATTCATTTTTTGGTTTGCACGTTGGGAAGATGATGTATCTTTTCTGGATATTGAAAGAGGATGTGAGAACACAAGAAACTGCAGCAGGCCAGGTGCAGTGGCTTATGCCTGCATGACCAGCACTTTGGGAAGCTAAGGCAGGAGGATTGCTTGAATCCAGCAGTATGAGACTAGCCTGGGCAACATAGCGAGGCCTTGTCTCTACAAAAATTTTTATTGTTTAATTTTATGAAACAATTAGCCAGGTATGATGGTGTGCATCTGTAGTCCCAGCTAATCAAGACGCTGAGGTGGGAGGATGCTTGATAGTGGGAGGTTGCTTGATCCTGGGAGGTTGAGGTTGCAGTGAGCTGTGAATGTGCCACTTCACTGAGACCCTATCTCAAAAAGGCAAGGCAAGGCAAGGCAAGGTAAGCAAGGCAAGGCACTGCATCCTATTCTATATCTTGGTAGATTTACTTGAATATTCCCCAAGGCCCATCAGCTTGTCCATCCTAGGCAAAGTCATTATTTGTTCGTATAGTTGCTGGATTAATACCCTCCACCTGCTAGTGGCCGGGTCTCAGTCCTTCCCA
Source organism: Homo sapiens (assembly GCF_000001405.40). Lineage (NCBI taxonomy): Eukaryota > Metazoa > Chordata > Mammalia > Primates > Hominidae > Homo > Homo sapiens. The sequence goes on from NC_000004.12 coordinate 99,805,183, forward strand.
TTCTTGTGTCTAAAAGTCTCCAGGAAAAAAGGGGGGAGTCTCTCACACACAGTCGGCCTCTGCCTGCAGCTCTGCTCACCTGCTGCTCTAGCTGTTGCTTTGTTCTTGGGGCAGCCTCTGCTTCAGTTCTCTGAGGCGTTAATGCTGCTGCATCACAGTCTCCAACCACCCAAATAGTAAGAGGACACATCCCCAACCTTCATGACCCAGGGCAGTTGCATGGTAAACTGATGTCACCTAGAGTTCTTTGCCATCTGCTTAATGGTCTCCAATGCTCACCTCCCTTTCAGGTGACAGCATTTCTCTTCAAATGACCATCTTTATGCTGGACAGGAGGCCAGGGAGTGAGAAATTTGAGAGAAGAAAAAGTGCAGATGGTGGGAAGTAGTGGCCAGAAGGCAAAGCTGGTCACCAAGTAGTGAGTGCTCTGTGGCGGAATTGAAGAGATTCAGCTCAGAGTCTGCCATTGATTTATTTCTTTTTAGATTCTTTTAGAGACAGGATCTCACTCTGTCATTCAGGCTGGAGTGCAATGGTGCAACCGTAGCTCACTGCAGCCTCAAACTCCTTGGCTAACATGATCCTACTGCCTCAGCCACTGAGCAGCAGGAACTATAGGCATGTGCCACCATACCTGGCTAATTTTTTAAAGCTTTTTCTAGAGGCAGGCTGTCTTTGCTATTTTGCTCAGGCTGGTCTTGAATTCCTTGCTTCAAGCAATCCTCCCACGTTGGGCTCCCAAACTGCTAGGATTGCAGGCATAAGCCACCATGCTTGGCTATGTCTGCTATTTAATGTTAAGTTTTTATGTAAGCTGTGTTATAATGCAAACTTTCCTCCATTTCTCTAAGCAAAACTTTAGTCAAGTCTGCTATCCTTGACCGTTTGACAAGACAGCTGCACTTAGAGGCACCATGTCTACTGTTTGGTCAGGTGGTACAGAGAGAAGAGAACAACCTCACAAGGCACGCTGGCTGACTGGCTCAGTGGCTTAGATGTCAATGGAAGCAGGAAGTAAGAGGAACAGAAACTATGATATTGTAAGCCCCCAGAATTCATGGAAATCTCACTGGATTGTCAGATCACTGGATTGGCCACAGCATGTGAGATAGGGAAGCCTGGAGGGGATATTCTTTTCATTAATTAAAGGAAAGGGTTAGGGGACTTGGATTCCCTCAACCCAACAGGCTGAGGTGACTTGGATCACTTAGGAAGCAATAACACTACTGAGCATCATCATGCCCTTTCCTTCCAGGACACAAAATCTTGCTAGAGAGTAGGCAAGATTAGGTTGAGTTAAGGCCAAGAACAACCACCAAGACCTGCCTGCCCTTGGCCCTGAAGCCGTGAATCCTCACCTATAAGGATTCTTCCTCCCAGGGACTCCCTTTTTTACTCCCAGAAGTCCAGCTCCATCCCTTTCCTATTTGCCCTTGTCTGTCAGACTGGTTTGTATCCTAAGCCTGGATCAAGTTAAGTCCCCCACCATGGGACCTCTGGTCATCTGGATCATCAGTGTCATCGAGCAACCTATTACCCTAAGAAGGCCTTGTTTGCTGAGAGCACTTGGAGGATCTCCACAGGGAGCCGCCAACTCCTGATGCCAGCATAGCTGAGTCTCAGCTGAGCTGCAGCCAAGAGTTACTGAGACAAAAGAGTTTGAGGTTACTTAGTTGATACCTCCAAGCCCGAAAACCTTTCTTGGTTTTGGAAGTCCTTCTTTTTCTCCTTACACAGCCCATTGCTCGTGAGCACACACAGATGGTCCAAGGAATGACAGGCTTCTTTTGTGATGGGTGTTGACTGACACAAACGTGGATAGCTTATTAGGTCACAAGGTACCATCTTTTCTTGGCACAGGCTTATGGCACTCGTTATTGCCCCAGGAGCCCACAGACCCGTCACCACATTACTTTTGGTCTGCAGGCTCTTCCACAGACTCGGGTGCTCTTCAACCTTTGCCGAACATCAGAATCACCTGGGGCAACTGTCCAAGATGCAGGCCCCAGGGCCCTGTGCCTTGGGGATTTTGAGGCTGGTGGTGCACAGCCTGTCCTGGGAGAAGCCCTGCTGCAGCCCTTAGCTTTCAGCTTCCAGTGTGTCACCTCCATGCTCCCCACCCTCCAGGGTCTTCTGAAGCCTTTATTTTTGCTCTGATGTGGCCCCCTTCAGGGCCAGGTTTATCCTTTTTGCTTCGGGTGGATTACTGGTTCAGTCACCTATCACACCATCCTGTCAGTACTCTCTTTTATAGTTCTCCTGCTCTCTTCACATTTTTTTTTTAACCACTCATAGTTCCTCATAATTTTGCTCTTCCTCCTGCTTCCATCCCCCACCTAACCTTCTGGATAAAATTCACTTTGTGTCTGGGCACAATGACGGATGCCTGTAATCCCAGCACTTTGAGAGACTGAGGCAGGAGGATCACTTAAGGCCAGGAGTTCAACACCAACCTGGACAACACAGTGAGACCCCCATCTCAAAAAAAATCATCTCTATAATGTCTCCTTTAGATAGACAGAACAAAAACATTTACATGTTAAGAGAAACTTCTCTTTACCACCCTTAAAATATTTAAAATACCAAAGATCTCATATTTATATGATTAACAGAGAAAACTCAGACCCATGGGCCACCCAGGAACAGTGACAAAATCTACTTCAAAGTTGTTGCTGTGGCTGAGTCACTGTCTCTGTAATCGGGGAGCTGTTCCCAAGCTGCCTTCACTGTAACGCTGAGAACCCTGAAGAATTTTCACTATTTCCAGTCACCGTTACTGTGACAGGGCTCTACGTTAGCAGTTTTAGAGTCACCTACATTCCTTATTTTAAATGAAAATTGAAATGCTTTGAAGATTTATATTTACCAAATGAGCTGAGGAAAAAGTAAGTGCTTAAAATATATTGCAATTGCAGAAATGAAAATCATTTTTAGGTATAAAATTGAATTTTTAGATTTCAATCACTTCCTACTCATTTAAATTCTTTCAGTAAAGGTCTCAAAGCTTTAAAGGGAAAAGAGAGCAGAACTAAGAATTGAACCATTTAAAACTTGGTGAGACAGGTAATAAATTATACCTGAATCATTTAATGGTTTAGTAGTCTGGCGTTTAAGGAATCTTCTACAAATGTGGTGTTGGGTAGTATCACCTGAATTCAGCTACTTTAATAAAGAACTATACTTTCATAGAGAGGAAGGAAAAAGCGATGGATCTAATCTTGACTTCAGGTAAAACAGCTCCCCCGCGCCCACCAACGCGGTATTACTGCCACCTAGTGATAGCATATCCTCATCACAGAGGTCCTGCCTGTGGAAGTGGAGGGGAAGAGGTGTAGTAAGCACAGCCAGTAGGGCGAATCCACAAATTAAATACACCCGGGGGTTGGGGGTGGCGAGGGGAGCGCTAGAGTAAGGCTATATTTTCTATAATGTCCATTCTCATTGCTTCCAGGGCTATTTTAAGAAATATTTATTTTGATGGGGTTTCAAAGTAAGTCATATGAGGACCTGTAAGCCACAGTTTTTACTCCCGCGGAGTTTGTTTTACGCAGGCTTCAAATGGACAAATAACATACATCTGAGGTTCAAGCTTTCTATTAATTTAATGCTGGCCTGGAAAACATTTTGTGATTTAAAAGAAAGCACCAAAGTTAGCTGTATTATTACTGGACTCAGCAAGGAAAGAATTGGGCTCAGTCAGAAGTGCCAGAATCCCTGTAACTAGGGGTGAAATCTCAGGCAAGTATCTTAATAGTTTCCAACCCCACTTGCCCAACCTGTTAAATAGGGGAACTGAAGTAGGTTCCCTCTAAGATGCTCTCCATGAAAAGCTCTAAGACTCCTCTTATTCATTTCTGAAGTCCTACCCCAAGGTAGACCAAACGTTCTGACATTTTGGCTGAGCTGCTCCATTCACACACATTATCATGAACGATTTCAAATTTTACCCATTTTCAAAAGCTGAATCTACCCTGGTGCTTCGTGGAAGCTAAGAATCTGGGAGATATCTCAGCTGGCCAGTTGGTCAAATTATCTTTGTTATTTGCCATTAGCTCCCGTTAGTTAACACAGCAATCTTTTCAGATGAAGTGTGGACAAGAAGACAAAAAGTATTTGGATAGGGCCCACAGGATCCAAAAGTGCGTAACCTTGTTTAATTTCATTTGGTTGAGTTAGCAGCTACTTTTGCAGACTTAAATGCAAAAATGCTGGTGTGTTTGAAGTTTCATTTTTGTCCAGGCTTTCATTACTCAGAAATCAGTGCTGACACAATTAAGCATGACCTTTCCATGCAGATGGTGCCTTGCTTCACCAGCACAAACAGCATCTGCCACACTCACCCACAAGTGCACATGTTTGCATATTTTTAAGACACTGCATCTAAAAATGGTAAAGTAAGTGCTGAAGTAAAGCCTTTGCGGAAGGGAGCATAATATCACTTAATCTGTTTGCATTACCTGTTAAGAAAGCCAGAGTGAAGTTCTAGGAAATTAGGAGACATGCAAAACACAGCACTCTTCTTAAACCACACATGTGCTCTCTTAACATTATTGGAATAATGTATTAACACTGCTCTATCTGAAGGCATGTTGATTTGCTGTGCTAAGAGGTGTTTGGTTAAATATAAATCATCCCCAGCTTCAGCAAGAAAGCCTAATATATATTATGTATGTGTGCAGGATAGCTTCAGCAACCCTGGGTATTTGTTTCTAAAAAGTCACATTATTTCAAAGTTAAAAGGGAACTTAAAAGTGACTTAGAATAACTTTCCTTCTAATATAAGAATCTTTTTTACCAGTGACATACAAAGGTGAGGGGGTGCTTGGGAGCACTTTAATCCCTGGTATAGTCAATAACAATAAAGAAACAGGCTGTGCGTTGTGGCTCATGCCTATAAACCTAACACTTTGGGAGCCTGAGGCGGGAGGATTGCTTCAACCCAGGAATTCAAGACCAGCCTGGAAAGAATGGCAAAATCGTGTCTCTACCAAAAAATACAAAAATAAGCCTGGTGTAGTGGTGCATGCTTGTAGTCCCAGCTATTCAGGAGGCTGAGGTGGGAGGATGGCTTGAGCTGAGGAGGCAGACATTGCAGTGAGGTGAGATCATGCCACTGCACTCCAGCCTGGGTGACAGAGCCAGACACTCTCTAAAAAAAAAAAAAAAAAAAAAAAAAAGAAAGAAAGGGAATAAAGAAACAATGATAATGATAAAACCAATGAGAAGTCATTCTGCTCTTTATTATCACCAGAAACCAGCAATTCTAACCAATGTCAATGACAGAATATACCTCTCAGCAGAGGCAAACCATTCCTCACTCCCTACCAAAAACTGAACATTTGTGTCCCACAAAATTCCTATGTAAAAGCCTAATCCCCAATGTGATGGTATTTGGAGGTGGAGCCTTTGGGAGGTGATTAAGTCATAAGGTCATAATTCTCATTAATGGGATTCATGTCTTATAAAAGAGGTCCCAGGGAACTTCCCAGCCCCTCCCACCATGTGAAGACACAGCAAGAAGACAGCCAGCATCTATGAACCATGAATCAGGCATTATCAGACCCCACATCTGCTGGTGCCTTGATCTTGGACTTCCTAGACTCCAGAAATGTGAGAAATAAATTTCTGTTTTGTGTAAGCTACCCAGTCTGTGGGATGGGGTGGGGAGAGTGACCCAGGACCCCTAGTGATGAAGGTGGGGAGAGTGACCCAGGACCCCTAGAAATGGGGTAAGGGAAGAGTAACCCAGGACCCCTAGGGATGGGGTGGGGAGAGTGACCCAGGACCCTAGGGATGGGGTGGGGAGAGTGACTCAGTACCCCTAGAAATGGGATGAGGTGACAGTGACCCAGGACCCCTAGGGATGGGGTGGGGAGAGTGACCCGGGACCCTTAGGGATGGGGTGGGGAGAGTGACCCACGTTATTCACAGTCATATGAATAAGAAATTCACTTCTGTGTTGAAGTGTTAAATTTTGGGTCTTTCTGAAGTAGCAATTTAGCATACCCTGATGAACACAGGAGAGAATGAGGCAGAGTGAAAAGAACCTTGAGTGAAAATGTTATGTGCTAGTTATTCATCAATTGGCTTCAGCTCCACTTCTGACCTCCTCTCCTCGCCTGGTATCATAGGGGACTGGAAGCCCACAAACTACATTTCACTAATTCCCTTGCCAGCTGTCTTCCAGAAAGAATTTGCTAACAGGAAGACTGGAGAAGGGTAGAAATCTGGGGTTTTTTTGTTTTTGTTTTTGTTTTTTTCTTCCTTAGGCAGTGCTTTCAGCACCATGAGCAGCCTTCAGCAATGGTGGGCAGCTGCATGCTCCAAAAGCCTCAGTCCCAGTTTTCAGCTGCATCAACAGAGTTGTGTCCTTCTGGTCCCACAGACCAGCAGTGGCAGCTAAATGTCTACAGTGGCTTCTCTTTTCTTAACTGGATAGTGACTGATGCACATAAATTCTCTTCCTGGTGCTGCTAATTTCTGACAATTTTCTTAACATTTCTGAGCTCCAATTTTCTTATCTATTAAAAAATAACAAGAATAGCAATACCTGCTCTGTGTCAATAACATAATGTTCATGATATACAAATGAAAATGATTATGAACACTCATAATCTAAAGAAATGTATTTTTATGGATCCTGGTTAAGTTTGCTGTTATTGGTCATGTCTTTCTCTTTCTAGACCTCCAGGAGCCTATTGAATGTTTCTAAATTGTGATCCAGTCAAATATGTTAGTTATTTTTTCATTTGAAAAGATGAATATAGCCTGCACCAACAGGGGGAGCTGTTCTTTTATAACCACTGAGAGTGGCTGTATTTCTTCTTTGAGGGCAAAGCTTTAATTGTTTCAACACCAGCTACTGGGAAATGTCACCAGTGAACCAATTAGCCTGGCTTCCTGAACCATGTAGAACTGATTATCCAAGTCAGGCCGGCAATGGGCTTGGGCACAGGGTATATGGTAGACACAAATGAAGAGTGACCTCAATGTCCCATTAATGTTACTTGACTTGTGCTCACTTGACCTCAGGTTGCTTGTAAAAAAGGTAGGGTCTTAGCCCTTTCTCCCTGAAATCCTCCCCAGTGATTTCTGGGAAGGGCTGGCTTTTTATTTCACTTTAGCTTTCTCGTTAGGTAGGTGACTTTGCATAGTTACCTTCAGTGGATTTACTGTATTATGGTTTTTAGGTTGCTCTTAAAGTGAGAAAAAAATGTGCTTGAGGTAGACCAGGTAGCCCTTTTGATACTTTTAGCCAGGTAATTCTTTATTGTGGGGGCTGTACTGCACACTAGGATATTCAGCATCACTGCACACTAAATGCCAGTAGGCTCCCCAGGTTGTGACAACTAACAATGAAAACCACCTCAAAAATGAGGACCCAATTGAGAACCACCATTTTAGGGGCTATGGATACTATATCAGTGAAGGTTCTCCAGAGAAACAAAACCAATAGTATGTATATATGTGGAGTGTGAGAGTGTGTGTGTGTGAGAGAGAGAGAGGGTGTGTGTGTGTGTGTGTGTGTGTGTGTGTGTGTGTGTGTGTGCGTTGTATAAAATAAGGAATTTCCTCACATAATTATGTAGGCTGGTAAGTCCAAGATCTGCAGGGTGGGCTCACAGGCTGGAGAACTAGTTCAAGTCCAAAGGCTGTCTACTATAGTACCAGGAAGAGTTGATGCTGCAAATGAAGACCAAATGCAGTCTACTGGAAAATTATGTTGCTCGGGGGAGGCTGGTCTTTTGGTTCTGTTCAAATTTTCAACTGGTTGGATGAGGTCCACCCACGTTATAGAGAGCAATCTGCTTTACTCAGAGCCTACCATTTAAATGTTAATTCACTCAAAAACACTCTTATAGAAACACCCCGAATAACATCTGACCAACTATCTGGGCAACCCGTGGTCTGGCCGAGTTGACACGTAAAAGTAACCATCAAAGATATAAGGTGATCAAGACCCTGGAAGTCCCTGCCTCTGGGAGCTCACATTCTAGGCATTGACCCAGATGATAGGCAAGTGTTTCAGTTATCTATCGCTGGCTGTATTAGTCCATTTTCATGCTGCTGATAAAGACATACCCAAGACTGGGCAATTTACAAAAGAAAGAGGTTTATTGGAATTACAGTTCCATATGGCTGGGGAGGCCTCACAATCATGGCAGAAGGCATGGAGGAGCAAGTCATCTTATGTGGATGGCAGCAGGCAAAGAGAGCGCTTGTTCAGGGAAACTCCCATTTTTAAAACCATCAGATCTCATGAGACCTATTCACTATCATGAGAACAGCAGGGGAAAGACCCACCCCATGATTCAGTTATTTCACACTGGGTCCTTCCCACAACATGTGGGAATTATGGGAGCTACAAGATGAGATTTGGGTGGGGACAAGGAGCCAAACCATATCACTGCCTAACAAACCATCCCAAGCTTCATGGCATCAAATAGCAAACATCTTATTAAGTGCATGTATTCTTTAGATCCAAAATTCAAACAGGGCATGGTTTGTCTCTCCTCTTTGATGTCTGGGGCCTCAGCTGGCAATATGCAAACCACTAGGAGAGAGTGATTTGAATGGCTGGAGGCTGGAATCATCTGGGGGCTTCTTCAATCAAGTCTGGCACCTGGACTAGAATGATTCAAGCTGGGATTATCTGGGACTGTTGACTGGAGCACACACATGAAGCATTCCACGTGGCTTGGGCTTCTAGGCATAACAATTATGTTCCTAAGGGGAACCCCTGAAAGTAACATTTGGAGAGTGAGCCTTCCAAGAGACCACAATAGAAACTGCAAGGCTTCTTCTGACCTAGCCTCAGAAGTGATCCAGTGTCACTTCCACCACATTTTATTGGTCACAAGTGAATCACAGAGGCCAGGCCAGATTCAAAGGAGGGGAGTTAGGTGCTGCCTCTTGACAGGGAGCAGCAAGGTCACATTGCAGAAGAGCATGTGGGTTGGGAGATGTATGTGTGTATGTATGTATGTATGTATGTATGTATCTATCTATCTATCTATCTATCTATCTATTTATCTATCATCTATCTACTATCTATCCATCAAGAGAATTTGCCACAAGTAAGCAAATATTCTATATAATTTCAGGTAGAGCTAAAAACAGAAGTGGTATTTAGACTGTTACAGATACAAAGGATCTTCTGGGGTGATAAAAACCATTCTAAAATTGTATTGCAATGATGGTTGCACGACTCTGCAAATTTACTCAAAATTATTGTACACCTAAGGAAAATGAACATTATGATATACAAATTGTACCTCAATATACCTGTTAAATATACAACTAGCATGCCACAGGCACTGAAGGATAAGAACAGACATGATGCTGGCCTTGGTTCCAAAACAAGGTTTTTTGTTTTTTGTTTTTTGTTTTTTTTGAGACGAAGTCTCACTCTGCTGCCCAGGCTGGAATGTAGTGGCATGATCTCAGCTCACTGCAAGCTCTGCCTTCCGGGTTCACGCCATTCTCCTGTCTCAGCTTCCTGAGTGGCTGGGATTACAGGCGTCCACCACCATGCCCGGCTAATTTTTTGAATTTTTAGTAGAGACAGGGTTTCACTGTATTAGCCAGGATGGTCTCGATCTCCTGACCTGGTGATCCACCCGCCTCGGCCTCCCAAAGTGCTGGGGTTATAGGCATGAGCCACCACGCCCGGCCCAGAACAAGATTCTAAATCCCCTTTCAGTTACACAGCAATAGATGTCCCGGGAGGGATGGGCTCCAGCATTTTGTTGAAACTATCTAGCAAGCCTCCTGCAGCTGTTACCACTGCAAAACTAAGTGTGTAGTTAGTGGAGTGGGCGGGGTGGTAGGGATACTGTGAAAAATTGAGTAAATGACAAAGTGGGACAATGACATCAAAGGAGAGGGCAACAGACAGGACAGCAACATGAGGAAGGGCAAAAGGCAGGAAGATTCAGCCAGAAAAGCAGGACGATCTTAGAAAATTCTGCTACTTGTACTTCCAAAAAAGTTAAGAAAAAGAACAACCAGAATTTGCTAAAAATGGGAATGAAATAGATACTAAAACACCAAATAAAGGGCTCTAGAGAGGGAACAGGAACTCTAGTGCCCAGGCTGTTCCCCTGTCACTGCTGTATGCATATTCAGTATCTCCCTGGCCTGCACTGGCCTCTCTGTTCAAGTGGGCCCTGTCCTTCTCTGTGAGCAAACTGTAGCCAAAAGAATTTAAGTGCTCATTTAGTCAGTTATATATGTATTATCAGAGCTTAGTCTTCAGCAGACTGCCTCCAGACACTCAGGAACTTCCCACTGGCAACCAGTGTTACCCGGGTCTCACCGATCCCGGGTGAACAGTGGTAATAGGGAGGAAGATGAAGGATAGAACCATTGCACAGCAGCCTTTTGCAATCATCTAGTCCTTTAGGAACAGTTCTGCTGTGCTGTTTAGTCCTCAGGCCACACTGTGAGAACAAGTTACAGAGCACTGTGGTGAGTGCTGAATGAGTCAGGGAGTAGAGATAGGAAGAGAGAGAGAGAAAGGGAGAGGGAGAGAGAGACCTGTAGGTACATAGAAAAGGCAGGAAGCAACATATGTCCTTGACTCATTTGATACTGCACTTTGTTCCACTTCCCAAGGATTCAGTCACTGCAATTTACCTTTAGCATTCCAGGCAGATAGAATCCTGCTCTACATATGAATCTGGGCACAAAGCCATGCAGGTGTGAGTAAGCCCATGAAGGAAGTGGCACTCAAAGACTCTAGGAGTTCAGGCCAGGTGCAGTGGCTCATGCCTATAAGCCCAGCACTTTGGGAGGCCGAGGTGAGTGTATCACCTGAGGGTGAAACCCTGTCTCTATAAAAACACAAAAATTAGCAGAGCATGATGACGGGTGCCTGTAATACCAGCTACTTGGGAGGCTGAGGCAGAAGAATCACTTGAACCCTGGGAGGTGGAGGTTGCAGTGATCTCAGGTCATGCCATTACACTCCAGACTGAGTGACAGAGCGAGACTGTCTCAAAAAAAAAAAAAAAAAAAGACTCCAGGAGTTCTAATATGCCCCATTAGGTGGGCACCAGAATGGCCCCTTGTAACTTTTTCCTACCTTCTCCTCTCCTAATTCTTTTTCTGTGGAGGAAACAATAATTGTCTCTGAATCATCCCTATTCGGAGCATTGAGGATATATTAGAAGGTCTGGGTAAACAAGCAGAAATATTGCAAAAGTGCTAAAACATCAAACTTCAGGGTCGAATTTGTGGTTTGCTTCTGCTTTTTCTATCCACTCTAAAGGTGTTCCTGATAGAGAAGCTTCCTCAGTGTTCCCTGTGTTGGTGTGTAAGACAGAAAGAAGATGGGGTAAAAGAGTGCACGCATCCTCCACTACAAACCAGAGGCTGATAGCATTAGGGAGAAGCTAGGGTTTGGCCTCACACAAGCAGTTTGCACTGTTGTCCAATCCCAGGTGGGGTGGTTGCCTCTTCATTTCCTTTGATAGCAACCGCCTGTTGCGTGATGTAGTGTGGGTGTCCTCAGAGGTAGCTACCTAAGTTTGCATACTTCCTGACTGACAGAACACTCCTGCCAGTGCCTCCAGGCCAGGGTGGTGGTGTTGGTGGGAGGAGTAAGTAACCAAGTTTCACTTCCTTGCCTTGGAGACTCAGAGCCATAGCAGGCTGCTGTCTCACAGAGCGAGAAGGTGTCAGGAGCAGCCCAGTTGTGTCTCTCTCTCTACCTCTGTGAAGGGCGCGAATGGGCAGAGCAGAACTTCTAGAAGGGAAGATGAGCACCCAGGATCCCTCAGATCTGTGGAGCAGATCCGATGGAGAGGCTGAGCTGCTCCAGGACTTGGGGTAAGGCAGCAGATCTCCTTTCAAAGTACCTAGTGGGTGGACATTGACTCCGCACTCCCACCTGCATGCTTTGATTAATGACTATCTTCAGTGCCTTGTTGCCCTCTGCCACCTCAACCATTTATTTTTTTCCACTTTATTCATTTGTATCTGTTAAGTATCTTCTTGTCTGGGGCTAATTCCATTGGAAAAGCAGGCATTATTTTTCTAGATGTGAAAACAAGTTGGTTGAGAAAATAGGGAAAAAAATCAAATGTTGGACATTCTTTGAGAAGAGGGACAGAATTGGGATATAGAGGTGATGTTGCCTGGCTTCCTTGATGTTGCTCTGGTTTATGAATAAATGCGCTGTTCAAGAGTTTCTAGCACTGACCCAGGGACAGTAAAAGGACTGTGTTTCTGGTAAGATAAACAGAAAGCTTACCCTACTGTAAGGGAGAGGGACTTTTTCAAAAGACAGAGAATGAGGAAGTTCCTGCAACAGTCTCGCTTGTATATTTCTTTCTCCTGATACTGCATTTGTGAGATTTGATATCGTATGTATGTCCAGAGAGCCAACTTTGAGCCTTTCAGTACCAACAATCCAGGAAGAGGATAAAATTTCTGCTTCAAACAGGTAAGCATAGGTAGGTGGAGTCATTGGAGCTCTGTCTTTAAGAAGGGACCCAGATGACAACTCATCCGGGTATTTAATAAGAAACAAGTATTACACAAGAGAGGAATTGGGGATTTCCCAGAGAAACTGCCTAATGCACTGGGAATATCCCAATGAAGGTGGCTTTGACACCTGTGCATGAGGAGAGGCAAAACCTTTACCTTCTGCCTGGACAAATAGCTCTAACTCTTCATAGCAATCCAATGACATAGGAGCTGTTGTCATCTTCATCTTACAAAGGATGAAAACAAGTACCAAACAGGTTTGAATAACTTGCTTGCTAGTCACACATCAATTACATAGCAAAGCTGGGCATCCAACCTACCACAGGCTATGTCCGAAACCAAAGAAAAACCAAAATAGAGTTGAAATCTCTCTGTGTTAAGGCTGCAGAGATTGTATCTTTTTATGTTGTATTACTGTAAAAGTTTATTAATAATTCCTGTCTTTAGATTATAAAACTGAGGTCTCGGAATTGAACTCTACTTTCATTTGGCAAATCAGATAAAACACCTGGAATTTTCATTAAAGAAAACTCCCCTTATTAGGAAGCCAGAGCTCTAGAATCTCTCTATCCCTCTAGATTGAATCCCCAAACAGAAGAGGTAAAAGGCCCTTCTGTGAGCATCCAGCACAGGTGTCACCAAGTCCAAAAGCTAAAGCTGAACTGTGGCCCTCAGTGTCTTATTGAACTATTAAGTTACAATGCTTTACATGTTCTGTTAACTGTATTCCCAGCCCACTGTAATAGAAAACCCCAAAGGAGGAGATAGAGGAATATATTCAATTCTGGTCCTTTAGTTAAACAAACAATCCTAGAACCCAGAGTCTATGGTTGAGTACTGTGGGAACACACTTAGATGACAAAGATGAATTAGATGCTGTCTCTGTGCCCCACCATGATGTCAACAGCAAGAAGCAACTACAGGTGAAACCCACGGGTGGAATAGGACTGTGTCTTTCCTCCATGTGCAAAGAATAGACATTGAATACAAAACTGAGTCACACCACTTCCCTGCAAAAAAAAAAGGGTACATTCATGGCCAGATTTCCCTATTTCAGAAGGCGTGAACAATTAATAAACATGAGGATGATTTCTATAGCAATGGGCAACCTGCAGTTATCTGGGAAAACTGCTCTACAGTCCTGGTTCTTGACCTTGGCTGTGCTCTGGAACATCTTGACACCCAAACCACAGACTTGACAAATGATTTCAGTATCTCTGGGGATGGGTGTTTTCTTGTCAAACTCTCCAAGTAATTCCAAAGTGAGACCCTAGGTTGATGATCACTGCATAGAATATGTATCTACCAAATGCATTAGGTAAATGTGGTCTTGTTTTTCATTTTAAGTCTGTTGGGTGTGTACTTGAATCTTAAAATTACTAATAAATGTTGATATTTTGTTTGTTGGTTTAGGGGCATTTCGATTAGCAACTTTATTGAGGTTATTTTACATATCATAAAATATACCCGTTTCAAGTGTACAATTCAATACTTTTGACTAACTTTACAGAGTGATACAACCATCACCATAAATCAGTTTTAGGACATTTCTGTTCTCCCAAAAAGAACCCTCAGATGTATGGCTTATTTAAGCATACTCAACAGTGTGCTGGAAAAACAGCTGGGAAGAGTTGGGGTGTGGAGAAAGCCCTGATTTCAAGAATTTGCCTAATTCCCTGGTATAAATACTCCCACTATAGACAATTTCAAGCTGCCAACAATTTAACATCATCGAATTGAATATTTAATAATCAACTTGTGCCAGTACTTGCTCCTGCAGCACCTCACTGATACATTTTTTATAGATAACAATTTGAGAACTCTTGACAATGACTTGTTGCCTCTGCCAGAATACTGAACATAACTCGAACATTATAATGACTTTTTCTTTGAACCTTTAACCACTGGCGAGATAGAATCTCTACCAAACCTTCTGATTAATTTAGTTTCCAAAGACCTCCTTAAAAACAAAATGATTTAATGTAATGGATAGATAAAAGGTAGCTGGTTTTAATGACTTAATTTTTCAATTATTTTTAAGAGGTTATTTGAGTAGTTAGATAAATCCTTACGTTTATGTTTTTGATAGACATAAACAGATAAGTTAGTGGTTAAATTACAGAAATAGCAGAAGTCTTTGTTCTTGGGCCTCTGTTTTTTTCAGGCTCTGGAATATGTAAATCCTGTAAATTGAGCCCTGAACTGCAGCAAATCCATCACTTGCCTTTCCAGGACATATACAACTTGCTCAGAGTACAGGTTTATTATTTTCTAAAATACCTAAATCAAGCAACACAGTGCTTTTCCATGTCTCATTTATAGAGTGTCAGCCTAAAATCATTAATTTTCTTTCATCTAAAATACATTAATGTGTCCAGAAGCAAAGGAGAAATAAAACCATCTTAAATTGTTGCTCAGCTTCGCTTACACTTCTCAGGGGAGGGTATGGGCTTAGGGGGAAGAGAGGTGTGGGGAGGGCAAGAAGTGAGGGTGTGGAGAATCAGGGGAGAGGAAGGAGGTGGACCATGAACGAGGAGATGGGTCAGGCTGTTTGCTGCTTGCAAAATGAAAATATGGCAAAATAAAACAAGTAACAAATACTGGAGATATCACCTAAGTAACAAACTGGTAAAGAATAGCTAGTTAAATTACTGAAAATTCCAGCAATTCTTTGGCTTTAACAAAGGTTACTATACTATTTCTACATATAGCTATATATATGTATAAACACAAAAGAAATAACAAAATGAAAGTGTTTTAGCATACTTTAAAATTAAATATTCAAATGATCTAGTCAGTTGTAACTCCAAGTGAGAAACATAATAAACGTTCTCTTTTTTAAATACTTTCTCAAATCGAAAGTTGTATAAGAAAGTGCCAGTGTTTGGCTGGATTGGCCAGTGCCAAAGAACTAGATTCCAAGCTCTGAATATTTAAATAAATTGATAACTAATTAGTCACATATAAGAGAAGTTTAGAGTAGACCATGGAGCAGCAAACCTTTTTTTTATAAAGGGCCGGGTAACGAATGTTTTAGGCTTTGCAGGCCTTACAGTCTCTACCTCAACTACTCACATCTGCTGTTGTGCAAAAACTACCAGAGAACACAGAAACAAATGACCGTGATGGTGTTCAAACAAAACGTTATTTATACACTGAAATGTGAATTTCATATAATTTTTATGAATATTTTTCTATTTCCCTCAAGCATTTCAAAATGTACAGCCATTCTTGGCTCCCAGTCCATACTAAAACAGGTGTCTGACAGGAATTAACCCTCAGCTGGTGGTTTGCTGACCCACGGAATAAATGATAATAAACAAAATGAGTCCGTATTATAAGGCAGGCATTTTGTAGACACCAGCTCTGGTCTTTGAAAGGCACTGGTATTCCAGCTTTACACAGGAAGAGACTCAAGAGCAGAAAAATCAGGTTGCCTACAGTCTCTGAGTGTCTGTGTTCAAAACCCATGCTGACTTCACAAACCAGGTTGTTTCCCTGCTGTGATAGTCCTAATTTACTGACCACCTACTATGCATCAGCACCATACCATTCACACGCATAATGCCATTTAGGCTTCACAATAACACTTTCAATACGATATCACCATACTCATTTCATAGACGCAAAAGGTGACTTCAATAAGCTAAGTATACGATCCAGGTCACAGACTTTGTAAGTAGTGGAGCTGAGAGACACACCTAGGAACTTACCCCAGAGCTTTCCACTGCATGGTGCTGCTTTGTAGAGCCCACTGGTCAAAGGTATGTATTCTAGTAATGGCAATTAGTAATTATTGGATGCTTATCATGTGCTAAGCACTAGTTTAAGCCCTTTGCCCATGTGAACTTGTTTAATTTACACATTGCTGTGAGGTGGGTATTATTACTAATGTTGTCCCCATTTATAGATGAGAAAAGTAAAGAACAGAGTTTTAATCACATGCTTAAGTTTCCATTCTAACATACCTTCAAATCCAAGAGTTTTGCTCCAGAGCCTTCATGCTTGACTGCTGATGTAACCTCCTGGTTTTCATCAAATTTCTCTCATCTTACTATACTAGTACATGTTCATAGTTCTTAATATGAACTGAGAGAAGCAAAGAAAGTTCTGTGATTATAACAAAGTTTACTATAAAAGACATTATTCTTTCTATTCCTCACATAATATACATGCACATGTACACAAAGCCAGGCCAGCATTCTAGTTAATCAGAACATTATTGAATTTTGTGTAGAATTCATTTTCAGGACTAGAAAAATTTATTCAGCTAAGAAACGTAAAGTCAAAATTTCAGTGGAACCTGTTTACAGCGGTGTGACACTAACTACAGCAATACAGCTTGTTCCTCTTCTGTGCACAGCTCTGTAATCTTGGATTCTAAAAACGGAAGGTGGTTCTTCTGTGGTTGTATAATTAGTATGTAACTAGTGTACAGTTCCATCTCTTCATAACTCAAGTGAATTTCCTCTTCAGTTGTGGTGTTTTTCTGTTCCTCCAAAGGGTGACTTCCTTCTACTTACAAGTGGAAATCTGTCCCACAGACTGTCCATGTTGTGGGGAGTCACTTTGTTTCATTCATTCACTCTTCTACTGGGTCATAGATCTATCTGTTGTATGATGACGCCAGGCAAGGCAGCATAGAGGAGACTACAATAAAGAAGGCATGGCTGTGCAGAGATGGAGGATTCATATGCATGTAGAGTTAGAATGCAGTGTTGTGTGGGCTGAGGGCTGTGACAGTGTCTAGATAAAACAATCTCCTATGGAAGGCTATCTTCTCCACAGTAGAAGTGGAGAAGATGGCCTTGGAGCTGATATGATTTTTGTCAGTTGAAGTTAGAAAAGGTGAAATTTTCTACAGAGAAAATGGCCTGAATAAAGGAGTGATGGTAGCAAAATATGCAAGGATTCAGAATTGAAAAAGCTCACATGAACTCAGACCCACCCAGTCCCCAAGACCCATCTGGTTTGTCAGCATTCTGGTGGTCTGGTTCTGGTCTCTACCTCTATCCATCTCATCCTATGAGAAGCTTCAACTTGGCTTTTCTCTTGTACTTCTGTTTTCATGACCATACTCTTAGATATTTTGTTAAAACCTGCATTAATTTCTGGCTCCTACCAACTCCCGTAGAGGATAAATTCCTATTCTGAGCCCATCGACCTCTGTGTCCTACTGCCTGATAGAGGCCTGCCTCTACCAAGAGCACAGTGAACACTGCTGGGCCTTATCAGTGTTCGCTGCTCACCACTTGCTTCTTTATGGTCATGCTTCCCCTGACCCTGCCCACTAGCACCTGCCCCCATTATCTGTTGTTAGACCTTCTTTGTTTAAAAATGTTTATAACTTTAAAAAGTGTAAGAGTAATCACTTGTTTTAATAACAGTATGATGATTATGTAAAAGAATGTCACTTTTGAGAGATGCATGTTGAATTATTTAGGGTTAAAGTGTCAGGATATCTGTAATTTACTTTAAAACTGTTCATCGAAAGAGTCAAAATTAAACGTTGTATTAAAAATGTGGCAAAAGGTTAAAAATTATTCTACCTGAAATATGGGTATTATTTCAATGCAGTAACATTGATGCTATTTTTCTACTTTCCAGTATATCTGAATTTATTTATAATAAATAGTTGAAAATAATAGTAATATATATTAATTATCAAAAATTAGAGAGATGAAGAGAAGCATCAAAATATAAAGAAAAGCACTAAAATGTCAGCCATGTACTACTACCTAAAATAACATTGTTCATCTTGATTCTAGTTTTTAAGAAATGTTTTTCTGTACACACACACAAACATATATAGAGATTGAATTGTAATCATATTATATGTATAATTTTGCTTTTGCTTTTTGGTAGGATATTTTTCCATCATCTCCTTCTTGATCTGTCTCAAAGTAGGCTCTTGCTTCCCTCTGAAAGCATGGATATTTAGGTTGATCTAGATTCTGGAGGGCCTAAAATAGATTTGGTCAATGAACAATGTGGACTCACTGAAGGTTCATAGGAATGTGGAATTACATAGTCATCATGTTTTGTTTTTAGGTAGATTAATCTGATAGTTCAGCATGATGGGTGGCAATGGGGCTAGAGCCAAGATAGTGGGTTAGTGAGGGAGTTTTCAGATTGGTGAGTAGGAAACTAGAGTGCTAACCCGGGAATAGTCAGGAAGGAACAAGGGTAGAATCCAGCAATTCCATTGAGCTAAGCAAAATAAGCGACTCATGTCCAAACAAAACTAGTTCTGCTTTTGTGTATGTTTTCAAAATGGTATCAAAGAAATTTTGAAAACCTTAATGTCTCACAAATATATTATAACTCATTGTTTGCTTTATCAGTATAAATTTCTAAATTTTCCTGGGTTTCATGTTACTGCTCCTAGAGTTCTGACTTATACAAGTTGATTGCATGTTTGGGTTGATTCACCAGATACTCTTGAAACCATTTTGCAGATGTCAGTCCTGAGGTACTAAGAGGTTTAGCCACTTGCTTTAGGCTAGAGCACAGTAAACTCCTTTTAATGGTGAACTCCTTAGGAGCAGGACAGTGGTTTATTCATCTTTGCCTTCTCCATCTGAGCATACCACTTGATAAAGAGCAGATGTTTAAATGTTGAATTGCCCCAAGTTGAGTCAAGGCCAAGACCAGAACTCAAGCCTCCTGACTTAAGCCAGTGAGCTTTCCACTGAACCAACGCTGATGATGTACTTGCATTCATCACTTTCAGACTCACTCAGTCCCCTTATGCCCAGTGGTTTTTACTGGTGGAATAAATTGACGTTGGTTAGAGGTATCGCCTAAACCATGGAATAGAGAAGAGATAACTAATGAAACAAGAATCTGCCTGTATTTTTTTTACAGACCCCAATGTACTTATAGCTCTTTCCTATAGCTGAAGCTTCCTGAAAGTGACCCTCTCTGTCTCCTACACTAGCCCACAATGGTAGGTTGTCAATGGCAACCACAGTTTGAAGACAATTACCCTGAACCAGCACTTTGTGAGGGATAAGTTACAAGAGTAACCATAGTAAGCCCAGAGTCAAGCTTGATTTTACTTGAAGATGAGCCCTCTTAAGAGAACCTCTGATTTTCATTCCCTGCCTAGTCATTCTAGGCCTTTTCAAGGTTTTTTCCAATCCAAATAAAATGTTCCCTGAGCCTCAGTTACTGGAGAGCAGTGGTGCTTTTTTGGTCTTGCAGCCATTCCTGTACTGTGAAGGCTTCCCTGGGGACCGAACAGAAGGATCTCAGTACAGTGAGATGCAGTTTTCACCCCTCCCGCAAGTAGTGGCTCTGTCCCTCAGGTCTGTCCAAATCTGACTTCCCTGGGTATGTTGGTCCATCTCTGAGTCAGGCTCTGTGGATTTTTCTTTATCTTTAAAGACATCTTTATCTTTCATTGTTTTCTCTGCCCCTGTCTCCTGGATCACTCTTTGGGTCTGCATGTGCATTCCCTAAGTCTCTGTCCCCATGTGCTTCTGGCTATCTGTGTGAGCTGGCGAGTCTATCTTGGTCTCTTGAGTTTTGTGTCTCTATCTTTCTATCCGTCTGTCTGCAGCTCTTTGACTTTTGTGTCTCTGAGACTTTGTGCCACTCTGTCTCTGAATCTCTGAGTCTCCATGTCTGTCTGTCTCTGTGTTTTCGTCTTCCAGAGCTTCTTGCATCATTTCTCAGACTTCTTCAAGAACAGGTTCATCCTGATCTCAAACTCCTACAGAATTCTCTCCTCCCTTTCAGTTTTGATTTCCATTAGCTGAGCCTTGACTCCCACCAAAAAACTTGGGACCTGCCTTTAACTCACAGATCAATGAGATATTTGCATGCTCCGCCTCTGTCATCACTCAGGTCTGTTTTCTAAAGCCTGGGGCAGCTGGTCTCACCATTTAGCTCTGCTCTTAGCTCATGTAAACATGGGCATTTAGAAAAGCAATTTTGAAAGATACAGCCCTGCTGGTTCCATCACAGAAACGTCTCTATTGGAGAGACTCTAGAGAATCTTTCTTTGGCCTCCCCTGTATATCACACTACACCTGTCTGAGACCATGTAAGAACTTCCAAAATCCTTTATAAGGCTTCGGCTTGATTCCCTCTATTTGAACAGGGTCCATTGCTATTATCAATGGAAAAATAAGCCCACACTTGTGAACATGTGACTTAATGGGCTTGTGTGGGCAACACCATCTTTCTTAGATATGTCACAACCTGATTCTAATATAAATTACAGCACTGGTAGCTCTTGAGTTACATAAGACACCCTAAACCCATGATTTCTAATGGCATAGAGGGCCAAACACTTTACCTTTCACAAAATCAAAGTATCTAGCACCGACCCTATGAACAAATGAGCATGAATGAAATCAGCAGCCAAGGAATCCCATGGAATAGTTCAAGTGGTAAGAACAGATTAAACCTTAGAGTGTGAACGCCTAATAGATTCATCTTTGTTCTATCACTGTTGTGTTCAGAAAGATTGTGAGGCTAAGTATAGGCTCAGCAAGAAAGACACATCAATTAGCTGTGCCATGTATGAACTTAGAGAAGGGGTGTGGCACATATGTTATGCATTTGTCATCTTTGGTCTAGATAGTTCAGAGGGGTGTCAGTGTCATATAAAAGTGAGAACAACTTTGAAAATGAAATAAGAGAAAATTTTCTAAAGAAGAATGCTTTTGTTGGCTGTTCAACTCCAGGGCATTTTGGCTGTTTTAACACAATCAGGAGTTTTTTTCCCACTTTGCGTTGAAATATATGTCCTCTTTATAACTCTGATGAAACAGAATTGAGGTTCTATTTCATGTATCTTTTCCAGGCAGGGAAAAATATATCATTAAATATGTGAATAATCTGTAGACATGAGTTACTAAGACATTTTGTCATCAAGAAATATACTATCTAAATGGATGTGTGGCATGTGTTTTAAAGTGCAAGATTGCTTTCTGTGTCCACCAGTTCTTCCAGAATTATTTTGCACCACTTCCCAACAGGGACCCTGTGCTCCAGCTAGGCATTTGGTTGCCCATGCACACCAAGCCCATGTCCACTCCAGTGCCTTTGCTTATGTCATTTCTCCTCTCAGAATGCCTCTCACTGCCTAATGAATCCTATATTCATTCTTCATACTGCAGTTTATCATTCTCCCGCTCCATGAAGTTTTCCCTGATCATTCCAGCCCACTGTGAGCTCCCCTTCCTATGCTATAATATTTACTGTCCATATCACTAAGATAGCAGCTATTTGGTGATTCTTCTATGTTAACCTGCAGATCCTTCTCTTTTCCATTCTGTTGGTACTGAAAAGTCACTTAGTACTTTGCTTTGCCCTTCTCTTCAAATGCCAAATTCTGTGAACTCAAACTGTTCACATTATTGAAGTGAATTAAAGTTTTCAGGCCCAAGAGTCCTTCCCATACATGCTCCTCAAACTCTAAAGTGCATAACAATCACGTGGGACTTAGCAGGTTGAGGGAGGGGCCTGAGGTTGTGTGTGGTCCATGTTGGCTGCTCATTAGCAACTCTTTTCACTTGACACTTCCCAGTAGTAAAAAGTTTCTTATTGCACCTGATTTTAAAACCATCACTCTTGGCTGGGCGCGGTCTGTAATCTCAGCACTTTGGGAGGCTGAGGCGGGCGGATCACGAGGTCAGGAGATCGAGACCATCCTGGCTAACAAGGTGAAACCCCGTCTCTACTAAAAATACAAAAATTAGCCAGGTGTGGTGGTGGGCACTTGTAGTCCCAGCTACTCGGGAGGCTGAGGCAGGAGAATGGCGTGAACCCGGGAGGCAGAGCTTGCAGTGAGCCGAGATCGAGCCACTGCACTCCAGCCTGGGCAACAGAGTCAGACTACGTCTCAAAAAAAAAACAACAAAAAAACAAAACAAAAAACACCATCACACTTATAAGTGCAGATGAAGGAAATGACCTAATTGGAAGTTTTAATCAACAGTAAGTCCAGTGTGAATCAGCTATGTGATGCAATTGTGAAGAAACTAATGCATTCTCGGGCTGCCTTATGTGTGCCCAGCAGCCAGAATAAGGGAGCTCCTGTGCTGCTTTGTTTTGCAGGTCAGAGTTTAACGTTAAGACAGATTTTTTAAGTTTGAAAGGTTTTCAGATGAGATGAGTTCTTTGGGTGATAAGGTCCCTGGATGATAAAGGAACTGAAAGCCTGTCATAAAAGGAAAAGCTGAAGATGATGGAAAGAGAAGAAGGTGCATTCTAAATGCTTTCAACTCTTTCTATAAGTATCATCTATGTAACTCCAAGAAGTAGCTCTGAAACCATCTGCTGAAAGCCATCTACACAGCAAAAAATGGCAATTCATTGTAGCCCAAGAGTTTTCTAACCATGAATCATGAACATATGGATTAAGCTTGCCTATACAAGTACTGAGTTCCCCATCATTAGCAATATGTAGGCAAAGATTGGATAAGAGTACTATAGAGTTTAGAAATTATTCAAACACTGTTGTTGTGCATTTCTGACAAGATCCCAGGTGATGCTGATGCTGTTGGTCCATACTTTAAGTAGCAAAGCTTTGCACTGTGGTTTAAACATCAGGTACAACCCGTTAGTAGGCTTAAAGTGAATTTAATGGGTCACATCAATATTCATTCAAAATAAAGAGAAAACAATATATTCAAGTTAATAGCCTATAGAAAGATAGGTGTTACGTCCTGTAACTTTTTGTTTTTTGTGCGTCTTTGTGACATATGTATGTTTATATATATACAGAGTGATATAAAATGTATTTTGTACTGTGAGTCAATTCAAAAAATTTAAAAGCCTCTCCTTTAAAGAACAGAACAAATGAGGTATAAAGTTAGATTAGTAAATTAAAACAGTAAAACCCAGTGGGATAAGAAACTATGAAGGTTCCACTATTCTGGAGCAATTTTCCAGAAGATTCTAGCTCAAAGAGGCCCCAGAATGAAAGGAAAGGAAGCTGAACCGAGGACCAGCTTTCTGGATCCAGCCTGTCCACATTCTCTGTGGCTGAGTTTATTTTCTGTATCTTACTAAGAGGCAGCTATGAAAATTCTTTAGTGGGTGGTGTTTCCTAGTTTTTTACTGTATCATGGAAAGGATAATATCACTGTTTCCTTCAAGTTGAATTGCTGGTTTTCATAATCTTATAAACCCAGTACAAATATTCTTTTGGAGCTTGATTAGTCTTTTCTCTGTTGACTTTATCAGACTTGAGACATAATTATGGCAATGTGTGGGCCTTGGGGAAAATGGAGACTATTAACATTCTTTCTAATAGGAGTTTCTTGCTCTTTTTTGCTTCTTCAGGGAAAATGAGACTAGAAGAATTTTTTTTTTAAGTTTCAAAAAATGAACCTATTCCCAACTGCATAACAGTGTGTTCCTACCACTTTGCAAATGTCTAGCATATCCATAATACATTGTTTAATTTAGCAAATCTAGTTTTTTTTCTGTAAAAGTTAAAGAATTGCATAAAAAATTTATAAAAGAAGAAAATTTTTCCAATACATGAAAATAAGAAGGTTCTCTGGCCAGGCGCAGTGACTCATGCCTGCAATCCCAACACTTTGGGAGGCTGAGGTTGGCAGATCACCTGAGGTCAGGAGTTTGAGACCAGCCTGGCCAATATGGTGAAACCCTGTCTCTATTAAAAATACAAAAATTTGCCAGGTGTGGTGGTGCACACCTGTAGTCCCACCTACTCAGAAGGCTGAGGCAGGAGAATTGCTTGAACCCGGGAGGTGGAGGTTGCAGTGAGCCGAGATCACACCATTGCACTCCAGCCTGGGTGACAAGAGTGAAACTCCGTCTCAAAAAAAAAAAGAAAGTTTTTTTCCTAGGCATTCTTACTAGTCACCTTGATGGATGAGAAAACTGAGGTTGCTACTTGCCAGGGGGTCACATAGTGAATAAGGTAAAAATTGTTGGAGCAGATAGACTACCTGAGGGAACGACCAGAGACAAATGCATGACCTCTCCTCACCAACAATTATAAAAACTTCATTACTAATCACATTGAGAAGCTGAAAATAGCTTTTCTATACTATCAAGAAGTTTTTAAAGTGTTCTAGATGAAAGACTGAATTATCATTCCATTCCCCCATAGAAAATTATATTATTAAATTATTACATGAAGAGACAATCAAATACCAGACAGCAAAAATATAGAGAAAAAAATTATAAGGTTTGATTCAACAGTTAATTAATACAAATACGTTATTTTCTCTGTGTTGTGATGTTTGTGATATTTTTGTTTTTAAAATTTGTAATTTGCGATTTCTCATTTTAAATAAATATTCCTTTCTTTTTTGTAATTTTGCATAATTTGTCTTAAAGAGACCTCCAGATTTTATAAGCTTCAAGACCATTGAAATCTGCCTCTTATCCCTAATAACTGGAATATTCAAATTTTTAAAAATTGAATATAGTTCTGGCCCGGCACAGTGGCTCACGCCTGTAATCCTAGCACTTTGGGAGGCCAAGGCCGGGAGATGACCTGAGGTCAGGAGCTCAAGACCAGTCTGGTCAACATGGTGAAACCTCATCTCTACTAAAAATACAAAAATTATGCAGGCATGGTGGCACATGCCTGTAGTCTCAGCTACTAGGAAGGCTGAGGCACGAGAATTGCGTGAACCCAGGAGGCAGAGGTTGCAGTGAGCCAAGATCATACCACTGTACTCCAGCCTGGGTGACAGAGCAAGACTCTATCTAGGAAAAAAAAAAATTGAATATAGAGCAAATTATAGAAACTGTAAGGTCCATGCAATTAGATTTTATGTAATGAGCTATTGGACATGCATATTAAGCCACAGGCAGCTCTATAAACATCAGACAAGGAACTGTCAGTATTCAGTGCCACATATAGAGCCTCAATATCCTCCACCTTCATCTCTCACCATTCCCAACTGCTGTCCTTCATCACTCACTTTGAATTCTCACATGACTACATGATATTCTGATTCTCATACACGCCTTGCATTCTCTCACTTCTAGGCCTTTGCTGCTGCTATTCCCTCCCATGTTATATCTCCCTGAACAACTGCGGATCCAAACCCCACCAGACTTTTAATAGGAAAAAGCCAAACTCTCTCTTTCTCTCTCTCTCTCTTTCTCTTTCTCTCTCTCTCTCTCAATCTTCACCTAAGTGCCTAGGCCAGTCCAAGTACTCAATAAGCAGTAGTTGAATAAATGAAAGAATATGGCAAATTATTAATAAGGTTATCTCTGGAAGTTGGATTAAGTAAGAAATTAGCTATTTTCTTTTTTTCTAATTAAATTTGTAGCTAACTAATATAGAAATCTATTTTTTTCATTAGAACAAGCTAAATTAGAAAAATCTGATCAAGCTAAAGTCTCCTTTGAACAAATTCTGGTTCCTTCTACAAAGAAAATCATACTTATGAATTTGGTGTATATTTTTAAAACTCTTATTTTATGTTTTTATATATCTTAATATGTAAGCATATTTTTGTTGTTGATATTTTATAGGGGAACGTGTTAAAACCAAGTGGTAACATTTGGTGCCTGCAACTAGTTCTTCTAACTTTACAATATATGTTGGGATCTATCAACTTTGATGTGTGTGTGTATACACACCTATCTTCAGTGATTCTCAGTGGTGGGGTGTAATTGACATCATGAACAAGACAATTCTTGGTTCTTCAAGACTGTATCATTTGTAGGATGTTAAGCATCCCTGGCACCCTCTCACAAAATAACAATAGCACCCCGACTCCCTGCCCTCATTATCTGGCAACCAAAAATATGCTCACAGCTTTTCAAACACTTTTGGTTAACTTTTTACATAATCTCATCCTTTTAGCACTCCACTTTATTTATCATCTCCATGTCGATGGACATTTAGGATGGCTCTAGATTTCTTACTCTTACAAACAATTCTGCAGTGAACACCCTTGTTCATATTTTCTTCTGCTCATGTATGGGTGTTTCACTAGGTGGAAACTAGAAGAGGAATCGCTGGTCATATGTGGAGGTTCAGTTACACCCTATGTGCTAAATTCCCCTCCAACTTAGACCCTTATCAACAATGGACAGTAATAGCCATTGCCCAAATTCTCCAATACTTAATACTATCCAATCCTTTCATTATAACCGATCTGGTGGATAAAGAAAAATATCACATTATTATTGTAATCTGCATTTCTCTGATTAATAGTGAGATTATTTATTTGAAACACATCTTTCCTCTTCTGAAAAACACATACTTTATCTTCTTTACATGTATATATTTTAACTTTTACTATATATGCTTTATAATCAGAATAAAAGGTAACACAACCTTAAAAAAAAAAAAACAGGTTATATTTCAAGGCCTATACAGATGTTGGCTCATTCAGGGAACCTGATTTCGATCTTTCTTTTTAGAACATCCCTTGGGTACTTTATTCTCTCTTGGATATAGTTTGCAATATGCTTGTCTTATTCTCCTGACTAGATTAATGGTTATTTGTCACCCAGTCTGAGGCTTTTCCATTTTTGTTCCCTTTGACCTGCCTAGCACAATGCCTTGCACAGATTTGAAGCAATGACTGAAGGCAGAAAAGGTTGATTATGGGAAAACTACCAACTTAACTCTATTTTTAACTTTTATGGACACAGTCTTGAATCATCCTTATCAAAGGTGGACATATTTCTACAAAGAATACAAATGTCATTAGGATATACATTCACTCCCCTGAAAGAAATGCTCATCAGAATGTTCCAGGAAAGGAATGCTTAACTCAATTAAAAGGGGAAGTTTAGGTTTTTGTGGAAAAGCTATTTGGGGAATGAGGATCCTTATTGCACCACTGACATCATGGAATGTAGGTGGCTGCCTGGAAAGCTCTATACTGGGCTTGCCCAGGCCCTGGAGTCTGTAAACTCCTGAAAAGGCAATATTGACTCAGGCAAAGCTGCCACCAAGGAATTGCAGTCTCCAAGAATTTTCCAGACTGCAGCTTAGTGTGATTCTTCTTGCATTATACTCAAGTATTTCTTATGTGTTTATGGTATATAGTTATTGTTTTTTAAATTATCATTAAAACATTATTAGTAAAAACTGTTATCAGGCTATAATTAGACGTCAAAAGAATTCTATAAATGTTTTAAACGCAAACTTCCAATTCTATTGAAAAGAATCCAAAGGAATGTCCAAATCCTTTAAATGTTTTGGAATTTTGCGAATCAAATATTGCTTTACATAAACAACTGTTATCAGGCTATATAATTAGATGTAAGAAGAATTCTATAAATGCTTTAAACACAAACTTCCAATTCCATTGAAAAGAATCCAAAGGAATGTCCAAATCCTTTAAATGTTTTGGAATTTCACAAATGAAGTATTGCTTTAAATAAACAATCTGCTGGCTCGAACTGAAACTTATGCTGAAATGTTTATTATAAAGTTAATTATTGGCAAAATATATCTAAGTTTTTATAACCTTGTGGAAATTTCACCTATCAAAAAGAATTAGAATTTTGGCTTCAGTTGAACTTGAACTTTATTATTGTTTCACTTATAATTCTTCCAATTGTTCTTTGAAAGCATTTTGTAGTGAACAGATTTGAACTTGTCTGGGAATCAGTTCAATGAATGGAGCTGCTTTGGGTAAATAGCTCTGTGTTTATTCTTATAAAATGTGTTTCATGCCATTGCTTTCAGCTAGCAAATATATTTCTAATATAGGATGAAAGCATCTCTGCCCCAAAGATAAAATATGCTAAGAAACATGCATTAGGAAATGCAGATTTAGAAAATAGGTATCTTGGAGACCTATGTAAAAACTTCCTTCCACAGGTGCACTTAGGTTTACTCTTTATTACTCAGGCTAAAAGTTTATGCCACAGGGATGTCTCAGTGGATATCAGTGTGGTTCATGACAACAAGATCCCTTAATGCCAGAATAGGGCTATTCCTCAAAGCTTTTTTACACTATACACACCTCTTTAATAGCATTTAGTTCATCACACTGACATTATTTGTATAATTGCCTGTCTCTCTTTCATCTTCACTGACCTAAACTGTGGTCCCTAGCAGTCAGCAACTGCCTCTGCTGTCTAGCTTTCTGTTATCTGATCTAAATAAAAAGTAACAAAAATTCTATTTGAGCAATAAGAAAGTCATGCCACAGAGGGTAAATTGAAAGTTACGGCTTTTTGGATCTCAATGGCTTCCTGGTAGCAATTAACGCATACTAAGCACTGCTTTAGTTGCCAGGCTTTATGGAGCACATCTCATCCATGTTAATGTGTGCAGGACTCACAACTGGCCTATGCCGTATGCCTATTAGTCATACTATTTTAAACATGAGGAACCAAAGCTCAGATTGGTTAAGTAACATGTCCAAGGCCATACAGCTAGTAAGAGGTACCACCTGGATTGGGACCCAGGCAAAGCAACCCCCGGGGCCACAATCCTAATCATCACATTTCATGCCTCTATGACATCGTTTAAAAGAATGTGAATGACCTGTTATTGGAGAAAAGAAAGATGGTGCAGAGCAATATGCCTAGAAAATAAAAATAATAAATAATGCTCGTATGTTTGTAGAATCAGGAGTGGAGGTACACATCCAATGCCTCTAAGTGTGTAGACTATCTCTTAAGAGGAAGCACAGGAAAATGGTTACCAAGGTGTCCTCTAGGAAAGGAACAGGGAGCCTGAGGGCCCAGGGTGAAGAAAACATGTTTTGCTATGTCTCCTTTTGGACAATTTGAATTTTTTTTTTTTTACCATAGATATATATTACCTTTTCTAAAACACAAATATCATTTTGAATCTCCTTGAGCATTCCCTAGCTCTTCAGATACTTGTCAGGCTGAAACAGTACTTGGTGGCATTTACTTCATACTATAATTCCTTCCATCCAGCTTCGTTTCACTCATGACAATAGCCTTTAGTATTATAGCACAGAGGTTTCGCCGTGAAAAGGTACCACACTTGAAAAAGAGTGTGAGAGACCAAAAAAAGAAGGAAATTGGTCAAAGCCTATTCTTATGGTATTTTGACTTGGACTTTAAAAACCAATTCTGATTACAAAGCAACACTGTATTAGTTTGCTAGGGCTGCTATAACAAAGAACCACAGCCTGGGCAGCTGACTATAAGAAATCGATTGCCTCACAGTTCTGAAGGCTCAAAGTCGGAAATCAAGGTGTCAACAGGATTGGTTCCTTCCGAGGGCCGTGAGGGAGAATCTGTTCCAGGCCTCTTCCTGTGGCTTGGAAGTGACTGTCATGTTCATGCGCTGTTCTCCCTGTAGGCAAATCTATCTCCTGATTTTCCCTTTTTACAAGAGGACACCAGTCATATTGAATTAGGGCCCACCCTAATGACCTCATTTTTTTTTTTTTTGAGATGGAATTGCACTCTGTTACCCAGGCTGGAGTGCAATGGCATGATCTTGGCTCACTGCAACCTCCGTCCCCCAGGTTCAAGTGATTCTCCTGCCTCAGCCTCCCGAGTAGCTGGGATTATAGGTGCCTGCCACCATGCCAGGCTAATTTTTGTGTTTTTAATGGAGACGGGGTGTCACCATGTTGGCCGGGCCGGTCTCGAACCCCTGACCTCAAGTGATCCGCCTGCCTTGGCCTCCCAAAGTGCTGGGATTACAGGTGTGAGTCACCACACCCAGCCATGACCTCATTTTAACTTGGTAAAGACCCTGTCTCCAAACAAGGTCACATTTTGAGGTACTGAGAGGTTAGCACTTCAACATAAGAACTTTCAGGACACAATTCAACCCATGTCACGCTACTATTAGTCAACTCTGTGC
This sequence comes from Homo sapiens, assembly GCF_000001405.40. Taxonomy (NCBI): domain Eukaryota; kingdom Metazoa; phylum Chordata; class Mammalia; order Primates; family Hominidae; genus Homo; species Homo sapiens. The sequence goes on from NC_000004.12 coordinate 99,835,448, forward strand.
TCTCCTTTCAGCCCCACCCAGGGATTTCCTTGTCCTAATGTTGGGGCTGAGAGCTGGGTCTCTGGGCTACTTATCTTGAAGAATGTTGCTAGGTAATCTTTGCAAGGAAAAGCCAGTGCAGGGGGAGTCATGCCATGGTTTGGCCTGAGTGAAAGCGCTGTTCCCTCCTTTCTAGGTGGTATCACGGCAACCTCACACGCCATGCTGCTGAAGCTCTTCTCCTCTCAAATGGATGTGACGGCAGCTACCTTCTGAGGGACAGCAATGAGACCACCGGGCTGTACTCTCTCTCTGTGAGGTAAGGTGCTTCAGGGCTCTACGACTTCAGCATGGGCTCCTCTGTCACTTACTGACTTTATCATCACTCAAATTGCCAGACAGCAAAACTTCCCAATTCCTGTTGGACCACCAGGTTAAAGGATTCCAAACTCTAAATGATGAGGGTGTAAAACAACATTCCTGCTCCATTCATTAGCAGGAAAAAAATTGTTAGAGCTGGAGGAGACATGAGGAATTATTTGATGGAAACCTTTCATGGGACTGTTGAAGAATCTGAAACCCAAAGCGGTGGAATGTCTGGTACCTCAAAAATCAACAATAGAAACAGTGCCAGAATCCAAATTCCTGACACCTGGCTCAGTGTCCTTTTCACTATTCTTTGATTTCTCTGTAAATGCAGAATGATTTATGACTGTACGGCTTTCATAGTCACAACCTCAAGGAGGCAATATACATGTTTAAAATTTTTCCTATAGTGGGCTAGCTTTTCATATTGAGTCTCTATTTCTCCCAAATGGTAAGAAAGTTAATCCAGTCCCCACCAGGTTCATACAGCCAAATGCAGTCATTGTCCAGATCTTTCAGGTCCTCCCCACCTCACACCCCCTTCTTTCTGTCTGGTGCCCCAGATCAGAGAGGCTGACCAAGCTTCTGGTAGTCAGGGGAGGCGGCTGGTTCTCAGTCGCATCTGACACTCTGGCTTCCACTGACATGTAGCAAGTATTCTTGGGTTTTTAGGCGCTTCTCCATGGATTAGGCAGGGGATGTAAGGACTCCATGAAATTTCCCTCAGCCACCCACCCATTAAGCTCAAACTGTTATTGTGTTACTGTTCTGATGGCACCTCCATATACCCTGGAGAGTCACTCTTCCCTTCATAGTGCAGTTCCTCAAGCTAATCTGGCCTCAGAGGCTCTCTCACTTCTTTCCCAGTCTACACGGTCACTACTGGTCACTAACTCAGTAGCAGCATTCACATTGTCTCTTTGGGCTCTGGGCCTTGCTTCTATATTCATTTTCTATGCTACATAACAAATTATCAAAAACTTAGGGACTTAAAGCAACGCAACTGGATTATCTCACAGTTTCTGGCTGGATTCTCTGTCCAGGATCCTACCAGGCTGAAATAAAGGTGTTGGAGAAGCTTGTGGCTCTGATCTGGTATTTAGTGTCTTCTTCCTTCATTTTCTCCTTTCCTCTTCATCCTTTTTCATCCATTCCCTTGCTGCCGTAGAACTGAGGTCCTCCTTTTCCTTTTAGCTGTCAGCCAGGGGCCATTCTCAACTCCTAGACGCCACCCACAGTTCTTTGCCACATGGCACCCATGGCTGTTTACCACATGGGTGTTTGCTTTCTTGCATGCCAGCCAGAACACATCTCCCTGACTTTTTCTTCTGTGAGCAGCCAGAGAAAACTCTGTTTTACAGGGCTCATGTGATTAGTTCAGGCCCACTCAGATAATGTCCATATCTTAACATCAACTGACTTGGGACTTTATGACCTGCTAAATCCCTTCCCAGTAGCATGTAGACTAGTTTTTGATTGAATAATTGGGATAAAGTGTGTGTACTCCAGGGGCTGGGATTTGGGATCATCTTAGAATGCTGCCTGCCACAACTCCCATTCCTGGAACAGTGAAAATCTACAGGCCTACTTGAAGTGGGTGGGTGTGCGAAACAGGTAGAGGGTGATGGGGTAAGTAGGGGTCACAGAGGAAAAACAAGCATATTCATTAACATTTCTCATGTCACCCTGTTATATTTTATTTATAAATTTTCTGAATAACATAGATGAAAAAATTATTAATCCAAGATGGAATTCTGTTTGAGTGGCAACAAGAATTGTGCTTTCTCTGCTCAACAGCAAATGTTAAAAGTTCATCTAATGGTTAAGTTGTAGATGCTTTATTGCACACATCAGAGGTCCTCAACCTTTTTGGCACCAGGGACAATTTTGCCACAGACCGGAGCAGCGGCAGATGGTTTTGGGATGATTCAAGTGCATTACATTTATTGTGTGTTTTATTTTTGTTATTATTACACTGTAATGTATAATGAAATAATTATACAACTCACCATCATTCAGAATCAGTGGGAGCCCTGAACTTGTTTTCCTGCTACTAGATGGTCCCATCTGGGGGTGATGGGAGACAGTGACAGTTCGTCAGGCATTAGATTAACATCAGAGGCACACAGCCTAGATCCCTTGCATGTGCAGTTCACAATAGGGTTTGCACTCCTATGAGAATCTATTGCCTCTACTGATCTGATAGGAGGTGGAGCTCATTGAGAATGCAAACAATGGGGAGCAACTATAAATAAAAATGAGCTTCGCTAGCTCACCCATCACTCGTTTTCTTGCTACGTGGCTGGCAGGGGGATGGATGGGGACCCCTGGCATGAATCTTCCAAAAATGAAAAGTTAATTAACTTTTCACCTATGTATGTCTCATCTGAGCAATTAGATCATAAGCTTTTTATAAATCAATGACATACATATTTCATATACATAAAAAATAAAGAATAAATTATTGATTTTCATTGCAAGCACTAGAGAATGCTTATTAAAAAAATGACCAGCAGAGGTGACAAAAACCACAGACTAATTCAGGAGAATGACTATTTTTGTTTTATGAACAAATATTCACTTATTTGTTCATTCTTTTAATGATGAATATTTGAAAGCATTTATTCTGCACCAGCCACTTTGGTACGTGTTGTAGAACAGTGGTCCCCAACCTTTTTGGCACCAGGGGCTGGTTTTGTGGAAAATGCGGGTTCAGGATGAAACTGTTCCACCTCAGATCATCAGGTATTAGATTCTCATGAGGAGTGTGCCACCTAGATCCTTCACATGTGCAGTTCCCAATAGGGTTCAGGCTCCTGAGACTCTAATGCCATCACTGATCTGACAGGAGGCAGAGCTCAGGCAGTAATGCTTGCTCACCCACTGCTCACCTCCTGCTGTGCGGCCTGGTTCCTAACAGGTACCCAGTCTGCAGCCCCAGGATAGGGGATCCCTGCTGTAGAAGATTGAAATACCTTATTTTGGGGAATTACAGCCTCACAGAGCCAAAAAGACCACATACAAGTAACATACTACAAAGTAGAGGTTGACAAATAACATAAAAGAAAGCAAGATAAGTGTTTAGGTGGTTCAGAAGGGAAAAAGCAGTTAACTTAAGCTGGAATTATCATGTAATACTTGACAGAGGAGGTGGTACTTGAACTGCACCTTAATGAGTGGCTGGGATTTCTACCAGCAGAGACAAAGAGAAAGACCGTTTCAGGAAAAAGGAACAGTATGAACTAAGGGACAGAAGTGGAAACTCCTTGAAGAGCAGTAGATCCAGTTGGACTAGGGCAGCTGTTCTAAAGGTGTGGTCCCCAGACCAGGTGTGTCACCTAAGAACATGCTAGGAATGCACAGTCTCAGGCCCCACCTTGGATCTACCGAATCTCAATCTGCAGGGGTGGAGGTGGAGGTGGCAGCAAGCTGGGTTCTCACAAGCCCATCAGATGATTCTGAAGCATGCTAACATGGTAGCATGGGCTGCACTGAGAGTAATAGCAGGAAGTGAGGCTAGAAAGATAGAATGGGATCAAATAAAGTGGAGAGGCAGATATATATATATAGATATATATAGATATCTATAGATATATATAGATTAGATATCTATAGATATATATATAGATATATATATATTGTTTAATACTCTGCCTCATTTCAAAAATGAAGTGGAAAATGACAATGTAGGAAATTTGATATTTTATTCAGTAGGCAGTGGAACATGCACGGGAGGAAAAGGGCTAGGCTCACGTAACTAATCAAGCGACAGAGCTGAATTCTGATTGACTCCCAAACAAGCAAGGGAGAAAAGCCCAAGGCAGAGGAGAGTGTGGTGAGGGTGTCATATGTCATTTCTATCATTCCTATTCTCTGCCCTTCTTAAACTCATGCCCCTTAGCAGCATAATGTTCAAGGACTCTTTTGGTAAGTCTAGGAGTAGATAGGGAGAACAGTCTCTTGTCTTCCATTAGAGTGAAAAGTTGAGGCTGGGCGTGGTGGCTAACGCCTGTAATCTCAACACTTTGGGAAGCCGAGGCAGGAGGATCACCTGAGGTCAGGAGTTCAAGACAAGCCTGGCCAACATGGCAAAACCCAGTCTTTACTAAATATACAAAAATTAGCCAGGCATCGTGGCAGACACCTATAATCCCAGATACTCAGGAGGCTGAGGCCAGAGAATCACTTGAATCCAGGAGGCGGAGGTTGCAGTGAGCCTAGATCATGCCACTGCACTCCAGCCTGGGGGACAGAGCAAGACTCTGTCTCAAAATAGTAAATAAATAAATGAATTAATTAATTAATAAAAGTTGAAAAGAGCAAACTCTGCCAAAAGAAACTAGTGATGCTATTTAAAACTGTCAGTGGTTTCAATGATTGCCTAATTCTCAGTTCTTATAAAGGGTTAATAGTGATGCTAACATCTGAGATCATATTTCCCTTCAACAAGATATTTATTTGTTAAATAATATTAAATACTTCTTTTTCCCTTTTAGGGCCAAAGATTCTGTTAAACACTTTCATGTTGAATATACTGGATATTCATTTAAATTTGGCTTTAATGAATTCTCATCTTTGAAGGATTTTGTCAAGCATTTTGCAAATCAGCCTTTGATTGGAAGCGAGACAGGTAAGCTATGAGCAGACACTTGACTTATGAAATAATGTTTCGGGATGGAGGAGAGACAAGGCAGATTTCAATTTAAGAATGTCATTGTTGTCATTTATATTTCAGCATTATCTTGAAGAGAAAACAATGTATTTTGTATAAAGTAGATATTTTCTCAGAATGTGTTACTTAATGGATTGATTAAAAGCACACAATTTCTTTAAAATGGGCTCACCATTTTAAAATAACATATACAATACACACAAAAAGAACAAAGGTAAAAATGACTTTTTGATTACTCATAATTTCAGATATAGGCAGTTTGCATATGAGTGAGACCCACAGAAGTAAATTTTGAGCATTTTAAAAACTAAAATTCCCACTTAAATGTTCACAGAGATCACTGAATATTGAAAATATTAACTAGGAAGCACTCTCCTAAGTTATAAAATTCTGTTTCTATTGTCACGGTTTTTTAAATAAGATTTTAAGCTAGACTTAACTATGGCTGGAAAAGTTTGAATTTTCCTGTTTGAATGGTTAGAGAATTAAACCAGAAAAAAATTCATGTGTAAAGAAAAAAAACACAAAAAACAGTCTATCTTGGCACTTGAATTATCTAAGATTGAACATCTTGTTTATTTATATTATTTTAATGAAGTAAAATATCATCCCTGTATTTGTGATATAGAATCACAACACTTTTGTCCTAAATAATGATAAATCTTAGTTAATCAAAGACTAGGAAATTCCAAGAACCTGCGGCACAAGAGGAACTCAAGACTTAATAACACAACCAGTTACCATGAGTTTGTACATACGTGTTTTCTTGGCAAACTTGCCAGTGGGCTTTCTGTTAACTTCAGTGTGATGGGAAGAGATGGCATCATTGGCTTCTGTCTTTTCTGCTATTTATGTGGTGTGGGTAGTCCCTGATGTGACTCACACAGTGTCTAGTATACATGAAGTGCACAGCGGAAACTAGAAAATAGTTGCTCTGCTTTATACTGACCACACCAAGCCCAAGAAAGAATAACCCAAACTACGAAATGAAGTTATAACCTTTTTTTCCTTCTTTCTCCTGGTATAAATTCTCCCAATCAACCCTGAAAATTACTTCACCATTTAACAAGCAGTTGTTCCCATGAACAAATGGCCAGTGGAGGTGTATTTATTTCCACTGCTACCTTGGCCTTGGCAAGCATTTCAGTTTCTCAAATCCCTACACTTCAGTCTCCTTTCCTGCTTGCATCCAATTCCACACTTGATTTTGTTCAGTTATTGGTCACTGGCCATGTAGAGGAGATTTTTAAAGCCAGGGTTTTGTTTTGTGTACCTCTAATTTTTGTATTTCATATCCGCCAGGTCCTGGCCCACTGCAGGGCATTTTGGGTGAATAAATAAATGAATACATGGATAACTATGAGTAAGAACTCTTTGTAGTCTTCAAAGCCACTAGAGTTGTCATTTTTCTACTTTCTCTTTTTCTTCCAACCAAAGACAGCTCCCTTCTTTTAAATTCTTCTCCTAGACTCTATTTTCAACTTCTTTGATCATTCCCTGTGCTCCTTCCTGGGCCTTCTCCAAGTTAGGGAAAAGATACATATTCTGCCTACTGGCAGATTTCAAAACATTTAAGATCAAAGTGAAGGCAGTGCTTTCTGGTTGAACCTTTCTGGCACTGATCCAATCATCAGGCAAGAGGATCACCTAAGGATGCGCCAAAATAAAGATGTTTTGATATTGCATTTGGGACAATGATAAGCTTCCTTGTAAATACACTGTTCTGAGTAAAGAAGCCTTATGATTGATGCATTAGGGATTGTAAGGATTTGTCATCCAGACTTCTACAGTAGTTTCTCTAAAACTCAAACCTGCTGTATTATTATCTTGACTACAATTGCCATTTTATTTATTACAATATAACTCAGGAACCTAATATTTTTATCCTCTCCACTGCCTCTCCTCTGTTCTATTCATTATCCAATGAAGAATTTGCTGCTGTTTGAATTCCTGCTTTCGGCCCCTCGTGCTGATGGATATGCACTTGACTTGCTGGCTTCCAGCCCTTGAGTTAGAGTCCACCAGCTTTATTCCTCTTATCTGTCCCAGCCAGATGAAGGGAAAGCCATCAGGGCTAGGAACAACAGGCAAAACCCATGACAGATGAGTGTTCAAATCTTGCCCCTCTGGGAGTAATAGGCCTTGGGAAACAAGATAATGTGCTCAAGTCATGATGACTTGTAAGCCCAGAAATTCCTCAAGGTTACGGAGTCAGCATTGCAGACTATAAAGAATGGTGAATGGAAACTGACATGCCACCTTCTAAAAATAGGCCTTTTCTTCTTGTTCATTTAAGCATGGGCTCCTAGTATTGGCTCCCAGTGATCAGAAGATCTTCAGGCTAACGATTTCATGTTCACCTTCAGATGAAGTACAGATATTTCTTTCTTTTTTTTTTTTTTTTTGAGACGGAGTCTCGCTCTGTCGCCCAGGCTGGAGTGCAGTGGCGCGATCTCGGCCCACTGCAAGCTCCGCCTCCCGGGTTCACGCCAGAAGTACAGATATTTCTTATAGCTTATGTTTGATTAACATCACCAGGAAAAGCATTTGTCCACACAATGGACAAGCCCCTCCCAGGGCTCTCAACTTCAGATTACCAGAATGACAAGGACTAGAATTGGATATTTCAGGCCACTGCTCTCAGCCAGACCCCACCCAGGCCCAGCCTCACCCTGCAGGGTCTAGAGGGTAAGTTTATTAAAGAGTGACTTTCTTATAATACATTTATCTACTGGCACAAGTGGTATTACCTTTGAGGGCAACAGAAATGATATCCAAATAGCCAAAACTTTACACTTTTGCCTTGCAGTTATATATAATGCCTTCAGTAGAGTGAAACCCAGAATATTTGATTTTGGGTCGTAAGAACATTTTTGCACTCAAAATAGATAAAAGTGTTGACCTAAGGGGATTAATGCTATTTTAAGATATCTTTTTTTTCTATTCCCTACTCTTTACACTTTTAGGATTTCTGTTTGCTAATCTGAAAAGCAAGGATTTCCTAAGCAACATCTAAGCCTCTTGACAACTTTAAGAGTATTTTATGATAATTTCCCTTTCCCTTGCCATAATCTCTATTTCATCTCTCTAATCTCCATTAAAGTTTCTGTTCACTCTAATTTCTTTTTATCAATACCCATAAACACTCTTAAGATACTTCCAATTCTCAAAACCTAATAATTTCCCAAGTACATGATAGAGATATACAATGTACTCTCTTGCTTTATTTTTCTCAATGGCCCTTTTACCTTCTGACATCTATAATTCACTTATGTTTTTTAAAAAAATACCTTTTTTTCCACACTAGTGTGTGAACTCCATGAAGAAAGGGACTTTTGTCAGCTTTGCTTCCTGCTATGTCCCAGGACCTGAAAAAATAAGTACTGATCATTTCCACAATATGTCATGCTGGATGCCCCATTTCCAATGCCTGCATTGCAGTTTTTTGCATGGCAACATCAAAACTAGCAAACTTGTGACAATTTTAACTTTCAAAGTTTATAAAAACATAATTTGAAATGATATTTTGTGTTGCATGTATGCTCAGTGATGATTAAATTCAGAATTTGCCTTTCATTTGTGATAGTGTTGCAGGACTTTTCCTTAGTTCAGCTAAAGATCGGGTCCCTCTCCATCCCACGGCCACAAAAATTTAGGCTCGCAGACGGTTTGAAGGGTGAGTGAAGCAGGGTTTTATTGGATGAAAAGAAAGAAAAGAGGGAAACAGGGAAGCTAGAGCGCTTCCTGCCCAGCAGTTTGAATTCTATGTTCCTCACAGGAAGAGGAGGGGCCAGGCTCCTCCCCACTGCAAAGGACACGAACTTCCTAAGGCTTCACCTCAGTGGGCAGGCCGGTTGGAGTTTTTCTGTCTCAATAGTAGGATATCAAATAAAACATATTCATGTCTGTGCATGAACTCTAAACTAAACTCAAATAGACTTGAAAATTTGAGAAACTTTTTTATTAGTATAAATATGTTTGGTCCATTATTAATTTTGTCGTAGCCTCTTGTAATTAGCTAAGTTTCATATATATAGTCTTGAAAATGTAGACGGCATTTATCTTTATGCTTAAATGTCTAAATATGATTAGAACAAAAAATTACTTTTACCATTACCTTTTGTTTATGTTTCAATAATTCTTAACATGAAATTGCCATGTATAATTTATTACATTGTATTGTGACTGTAATCACCTAACAGGCATGAAAAAATATAATACAAGTCAAGTTCTATGTTTGTGCTTACCCTTTATAATAATTGGTTCCCAATTTTAAAGATCTCATCTGGTTTTTTGGTAAATGTCAAATCTCCATTTCTCTTTTTGTTTTGATATGGGGATTCCCAATCTTTTGACGACAGCTACCGCTATTATTATTTTGTTTTGTGACACCACCCAGGTGATATTTTTAAATAATGTGGTTAAAATTAATTTTAATTTGAGAATTGGGTGGTTCTTCAGAAAACAACTAGTGACAACTTAGAATTTTTCCAAACTTCCTTGGATGTTTGCCAAAAATACAAAATGTTCTCAGTTTATAGATGAGTTTTATTCGAAAAAGGAAAAAGCAGCTGAGGAAGGGAATTAAGCCAACATTTTTAGAGTGTTTGCTAGGTTCCAGGCATTCACCTACATCAACTTATTTCATCTCAGCCACCCACAATAATGCATACAACGGTCCTATTTTCAGATGAGGAAAGGAAAACTCAGAGGTTTTAAGTCACTTGCCCAAGTTTTCACTGCTGGTAAACATCAGGGCTGAGATTGGAATCTGGGCTAATCTGGTTCTAAAGCATAGATGCTTTCCATGCACCTTGCTATCTTTTGAAACTGGTCCCACAATAACAGTACATTGTTGCCATGGTACAGTGTGGCCTTAAATGGATTTGGAAGAACTCAGAGCTGAGATTGGAATCTGGGCTAACCTGGTCCTGAAGCATAGATGCTTTCCAGGCACCTTGCTATCTCTTGAAATTGGTCCTACAGCGACACTGCAATACATTGCTGCCATGGCACAGCATGGCCTTTAATAAATTTGGAAGAATTTCTGCTACAATAATGTAGTAGAATGATTGTAGGATATGGCAGGGCTGTAACACATGTCTTAGTCCTATCCCTCAGTCTCTTCTTTATCTCTTCTTTAAAGTCTACAATAACATGTTTGGTACATGAAGTAAACCTATTGTTCTAAAGAGTGTGAATCAACTTTAACTTCTGCCTTTGTATTTATTGTTATTCCCATTTTATTTACATGAATTGCTATTTCAGAAATTATACCAGAGGAAACTTTAAAACATAAAAAGGCTGAAAAGAAAACATCCCCCTAAATATACAGGCTCATCTTAGTCATGTGTCTTCAGCAAGGATATCAAACAGCCTGTCTAAGTATAACAAAGTAAAATAAAATTTACAGCTTGAGAGAGAAACTGAAAGAAAGGGAAAATGAGAGGTAAGATCAAATGACAGCAGGAACAAAGTATTTCAAATGAATATTGTACATTTACAGGAAGCAGTACAAGCATTTGGTAATGAAGCTTCTCGATGTTTTTTTCCCCTTATTTGGGCCTGTATGCTTAGTTAGATTTACAGGATGTTAGAATTGAAAGGGAGCTCAGGGACTATTGCATTTTTCCTTTATAAATGAAGAAACTGAGGCCTGGTTAGAAATGGGGAAGCAAAAACTCACATCTCCTTTCTCAAGCTGCCTCCTAAAGAATCAATTTCTTCAAACTTTGATTTATACATGTCAACTCTTGCCCACAATACAGCACAGTATTTCACATGCCCTAGAAGTTTCCATGGTGACTAGATTGAGGCTGAGAATAATTATGGTATAATGAGTAAACACACAAATTCTAAGTTTCAACTCCAGCCTCTGCCATTTGCCGGCTCTGTGTGTCTCCTCAGGTAAGTTAAATAATCTCTCTGAGCTTCAGTTTCATCATCTTATGAAACTGATTAGATGGTAGTAGCTCATACTTTAATGACTTATTGTGAAGATTGAATGAAATTAGGCACATAGGACATTTGGAATGATTCTTAGCATAGTATAAGTATTCAATAATTATTATTCATATTTAATAAAATGCTTTTATGGTTATTAATTCCATCAGATTCTATGCAAAAGCTGTACGTTCTTTGATAAATAATAAAGAATTAGTTTAGGGACAATTGAATTTGCATTTATCAAATGTTTGTGATGTCCTCTTCAAACTTTAATCTAGTTCCATAGTGGACTCATATAAGTGGTAGAATCAAGTGAGCACTCCAAAAATAGTGACTTGACTTGGATATTTGAACAGAATTTTCTCCTACACTGACTAACTGGTATGTCTCTCCTAGTTCAGTGCACTTCACCCTATGAGACTGGAAATTAAATATTAAAACCCCTTCACATGTAAATGAACAAGGCTTAAAGTCCATTTGCAGAGCAGGTGGCAAAGAAGGAAGGAAAAAGATCTTGAATAACCCTATTCTCTCCCACCAACCCCAAGAAATCTACTTCTCATTGGAAGGAGGGGAGAGAGGAACTCATTATGCCAGTTGCAGAGCTTATTTTCTGAACCTGAGGGCAGTAATGAAACACGGATGGACATGATCTGATTTTAATTTAATTCAACAAAATGTTTTGAGTGAAATGGCCCTGTGAGCCACTGATAACATAGAAAGATAAATCAGATATTATTCTTGCCTTCAAACACCTTACAGGCTAGCTGGGGTACCTGATGAATAAGCACTGACCTCACTGCATAAAATAAATACTCTAAACAAAAGTTTTTCTTTAGGAGTTTTGTGTACCCTGTGCTACACTCTATTTCAGATACCAAACCAATGCCTAAGAATTGAGACTGTTCTTACTCTCTTTCTGAGTTCCTGCTGGAATACAAGATAAAGGGTCCTTCAATGCAATTTCATATTATTGCATACAGTTATATATGTAACTCTTACACATAACTGTAAGTTACCATTCAGTCAAAGTAAATGGAAATGCCTGCCTTGGTCCAGCTCTGATCATCTCAAAAACATACCTCCGCTAAGCATGGCTGAAACCAGGTTTCATGTCAAAGGCAGGAAACAATAGTCACCTTTACGTAGTTCAGAAACTGAAGTGAAACTTATAGCCAAGTTTCCAAGGCCTGTGGTTACTGGTCTTCCTCATTCTTCTTGCTCTGCTACCCCTGCCTCCTGTTGCCTTTTTCTAAATCTCCCAGCTGAGTCCTGGAGTTCATTTGGTCTGAATCTCAGTAACCCAGGGTCCCTTTCTTCCCGAGCTGAGGCACTAACTTGGACCTTGGAGGCAAAGTATTAAGAGTCTGTGGTAGCGACAGTAGATAAGTTTGTTTGTTTGTTTGTTTGTTTGTTTGTTTTGAGACAGAGTCTCACTCTGTTGCCAGGCTGGAGTACAGTGGCGCCATCTCGGCTCACTGCAACCTCTGACTCCCTGGTTCAAGCGATTCTCCTGTCTCAGCCTCCCGAGTAGCTGGGATTACAGGCATGCGCCACCATGCCCGGCTAATTTTTGTATTTGTAGTAGAGACGGGGTTTCATCATGTTGGCCAGGATGGTCTTGATCTCCTGACCTCATGATCCGCCCCCTCGGCCTCCAAAAGTGCTGGGATTACAGGCATGAGCCACCGCGCCCGGCTGATAAGTTTCTTTTGATTGGAAATGACAGAAACCAGCTCTGGCTAGCTGGGTTTTTTTGGTCTTGTTTTTGATTTTGTTTTTAAGTGAGTAGGGTACAAGAACAGGGAACAGGAGCAGAATTTTTTTTTTTTTTTGTGATGGGGTCTCACTCTGTTGCCCAGGCTGGAGTGCAGTGGCACGATCTCGGCTCACTGCAACCTCCGCCTCCCGGGTTAAAGGGATTCTCCTGCTTCAGCCTCCCAAGTAGCTGGGACTACAGACGCATGCCACCACGCCTGGCTAATTTTTGTATTTTTTTTAGTAAAGACGGGGTTTCACCGTGTTAGCCAGGATGGTCTCCATCTCCTGACCTTGTGATCCGTATGCCTCGGCCTCCCAAAGTGCTGGGATTACAGGCATGGGCCACCGCGCCCTGCCCAGGAGCAGAATTTTTTAAAAGGATATTAACAATATACCCTCCCAGAATTTAAGGGCAAGTTGAACAACCAAGAGACAACAAGGAATCTGCTTAGTAATCATGGCAAGTCTGAGGCTTTCAGTCAATTGATGTGTCTGTCTTGATTCATCTCTGATCGTCTCAGAAGTGTACCTCCGCTCAGCCTTTCTGAAACCAGGTTTCATGTCAAAGGCAGGAAACAATAGTCTACTTCATGTAGTTCAGAAATTGAGTTGGTGGACCTTCTCTCTAGAGAAGCAATTAAGTGGATCCCCAAGAAGTGAATCCAATTAGTGTGACCAGGTCAGGTATTCGAGGGCCGGGCCAGGTCTGGAGGTATAACATGGTTATAGGGAACCTATCTCTGTATACTGGGAGGTACAATCTCTGCAGAAGGGGAAATCATTAAGCCTCACAGCCATGCCAAGAAGTCTGTATATTGGCTCTTCCTTGGGCAAGAATAGTCATCTAAGGAGAACTGTCTTTTAGGACACCAGATTTTTATCAGTATAAGTTGCCGTTTTATAAGTACTTTGTCATCTTCATCTCACAATTTAGTTTAGCCTCATTTGTGGGGTTACTAGTTAAAATCAATCTACAGTCAGTTTTACTCTCTTGGTTGACTCAATGCCATTTTCCTTTGTTTTACTTTTGTTGAATTAAACTTTAGAGGAGGTTTTCAAAATAGAATTTGGGTTCCTCCAACAGAGATTTGAAAAGTTATGCCTGCGGTTATTGTCCTTTCTTGCCTCAGGCCTGGAGAATTGTGGACCTGGGAGGCTGGTTCATCCCAGGTTCTTTCTTGGTTCAAGCCTGCATTACTGTAGCATTCATTCATTAATTCATTCACTCATCTGCCTTCATTATGTCAGAAACTCTATCAAGTGGTAGGGATACAAAGATAAATTTGACTGATAGGTGCGCTGAAGAGGCTCACAGAGGTTGGAAATGCACACGTTGGAAAGGCAGTGGCTGTCTAATACCAAGAGGTGACAGCACTGCAGGCTCAGGCAGCAGCCCAGCCCAGAGATCCTTACCCTGCAGCGCAACTGGCCCCGGTGGCTATTTCTCCTCCAGGGACTGATACTGTGGTAGGAGGATAATGCCCCCACAGGACGTCCACATGTCTCCCTGGACCTGTGAATATATTGTTACATGGCAAGAGGGAATTAAGTTTGCAGATGGAATTAAGGCAGCTGATCAAATAACTTTGGGGTGGGGAGATTATCCTAGATGGTCTAAGTAAGACCACTGTAATTGACAGGGTCCTCATAAGTAGTAGGGAGCCAGAAGGGAGAGAACCAGAAAGATGGCAGCAGGAGAAGGATCTGACTGGCTGTTACTGGCTTTGAAGACAGAGGAAAATGGCCACAAGTCAAGACATGAGGGCACCTCTGAAAGCTGGAAAATGCAAAGGAATGAATCCTCCCTAGAGCCTCCACTAGGAAAGCAGCCTTGCCAGTTTTAGACTAGTGAGACCCATTTCGAACTTCTGACTTCCAGAATTGTAAGATGATAAATCTGAGTTGTTTTAAGCTGTTATGTTTGTGGCAATTTGCTACAATAGCAATAAAAAATTAGGCCAGGCACAGTGGCTCACGCCTGTAATCCCAACACTTTGGGAGGCCGAGGCGGGTGGATCACCTGAGGTCACGAGTTCGAGACCAGTCTGGCCAACATGACGAAACCCCGTCTCTACTGAAAATACGAAAATTGGCCCGGTGTGGTGGTGGATGCCTGTATTCCCAGCTACTTGGGAGGCAGAGGCAGGAGAATCGCTTGAACCTGGGAGGCAGACGTTGCAGTGAGCTGAGATCGTGACATTGCACTCCAGCCTGGGTGACAGAGCAAGACTCCGCCTCAAAAAAAAAAAATTAACACAGGTATTATTATGTGAAGTGTGTGCCTGGTCGTATCAACTAAGTACATCTTTCTGGAGTGTCATTTAAAGCATTATTTTCATATTAAGTATTAAATATATGAAGTAGAATGAAAATTAAGCATCAACTTTGAAGATAAAGTATAAGAGTTCAAAATGTATCTAATTTGGGAGCTGCTTTGATCCCTAGGCTTCAGTTCCCCTCTCCTCTTCTGTAAGGTGAAAGTGTTTGAGAGGCACCAATTTAACTATAGTTAATCACAAGTAGTGATTACTAGACTACCACCATTTTTATTCCTAGCAGAATGTTGCGTCTAGGTCTTTTTTAAGATTTCAAAATCCATGTCCCCAAAGATGCAATCATTCAAATTTTATTTAAGGATTTAAAAATATTCTGTCAAAGAATAATAATATCTAATATGTTATCATTCTCCCACAAACATTTATTTGGTGCCTTCTGAAGGAAGCATAATTATTCTCACTAGTAAGGAGCAGAAGCTTGTAATGGTTGTCCAAGGCCGATAAGTACTGAATGGCGGTAGTGACAATTGAACCCTGTTCCTCTGCCTGTGCATCCAGTGCTCTTTCCAAGGGTCCAGAGTGACTATGAAGCACATCACTGGGAGTGTTTCTTAGGGTTGGGAGCCAGCGCTGAATTTACCATGCATCTACAATGTGAGCACTGTGTTCACAGAGCCCCTGAGCCTGCACAGCAGCTACTCTTGATATAGGTACTGCTGCTTTCATTCTGACTGTAAAACTGTAGCCGGCCCCTTCTCCTCATATGACTGGATCTGTTCTTATGGGAAGATCACATTGACAAAAGAGAGCACAATGTGCAAGAATGGGACGGTTCTGATAATGGCAAAATCTGTTTTTCATTGTGATCCCAATGCTGCAATGCCAATGAGAGACAGAAAGAGGAAGGGCCAGAGGCTTTCATTCTTCTCTGAGGTCGAGATCAGACACCCTCTTCTGGCTTTTCTCAACAGCTTTTCATTTTACAGCAGCACCTTATCTGGGCCCAAGTATCAAAAGCCACAGTTCTGTTTTTGCAGTCAGACATTGTATGTATTCAAGTATCATAGACAGGTTTTGTTTTGTGTAGTTTTTTTTTTTTTTTTTTTTTTTTGAGACAGAGTCTCACTCTGTCACTCAGGCTGGAGTGCAGTGGTGCGATCTCGGCTCACCGCAACCCCCGCCTCCCGGGTTCAAGCAATTTCCCTGCCTCAGCCTCCCGAGTAGCTGAGACTACAGGTGCCTGCCACCACGCTCGGCTAATTTATTTTTGTTTTTATTTTGTATTTTAGTAGAGATGGGGTTTCACTATGTTGGCCAGGATGCTCTCGATCTCCTGACCTCATGATCCACCCACCTCAGCCTTCCAAAGTGCTGGGATTACAGATGTGAGCCACTGTGCCCGGCCTGTTTTGTGTAGATTTATCATTAACATTAGGGTGTTTTTTAACCACAGAGGAGACATTTTTCTTTTTCATTTTCTCACTCTTACTCTAATTCAGGTTCTATACTCTCCAGATCTTTCAAATCTTTTCAAAGACGCCCTTCCTGATGACCCTTGTAAAATATCACCCTCTCCCAACCCTACCTTTTCTATTCTCTATCCCTTTACCATGCCCTATTCATTTTTTCCATAACACTTCTCACACATAAAATATTTTTTAAATTTTTTTTCTGTCTCCTCTACCTAGAACATAAGCTCGATAAGAGCATTTAAACTCCTTTGTGTGCTATTGCATTCCCAGTACCTAGACAAGTGCCTGGCAGAGTGCAAAGCTCTGTAAATATTCGTTGAATGAATTGCTGAATTCTTTACATCTCTTCCATGTCTGGTACAATCTTAGGCTTGCTATAGAAAAGACCCTAGTAAAATTAAAAGCAAGAAACCATAGCAAGAAGAAAAAAAATCCCCTTAAGTTGCCTCTTTTTGTAGTTAGTTTCTAGTTTCTGATTGACTGATTGATTGAGGGAAGGATTTCAAGAAGGAAATGTCAGAAACATAGACTCAGAACTGCTCTGAGCCCTTGGAACAAAGTTCCCCAGCCCCCCATGCCTGGACCCCCTGGGCTGAGCCCTTTTTCTGCCTGGAGGCTCCCCTCTCCAGATGGAAGGGGAAGGAGGCAATCACTTGTGAGCACCAGCTTGTTCAGGTCATGTTCACTTAGTAATGCAAAGACTTTGCTTGGTTACTTTCATTAATTGGGTAGTATCAGAGAGTAGGGAGAATGCTCACTTTTTTGAAATCCACTAATTTGTTACACGTTTATTCGGAAACTGATTGATAGGAAATAAGGGCAATGGAATGGATCTTCCTCTACCCTAGTGCTTTTGTTTAGTCTTGTTCTCATGGCTTTCATAAAGCCTTCCTGGAAAACTTCCAGTTACTACTTAAGATCTAAATCAAATGTCACCTCCTTTATGAAAGCTGTCCTGAATCCTTTCATGGAAAGGTTCTTCAAGCAGTCTGGGGATGATTATCATGCTTTGCTCACACGGCTGCCATTGGTCTCATCACCCTGTTCATTTAAACGACCATATCTGTTACCAGTTCTGAGCACCAGGAGGCCAAGGAACATCTCCATCATGCTTTATATCTCAGTGTCCAGCTTAAGTGCCTTATACCTAATTGGTATTTGATAACTGTTGAGATAATGAGCGAGGGAATACATGAAAAAAACAAAAGACTTTCCAATCCAGCCACAGTTATCCAGTTAGCATTTGGACCTTCCTTCTGGGAACACTGTTCGATTATATATTTTTCATCTTCATTCAGGCACTCTGATGGTTCTAAAACATCCCTACCCAAGAAAAGTGGAAGAACCCTCCATTTATGAATCTGTCCGGGTTCACACAGCAATGCAGACAGGAAGAACAGAAGATGACCTTGTGCCCACAGCACCTTCTGTAAGTGACCTTCAACGTGACCACAAGCTCTCTCCCTGTCTAAAATCAATCAAGTTCAATAAAAGTTAATAAGAGTGTATTTGTTCACATAAAAATTCTAGCTTGGAATATAAAACTTGGAAAGGAATGTGAGATTTGAAGCCTATGACTCAGTTCATCTGGTCCTGGGTAGATCATAAAAATTACAATGCAGCCAGACATGGTGGTTCATGCCTGTAATCCCAACATTTTGGGAGGCCAAGGTAAGAGAATTGCTTGAGCCCAGGAGTTGGAGACCAGCCTGGGCAACATAAACATCTCTACAACAAACTTTAAAAAATATTAGCTGGGCATGGTGGCATGCACCTGTAGTCCCAGCTACTCAGGAGGCTAAGGTGGAAGGATTACTTGAGTCAAGGAGGTTGAGGCTGCAGTGAGCTGTGATTGTGCCACTGCACTCCAGTCTGGGTTACAGAGTGAGACCTTGTCTCAAAACGAACAAATGAAAGCAATGCAATAGTAATAGGATTTTAAATACTTCGAAAATGGAACTTAAATCTCTGTCCTTAGTTAACCAAACAACTTCAAAGTAGAATGGAAAAGAGAAGTTTGCATTCACATAGTTTTCTAAACTGTTTTCTCCTACAATTTTCTTATATTAAGAAAATATATTTTTTTAAATATTTCAACTATCTATGGAAGACAAATATTCTCCACCTTTACTATAAAAACTCAGGGTATTATTTTTTCTAGCTTTTTTTCCTTTACTGACTGAAGTTTACAGACAGAAAACACTTGTGCTTCTTTGCAACGTGAGCCATTGTTCAATTTCAGTGCAATTGGAGCACTCATTGTTTGTCCAAGAGTCCATTTATGTTTGTTCTGTGAACTGTGACTCTGCAGAGGTTCCTCTCCAACACCCTTTTCCCTTCATTATTCTGAAGGCCCTTCTATTTGTTGTCTCTTCCTTGTTTGCTGAATACTCCTGGTATAAGAAACCTCTATTTGGGCAGATGATAAAGAAGATAATACCCAAATAAATATCAAGAACTAATTCTGGATAGTAATCATGACACTTGAAAAATAATCACTTGAAGATATTCAGCTACAAATTATATTAAAATAAGTGTAACTTTCTATATCTGCAGTACTTTTCTCTACCCTTGACCAGAGAGATCTTTCTTAAAAAGAAGGCTTGCCACATGACCTCTGCTTTACATCCTTTGGTGATGCCTTTTGTGTTCATGGCCCACCTGGACCCTGCTTGCCTCTCTGTCTTCATCTCATGCTACTCCCACACTCACACTGTGAAACCTGTCTCTCTCAACATTGTGCTCTTTCTCCTCTCCCTACATCTGAAATGCTGCCAACACCATTGCTATCTACTCATCCCTCAAGACTGGTATCACGGATCATTATCTTCCAGGAAGCCTTTCTTCACCCCCACTAGCTTCTTTTACAATGCTCCTCTTCTGTGCTCCAGAGCACCCTCTGTTTGCCTTTATTCTAAAATTACCATGCTGTGGGCTAATTACCTTCACATCTCTCTGCCCTCCCCACCAGCCAGAAACATCTAAGTACATGAATCATTGCTTGTCCTTGCAGCTTTACAGCCTAGCCTGGCTCATGGCACATCTTACATATTCATTGCAGTGCTACATCTCCTCAGAAATAAAAATCCTGAAAATTGACTGAGAAAGTTATTTTGGCTTTGTTAGAAGTGGGGGAGAAGGCATCAAGAACTCAGAACTTGAGAAATTTAGGAGTGCAAGACAATAAATAGTCCAAAGGCAGAAAAGACCAAAGAACAAATCAAGATCTACTCTGCAACCAATTCTTGTTTTCCAGTTGTCCAGTCCCTTCATAATTTCCTCTTTACCCACCCTTACCCTTAATATAGATCACCAGTCACTTCAACATCTCTTTCATTTGCCCTGTTAGTTTAACTTCACATTCTCCTCTGCTACACTTCCCCTAAAGATCTCCACTCAAGGTCAAACAAACCATGTCCTATTAAGCGTGTTCTTTATCGGCAATAAAATGCAGATAATACCTAATTTGTGAGATTGGTGTGAGCAGAAGATATAGTATCCTTATGCAGAAATAAACCTCTTTAAAGCACATTCTGGAAACCTTGTTACTTACCTTCTTTTCTCACTCCAGCTATCAGATGGATTCACCTCTTTTAAAATGGAGTTTTTAAAATAGTGGTGAGTGATTGGTTGACAATGACTTGAACTCACACTATATAATGACAAGCTTATGAAGTTGATTGTACATCACTATGGACAAAAAAAATGTAAAGGTTTCCTAGAGGATCTGAAATGTTTCTCATTACTTCTCATTGGGGAATCATTGGTGACTGGACCAGTATAGCTGCTGGGGAAAGAGTTCTGGTCTGATCAGAATGCTCTTGTCCCTTATTGAACACAAGTTCTAAGCCTTCATTTGCTACCCCAAATGGCTACATGATGCTGCACCTCCATCTCCAGCCTGAGAGCCCTGAGGGTTTTCAAACTTCTGCATTTTCTTTTTGGGGTGTAGTTCTTGCTCAAGGTCTAGCAGTGGAGGAAGAGAATTAAAAGAACTTCTTGTTTGAAGCGAAAGTGAAAGATGCCCCACTGCCCAGAAATGCAGATGACTGTGTATAACTGTTTAACATCTTTTAGTAACTGCATTTGGGGAAATTGCTATTTATGTCTTATAAACAACATAGCATTGAGTTCCCATGATAGGATTAAATTTAATTAATTCATTTATTAAACAAACTTTTTTTTTTTAAAGTGCTTCCAATACACTCAGAACTGTTTTAAGCACTGGGAGTTTGGCAGTAATTTTGACAAAGGTCCTCCTCCCCTCACTGAGCTCACATTCTAGTGAAGATCACAGACAATAATCAATGCAGTAATCTGATACCAGACAGTAATACATCATGAAAAGAAAAAGTAGGATAAGGGGAGAAGAGGGAAGCAAGGGAGGCCTCTGTGAGGAGGAACCATTAGTAAGAGATTTCACTGAAGGGAAGGAGTGACTCATGTCAAGATGTGGAAAGAGTGCTGCAGGCAGAGGAAACAGTACAAAGGCCCTGGAGTGGAAACAAAATTGAGGTGCTTCAAAGGCTAGGAAGGTCAGAATTACGGGATGAAGTGAGCTAGAGGAAAAGTTGTAGAAGGTGAGATTATTGAGGTAATGAGGGGTCAGATCACATAAGGCAATGGAGTTTTCAAAGAGCAGCACCTCCCAGCTGAGCATTTAGAAATATGAGTGTTTCTGTTGGTGCATTGCTTTGCGGCACTACTATCATGCGTGAGTGTCAAGAGCCATGAAGAGTCTGACTTTACTCTGCTTGCAAGCTAACAAGTTAGCCTGCTGCAGTTTCATGTATGCTGATGGATGACACAAGACTTCTGGGTAAGCGTTGAAAAATAGTTTGCTATTCACAGGAAGAGCAACAGCCAGGATATCAGTATTTATGCTAATTCCCTGTGCTGAGCCGAAGTTCCCAAAGGGCAATATTGAAAGGGCCAGGTGATATCCACAATGGGTTGCCCTACAGGAGAGGAACCCTGAGCCTTGGGAACCCAAATCTTTTCTAATGATCAGTAGACATGTCTTTTGTTCTGAAGGGAAATATTTCTTTATTCCAAGGCTGCTTGTATAAGCATACTTTAAATATCAGTCTGCAGCAAAGAACTGTTAATGCCTTGCTCATAAGACATTTGGAACCTTGACAAGAGACCCGTGGAGATTATTTCCCAACAGTGATCAGGGGCTAACTATTCTTCAAAGAGTGGTAGAGAATTATCTTGCCCAAAATCTCAGTAGTACCTTTTGTACATAACATGAGAATTCTTTACCTTCTGAGCTTGTTTAAAAAAATTCTTGCAGATGGATTGAATGTGATACACGAAAGAAAGAGTAGCAGAGTCATGGCAGAGAAGCCCTGCTATTTACTGAGAAGGCTAACTCTGCAGGAGGGGTGGGTTGAGGGGATGAGAAAGAAGAGCTCTATTTTGGACATGTTAAATGAGAAATACCAATTAGTTGTCTTGGTAGAGATTGAGATTAATATAGTTCAAGTTCCTGACATAATAGGTCCTATCTAAAATGTTAGTTTCCTTAGCTTCCCTTTTGTGGTATTTGACGTTTTTAACAACTCCCTCCTTCTAAAAATTCTGTTTCCTTAGCTTTGGCAACATCTTTCTGTCTTTATTCCGTAATCTTTGACACATTTTATAGTTCCTCTTCTTGGATACTTTCCTTGCACGTTGCCCTTTTCCAGTATTTTGTTTTTGAAACTCTTCTCAGGTTTAACATTTTGTTGCTTATCCTTTCAGTCTTTTACTTGAAAAAAAAAAGTATATGTATGTATATACACACACACACACACACACACACACACACACACATAAAATAATGAGCTCTTCATTGTAGAGTTGTAATATTCTTGTTTAATTAACTATATATTTAAAATTTTTTTCATGTAATTACTTAGTTTTCTGGAACACCATTAAACAAATTCCATAATATTCCATTATTTGAGTATATCAATTTATTCAGTTAATCCACTATTATGTTTTAACATGCTTTTTTATTTGAAATAATGTCAAAGTTACAGAATAATTGCTAGAATAGTACACAGAACTTGGTTTTCCCCAAGTCGTTTGATAGTAAATTGCCTACATGATGCCCCATCACCCTGAATATTTCAGTGTGTATTTCCAAAAATAAGGGCATTTGCCTGCGTGACCAGATAGAGCCTTCCAAACTAGAAAATTAACATTGAGGCTGTGCCACTGTTTCATCCACAGATCTCATTCAAGCTTCACTAGTTTTCTCAGTAAGTTCCGTCAGAGTAAAAGATCCAGTCCTCAAGCACAAGTTGCACTTATCTGTCCTGTCTCTGGAAGATTCTTCACTTTGGAACACTTCCTCAGTTTTTCCTTAATTTCGTGACTTTGACACATCTGAAATTAAAGACCAGTTATTTTGTAAATAGTTTCCCAACTTTGGTTTATATGATATTGAATCATGATTAGATACAGGTTTTTTCATGTTGGCTACAAATACCACAAAAGTGATGCTTTGTTTGTGCTTCTCACTGTGTCTTCTCAGATGGAACACAATTGCAATCTGTCTCATAATGGTGTGTTTGATTACTTAAGTGGTGTCTGCCAGGTTTCTTCACTCTAAAGTCACCATATTCCCTTTGTTATTAAAAAATGTTTGGGGTGAGGTTATTTGAGACTATAAGAATATTCTGTTACTTATTAAATTTTTACTTGCCAATTTTAGCATTTACTGATGTGTCTTGGCTGTTTTAATCATTACTATGATTGTTACCAAACGATGACTCTCTGATTTTCTTATTCCTTTTTACATTCATTGGTTGTCATTCTACTGTAAGGAAAAGCTTTTTATTCTTCAAAATTTTCAATCATTTTTATATCAAATGGTTATAATCATGACTATCATTATTTATTTTGATCCTTCAAAATTTCCCTGATTTGGCCAGTCGGGGAAAGAGCCCTTTCAAGTGGTGTCTGTGTTCATATGACCTCAAAAAAAATTTTTTTTTTTTGGAGACAGTGTGTCACTCCGTCACTCTGTCTCCCAAGCTGGAGTGCAGTGGTGTGATCACGGCTCATGAAGCCTCGACCTCCTGGGTTCAGGTGACTCTCCCTCCTCAGCCTCCTGAGTAGCAGGGACTACAGGTGTGTACCACCACTCCTGGCTAATATTTGTATTTTCATTTTTTTATTTTTTTTTGTAGAGTCAAGGTTTCACCATTTTAACCAGGCTGGTATCGAACTCCTGGGTGCAAGCAATGCTCATGCTTCAGCCTCCCAAAGTGCTGGGATTATAGTTGTGAGCCTCCGTGCCTGGCCTGGCCTCAAAATTCTTTTAAGAACTTTCTTACTTTCTGAATAGCAAGATGATCCAGACTTATCTTGTTCTTTCTTTGTACCCAGCTCTAGAACCAGCTATTTCTCCAAGAAACTCTGCTCTTTTTCCACAGAATAGTACTCTAGAAATCGACATCTAGGTACTATGTGCTTATTGTTATCAGGATGTCACTCTCCCAGCCCACTCAGTGAGCAGAGCTGGGAAAATATGTATGTATATACATATGTACACATATATACTTTTACATCTGTATTTATCTGTCGATTCATTCATCGATCCATGAGTTCACAACAATGCTTCCAATACCACAAAGTTCATTCTAGTGTTTTCCCTTCTCCCACAGTGAGAAAATATGGATCTTATCATCCTCAGTACACTTATGTGGTGATCAATTGAATATAAGCAATCTCCCATTGCTGTTTCTACTACTCAACCCTTACCCCGACACTCCAACCACCCAGTCATGCTTCAATGCTCAGTTCCAGGCCACTGCTGCTCCCACCCTCACTACAGATGTCCACCTAGCCCAACTTGGCTCTGAAACTGTGCAGTAGCTGCCACCTCCACCCCTTCAGGCAGAAGCCCTCCACACCCTGCCAGGCTTCAATGCCTCGCACACAGCTGCTGCTGCCACTGTCACTGCCAGTGTCCACACAGAGGCTCCCTGTGCCCTACTTGGGCTCCACCACCCTGTACTAAGGTGCTTGAAAGCCCTCCACACACACATCAATGCCTGCCTTGCTTCACCTGAACTGTGTTGGCTACTGACTTCATTTAAGGCTGGCAGGCAAGTAGGTAGTAGGATGGCAGGAAGGACAGTCCTTTGTTTTTGAACATTTAGATGGTACCCCAATGGGGGCTCTTATAAACAGCTTTTCTGTTACAGTTCATAGATTTTTAAAGATAAATGTGCTCTATAATTATTTACTTTCTTACATCTGGAGACCCTGAATAAAATTAATAGTCTCATTGCTTTCCCATGCAGCCTTTGGCTTACCTATCAAAACCTTAGAAGAATACTACACTTATAGTACATTGTTTGGGTGGAGGTAAGATGGGATTATTCCCTAGCTTGATTTTAGTAAATAATTCTATCAGGATCTTTTATACAACAATTTACTCCTAGTTATTTTGCCTCTACAGATTTTAACCTGCAACAGCCCAAAATAATTACTTTTTGCCATTCCTATAACACCTGAATTCAACTGAGTCAATTCAATTTATTTAATGTTAAAATAAATCACACCAATTATGAGATATCAAATTCACCAATATTGATTAATATTATTTAAGTGAACATTTGGTTAGTTTATCCTTACTTTTATATCATAAGATTTTAAAAGAAGTGTTTGCTTATTTCCTGCTTTAACTCTTTTTATTGTGGTAGAGATGGTTGTTCCTCTTTTTATTTGGTTGGGAAAATTCACCTTGGAAAAAAATATTCTGGAAATTACCATAGAAAGAACCTTGGTGTCAACCAAATCACTTCCCAATTTTTGTTAATTTTGTTTCTTACTAAGACATATGATGACATCACATTTGAACAAAATATTCTACCACGAATTGAATTTCTTGTGGAATTTATGAAATGATAAATTTCTTGATGTTAAGCTACTTGTCTTATGCAAATTTCTGTTCACACAATTCTCCACCCTTATATTTCGTAGGTGTTAGCTAAGTGTGTGCTATTATTTTTACGTTTGAATTAATGACAACATGAGTTAAAAGAACTGGCTCATTCTTATTTCAGATTCATTTTGGGTAAATCAGGTGTAAATAAATCTACGCTCCTGACAGTCTGTTTTTTGGAACATGGATCTCAAGAGAGTGTGGGGGTGGGGAGGAGGATTATGTGATAAAATAAATAGTAAAAATGCTATTTCTAAGGTTCCCTCTTAAAAATTTACAAAGTATATTAGCATAATACAGACTCTGGGAAGCCCTGAAGTAAAAACA
This sequence comes from Homo sapiens, assembly GCF_000001405.40. NCBI lineage: Eukaryota > Metazoa > Chordata > Mammalia > Primates > Hominidae > Homo > Homo sapiens. Next base: position 99,861,191 of record NC_000004.12, read on the forward strand.
TCCTTTTAGTTTTCTTAATCCAGTCTCCCAAACGTATTGACAGTAGATGTGTGCGTGTTTATGTGCTAATAACCCTGTAACAATCCAAACAGCTGGATTTCACATGACACACCTTGACAAACACAGACTTTTATAAGTGAAATGATGTCGTTTATTGTTTGCAAATTGCTAACTGGAGTTAGGAGCTACAGAATGATGCCAGTAGATCCAGTCTGAAAACAATCTCTCACAACACATGGAAGCTTTTCAAGTGCCTAGGTGAAAAATGATAGACAGTAATTTAAAGATCAAAAGCAAACATTCTTCATTTAAAAATAGGACATGAAAGGAAGGACAAACGTCCTGTTGTGACAGTTCTGGTCTTCACTCAGTGCTTTTCTTTTTCAGCTGGGCACCAAAGAAGGTTACCTCACCAAACAGGGAGGCCTGGTCAAGGTAAGGAAGTGTGGTTTTGCTCATGCCAGCCACAGAAAAAAGAGAACACGTCATGTAGACTCAATTCTCATCTTGATAGTTTTTCTTGGAAGCATAATTGCCTGCTCATTTTAACCCATTTGTAATATTCACCTGACTCAAGAGTTCATTTTTATGGCTCATTAGTCAAAATTCTGGAAAATGACTTGACTGTTCTTTGACAAAGCCCTGCATAGGTGTAGCCTGCAGTTAAAAGTCAATAAAACATAGTCCTCATAATGGAATGATTGAGGATGAAGATAGCAAGTTTACTCTAGAACATCTTTCGTTCTTCTTCTAAAACAAGGAAGAAGTCAAAATTGTATAAAATGTTTCTTTAAGGATAGGCCAAAAACATCACTGATGCTACTGAAACTATGTTATAAAATCCAAAGAAAAACACAATTTAAGCTCTTACAAGTTCAGAGTATCCAAATGTTCCCCATTTATGAGACTGTATCTTTAGAATTCCTTTGTTTCATCTCAATGTGCCAAGAAGACCTTCATGGAATGTGTCTGCTCCTTCTCGTTTTAAGAGTCACGGTATTTAACCTCTCACAGACACTGACATGCTTGGAATTAGCCTAAATAATTTCATTATTTGTGTCCCTTCTAGATCGAATGCTCCCTGAGGACAGAGAGTATTCATATTCATAGCATATTTATGTTTAAATCCTCTGTTACTTCTTTTAACTGGGCACATTGACACCCAGGATAGAGTAGGATGCTGTTTGTATATAAGAAGGTAACAGCGGGCAATGATGGTTTTTACCACTGATACCTTGGAGTTCTTAGGCAAGGTTTAGAATATCATGTGAGTCAGGGTTCCTAAACCTCAGTTTTGTTGTTTGTAAGACAAGAATAATAATACTGGCATTGTTGTGTGAGGATTGGATATAATATATAAAGCCTCCAATGATAGTATATCGTCCATATTAGGTACTCAAAGAACAATATTTATCTTTATTATAGAGTTAATAAAATGGAAATTGTAGTGGTTTGTTATAAGTCACATTGAATATTTATGATAGACTAATTCTTTTTGTATTTAAAAATATACTAATGATATATCTGCCTTCATTATGAGCTTAATGCATGAAATTAATTTTTATAGATATTTTGAAACTTTTTTCTCAGAAATGACACAAAAGAATTTTTTGAGCTTAATGCATGAAATTATTTTAATTTTTATAGATATTTTGAAACTTTTTTCTCAGAAATGACACAAAAGAATTTTTTCAGGGTTATAGTATTTAATTTTTTAGATACTTTTAAAATGAAAGTAAATCATCTGGTTCAAATATTACATTCCTGTATTCAAAACTTTGTGTGTCTGTGTGTTTGTGTGTGTGTGTGTTTTTCTCAGACCTGGAAAACAAGATGGTTTACTCTGCACAGGAATGAACTGAAATACTTCAAAGACCAGATGGTGAGAAACATGATAATATATTTTTCCTTTAAAAATCAATTCTCTAGATGAAAGAAACTTAGGTCTTTAAAATCTCTGAAATTATTTTTATATCCACCTGAAATACCTAATAAATGATTGGAGATATGAATTCTTGATTCCTGAAATGAGCAGAGTTATTTTGCAAAGATGAGATGTATGTCCCAGAAATTGCTTTCTTGGATTGGCTAAACCATAGTTCCCCAGGGCACGTAATTCCCTCTGTTTAGGACAATGTAATTATTCTCTTGCCACAATTTATTAACTGTCTCTTTGCAGCAATTTGTCCCTTTATTAAAAATACAGTTTCTCCATTTCCCATGCCCATTTCATTAAGCCAATTTAAAATTATTTTTTCTCACTTTTCTTATATAACATTTCTAAGAAAGTAGAAGTTTTAAAAAATGAGAGAAAAATATACCTCTCTTCCATGTGTTAAAATCCATCTTCATCAGTAAGTTGATAAAGGTAGTAACTTAATGCCCAGTTTTATGAAAGGCTCATTCCAAAACCAAGGACTTCCCTTGGTAGGGCTTTTCTATTGTCAGTCCTGTTAGTGAAAGGAAATATGACAATTGCACATAGTGGAAAACTTGTGAGGGGAATAAGTGAGGGACAGATTTGTCTGTTTTTTTTTTTTTTTTTAATGGTGACATACGTTGCTTTTTATTTTATTTAGTCACCAGAACCAATTCGGATCCTAGACCTAACAGAATGTTCAGCTGTACAATTCGATTATTCACAAGAAAGGGTAAACTGTTTTTGGTAAGTTGTTTTATAAAGAAAACGTTTTTTAATGTCTTCTTGCCAGACACTTATTTTGGCTAAGGAATAGAAAGCTGTATATCTTAATGTCTACAAAGATCAGATATGAGGGGCATGCCTGCATGTAAGGAGTGTTTTCAGCTGAGTGTGACATAACACCTCATTTAAAGTAGCTTAAACAAACAGGCAGGTCAGCTCAGCTTATGTTGCGTACTGGAGAAGTATGACTCACATAGAGGATGCCATTCACATCTTAGACAATTTAATTTCTTTGAGGCTTTCTCCCTCATTTTATTTATAACTTTGTTGACTCTAATGATAGGTGATTTGTATTGTTATGACAATTTCTGGCAAATGGCACAAAAATATTTTGTTCTAACATAATCAGTATGTTATAAAAATGTTCTAACTGGGAGAAGAGTCTTGAGAAAGGAATGTCTTATTTCCCACTACCTTTTATTTTAAAGTTTTTCAAGCATACACAAGTTGAAAGACATACGTTTACATACCCTCCATAGCAGTTATTAATATATCTTACCATATTTGCTTTATCCTAGTCTATCCACTTTTTTTTTTTCCTGAACCAATTGAAAGTAAGTTGCAGACATCATGGCACTTTATTCCTAAAGACTTTAGTATGTGTCTCTTAAGAATAAAATATCACATATAGGACTACAGTATCATTATTACAACTGAAGAAATTAATGTTAATTCTATAATATCAACTGAGAATGGGTGTCTTTTTAAAATTTGCATAGACATGCCCTGTGAGCTAGCAGAGCTTTATTTTTCTCATATATCCAAAAATCAGGAGGCAAGCAGCTATGGTGACAAGGTCAGGTCCAGGGTCTCTACTGTTCTCCTGGCCTTTTCTCATGCTGGCTACTTCAGGATTTGAGTGTCTACTACACCTGTAGGTCTCATATTTTCAACAAAGTACAAAGAAAGATGTAGGGATGATATTACCCGTGTCTGTCCCTTTTTATCAGGAAAACCAATGTTTCTCCAGAAACTCCCCTATGAGACCGGGTGCCATGGCCATCCCCAGCAGCTGATCATAATTGGCTTAAACAAATTAGGATTTATTGCTTGGGGTTCTGTTAGCAAAAGAAAGGGATAATTATCTGTATTAATAGACAGTTAATAATGTCTCCCATAGGGAGTACCAAACAATGACAATGACAGAAACCAGTTTTCGAGTATATGCACTGTATCACTCCCTCCCCACCACTGTCCACTCACTCTCCACTAGACCTCACATCCAGGTATTAGCTTCTATGCACAGAGACTTACCTCTTACCTATTCAACTTTAATTGCTGGTATCAACAAAATACACTGCTTAGGCTTTAAGATATAGAAACCCTTCTGAAGGCTTTTTCACAAAAAGAAAAAAGATTTTTGGTATTTTTGCATCTCAACTGTAAGTAAGGAAGTATGTTCAGTATGTAATTTAGGGCTGACCTTATTGCTTACATAATTTTAACTAGGTAATCAGACACAGTCAAATGAAAAATTACTATACATTTAGGAAAAGTATTTTGTGCCAGTAGGAAAGTTCTTATTCCCTGCAGCAGAGACTGACTCTTGGCCAGAGATGGGAGAAATAACTAATTTAGTTTTATTGTCTCTTTTTATTGTCCCAATAGTTGAAATTGCCCACAACCACAGAAGGCAGAGTTATCCTCGTTGAAGCAAGCTAACACAAATGAGTTCTTTTTAGCAAACTTCTCTGTCTTGCCTATTCTTTGGATCATAGCACAAGTTTTTGAGAGATCAGCTGAATGAATACATAAGTGTTAGAGTTAACCTAAGACATGAACCACAAAAGGATCTAGGGGTGTCCTGAACATGTTTCTTTCTTCTTCAAAGTCTTATTCGAGTATATACATCTGACTTGGAATAATAATATGAATCTACAACTTCCTTAACATTTCTGCAGTTTGCTGGCAGGAGTAGGTGCATATATACCAGCACTTCAAGGTACTTACCTGCATCCTTTATCAATTCTTTTTTCCCTTGCAATACTCTAATTAGTGTTCAACTAATATATATATATATATATATATATAATATATATAATATATTATATTATATATTATATTATATATATTATATATATATATATATATATAGCTAATGATCTGCAATATCTTATGTTCTTTCTTTTGTCCTATTAGTTTGGTATTTCCATTCAGGACATTTTATCTCTGTGCAAAGACCGGAGTAGAAGCTGATGAGTGGATCAAGATATTACGCTGGAAATTGGTGAGAATTTTTAAGCCTTCAGATGTCAAGTCTTGAGAAATAACATGTTGATGATTTCAAACATATTTCTATCAAAAGAGTCAGACTAGACCCAAGAATCAAAGAGATGTCTGGGTGTCTACTTCCAGGCTTGCGGAACAGTCTGTTAATTCTTCTGGGACATGAGAAGAGATGGAGACAGGATTGTAAAAAAGAAAGAATTAAGCCATATTTGGGTCTTAGACATAGAGCCTTAGCCTAATAACCACCTATCAGACTTCCTATAAGGTGTGTCAGTTAGTTCAGTTTTGTCTGGAGGGGGACATTTAGAACCAGAAGGTCTGACAGAGGAAAGCTGACATACTTCTCTAGTTGAAAAGCCTTTTAAATTGTTAGAGAAGAAAGTTTGCCAGAGGCACTTAGCTTAGTTTCCAATGTAAGCATCACTTTGTGCAGGTCAAGGACAAAAGCTGATTTATTTTGTCTGCTCTCTGTATATCTCCCGAGGAGAAGACTGAGTGAGTACTTATAAAACTTCACCAATCTTCTACTTGTTTTTCATGTGCTTGCAAGTTAGTGAGTTCTTAGCCAAGAACTTGTCCTTAAAGCTGACTAAAATTTCCTATAAATACCATCTTAAAAACTTTGATGATTTCTTTTTTTCTATTTTTTTTTTTTTTTTTTTTTGAGACAGAGTCTCGTTCTGTTGCCCAGGCTGGAGTGCAGTGGTGTGATCTTGGCTCAGTGCAACTTCTGCCTCTTGAGTTCAAGTGACTTTCATGTCTCAGCCTCCCGAATAGCTGGGATTATAGGAGCTTGCCACCACGCCTGGTTAATTTTTGTATTTTTAGTAGAGAAGGGGTTTCACCATTTTGGCCAGGGTGGTCTCGAACTTCTCACCTCAAGTGATCCACCAGCCTCAGCCTCCCAAAGTGCTGGGATGACAGGTGTGAAGCACCATGCCCGGCCAGATGATTTCAAACAAAATATTTTTCTTAATTATTTTTTGCAAAATTGTCTGATATATATGAAAATTCCTTTCTAGATACTGAGACTTTTGCTTTCAGTTATGTTTTCAGTTTGAAATTCAAATAAGTATACCATTCATTTTTAAATTCTTCCAATGTATCAGTGAGGGATAATTTGTCTTGTGAAACCTTTGCTCAGATATGGATTAATTTCTTATTCTTTCTATTTTTAATTATCAAAGTAACACAAAATCATTATACAAGAATTATAGAAAAATATATCAAGTATACACACTTTTAGACTTCTCTCTTTACACATAAATATTTAAAAACAAAATTTAATCACTTGCTAGAAGTAAAAACCACAATGATGTACCACTACACACCCTTCAGAACGGATACAATGAAGACTGTCAATATCAAGTATTAGCATGAATGCGAAGGAACTAGAACTCTCCTACATTGCTAGAGGGAATGAAAATGTGTACGGCTACTTTGAAAAATTGCTTGGCAGTTTCTTTTAAAACTATACATATACCTACACTATAATTCAGCATTTTCATGCTTAGGTATATCTAAGAGAAATGAGTGCATGTATCCACTAAAAAATGTTACAATAATGTTCATAGCATCTTTATTGATAATATACAAACTCCAAACAAAACAAATCACTTGCCAGTGTTCTATATTTGCTCACTTCACTTAGCAATATATTATGAACATTTTTCCATATTATCAATTTTAGATCTATATCTTCCTTTTAACTCATTGAATAGTATTGCATTTTATAGATTACTGTAAGTATTAGACCAATTCCCAATTTGTACATGTTTTAGCAATCACTTTACAATATGTGTCCTAAAAAAAAATACAGAAAATTTTTCTGGACACATGATAATTAGCTTATAGTTGGGGGTGAGCACATGATAATTAACTTAGAGTTGTATGACATCCTTACTAATCAACATGTCTTATTTAATATTTGTTAGAAGCCAGGGTTCATTACAATCACTCAATAATGGATACACGTGTGTGTACTTTATTACAGTCACAAATAAGAAAACAGCTCAACCAAGGGGAAGGCACGATCCGATCTCGGTCGTTCATCTTTAAATAGATCTTTCTTGCCAAGGAATGCTCTGGCCCAGGAGCAAGGTGGAATGTTTCCCTGACGCTGTGATCTGCAGCAGGCTTCAAATGAAAACCGACTAAGGATTTTCTTTCAAAAACAAATCAGAAGCAGATGCTGATTGGGACCCATATACCACGTTGCTGACTCACGTTGCTGCCCTTCCATGATGTTGCCATCTCCTTGAGAACACTGAAGCAATCACCATTCTGATAGAAAGTGCTTAAACCACCACTCTTAGGTCTGCTCACTCTTAGAACACACAATGGAAGAGGAAGGGTTTTTGTTTTCACTCATTGTGGTCCCCAAGCCTATTGACACTAGTTGCCTAGAGTCCCACTGTGAGTCATGGTCAGCCTGTCTGACATCCAGGTTGTGCTATTAACCAAGAAGGAAACAGATACTTGGAGGCTTAGATGACTTCTGCAGGATTTATATTCAGATAGAAAACATCAAATATTTTCAGGGGAGAGGTTTTTTTTTTTAATTTTTCCCCCTTTATACAAAAAAAAAAGAACATTTCCAAAACTAAAATAGAAAATGCTTGTGGCATTTATTTTCTCTTTTTAAAAGGTTCAGAAATTTGGCAGGTCCTTTGCTTCTAATGACAAAACTGTGAGAGCTAGATGTCCTATGGGCAATTAGGTAGTATAATAAAGGTAAATGAAGGTACAATTTTTAAACCATTATTTTCACCCTGTTGGGGTAAATGTTTTAAAGAGTGAGAAAACATAAATTGAGAAAGGGTGATAAAGTAATAGATAACTTTTAGTTTAATAATAATTATTGTTATTATACTACTAATAATAGAGCACTTGTAAGCACTAAGTTATCTTTATCCAACATTTCTCCAAATGGACTGAAAGAAACTTTTCAAGGACAGTGTATTATAACAATCCCTTTCCCAGAATTAGTTGTATAGGGTTGGCCCAAGAGATGTAAGAAAAATCTCGCATTGCTCCCTAAGCACCCTGGGCCTTATTAAAGAGCAACTTCTATTTCCAGTCGGGGGAGTAACACTAAAGCTACAAGAAATATGTAATAATGATAGGTAATAATGTGTTCCAAAGCTTTTTCAAACTAGAATAAGGAGGCAAATAGAAGAATGAGATACTGATGTCCACAGTTCATTGGCAGAATCTAACCCCTTCTGTTATCTTTTTTAATACTATTTTTGTTTAGATAGAAGTTTCAAAGAAGATAAAAATGCTTGAAGAGCCTGAGAGTAAAAAGATTATGCTGCAAAGCTATGATATAAACTGCTCTTGCAGTCCAAAGGGATACCTGATTAAAGAAGTTTCTTATTTAAACATCTCAGACGCAAAAATTACATTAAATTTTTGTATATTTCAACAACATTTTAAATGTATTTTGTTATGTTTGTATTATATAGGATAAAGCAAATGTCAAGTTAAAATGTATTGTGTTGTTTGTAAAGTAAGAAGTTACTGGCCAGGAGCGGCGGCTCATGCCTGTAATCCCAGGACTTTGGTAGGCCAAGACAAGCAGATCACTTGAGGTCAGGAGTTCAACATCAGCCTGGCCAACATGATGAAACCTTGTCTTTACTAAAAATACAAAAATTAGCTGGGCATGGTGGCAGGCGCCTGTAATCCCAGCTACTCAGGAGGCTGAGGCAGGAGAATTGCTTGAACCCGGGAGGTGGAGGTTGCAGTGAACCAAGATCGCGGCGCTGCACTCTAGCCTGGGTGACAGAGTCAGACTCCGTCCCAAAAAAACAAACAAACAAAACAAAACAAAAAAAAACAGAAGTTACAAATGAATACTCACGGATATGTATAGTTTTATGTTTGTTTTCTTAGAAACAAATGTGTTTCTTTGGGTGGGTAATATTGTGTTTTACTATGTTTACCTTTTATAAAACATAACCTGTTTATTTATATTCTTTGGCTTTGTTTATTAAAAAGCATGATTTTGCTGTGCATGTACCATTTTGCTATTAAAATTTATTTTTAATATTTGTAACTTGAAAGAAATATACAACTGATTAATATCATAAATAGCAATGAAGAATTCACTTCAGTTAGACTATTAACCACAAAGGATTGGAAGTTGAAGAAATAGTCCAAGGCCTCAAGGAGTTCTTAGTTGAATATGGAGAAAACAATAAACATATATATATATATATGCGTGTATATATATATACATATGACAATATATAGCAGTAAATAAGATCATTACTGTAAGAGAAGTACACAAAGCTATCTGATGGAGCAGGTGCTTCAGCAGGGGATACAACAATTTGTTGGAGGGTTTTGACATGAAAAGGGTGAGCTAACATGTACCTGCTATGTAACTAGTACTAGACTAGGTGTTTTGCCTGCCCTCAGCAGTCCTGCAAAGAAATGATTCTAACTCCCAAGTGGAGCCTGTGAGGGTTCCTCAGCTATTTCTCCAAGTCCAGAGAGAGGGAGGATGTTTTGTGCCAACGGCAGATCAGAGCAGGGGAATATGGGAGAAAAGAGAGTGGGCTATCTGCATTATACCCTGTCTGCTAACAGGTATGAGCTTATCATTAAGACAAAGTATTCGCAGTTATTCTCAGAATTCCCTCTGGGAAAATCCTGGCCCACAGGAGCAGTTTTCTCTGGACAAATGGTGACACCAACATGGTGAGGGAAGGCTAATACAGATGGTTCCTGACTTACAATGATTTGATTTAGGATTGTTCAACTTCACAATGGGTCTATTGGGGTATTAAATGCATTTTCTCCTTATGATATCTTTGACTTAAAATGAGCTTATTGGAATGGAACCCCATCATAAGTCAAGGAACATCTGTACTGTTTCTGGGGGAAACCTTCCCCCTATGCCAGAACACCTGGACATCAGAGAACTCGGTGGGGCAGGACCCTTCTTTTCCCAACCACATGGCATGCAAGAGAGTGGGTTCCTCTCTCCTTATTTCTCACAAGGGCTTGGCATGCAGGTCAGGGCATTATGCTGTGTCCCTGTTTCAGGCAGAAAGCAAGAGAACTACTGTAAGGAGAAGGTCAGTTCTACTTCCTTCCCTCTCCACTACTTCAGATCCACTGCAGCAAATCCATGTTTCTACCAGACTCTTCCTAGCCAAGTATACTACACAGCAGAGTGCCAGGCTGAGCCTACGGTCTGCTCTCTATGAATTCAGGCTGTCTGACCATGATGTCAAGCAGAGTTTCTTAAACCATCTATTGCAAAGGATCTTATTTTCTTTTTTTTTTAAATTTATAATCTATCACAGACTGAGATTTCATAAAATTCAATAAATTTTTAGAAAAATCAAGAAAAAAATACAAATATCACAATCCCAGTTTATTATTATCAGATTCAACAGGCATAAAGTTACTATCTCAAATTGTTGTAAGTTTTTCAACACTTAAAACTGGCATTTCTGTACTTATCTTGCTAGCAAACAGTGTGCACAACAGCCCAGTCTGTGGACCACGTTGTGAGTAGCACAGGTCTAGCTGACTGGCAGGTAAAAGGAAACAGCCTTCTTGAGAAAGAATTCACCTGAAGATAGGAAGGGTTGAGGTTGAGTTGCACATGCTTTGTTGATGGAATACAGGCATCATTAGAGGGGAAAGGTGATTCGGAGCACATTCTTGACTGTTACTCAGCCCCTCCTCAGCAAAATCTAAAAGAGCTATTTCACCAGTCTCCAGTGGCCAGACAATGAGATTGTAAGTTGTGTCACATTTTCAGCTGTGAACAAAGATGGCACCCTTGGCCTTAAGCAGGGGTTGTGTGCCCTTGTAGACAACAGCAGCCACAACCTGACTTAGCAGTAGCAACAATGGCCAGGGTTGTGGGGCATAATCATCCCAGAGAGCAAGAACAAAGAAAAAAAAATGGCAGATGCCATATAGTTTCAGGAGTACATGTGAAGAAGGGTCTATGAGGACTTCCAGAAATATCTGGGAGGCATTTGAGAATGACCATATTTTCCACAGAAAAAGCAAGATTGGAGCCAGAGAAGTTAGACCAGCAGGTCCCTGATCCCATCCTACGGTTATTTCCCCAGTTCCAGATGCATCGTTGGTATAGCCATCCAGGCATACCTTGAAGATATTGCAGGTTTGGATCCACACCACCACAATAAAGCAAATATTGCAATAAAGTAAGTCACACCATTTTTTTTTGTTTCCCAATTCATACTAAAGTTATTGCTAAAAAAAATTATAATGATCATCTGAGCTTTCAGCAAGTTGCAATCACTTTGCTGGTGGAGAGTCTTGCCTGGATGGTGATGGCTGTTGACTGATCAGGGTGATGCTTGTTAAGGGTTGGGGTGGCTGCAGCAATTTCTGAAAATAAGACAAAAATGAAGTTTGCTGCATCAATTGATTCTTCCTTTCCTGAAAGCTTTCACTGTAGCATAAGGTGCTGGTTGATAGCATTTTACTAACAGTAGAATTTCTTTCAAAATTGCAGTCAATCCTCTCAAACCCTGCAACTGCTTTATCAACTAAATTTATGTAACATTCTAAATCTTTTGTTGTCATTTCAAAAGTTCACAGCATCTTCACCAGAAGTAGATTTCATCTCAAGAAACCACTTTATTTGCTCATCCATAAGAAACAACTCATCATCCATTGAAGTTTAATCATGAGATTGCAGCAATTCAGTCCCATCTTCAGGCTTCACTTCTAATTCTAGTTCTCTTACTATTTCCATCACATCTGCTGTTACTTCCTCCACTAAGTCTTGAACCCCTCATAGTCATTCATAAGGGCTGAAATCAAGTTCTTCTCCACTCCTGTTAATGTTGATATTTTGACCTCCTCCTGTAAATCACAAACGTTCTTATTTTTGTTTGTTCTTTGGGTTTTGCGTGTGTGTGTGTGTGTTTTGTTTGTTTGTTTGTTTGTTTTTGAGATGAAGTCTCACTCTGTCACTCAGGCTGGAGTGCAGTGGTGTGATCTCAGCTCACTGCAGCCTCCGCCTCCCGGGTTCAAGCGATTCTCCTGCCTCAGCCTCCCGAGAAGCTGGGACTATGGGTGTGCACCACCATGCCCTGCTAATTTTTGTATTTTTAGTGAAGACAGGATTTCATCATGATAGCCTGGCTGGTCTTTAACTCCTGACCTCCTCTTGGGAGGCCTTGGCCTCCCAAAGTGTTGGAATTACAGGTGCAAGCCACTGTACCTGGCCACAAATGTTCTTAATGGCATTTAGAAGGTGAATCCTTCCTGGAAGGTTTTCTGTTCACTTTGCCTGGATACGTCAAAGGAATCACTATCTATGGCAGTGATAGCCTTATTAAATGTATAACTTAAATAATAAGATTTGAAAGTTGAAAGTCAAAATTACTCCCTCATCTATGGGCTGCAGAATGGATCCTGTTACTAGGTATGAAAACAACATTAATCTTATTGTACATATCAGAACTCTTGTGTGACCAGGTGCATTTTCAATGAGCAGTAATATTTTGAAAGAATTCTTGTTTCTGAGCAGTAGGTCCCAACAGCGGGTTTGAAATATCCAGTGAACCATCCTGTGAACAGACGTATTATTATCAGGCTTTGTCTCATTTATAGAGCAGGGGCAGGGTAGATTTAGCATAACTCTTAAGAGCCCTAGGATTTTCAAAATGGTAAGTAAGCACTGGCTTCAGGTTAAACACCAGCTGTATTAACCCCTAACAAGAGAGTCAGCCTATCCTTTGAAGCTCTGAAAGCAGGCATCAACTTCTCTTTAGCTATGAGAGTGCTAGAGAGGAGAAATCAATGACTGGCTTCAAAGCTTCAAAGGATGGCATCTTCTTCCAATAGAAGGCTATTCAGCTACATTGAAAATGTGGTGTTTAGTGTAGGCACCTATCATCAATGATCTTAGCTAGGTCGTTTGGATACCTTGCAGCATCTACATCATCACTTGCTGTTTCACCTTGCTCTTTTGTTATGGAGATGGTTTCTTTCCTTAAAATTTCATGAACCAACGTCTGCTGGCTTTGAACTTTTCTTCTGCACTTCTTTACCTCTCTCAGCCTTCATAGAATTGAAGGGAGTTAGGGCTTTGATCTGGATTAGGATTTGATTTAAGGGAATATTGTGGCTAGTTTGGTCTTCAATCCAGACCACTCACACTCAAACTTTCTCCATCTTAGCAATAAGGCTGTCTTGCTTCATATTCATGTGTTGATTAGAGTAGCACTTTTAATTTTCTTCAAAAATGTTTCCTTTGTGCTGGGCATGGTGGCTCACGCCTATAATCCCAACACTTTGGGAGGCCGAGGCGGGCAGATAAAGAGGTCAGGAGATCAAGAGGTCAGAAGATCAAGACCATCCTAGCTGACACGGTGAAACCTCGTCTCTACTAAAAATACAAAAAATTAGCTGGGTGTGGGGGCGGGCGCCTTTAGTCCCAGCTACTCGGGAGGCTGAGGCAGGAAAATGGTGGGAACCCGGGAGGCAGAGCTTGCAGTGAGCCGAGATGGAGCCACTGCACTCCAGCCTGGGCAACAGAGTGAGACTCCATCTCAAAAAAAAAAAAATGTTTCCTTTGCATTCACAATTTTTTGGCACAAGAGGCCTAGTTTCTGGCCTATCTCAGCTTTCAACATGCCTTTTTCACTAAGCTTGATCATTTCTAGCTTTTGATTAAAAATGAGAGATGTGAGACTTTTCCTTTCATGTGAACACTTAGAGGCCATTTTAGGATTATTAATTGGCCTAATTTCAATACTGTTGTGTCTCAGGGAAGGGGGTGCCCAAGGGTAGGGAGAGAGATAGAGGAACAGCAAGTCAGCGAAGCAGCCAGAACACACACATTTATTAAGTTTGTTGCCTTATGTGGATGTGGTTTATCGCACCCCAAAATATTAAAATAGTAACATCAAAGATCACTGATTACAGATCACCACAACAGATGTAATAATCATCAAACCAGTTTGAAATATTGCAAGAATTACCAAACTGTGACACAGAGACAAAAAGTGAATATATGCTGTTGAACAAATGGTGCCAATAGACTTGCTCAACTCAGGGTTGCCATAAATCTTTGTGAGAAACACATCTACAAAACACAGTAAAGCAAAGGGCAATAAAACAAGGTATGCCTGGGTAGATGAACTTAGCTATTCAAGACAGCTAAGCACAGCCTCAGACAATAAAGTATCCTTCATGTGATGAAACCAGAATAACAAGTCCAGCCTGGTTTGTTTAAATCAGATACTGAAGTTGGCCTTTATTTAAAAAAAAAATAGGGGCAAACTATGATCCAAAAAGACAGGTCTCAAACAAGGGCAAACTGCATGATCAAAAAACTTACAATTTTTTTTCCTTCCCTACACAAAGATACCATCTGCAACAATGTCATCTTTTTTTTTTGCTTAACTTTTCCTGAAATTTTCAAAATATCATCAATATTTTGCCATATTGTTGAACTCTCCTACACTTAAAAATTTCTTTTTTCTGTTTGGAACACTTTAAAGCAAATTCTAGACATAGTTAATAAATGAGGTATGGTTGTACTCAGCAACTGACAGAACCCCAACATTGGCTCCCTGATCTATAGAGTGTGGGCTATTATCAAAGGAAAGGCCAAGTAGAAACCAGTAGAACTGCCTCCATCTGGAAGATATAAACCAAAAGCAATCCCACATTCCCAGAGGGACTTAGAGGTTAGTGCCACCATCAAGGACTTGATGGATGCAGTGGTGGTGATTCCACTGCATCTCCATTCAGCCCACCTATTTGACCTATGCAGAAAAAGATAGGTCTTGGAGAATGAGTAGATTATCACAAACTTACTCATGTGGTGACTCCAGTTGCAGCTGCTTTTCCAGATGTGATTTCATTGCTTAAGCAAATTAACACATCCCCTGGCACCTGGTATGCAGCTACTGATCTGGCAAATGCCTTTTTCTCCATATCTGTCCATAAGCCCCACCAACAGCTGTATGCTTTCAGCTGGTAAAGCCAACAACATACCTTTACTGTCCTACCCCAAGGGTATATCAGCTCTCTGGCCCTATGTCATAATTTTTCCACAGGGTCTTTGATCACATTTCCCTTCCACAAGACATCACACTGGTCCATTACATTGATGACATTACGCTGATTGGACCTAGTCAACAAGAAGTAGCAAATACCCTAGACATATTGGTAAGACATTTGTCTCAGAGAGTGGGAAATAAATATGACAAAAATTCAAGTGCCTTCCAATTTACCAAAATTTCTAGGGGTCCGGTGGTGTGGGGCCTGTCAAGTATCTCTTCTAAGGTAAAGAATAACTTGTTGCATCTGGCCCTCTGACAAACAAAACAAAACAAAAAAACAGTACATACCTAACAAGCATCTTTGGATTTTGGAGGCAACATTGTTTTCTATATTGCTCATGTAATTCATTGGTCTTACCATGTTCCCCACCATCCTGGAGCAGCTGGCTTGATAAAATGGTAGACTAGCCTTTTGAAAACTCAGTTACAGCACTAGGTAGGTGGTGATATCTTGCAGGGGTGGGGAAATGTTCTCCAGGAGGCTATATATGTTGTAAAATCAGCATCCAATATATGGTGTTCTTCCTTCCATAGCCAGGATTCACAGATCCAGCAATAAAGGGGTGGAAATGGGAGCCATGCCACTCACTATCACCCCTTGTCCACTACCACAATTTTTGTTTTCTGTCCCCAAGTTCCTATGCTCTTTAGGTCTAGAAGACTTTGTTCCAAAACCAGTAATACCTCAACCAGGAGACACAATGATTCTATTAAACTGGACATTAAGTAAGATTGCCACTCTGCCACTTCGCACTCCTCATGCCTCTGACTCAACACATAAAGAAGAGAATTACTGTACTGACTAGGGTAACTAGTCCTGATTGCCCGGGGAAACAGGGCTGCTACTGCACAAGGAAATAAAGAAGGGTATGTCTGAAATACAGGAGATCCACCAGATCTGTTTTACCAAGCCCTGATTAAAGTCAGTGGAAAACTTTAAAACCTATTACAGGCAGGACAACGAATGGCTCAGATTCTTCAGGAATGAAGGTTTGGAATACCTCACCAGGCAGAACCACAAATAGCCAAGTTGCTTGCTGAGTGCAAGGAAATATGGAATAGGCAATGAAAGGTAGTTAAAAATACCAGATACAATCACATGTCCAATTGCCAAAATAAGAATTGTGATTGTCTATTTATGTATACAAATATGTATATATTACACATACACACATATATACTGAACAAATCTTTTCCCCCCTCCTTTATCCTCTTAGCTAATATAAGACATATTAACAGTGGTATCCTTACATCACAGTATTAAGGTACAGGATAGCAAGGAAAAAAGTGATCACCAAAGGACTTTGCATCCTCCTTTGGGGAATGGATTGCATCCTCTTCTGAGGAAACCTCCTCCAGGAAATATTTGTCGTTGTACATGTTAGAAGTACAACCTAGTCTTTATTTGGAGACTAAAATATGGTTTAAGATGCATACAGGCCAGGTGCGGTGGCTCATGCCTGTAATCCCAGCACTTTGGGAGGCCAAGGCAGGCGGATCACCTGAGGTCGGGAGTTTGAGATCAGCCTGGCCAACATGGCAAAACCCCGTCTCTACTAAAAATACAAAAATTAGCCAGGCGTGGTGGTGCACATCTGCAATCCCAGCTACTCAGGAGGCTGAGGCAGGAGACTCGCTTTAACCCAGGAGGCAGAGGTTGCAGTGAGCTGAGATCAGGCCACAGCACTCAAGCCTAAGTGACAGAGTGAGACTCTGTCTCACAAAACAAAAAACAACAAAAAAGATGCATACAGGTGCCAAGCTGACTAGGAATGGACTGTGAACGTTAGTTTTATGCATCAACTTGGCTAGGACACATTGCCTAGTTATTAAAACATGAATCCAGGTACTGCTGTGGATGTATTCTGGAGATGTACTTAACATTTATAATCCCTTAAATTTAAGTAAAAGAGATAATCCTCCATAATGTGGGTGAGACTCATCCAATCAACTGAAAGGCTTTAAGAGCAAAACTGAAGTTTCCAAGAGGACGAACTTCTGCTCTGAAACTGCAGCCTCAGCTCCTACCTGAGACTTTTCAGTCTTCTGGCCCGTCCAACAGATGTTAGACTTGCCAGTCCCCGCAATAGTATAAGCCATTTCCTTGAAATAAATACACATATGTCCAACCGGTTCTGCTTCTTTGGAGAGCCCTGAGACAACTTTCTTCCCCAAATATCCCATTTTATTGTTTGTTGAAATATTTTATTTCTAATTTTATTATTTTTGAACAGTTAAAAACTCAAAGTACAATGAAGTTTACAATGAAAAGGCTCACTCCTGGGATCCTTATCCCCCAGGTATCTAGTTCTGCTCCTTGGAGACTACCAATGTGATCAGGTTCTTCCATATATGTCTTCAGAGACAGTCTACCATATACAAACAAATAGGAATACATACACATTTTTTCTTCTTATACATCAATTGTAGCATGCCATACAGTTTGACACCATGCTTTTCTCAATAAACATTATTATGCCTTAGAGATCTTTTCATCTCAGTACCTAAAGCACTTCTTCATTCCTTTTTCCATTGGGCAAATTAGTTTCACCAATCCTCTGTAATTTATTATCTAAAGTGAGACATTGAGAATGAAAGCACTATTAATAATTATCCAAGAACAGCAGGTATAAACTGGTAGTGTTCAAAAAGCCAAAGCATATGGTTATCCTACCTATGGCAGATATTTAGGTTGCTTCCAATTCTTTGACATTACCAAGTTGCAAAGAATATACTTGTAAATACATACTTTTGCACATCTATGTGCTTTGTTTGGTAGGATAAATTTCTAGAAGTGGAATTGCAGGGCAAAAGGTTATGTATATGAATTTAAAAGTTTCACAGACTGCCAATTGCTGTACATAAAGAGTATAACAAGTCACACTTCCCTAGCAGGCATAGAGAATGCCTGCCCTACTTATTGAATAATCCTTTTCCCATTGTGATCCCGTCTTTATAACAATGTTTTAAGCCCTCACATGTATGTACTGAAGTCTTTTTTCTGGGTGAGTACATACCATTGATATCTAGTTGTGCATTCAGTTCTGTACTACCTTTCAAAAACAGTTAATCTAGGTTTACATTACCCTTTCAAAAATTTCTTAGCAATTTTCACCACCTTATTTTTCCAGATGAACTATGGGATAGTTTATCTATTATACCCCCTCAGAAATTTTAACAGTGGCAGCATTCAACATGTAAAGGTTAAGTAGCTCCATTTGTTATCATTTCTTTTTCTAGGATTTTTAGATATACAATTATTATCTGCAAATAGAAATCTGGCCACCTCATTTCTAAAAGACATTGTTTCATGCACCATTGCACTGGCAAAAATTTCCTGAACGATATTAAATAATCCAGATAATGGGAATTCTGGATTTCAATGAGTACATCTAGTATTTCAATTGTAACAATTAACTACAGTCATGTGTTACGTAACAATGTGGATACATTTCGAGACATGCTTTGTTAGGTGATTTCATCATTATGTGAACATCATACTGTACTGACAGGAACCCCAGATGGTATAGCCTACTACTACACACCTAGGCTATATGGTATAGCCTACTACTACATACCTAGGCTATATGGTATAGCCTACTACACACCTAGGCTATATGGTATAGCCTACTACTATACACCTAGGCTATATGGTATAGCCTACTACTACACACCTAGGCTATATGGTATCGCCTACTACTACACACCTAGGCTATATGGTATAGCCTACTACTACACACCTAGGCTATATGGTATAGCCTACTACACACCTAGGCTATATGGTATAGCCTGCTGTTCTGACCACCCTCGTATGTGGTCCTTCACTAACTGAAACATCATTATATGGTACATGGCTGTATTTATAGCTCTTTGCAGGTAAAGCATTATATCTCTTGCCTCTATTTTATTTACAAAGGCTATTTTCTTGCCCATTTTAAGTGCCCCTAGTCTGTGGTTCTATACCATCCTATGTATAGCTTTATCATAGCACTTTCTATACCTGCTTCCTTTACTGAACTCTAAGTTCTTTAAAGTAAGGTATCACAAATTAATCTCATATTTACACTGAAGAAGGGAGGAAGGATGGAAGGAAGAAAAAGTAGCACATGGCCCGGTGCAGTGGCTCACACCTATAATCCTAGCATTTTGGGAGGCCAAAGCAGGTGGATCACTTTAAGTCAGGAGTTCAAGACCAGCCTGGCCAACATGGTGAATTCCTGTCTCTACTAAAAATACACAAATTTGCCAAGTGCGATGGTGTAAGCCTGTAATCCCAGCTACAAGGGAGAATGGGGCATGAGAACAGCTTGAACCCAGGAGGCAGAGGTTACAGTGAGGCAAGATCATGCCACCACTGCACTCCAGACTGGGCAACACAGCAAGACTCTGTCTCTTAAAAAAAAAAAGAAAGAAAGAAAAAGCAGCACAGCACCTAGCCAATTGCCTCACTGCACAATTCTAGGGATAACAATCACACATATTCTATGTGAAAGGCAACTCCCAGAGCATAGAAATATGATGAGACATGAATGGTGCTTCTTAGAATTGTGCAATGTGATAGCTCGGCTGACTGGCACACAGGTGCTCAATGCATATGTACTGAACTGATCCAGGGAAAAACTGATTGTCAAAGAGCCTAGAAAGAAATTAACTCTGAATGATAGACTGCATTCCTGAACATAAAGGGTATATTCTAGAACTGTAGTACCTCTTTCATGGAGATTAAATTAGGTTCATGCCTGAGGTTTCTTGGTTTCTTTTCTTTTTTGTTTTTGAGACGGAGTCTCTGTTGCCCAGGCTGGGGTGCAGTGGCACAATCTTGGCTGACTGCAATCTCAGGTTTCTTTTCCAGTTAACAGTTCATACTACCGTAAAACAATCTCCAAACCAATACCTACAAGAAACACTCATTATTTATTCATGTGGCTGAAAGAGTATATTAATTATGTTTAGATTTTTGGAAAAAGTCTGAACAAAAAAAGGACCTATACAGTGCTCAAACTATATTTTTAAAAATACTATTTTATTTTTACTCACATATGAAAAAAATGGCTGTACTATCATGTTTACATACATACTAACATTGGAAACAGAATAACGAATTGTATTTAAATTTTATGAAGAACACACAAACATTAAAACACTGATTGGTTACAGAAAGCAGAGTTTGAGGAAAAAACATTAGCTATAATTTTCATTTTCATTAAAGAGCAGCACCCTCTGAGAATAATCAAACTGATTAGTAATATTCATCTATACTGCAAAATAATATGTACAAAGGAAAGTTAGTGATTGTACTGATTTTATTACTTTTACCAAGCCATTTTATGTTCCTCACTCAATGCAAAGAAATAAAACATAATCTGAAGAAAAATATGTCCTTATTATTATTCACAATAAAAAGTTGGCTTTATTCTGCAAGCCTGGGCATATTGTACAATTGGCAGCACTTAACGGCTCAAGTGGATCAATGTACCAGTTTGATTCTGATCCACTGAATAGAATCTCTCATCCATATCTGGTGACCAGACTAACTCCATGGGAGCTGTGATAGACTGAACCATTTCTGTGGTATCCCTAGATCTCACTAAATAAGAAAGACCCTACACCAGAAAATATAGCAACTGATCTATCTATAAATTACATCTATATGCTAGCTCTTTAGTATAAGTTGGAAAAAGGGGCCCTTTCTTGAGCACATGGATAAAAGTATTATTGTAGTCTAAAGATTGCTGGATTGATATTGTGTTGTTATAATGAAGATAAGGTACACACTGAAACCACTGTCAGATTAAGAAACTTCCACAACTTGTCTCAGTTCTTCAAACAATGGAGCAAGTTCCTTTTCTAGGCTGACAATTAGTCCTAAAATAAAGAGATTAAGAAAATTACATGTTAGAAAAATGTTCCTCAAAGCCTGAAACTCAGATTTCCTTATGTCCAAAATACATAGTTACCAAAAGTAAATCAGAACATAGTTTATTTCCCATGACTGAAACAAAATACAGGTTGAATATCCCTTATCCAAAATGCTGGGTATCAGAAGTGTTTTGAATTCTGGAATATTTGTACAATACTTACTATTTGAGCATCCCTAACCCAAAAATCTCAAATATGAAATGCTCCAGTGAGCATTTTCTTTGAATGCCATATTAGTGCTCAGAAAGTTTCAGACTTTAGAATGTTTTGGATTTCAAATTTTTGGATTAGGGATGTTCAACCTGTACTATAACCCTAAATAAAGCAACCAAAAACTTTGTAGTCATTAATAAGTTTATTTTCAGCATCTATTACTAAAGTGAATGAGTGAAAAATACTTATATATTAGGAAATACAGAATAAATTATATGCACTATAATTTGTTAAGAGTTTTGAAAGGAAAATCTTAATTTATACCTTACTGCTTCAAAATTTGCCTTGACTCAGAAATAATACATATGATTTTTACTAAATAAAGCATACTTTTGTCTCTAAGCAAATTTTAACAGATTATATCAAAAGATAGGTGCTTCTATATTGAACAAAGAAAATCAGAAATTTATTTTTATAAATTTGACAAAGCTAAGACATAAATAAATATTTCAAATGAAAAAATATTTTAAAAATAAATGGTAGAGTACAAAACACACTGGAGTTCAATGATGAACCTGGGAGATAAACATCTAGAAATAAGCATATCTTGCTTCTCCTTAGTTTACTAGAGTGAAAGGCTATCTGCCTCAAACAGAGCCTGTTTTATGTTCAAACAAATAAAGATCTTTCTCTGTCTTATAGAATATAAAAAGCATCTGAACTCTCAAGGAAAGGGTCCAAGTACTAAAATATTGTTCTGTACATTATCATAGTATATAACAACTGGTGACTTAGTATGTGATGATAGGTGATTTATCAAAACTCAGATTTAGTATATTTCCTAAATATACTTAAAATCTTAACACCATTACTATCCTATATAATTCAGAAAGTGTTTTTACATACAGTATTTTACAGATTCCTAAAATGTTTTGAAATGGAAGAGATCTAATAGATCATCAAATCTAAACCTCTCATTCTAAAGATGAGGTATCTAAGAACAGGCTTCAGTGACATAGCTAGAAGAACTTGCTCAGTTTGGAAGAAAAAACAAATAGAAAAAAATATATTACAATTCTCAACAGCAATCAAATCTAAAGGAGACAGACCTTTTAATAAAAATCCTACTTTATATAAAATGAAGTAAAAAAATTACAACCAAGTGAATAGTCATTATTTTACACATAAATATCCAGTGAAGGTATTGGATACAATGGAATTTTACTATTCTCTATAAAGGGTACAGCTTCCTAGCATTTGTTCTCAAATTCTTCAGTTCTCAAGAAGAGTGAGACTATGTTCATCCTATTCATGCTCTTTAAATTCTCAATCACATTCATTTTCCCCATTAGGTAAAATTTAAAAAATTCTAATTTAATAGATTGGTCTGTAACTCATCGATCATTTTAATGCGTTTTGTTGGGTTATCTTCACCTTGTTTTCTTAAACTGCTGTAATGGGAGCAAGATGTAGCACTCAGATAACATTTAATTTTCCTGTCTCCAAAAAAAAAAAAAAAAAATCACTTACCCATACACTGTCTCATTTGAACTAGAAAATAACATTGTAAGATGGAGAAAGCATATATTATCTCCATTATACAGATATGGAAACCAGGATTCAGAGAAATCACTTTTCCCAAGACATGGAAAAAAGACAGTGAAACTGGGCCACAAGTTCAAGATTTTTGGCTCTAAATCTACTATTCCTCTTAAATTAAGGTATGGTAATTAAATTAATTTTTTAAAATTAAGGATTAAAGTGATATTTAAGGTCATTAAACACACCTGTATTGGCACTGCTGCTGGCTATGAAACTCACCACCAAAGGTAAACGATTAAATTGAACCACCTAAAAAGAAAATAAGAGCCAAATAATATGTTGCATTATGAAAAGGTAGTATAACTAAACTGAAATGTCTTAATCTTTCAAAAACTTTAAAATCATCAATGTTTTAGCCCAACATTATGGTATTATATTATGAAACAGAAAGGAACTTTATATTTCAGTGAATATTTCCATAAAACAGAATTAGTGATGATCTCTTAGAGACATTAATACCATTTGGCCTGGAAAGTTTTTAAGGTGAAACCATATCTTCATCTTTTTATCTCTAAAGCCCAACAGAATATCAATTACATTGTAAGGACTTAATAAATAGTTGATAATTAAATGGATAAATGCAGTATTTCTCAGTTATTCAAGTAGTTTTATCTTCATGATATTTTCTGGTTCTTGTGTATTACTGTAATTTAAATTAAATTTAAAGTAACTTTAAATCAACTACCTTCAAAAAAAAAGAAAACTTAGTTTAAACCTAATCCTTATTGATGAAATTAAAGGTCAGATGGTTTGGTTATCTTTTACTTAATACACATTAAAATATATAACTTTTAAAATAAAAGATGGGCCTGGCACGGTGGCTCACATCTGTAATCCCAGCACTCTGGGAGGCTGAGGTGGATGGATCACTTGAGGCCAAGAGTTCAAGACCAGCCTGGCCAACATGGTGAAAGTCCGTCTCTACCAAAAATACAAAAATTAGCCAGGCCTGGTGGCACATGCCTGTAATCCCAGCTACTTGGGAGGCTGAGGCGTGAGAATCACTTGAACCTGAGAGGCGGAGGCTGCAGTGAGCTGAGATCATGCCACTGCACTCCAGCATGGGGCAACAGAGCCAGACTCTGTCTTGGAAGAAAAAAAAAAAAAGAGTAACTTACATCAATTGATTAGGAAACATCGCTCTAAAGCACAAGGAATTAATTTAGTCTTAAGAAAATGTAGCTTGAGATCAAGAGACATGCAAAAACTAAAAACTAACTTCTTTCCCACAAATAATAATCTCATTTATTACATATATATATTTCCAAAAAATGAAGGAATTAGCAGCAAGAGCAAATTTAATAAACTTTCAAGGAAAGTTTTTTTTATCTGTTACTACAACAAAAAAAGTGTGTCAGCTGAGAAATCACAGTTGTTTAGCTAACGGCACCATCTACTGGAGGTAACAGTGACCTGACATACTCTTTTTAGGATAACATGTACTTTATTAAATCACTTAATTACTTTTCCATAGTAATTATTTCCTGGTATGAAATGTGAAGAAAATTACTACATTTTAATACAACCAATTTGAAGGCTAAAATTTTACAATTTCATCCTCTTCAAAACTAAAATTGAGAACTATAACACAAACTATTTTATATATATAAAAGGCACAAAAATGACAACTGAAATCAGCAAATCATTTTATAATTATGAACTTACCTGGTAGGTGTTATAGTAACAGATGATACTTTTATTTTTGGAAAGTCCAAGTTTGCTTCCTTGGTCTGTTGCAAGGGCAAAAGTGGATAAGAAACCAGGTCGCAAAGCATGCTCTGGAGCATTGTCATTTGCCACTAGAAAAATAAGTGATTTAAATAAAAATTATGCAGAGGATATGGTAGAGAGATTTACAGCCCTTTTTTTTCATAAACCTCTTTTTAAAATTGAACACAAAGGTTATGTTTCACAATATTGAAAATCATATCACTAATGGGGTCTCATCACTAATCAGGAAAAACTGCTCAATCAAAAGTTCACTGATCACAAGTAAGAGAAAAAATGCTGACTCTCACAATTTTTTTAAATTTTAAAAAGAAAACTAAATGTTTACATTTTCTTGATATCTAACTTAAAACAGATTAATCAAGTACATTTAACTGGTTATCTGAGGACTAGGCTAGAATAAACTAATGAAAAAAGTTACAAAACTTCTGCTCTTATAAAACCCACAGCAGCAGTATCTCTCATAGATATTAACAATCTGCAGCTGGTTACCTGTTTCATGTTTCTCTCACTCATTAAAAGGTTTGCATGGAGTTTGTTATATTAATGAGTGCAGGGCTCAAGGCTTTAACACAGAGATCCTCATGAAGAATATTAGAGCTGGAAAATCTGAGATTATTTTGTTCAAATCCCTCATTACGGAATTAAGAGAAGGCAAGCAATCTGTCCACAGCCATTCAACAGCCATTTTATAGTGGGTTAGAAAGCACACTGGACCACACATCAGGAGATTATGGGTTCTATTACTGTTTTGTTACTGACTCATGTCCGACTTTGGACGGCAATGTCCGAAGATTATAAACCACAGGACCTCCTTTGTTCTTATAATGTGTTTGCCAAAATTCTCCCAGAAATGGAATCAATGTGTATTACAGAAATGTTTATAATCTTTACAAATTCATGCAGTTTATTAATAAGAATCTAAGACATAGCTAACTCTCCATTAAAACTGCTAAGAAGTCCAAGTGTCTTTGCACTTTATCACCTTCACTTATAAAATGAAAGAACTACATTAGTTGACTTCTAAACCTCCTTTCATTTCTAAAGTCTAAAATTATCTGATATATATGACAACTCCAGGTGGAAAATTGTAAACAAAATATACAGAACATTATCCAATCTTTAATCTTTGATAAAGCCACTATAGTGTCCCAATAAAACTAGGAACATCCATTCTCATAATACCATAATATAGAAATAGTAAAAATTGTCTGAATCCATACTGACTCTCTGTGACATCATGTTTACTTATGATCCAAATACATGGGTATTATCCTAAAACAACTAGCAATTTGATAAAATGTGTGTGTGGTATGTATATATATACACACACACATATATATATAGTAGGGGTGTCTGTGTGTATATCTAGCTGAATACATGCTCACTCTCATCACTTAGATTTACTAATGGTTTACGTTACACTGTAAATGTCTTTAATGGGAAATGGGTCTGTGATAAATCCATGCTTAAACTCTAGATGTTAATATGATACATGTGATATATAATACATTGTAGATTCAAATTCAACCTTCAACATACAAAAGCAAACACTTTCCCCAATACTAAGACCATCTCCCAAATTTACTAAAATGAATTTTATGTTTGCCTGCTGTACTACTCAGATGTAAATTACACACATTTTTAGTCAAAAGCAAAGAAGACATTTGCATTTAAATGTTCAGTTTTACCTTTAATAACAGGTACTCCATCTCTATCTGACACAACAATGGCATGGAGCCCTTCAACACTAGAAAAAGAAAATAGTTAAAATATAAAAAAAGTTAAAATATAAAATTTTAAAAAGTTAAAATATAAAATATTTCATTTTCTCAAACTATGCACCTCAAAGACATAATAATTCTCATGTATTTTCTGAAAAACCACAGACCCCAAAATTCTCCCAGAAATTGAATCAATGTGTATTATAGAAATGTTTATAATATTTACAAGTTCATGCAGTTTATTAATAAGAATCTAAGACATAGATAACTCTCCATTAAAACTACTAATGAATGATCAGTCCATGGTACACAAAAGCATGAAAGATTATCAGCAGGGGCTATAGTGACAAAAAACAGCCTTTTTCCTTTTTCATTCATGCAAATATTAAGCGGCCAGTATTTGTGGCACTTAATACTTTGATACTATGAAAAACAGAAATAAGCACAATCATTGCCTTCACATGGCTTCCAATGTAAAAAGTGAATGTGTTACCAATAAAATAATCTCACAATAACAAACGTAAAACTAAAACTGGTGGCAAGTGTTGTTAAAAAGTTCATAGGGATATGAGAACCTAGAAAAGAGGAGGCTGATGCAGACAGACAGTGGGCCAGAGAAGGCTTTCCTGGAGGCAGTAATACATCAGCTGAGACGTTATGGCACTAAGTGAAAAGACGTGGAAAAACTGTTCCTGGCTGAAGAAACAGGGCAAAAGGAATGCAGGCTATGCAGTAATCCTTTCAGCCATGCTTACGTAAGAAGTAGTAAGCAGAACGGTCAAGCTATAGCTCTAAAGTTAGAAAGATCTGGGTTCCAGTCCAGGCTCTGCCACTTATTATTTATGCTATCTTGGGCTAGTTATGAAACCTTTACAAGCCTCAGATTAACAATTTGAAAATGGGAATAACTGTACTTACTTAGATACTGTGAAATTTAATAATACAAGGCATGTAAAGTGTAGGCTGGCACATAATTCAAAAATATCACTTATTAACTAATACCAGTGGTGTCAATTGTGCACACTGACAATGACATAATTTATCACTAAAGTACTAAGTTATCAGTGAGAATCCCTGGGAAATTAGCAATTAAGAAACATATGGTAGAGCACAAATATACTGTGTTAAAAAATATAAGGTGACACTCCTCGACTTTCAACATTTATGCAAAACCCTTTCATTGTTAACATAAATCTTATAGTCCTGTAACTATCTTATGGTATCTATAAACTACAACTCAGAGATATGTTCAATGTCCCTACAGCAACCCGGAATGATCTATTCTTTGTGTTAACTTTAATGTATTAACTAAGGAATAAGAAATACTTATATTAACCTAATGTTTAAATACTGACATTAAATTTTTTAAAATCCCATTGTCAAAAACTTTTAAGTCAGAAAAGTGTTATTAAATATGAATGGAAAATGTTACAAACAAAATCATTTGTCTTCCTTACATTAAAAATAAGAATAAAATAACTTTATAAATGACTTTTATACTATTTTTATCCTATTATTGGCATGATTTCCTAATCATTCAATCCTAAACTTATTTATAGATTAAAATATATCTCTAAGATTAATACATAACATAGGCCGGGCACAGTGGCTGACGCCTGTAATCCCAGCAATTTGGGAGGCCAAGGTGGGCAGATCACCTGAGGTCAGGAGTTTGAGACCAGCCTGGCCAACATGATGAAACCCCGTCTCAGCCAAAAACACAAAAATTAGCTGGGTGTGGTGGTGCTTGTCTGTAATCCCAGCTACTTGGGAGACTGAGGCATAAGAATCGATTGAACCTGGGTTGCAGTGAGCCAAGATTGCGCCACTGCACTCCCAGCCTGGGTGACAGAACGAGAGTCTGTCTCAACAACAACAACAAAAAGATTAATACATAAAATAAATATATTCTTCTAAGTTAAAAACTAGGTTATATAAAACATATACTACAGATATTTGTACATAAGCCAATTATTTTGTGCAGTTACCAAAAGCAACATCATTTGAAACAGTAAAGCATTACAAATCCAACTGTCCATCAAGAAGGACAAGGTAAGTTATGATATACACCTACAAAGGAATACTCTGGAATACTCTGCAGCCATGAGAAAGAGGAAGTTCTCTATGTACCAGGAAAGATTACTCTCAAAGTTACATTCTTAAGTGAAAAAATACACAGTTTAGAACAGTGTATAGAAGAAGCAATAAATTATGTACCAAAATATGCAGGCATATGTGTATGTTGTGTGTATAAATACGTGTATATACATGTCTGCTCATAGGTACATAAAATATCTCTGTAGGTAATGGTGGGTGCCTCTTTGAGGGGAAACTGTGCATGTGGCTGGAGAGGAAGGATGGGCAGCTTCTCACTCTATGTTCTTCAGTTAAGTCTTGAATCTGAACTCTGTGAATGTACTACTTACCCCCAAAATAAATTAAAAAGCAGGTAAAAAGAGGACCACAAAAATGTTTAGAAAAATTAGTGCCACCACAGGTAGCTTCTTTTTTTAAATTTCCATGGAAATTACTTTAAATACAACTAATGCTCCAAAGAAAATAAAAGGACTTTCTTTTTGATGGACTTCACAGAGAAATGAATCAAGAAAGTAGAAAAATTACTTACACTCTTAAGTATATAATTTTAGAAATCAGGTCACAAATATAAAAGCTGTTTTCAATTCTACATACAATGCGCAAAGAGTAATATAAATAGAATTTACTAATAATTAAAAATAACTGGCTCATTAAGAGATACTACACTTTTAGAAGAAATGAATTAAATTTTGTGAAATATTCTGAAGAAATCTAAACCTTAAGCTTACTAAAACAACCATTTTTTTCTAAAAACAAATGTTGCATTACTAATCAAAGACATCGGATTTAGTTTTATACACATAATTATGAAATATTTGGTTGTTTTAAAACATACAAAGTGGGATTATTAAAGCCTGAGACTGCTTTGGGTCACAACCAGATTTTAAATTGCAAATACAAGAACGATATTTTGCAGAGAATTCAAAAAACGCACAAAAACACACATTCCATTAGTATCCGTAGCTGGCTGACTTTGTTACTGAGAGGCACTGAGGTACAACAGTTAAAAGCATGAATCCATGGCTCTGAAGCAGGATGCCTGCATCCAAACCCATACATCTAGCAACAAATCAAAGCGTATATTCTACTATTCTTCATAAATGTTCAAAACATTATTATTTCTTCATTATTACTGTTCTGGGATGCAATAAGCCTATTTTCAATAAATGATATAATGAGTTGAACTGGCTTTTTTTCATTATTAAAAAAAAAACTGACAGTACTAATACCTTTCCTGCCATTATGAAAGATTTTCATAAAGCTTTTAACAAATATCCTTTAACTGAATTTATTTCTTGGATAAGCACAACAACCTGATATTTCCCCTTTTGTTAAAAGATAAGAGACATCTAAATTCAAAGAAGAAGCAAGCATTTACTTTCCAACTATTTTTGATCAACATTAGAACTACTCAGTAATATAATAAATACTTTTGGTATTATTCTCTAATTCCTTTACACAGACAGCTTCATCATATCCAGTGTCACACGCTATTATGATTTTGAGAGCACACTTAATAGTTAAAATGAGATCCCCATTGTCTGAAACATTTTTATTGCTTATAATCACAGATGATGTAATTAGAATCAATTATTGCTTTATTAGATCTCCAGGTGACTAATGAGTATCTTTCTGGTCGGTTTATAACTTAAGAACATTGAATGCAATTTTGCTGTTTCTTCAATAAGAGATGCTAACACTCAAAAGAGGACTGTAAATCACTAAGACTTCTAAGTGAATTAACTATGTACTATTAACTATTTCATCATATCACCAGCGTAGTGGGGTATCTCTCCGTCCCAATTTGAGCGCCCTTTCATTACGCTAAGGTAACTACAGAAAAACACAGAAAGCCCTCATTTTGCATAGTTCCAATATGCACATTTTAGTTACTATGGTTAAGTAATACCACTCCCTGCAGAAGAGCACAGGTCAAATTTTAGTTAGCATGGCATAATACCTCAATAACTACGTAAAGTATAAACTTTTCTAACTCTTTAGTCCA
Organism: Homo sapiens; assembly: GCF_000001405.40. Taxonomy (NCBI): domain Eukaryota; kingdom Metazoa; phylum Chordata; class Mammalia; order Primates; family Hominidae; genus Homo; species Homo sapiens. The sequence goes on from NC_000004.12 coordinate 99,891,431, forward strand.
CAAATCACTACATAAATAATTATGTAATTAACAGATGCACACTGTCATCAGTAACCAGCCACATCATTTCTTTCAAAGTATGTTGATGGTTGGTCACTGTGCATCTGTTATGCAGCTCATGCAGAGATAGCAAAGCATGTAGTTTTGTACCTCCTTGTCTCCCAATGATAAAGTATGTGACATTTAGAAAAAGAGATAATAAAAAGAGGAAACTGGCCAACAAAGACGAAATACAGCAAAGAAATGAAAAGTAATAATGCTGAAATTTCAAATAGAAATGCTGAATTTCAAATAGAAAGTAAAGAATTATAGAAGAAACAGATGACCAAGGGAATGCTGACACTATCGCTCTAGATACACAGAGAACTCAGTGAAGGCAAACTTATTGACATAAATGAGGAAAGCGGTTGTGACGAAAATTTTCCAGAGGACGTGAGGCTGGCAAAAAATATTCATATTAAAGGAAATCTCAGAGATACTTCACAACATGGAAAATACAGACAAAATGCTTCATAAAATTAACATATGGCATATAGAATTTATTCAATAACAAATTAAAAATTTCTTACCTTGGTAACTTTTTATACAAGAATCGCTTTAGGTCCTGAAAGAGAGCATTAAAAAATAATGTTGTAATAATAGGCCTTCCACTGTTTTCTAGATCCTGTCCTATCCAAATTTTAAGGAACTTCAGTTATCATTCATAACCTTTCTTGCTGTGTTTTATCTTTCTCTGTCTGATTTGGATGTTTACTAGTCACGCAACTTGGAGTAAGTTAACCAACCTTTTTTCGCTAAGCTTATTTCATTATTTGTTGAATAGGGCTAATATAGAACCTACATCATAAAAGTGTTGTTAAAAGTTTATTGAGAAGATGCATGGATTAGCATACCTAGAAATGGGAAACACATTTTAGCCATAAAATTACATCATAATTTTCATACTAGTGTTTTACATCCTGTTGCTATTGTGTTCACTTGAGAAGACGTTATAAACACCTTTCCATGTTCAAAGATAGACTTTCCACCATCATCTTAATGGTCTTGGGTAAGGTGATATGACCTCTGTAAGACTGTTGTCTCACGTGACTATCACATTATAAAAATATGCCTTCCATTGTTTCATTATTTGTTGAACTCACCTACTCAACAAATAATGAAACAGTGTAAGGCATATTATTATAACGTAATTTTTAAAATATTTTGTTTAAGGACCTAAAATAAATTCTATATGACTATGTGAGGCAACATTTTTTTTTTTTTTTGAGACGGAGTTTCGCTCTTGTTGTCCAGGCTGGAGTGCAATGGCGCGATCTCGGCTCACTGCGACCTCTGCCTCCCAGGTTCAAACGATTCTCCTGCCTCAACCTCCCGAGTAGCTGGGATTACAAGCACCTGCCACCATGCCCAGCTAATTTTTTGTATTTTTAGAAAAGACAACGTTTTACCATGTTGGCCAGGCTGGTCTCGAACTCCTGACCTCAGGTGATCCACCCGCCTTGGCCTCCCAAAGTGCTGGGATTACAGACGTGAGCCACCGCGCCCAGCCCAGTGTTACAGAATATAAAATAAATGACAATGTGTGTCAAGTGTTTAACACGAAACACAGTTAAGACTAAAGAAGTAGAAGACTATTTTATTTTTCTAAGCTGGGGCTCACTGCAACTTCCAACTTCTGGGCTCAAGCAATCGTCTCGCCTCACTTCCAGCATAGCTGTGACTACAGAGGTATCAATGCGCCTGGCTGATTTTTAAATTTCTTTTTGTAGAACGGGGTCTTGCTATGTTGCCCAGGCTGATCTTGAACTCCCGGCCTCAAGTGATCCTTCCATCTCGGCCTCCCAAAGTGCTGAGATTACAGACTAAGCAACCGCATTGGCCAGAAGACTATCTTATTTTGTCTCATTACACTCTCTTATCCCAGGAATTTCACTGACAATTTAGGTATCAATTTTGACCTCACATGGATTAATCAGGTATCTCTTGTTTTGAGCATCCAGCACTTACTATTCTCCAAACCCGACTGATCATTTTATCCTCCTACACACACACACACACACGTTACCATGTTTCTAAAGAGGCATGGGTTAGAAATCATCGTAAATTGCTACAATAAACCAAATGAGATATTGTTATCACTTACTGGAAAAAAGTATTGTGGGTACATGTCCTACTGACCAAATTCTGACAGGAAAAGCAGCAAACCATCATTCAGAATTTCAAATGGTAAATATACAGAGCCTCTCTTATGCCCCAGCTGGACTGGGGAGTAGGGAGAACCTAATTTTCTCAGTCTCAAGCACCTTAGTGTCCTACACCCCCATTCGAGGCAGAAACTCAGGATCCTGCAAATTCATTCATATTAGTCTCCCACTTCAGATATCAGAGAAAATAATTAACTGGGATGGGTGGGGCTGGGAGGATCAAAACAAATTTCTGTTTGGGAAGTTCTACCTCTCCCCGCTCAGTATGCCCCTCAAAATTCCCCACTCTCCCCTTCCTCTTATGTAGGGGTGTCACTCACATCCGCCATGATGAACCCCCTTCTCTCGCAGGATCAATCTCCACGCCTGGAAGAGAAACTCCCGGTGACTCTTCCCTCTTTGGCTTCCTCGTCCTCCCCACCCACAACTTAATACGCGAGATCAGCCCTGGTCAGAACCAGGTAAAACCCCCGCGGTTCTAGGGCTTGGCCCAGCGAGCCCAGTGGGAGTCGGAGTGCCCCAGCACCCCCACAGGTACTCAGCTGGCACACCTTACCTCAGCCCACCCCATCCCTGCCCCTCCACCCCAAAGAGCTAGGCCCAAAGAAAAGAAGAGAGGGTCCTCTCCTTCTGTTTAATCTCACCACCCGCGCCACCTGCGGGACTAGGCCTCAAAACCAGGCAAAGTAGCGCCAGTTACCTGGGGTTTCTGGGCTGCCTGGTTCTCTCCGCTGTCACTTCAGGGACAGCTTTAAAGACAGGTTCCTCCTCAAGCCACCGTCACATGATTCATGACCTCGTCTGCGCTCCAGGAAGCACTTTCTAAGCCGCCGTCGCCCTACGATACGGGATTTCCGGAGGGGCCCGGCGGAAGCTGCGAGGGCGCGTCCGGCGGCCGCGCCCCTCCCCTCCCCCCCGCCCCGCACGCGCCCCGCCCCTCCCCCGCCCACCGCGGGCCGCGTCTTGCGCCTGCGCCTTGTGTCACGGGCCGAAGGAAGTCAGCTGTGGGGTAGATTTGTACGAGATCGCTGGACCCTAAGGAACCCAGAAAATGCAAGCAAGGTTATGTGTTACAAGACATTCTTGTGCAGAGAGGGTGTATAAATGTCATTAGTTTTGCAGGGTCTGTTATCTTAAAACCTTTTCTTGTAGATGAAGAAATTTGAGGGGATGGTGTGATGAGCTGAAGAGCAAGCACCAGATTGCCTGTGATTGGAAGTACCAGGTCCACAGGTTTCTGACCTGTTTCCTAGGCTCTTGTGACTTCCCCATGGGTGCTCTTTACTGAAGGCCTTACCTAGATTGAATGGGGAGGAGCCATGGGTTTTCTGGAGCACTTCAAGCGTCTACTTTTAACATGCAGACACTGATTACGGGCACCTTCTATGTTCCCTTTTACATCAGAATTTTTAAAAATTAGTAAGGTCTCATGTAATAAATAATAATTGAAAAAAATAAAAGGCTTTCCGGGTGCGGTGGCTGACGCCTGTAGTCGCAGCACTTTGGGAGTCCGAGGCGGGACGATCCTTTGAGCCCAGGAGTTCCACAGCAGCCTGGCAAGATAGGACCCCATCTCTACAAATAATAATAATAATTAAGAATTATCCGAACGTGGCGTGCACCAGGTACTCGGGAGGCTGAGGCAGGAGGATCCCTTGAGCCCAGGGTTTGAGGCTGCATCGAGTGGTGATCGCCCCACTGAACTCCAGCTTGTGTGACAGAGCGAGACCCTCAAAAGAAAAGCTTCTTTAGAAATCGCATCCTCTTTCAGCTACCACACTGTTTTTCCTCTACTCCCTTTCATAGCCAAATTTTCAGAAAACTTTAGCCTGGTTTTCAATTGCTGCTTCCATATGTCACAAATCTAATCAGAGTTCTGTTGATTCTACCTCCTATCTTTGAAAACTATTCACCTATCTATATTCCTACCCTACTCCAAGCCATGATCATCTCTCTTTTGACAACAACCTCCTATTCTTCTTACATTCTCTTTTGCCCTCCAGTCTCCACACAGCAACAAAAATGATGTTCTAAAGACCCAAATCACATCATTTAACTCCTTCCTTGAAAATCAAGTTTATTGACTTAGGATAAAGTTCAATATCAGCATCATGGTTTATATATCATTCTTATGGGGATCTGGCCCCTATCTTAATTCTCTCACCTACCCTGGATTCCTTATGCTATGATCATACAAGTTTGTTTTCACTTCCATAAAGATTTTTATCACTTTACCAACTTAGCACGTTCTGCCTGAGATATTTCTCTAGCATACCTTAATCCTACTAATCTCATCTTTTGCATTTTGGCTTAAACTCACTCTCAGAGAAGCCTTCCCTGACCCTCACTGAATAGTTTAGGTCTTCTAGATAAATGCTTTCATTGTACCCTGTAATTTTCTTTGTAGAATTTATCATAATTATAATTATTTACTTGATATTTATTTTCTTTGCTAGATGTAAACTCTTTAAGGTTTTTGTCTTTCTTATTCAGTGATTAATTCCCAGCACCCAGCTCACTGCCTGGGATATAGCAAGCATTGACATACTTGTTGAATAGTTGAATGAATGAAAGAGTGGCCATATTGAGTATAAAACATGATAAAAACAAACATTTTACAGTGAGAACAGACCTTTTTATTAATATATTGAGATAAACTACAGAGACTGAAAGACAAAAATTCATATTTCATTCAGAACATTCATTAAAAATCAAATGCATTTGAGTTCTCACAGAAAATTTTATGTAAGTCTGATATAACATTAAATATTTTACAAATCAGACATTTCATTTTGAAATCTAATTTTTAATCCTGAATGCATTATAGACAAAGTAAGCTCTCCTTTACCAATTTCATTTAACTTATACAAGGCTTCCATTATAATTCCATCAAACCTTAAAAATTACCTGCAGCTTTTAAAAACACATAAAGTAAATGGAAAGAAAGTCTTATGTAGCAATCCAAAAACTAAAACTAGAAATTGGCAAGAAGCATTTCTTAATACAGATAAACTGCAAAATATCATTTATGTGTGTTTCTTCTCATTGGTTTAATCATCCTATTAAAAATAATTTTTTGAAAGTAATAATTACAATACTCCAATGTCACTGAAAATCTCTATGATTTTAATGGTGTCCTTAAATGGCAAAGTAGAATATCAGACTGAAATGTACAGAGTGTTGTGCTGAAGTGAATGAGACTTGCCATGCCAGGTGTCATCTGCTATGCAGTTACAAGACATCTTGGCAACTAGTCATCCCAGTTTTTACTAACTTACTAAACAAGGACATTTCAAGAAATACTTCTTACCCCTATGTATTTCCAGATGGCTGGATATAGAAAGATATAATTATGTTTGAAGCATGGGCCTTATAATAGGAATCTCTCCATTAAAATATGAAAAAGAGCAACAAATAATTCACACCAATGAAATTGTGTTGACTGATTTTCAAAGTCAGACATAAAAATATCCACTGCTAATGGAAGCCCTGCTCTGTGCAAACATAGTGTGGTATATATTAAACAATCACACATTTGAGGTAATTAGCTGGGAAAAAAAAAAAAAAATATATATATATATATATACACCTATACATAGACACATCCACAGAATATTCACAAATCTATTGGCCCCAACACCAGCAGATAGTCATATTAAATGAAAAATATCACATACCAACAGGAAAAAGTTACACATAGGGAATATACAAAAAATATGGTGCTATAATCCTTAATATAAGGAGTATGTTTTGAATTAATGTTTTGAGGAAAAGTGTTTCCATTTATATGAAAGTATCTATTTAATAGTAATAAAACCAAAAAGGAAGCTGAATTCTAGGACTGTTTTACCTGCCAAATAATTGAAGGGATGAGCAAGAATTCCTTGAAAAGCCTCATTCTATCCTTTTTCTTTGTAACTAAAAATTAGAATTTAAAATGTTGGAAATTATTGCCAGACAAGTTTCTTTTCATTGGTTTATAGGGAATTTTATGGATTTTAACTAGGCAATGGTCCAATGTGGTCAACAGACATGGTTTTTCAGCTGTTGAATGAAAATTAAAATAAAGATTTATTGTTGATTTTCATTAGTTTTTCTGTTCAGATAAGAAAAAAGATTATGAATTCCCTTTCAGTTTGCTTCACTCATTATGAAGATGGATAGTAATAGGATAGTACTGAACCCAAGCTTCACATGGGGAAGCTCAAGAAATGTACAAATTCTCTTCTTAACCATTTGGTCCTCTGATATAAAACTTGCTTAACTGGCAAGATGGCTCACTTGGTCCTCAAGCCAACATCAAGAAATATTTAGCTGTCTTAACACAGGTGGGAGACTTTTTTTTAATGAAATACATAGGAATCCATTAAGTAACATTAGCATGTCATGTGTTAAATAGCTTCATTTAAAAATGTTACAGATCAACAGAAGGGAAATCAAAAACTTATTTTTCTCAGTAACTACTTTACATACTAGTGTAATTAAAGGTTTAACTGGAAGAAAAATTCAGCATAAAAGTATAATTAAAGTAAAAAGCTGGTATTCCACATTCCTGTTCCTATGAACACCTGAGCTGGCACAAAAGCTGAGTAGTTTAATGCATTGGCATATATATGCCTTAAGGACTGTACTTTTCTCTACCAAATCTTTGTAAATCATAAACAAGCATGTAATGATTATGAAACAAATACTTATTTAGGTGTTCAAATGTAATCTGTTTACAAAATATATTATTTTCACTTATTAGATGAATTCAACTTGACATTTTTCATTGCTGAGAATTCAGTTCACATTTAATCAAACTACATTTCGAAATTTACAGATGACTAAATGACTAGCACCAGTCTATTTGGGAACTAAGGAATCAAAAGAAGAGGAGAAAGGTACTATTTTTCATTTCCCCCAAACCCTCACAAGGACAATAATGTTTGTGTGTATATGCATGGGTGTATTTGTGTTTACACAAAAAGGGGTAAAAATGTAAAGCATTAATAAATATAAGTGCTGCTAAACTGTTAGAATACCAGTTAGAGGAGCTAATAAAGCAATATTCAAAGATTGAGGACTTTTAGGTGGTCATTAGAATGAGCCGATGAAATTGCGAAGTTCATGTAGCTAAACATAAGATGGCAAAATGTTGGGATTTTTATTATAAAAAAAGCAGCAAACATGAAAATCTTTTATCAAGATATCCAAACTCTTCTTACTTTATAAAGTTAACTCCAAATTATAAGATACTTGTTGAGCTTTTATACCATGATATAGATGACATTAAGGACTGAATCTTTACTTGCATACTTCATATGTGGCTTAAATTGTCAGGCACTCAGTCTGTCATTTCTCACTGCAGAAAATTTTATCAAACACATTTTCCCTAGCATTTTATGAAATTTAATGGAATGCAGCACTGCAACTGAAATATAATACTGTCCAAAAGCCATGTATGACTTTATAATATATACTTTATGGTATCACTTAACTTTGTACAATAACTTCACCTATCTCCTTAAAGCTGGGATTAAGGGAAAAAGAATCAGTCAACAAGAAGGTAAGTTCACAGAATTATCAGCCATAATAGTGTAAATTTGCCATTAAAATTAGAAAAATAAATAGATGAAATTTTTTTCATTCAAATTTTCATAAATTTTCTGATGCATATGAACTTTCAAAGTTAATTAAAATGCTATGAACTTATATTTTTAAAAACTTACTCTGCAGGCTCAACAAAATAATTAAAATTGTATTTTCTCTTAAGCACTGCTTTTTTTTTTTTTTTAAGGTAACATTTCTAAGAGCAAGTTGGTTAAGCTCTCCAGTTTTCCTATGACAGTATGTTGTTTAGTTTAACCTACTAATTCAATCAGGCATTTCTATTGATTCACCTGGAAAAGGGGATACAACAGAACATTTTTAAGAGGTCATTTTAGCAGTTTTATTCAACAGATGCCATAAATTAACTACATTCAGGAAAAAAAACTTAAACAAAGAACAAAGCCACCCTATCTAGCATTCTCTCACTCACAAAGAAGTATCAAAGATATGTTTATGTTCCATTAACCGAGTATGAAGCAAAATCATTAAAATATTACAACTGCTAAACACAGAAGACTAGAAATCAAATAGTTTCATATCCAGTATACAGGCATCAAAAACTTCAATTTCCAGCTGTTTTTTTTTTCTAATTCATATCATGGATTTACTTACAAGGAGCTTATTCCTATGGGATTAATTCAATTACTCAATGGTAAATAGATTTTAGCTCAGAATTTTTAAAGGATGACTTGCTTTAAGTTACTATTCTACGTGCTGCTCTATTTCTGCTCACACTTGCATGTGGCCAAACAGATCATGCTCTGATCAGATAAGTATACTGTAATCTACTTATATGTTTAGGAGTTGGCATAGGGTTAAAAGGCACAAAGCTGTATTTTAGTACTCATTTTTCTTATTACTTATTTGTAAAGGAACTTCTTTGGATCCTGCTTAAATGATCACCAAGAAACTGCAAATTTCTATGGGGGAAAATGTGAGTCCTCTTCATAAATTTTAGCAGCCCTTCAAGGACATATACATCAAAATTTGGTGGCCTTTAAAGTATTGGAATTTTAAATGACATAACTGCACTTTACTGTTGAAGACCCTTTTAGTTTAATATTTATAGCCATTTCCTCATATTTTCTTTAAAATTTATCAGTATAGCATTTCATTTCTATGCATGTATATGTATAGTAATTCATAAAACTAAATAGCAAACTGATATTCTACACCAGTTCATTTATCTCAATATATATTTTGGAATATAACGGCAATATTAAAAATATCAATTCCCTCTAAGCTGATAATACTATAAGATTTTACACAAAGTTAAAGTTTTTGTTTTTTCTTTTTGAAAAAGTTTCATTGTTTAAAGTCCACATATTTGACACCTTGATAAGGAAAATGTAAATGTGTCATATAACATTTATTCCATCAATTTAAACTGAAGTGTCTCATGGAGCTAAACACTAAAAGAATTTAAATAAAAAAGCAGTAACCTGTATGTACACAAAATGATCATTCCATAAATATTTACATGACAAGGGAAAAAATGGAGAATCACTAAAACTGGAAATTGCTACAGGTGTGATAATCCTTTCTCATGACACTTTAGTTAGGAATCATGTAAGCTTTTAAAATGAAAATACTTGTAGAAGCGTTAACTAAAATATTCCATTTTAGTTTTCAGTTACTATTTAAAGGAGCCAGTAGGTCATAAACAGTCCAAGATTTCAGGAACCAACTATTCAGTTTAGTTTTCAGTATCAAATCTTTTCCTTCATCCCTCATGATGAAACCAAACTTACTTACAGAAAAAATAAAGAGTACGCTAAAAGGTATAAATAAAAATTCCAGTTCATCCTCCTTTATAAAGACTGGTAAGCCGCTCTAATTCTTTACAGTTGTCCATGCTCAAGGCATCTGCCTTCCTTCGGAGTCGATCATCACGGTATACTTTTGCTGCATACTGCATATCTGTTTCTGTTAATAAAGAAAAATATTTTGCTAATTGAATAAAATTTTTGTCACCTAGTTGCTTAAGCTCAAGTGATGCTTTACAGGAGCCCTTTGATATATTTTGATTAACTGACTTAAAAAAAATCAAAGTACAATTCCTAAAAGCCATTTTAGTAGGAAAAAAATTTTAATGAAAACTTTATTTGAAGTATAGCAGGTAAAACAAACACAGAAAATAAATAAGGATAGAATCCTGTCAACTCACGTTGGAATCCTTTCTCTCTACTCCTGTTCCCCAGTGGTTTAAAAACTATTCCTCTGAAGCATCATCTTGGACTCTTTTCCTAAAAATATTATATGCTTTTCAATACTGCCAGTGGTTGTTTCACTGTGGCCTTCTGTTAAGATTTCAGATTATCCCAAGACTTAAGTATTTAATAAAAAATTTAAAATCTTGTTCTGAGTTTACTTAAATTAAAAAATACATATAATAATATTACTGAAGGAACACAGATAAAAAAAATGCTTGTTATACGATCGTAATATTGCTATTCAGCAAATAAGTACTTCTGAGGCTTCCTTCAGTGTGTGGGACAGCACAGCTACTAATGATATACAGACTACAAATCAAAATTCTTCAAGGAGTATTTCTTGTTTTTTCCTGTTACTCTCAGTCATTTCACTGTTTATTAATACCTGTAAAGACTAGGAGCACTTAAAGAAGATGTAACAGAAAAAGAAATCAGTTACTTTCTGGAACACAATGGCCAAAGTAGAAGACATCTGGTTTATATGGATTAGTCAAGATCACATTCAAGATATACTCACAGTTAAGACAGTATTCCATTTGTAAAGATCTCCAGAAATAATCTTTACTAAATCAACTGGACTAGGATTAACAACTCAATCAATATTATCCTATGCCTTTTATTTACACATAATGCGCTTATATCTATTTACAGATGACTCTTCCCAAAGAAGAAATTTGAGACTTAGATAAACCGAAGTTCACACTGCTAACGAATGGCAGAGTCTAGATTCCAGTCCAACTCTCCAATGCCTAGCCTAATATTCTTTCCATTATTTCAAGTACTGCTTGGGCTGGATAATTTTTTTGTTGTGGGGGGTCTGTGCATTGTAGGATGTTTAGCAGCATCCCTGGCCTTAACCCGCTAGATGCTAGTAGCAATCCCTTTCCATTCCCATCCCATGATGACACACAAAAGTATCTCCAGACGTTACCAAACATCTCTAGGGATGGGTGGGGTGGGGGAAGGGTGGCAACTCACTCCCAGCTGAAAACATAAAAATCACTAGTCTAATGTAAGCTTCTCCACACTGAGGACAGACTGATTTCACAAACTCATTGAGTTAGAAGTCAAAGAGGTCACATCTCTAACTGCCACTAAATAGAGGAGAAAACCAAGACCAGAGAGGTTAAGGACTCTCTTAGAAGTTACATTTTATCAACTTTTCCCTAGCAAGGGGGAGATGATGATAATTGCTGACATTTTCTGAGCATTCACTATGTGTGAAGTACTTTATTGCCTGATTTAATTTTCACAACAAACCCCATAAAGTTGGTTATTTCTGAGAAGACGTTGGAGCACAGGGCCTGGATTCTAGAGACAAATTGTCTGGTTTTCAATCACAAACGACCTCTATGACCTTGGGCAAGTTAGTAATCTCTCTTTGCTTCAGTTTCTTCATGTGTAAAATAAGTATAATCTCACAGGGTTGTTGTGAAGATTAAATGAGTTAATACTTACAATGTGCTTGGGACAGTGACTGAAACAGGCATTATATAAATGATAGCTATTATTTCCTCCTCCCACTCATCATCACCCATTTTACACATGAAACTCATAGAGGTTACAATTCGTCAGCTAAAAATTTCAGAGCTAGGATTCAACTTTACTCAGTTTAATTCCAAAGTCAGTTCTCCTAACACTACACTATATGGTCTACATTATTATTCACAACAATGGTCACAAAAACAAGAACCACAACACTCAATTCACATGCAACATCTCAGCAGATTCTTATATCAATCTTTATAGATGGAACTGTTCCTTAAATTAAGAAAACTGAGGCTGGAAAAGCCTAAGCAAATGAAGTGTTCTGAAGAGTCTCTCTGTGTACAAAGTAAAGAAAAAAGAAATGTCAACAAAACTCATTGTACATTAAATTCTAAATACAAAAGCTAAATTAATAGAGTTTCAAACTTAACTCTGAAAACAGTATGCATCTTAAAATTGATGACATAGTTTATCTGCCAGGATATTTTTTGTTTCTTGGTGGTACATAAAAGAATGATGTGTCTTATGATGGATATTATCAATACAATAAAATTTGGTATTACTTATTCAACCAAATATTTATTGATAACAATAGACAAGTACCATTTATTAAGTCCTTACTATGTGTCAATTCCGATGTTAGGCCACATGTATATAAAACACATGATCTCATTTAAGTACTGTGCTCCAATTATGTGCCAGGGAATTCCAGAACATTCCTTGAATAGGGAAATCTACATTAATCAGTTCCAAAGACTGCGAATAAGTTTTAAAATGTTAAACACATGACAAACTTACTTTGTTGTCTTTCTTTCCAGCAGTTATTTCGAATATTAGTCACATAATCTTCCTCCACACTCTTTTCTACCTTTTGTAATAACATTCCTTTATATTCATTTTTGAAGTCCTTGTTGACATAATAAACAACACCCAAGTTTTCTGTTTGCATTTTAATAGTTTGCCCAGTTCCACTGTAAAAGAGATGCATCATTATTTTAATTAAAATTGGACATTCCAATATGCTGCTATAAACCAAGCAAACAAAAACAATTAAAAATCATTGAAAAGTTAATATTGGTAATACAGGTTGAGCATCCCTAATCCGAAACTCTGAAATCCGAAATGCTCTAAAATCTAAGACTTTCTGAGCATCGACAAGATGGCACAAGTGAAAAATTCCAAAGCTGACCTCATGTGATGGGTCACCTTTTAATCAAAACACAGCATCATAGGTGGAAACTAAAAGCCTGTAGTTGTTTGTCGTTGCTATTGTTTAACAGCTGACACGGGTATTCTGGTGATGCTAATATGCTGGTGGTTATTTAAACCTGAATACATTATTTTTTCACTGTTAAATACTTATATGTGAATTAGAGTAAGAAAATTATTGCTTATCAGTAGCATATAAATTCAGAGTCAGGAATGATGCCAAACAACCACAGGTTGTCCACATGGGTGGCTGAGATAGTGATACCTTTGCTTTCTGATAGTTCAATGTATACAAACTTTGTTTCATGTACAAAGTGACTAAAAATATTGTATAAAATTACCTTCAGGCTGTGTGAATAGGGTATATATAAAACATAAATTTCATTTTTAGACTTGGGTACCATCCTCAAGACATCTCATAAAATATATGCAAATATTACAAAATCTGAAAAAATCCAAAATCCCAAAATCCAAAACACTGCTGGTCCCAAGCATTTTGGATAAGAAATACTCAACTTTTAATTTATTTACATTCTCTCACATTGCCTAAAACCATGATTTCATGTCACAAAAAGTAACCACATTTTTAAATATACTATGCTTTTGTAAAGTATCTCAATTTTTTGTTAATAAAAATCTTATTTGTATTATAAATTACAAAAATCAACTTGTAATTTATTTACGTTATCTCAAATTGCCTAAAACCATGATTTCATGTCACAAAAAGTAACCACACTTTTAAATATACTGTGTTTTTATAAAGTTATCTCAATTTTTTGTTAATAAAAATCTTATTTGGAAGAAATAAGGTAATTGTTATTTTTAGACCAATGTGATTTTAATACTGTAAAATCACTGATTTTTATTATTTTTTCTTTATATGCTTCTTATTTATTCATGCTGCTATAACAGCCAATATGATGTTATAGTTTCCTTTATGTTCACTGTATTAAAGTTGTCTAGATTGCATGCTGTATTAAATTTCCTTTATGTCCTGACCTCTTACACATAAAGTATATGGTGAAAAAAATACATCATAAAAAAGTAATATTTGCTTTTATTTAATCGATATTTTGCAAAATGAAGAGTAAAGTCATTTTCCCCTTAATGATATAAATCTATGTAACATCAATCATTGCTCTGTCTTTAGTTTTGTCCTTTAGAGTATTTTTTGCCTTTAATGTCAACACATTACCTACCACATTAAATTGTTATCAAGTTCAAATATAGCATTTCTGTCCTTATCCACAGTGGAAGAATAGAAATGTAAATTAACAACATAAGACAAATTTATTACTTAAAGTAACTATTTTAAAAAATTAGATAGAAATTTAAAATCTGGTACACTTGCAGTAATAGATTTGGCACTTAAAAGTTTAAAAGAGCACAAGCTCTTTAAAGGAAGCTAGGTCAGAAATAGCAACAATTCATTTTTTGTAAAACTTCACTTGGCTACTTACGATCTGGGATATAAGGAATAAGGAGGATTAGAGACCATCAACTGGCTTAATAATGACACGAGGATCAATACAATTATGGGCATCAGCTGGATAAACACAGAAAAACCTCCCTATAAAAAATGATCAAAGAATAACAAATTGTAATATAACTGTAGTTGTTAATAATACAACAGTTGTCATACATTTTGAGGCAGAAAGCGCATTTGAGATCATCTAGTTCAGTGCTTTCAAATCTGCGTAACCATGCCAATAGGATGATTCTTAAATATAATTATCCAGGCATATCACCAGGAGATTCTGATTTGAAAAACACTGATAAAATTTGATTTCATTTTATAGATGAGGAAGTCTTCATTTCTTTCTCTTTCTCTTTCCCGACTCCCTCCCCCCCACACACAGAGACGCTATCAATATGCTGCAGGCTGTAAAACCATTTTTTACCTTGGATTTGAGGGTAGAAGATGGGAGCTGATGAGTGGCAAAGCTGGGGGCCAGGCCTTTTAATTTCTAGTCTAGTGCTCTTTCCATTTACCTTTCCACTTCATGTAATTAAATTGCTATAGGCAATTAGGTATAACTGCATTAGAACAAGGAAAGTTACCTCCAATTCAAGTTTTTCAGTACTCTAAATTCTTCAGGGCCAACAATAACAAGTTACCTTCACAACATGCATAGTGCAGGTGTACCTTCATTAGAATCATAGAATAACAAATCTAAAGGGGTCATACTATCCAACCACCCCTGGCTGACCTCTCTTCCTATTCCTACAATGTCCCTAAGGATTTTCTAGTCTCTACCAAACACCTCTAGTAAGAGAAAACTCATTATTTCCTACAACTACTTGCCCTCTTTTCAGACAACTCTAATTACTTTTCCTGAGCTGAAATTTGCCATTTTGTGATTTCTAGTCATAAACGTACATCTCCTCTTTCCTCTTCTCTTTCATGTCCACTATGTCGATGCTGATGTTGTTGGCTATAACCAGCTCTTCCATTTGAAAAAGAATGTACACTACCTAAAAAATTAAAAGCAAGGTTAAATTAGGGAGAGCAATTATGATCAGAAAAAATACATTTTCTTTCACATTTTTCTTTAATTTTAAAAAATTACTAAAATAATGCATGTGTATTTTCAGTAGTAAATACTTATTGCCCTCTCCTCTTGTAAGTGAAGGGTGGACAGAAATAGGAATGATTCTTCCCAATCTGCTTCCGTTACAGGTAGAAGTTCCTTCTTTATGAAAACTTGACTAAGAGTTTCTCTACACACATAGAGGTTTTTATAAACCTCTTTTGTTTATGATTAGTTGTGATTAGTTGTTTTTATAAATGTTGGATTATTACTTTGAAACTTTGCTTTTTGCATTTATCAATGAATCATAAACATCTCTAGAAATCAAAAGATAGTGTTCAAATTCATTTTTAAAAAATAGCCCTATAATATATCTTGGTATAGATGGACCAGAATTTATTCAAACACTCTCTTGCTGATAAACATTCAAGTTGTTTTCATATAAGATGACCAATCAGAAATGGCTACCATTGACAAACTATGTTATAACTAGCAAAATAACTGCAAATCAAGTATCAGAAGAAAATTTACTACTGCCTGAAAGATTTCTGATTGTTCCTAGTATACTTCCAGTCAAAATTACTAGTTTTAATAATTTTTCTGTAATTATGTATTCTAACATGTCAAAACACAGGTTATATTTTCAGTCATTAATTTGCATTTATATATCCTCTTTCCTTCAAGGATGCTTTGCAAAACGTCCTATCAATGACCACAACCTTGCCAGGCATGGTGGCTCACCTCTGTAATCCCAGCACAGGATTTGGGAGGCTAAGGTGGGAGGATTGCTTGAGGCTGGGAGTTCAAGACCAGCCTGGACAACATAGCAAGACCCTGTCTCTACAAAAAAGTTTTAAAAAAATTAGCCAGACATGTGGTACATGTCAGTAGTACCAGCAACTTGGGAGGCTGAGATGGGAGGATTGGTAGAGCCTAGGATTTTGAGGCTGCACTGAGCTATGATTGCCCCAGTGTACTCCAGCCTGGGCAACAGAGCAAGACCCTGTCTCTATTAAAAAATAGAAAGAAATGACCACAACCTTTCTCAATAATATTCAGAGAGGGCCACCAGGTCCAATTATACTGCTACATTCATGAAGATTCTCTTAATGTTGAATGGGATTTACTTCAGCACCTGAAGTAAATTTTGTAAACAAGACTAAAGCTATAATTTTAAGTACCTTAGAGGAGCTACATTCAAGGAAAATAGATTTCCACAATAACAACTCACAGTACAGTAAGTCCTCACTTAACGTCATCAAGAGGTCCTTGGAAACTGCAACTTCAAGTAAACATGATGTACTATATGCCTTAGCAATTTAACTGTTGTTTATATCAATTAGCCTGCGGTAAAATTAGTTGTTATACAGAACATTGTTTCACTTACAGTCACAGTTTCCAAAAACCTTATGTTAAGTGACCACTTACTGTAAATGTAAGTGGAGTTTGATACTATTTATGTTGGTACTATAAAATCTTAGTATCACTACAATATTTCACTTTGATAGTCTAGTTAAAGTTAGCTATTTCTATTTTAATGTAAACTTAAAAATCCACTTACTTTGTATATAACCTATGAATCAGATTTTCTACTGTTTAAATGGAAATAGAGATGAGTACCTCTACATATATCCAAATTAGCCAACTATAATGTTATTGATAAAATATTTACAAAGATCTCTAGGGAAGCAATGTCAAATAGTTATCCAGGTTTAAGTAAAGAAAACCATTCATAATTATAATAGTACTTACCTAAGACATTGCCATTACATTTCCTGCTTACATTCCCTTTCAGCTTTATATAAAATACAGAATATCTGTACTCTTCATTTTTTTAAATTAAAATATGTTCTAGGAAAAAGGCAGGCTATTATAAAAGTAATAACCCTAATATTTTTCTCCTGCTTTCATGAAAAACCATTACAGGATCGTAACACTACAAGAAATGTAGGGGAAAAGGTAGATACATCTCTAAATAACGTTAACTGGAGGTAAGACTATGTAGCTTCATAAAATATAATATCTATAATTACATTAAAATACCTGAAGGAAATCCACCCCCAAAAAATATATTAAACAAGTCTTCTGGAGTTATATCAGCTTCACAACCTCTATGGAAATTAAATCTGCCATTGTTTTGGTGGTTACATGCTTGTTCTTCATTGCCCGTGAGGTCATACTGTTTTCGCTTTTCTGGATTACTTAAAACAGCATAAGCATTTCCAATCTCTGAAAAAGTAATGAGTAAAAGTTGGTAAGCAAAGTTTTTATATTATAAAAGGCTGCCCCACATAAAAACTAACATCATGCTGAAAAAAAGACTACCTAAAACTATCCAGAAAATTGTTAAAAATAAGTTCTTTTAAAGATATACATTGTTTGCAATTACATATATTATCTCTCAACACAACTTTTTATACCAGACAAGTCTCTCTACTGCCTTGAAAACAAAGGAATATCCATCTTCCTTTTTTAATATTGTGCTCCATCTCCTAAAATCCTGCCTCTTAAGCCATTCTTCAAGTGGTTTAAACCAATAACAATAGCAGTAGCTATCATTTATTGAGTACCTAAGAACTGCCAGGCTCTGCACCCAATACCTTATTACATTGTCCATTATTATCCTCACTTTACAAATGAGGGCCCTGAAATTCAAGAAGGTTAAATAACTCATGCAAAGTCAAATTATTCTTAGCACGATAAATACACTCTCTTTATGCAGCCCATACCAAAAATCTTTTTTTGCACCCTGGAGCCTGAATGAGCTATTTTTTCATTCTATTATCCCAAACAATTTATCCCCTAAAACAGTAAACTCCATAAAGACAGGGACTGTGTTTATGTTTTCATGGCAATATCCCCAAGGTCCAGCATAAAGTCTGAATTAGTTTTTAAATAAATACAGACAGTCCTCAGTTTTTCTATTTCACTTTGCTACCTTCACAACATTTATTTATAAAAAAGAATTCTCTTTCCCATCTCACAGTCCCAAATCCAAAAGAGGTAATGTTACACTGGTTACCAGAATTTACTTAAAACAGCATAAGCATTTCCAATCTCTGAAAAAGAAATGAGTAAAAGTAGGTAAGCAAAGTTTTTATATTATAAAAGTCTGCCCCACATAAAAACTAATGTCATGCTGAAAAAAAAGACTACCTGAAACTAATCCAGAAAATTGTTAAAATTTACAAATTTACCAATTTACAAGTTGTAATGCTTTGAATCTAAAACTAAGAACTATCCTATTCGTACTCTGACACTTCTAATAGTTAATCACTTCATAAATACATCTTGCTTCTTAAACTAGATTGTAAGCCTCTTGCAATACAGAATATTTTAAAAATAGTTTTTGGATCCCATGTGGTGGCTGCCATAGGTACTGTACAAGCAAACAGATGCTCATTAGGTAGTTGTTTTTGGATGATTACACATTACACTGAAATTAATTATATACAATACTCTGGATATTTTCTTCTAATCGAGCTTCTTAAAACTGGGATTCAGAGATTGCTTTCAAATGGTGAGTATACCCTGCTGAATGAAAAATTAGGTGAATGATCCATCTATCTGAGGAGATACTTTCTTCAGATTCTCAAAGAATCTGTGACTCAGAACTGTGGCCATCATTTATGAGTTATTTCAAAGGGAAAGTATAATCAAAGATCCAAACAATGTACTTACAAACAACATCAAGGTATTAACTCATACCTAAAAAAAGAAGCATATCTATCAATCTCTGCTAAAATTGTATTTTTAGTAACAATATCAATTTTAGGATTTAACATCTATAAACTAAAAGGGCTATCCCATGTAATGCAATAATGCTACTTTAATAGTTTTAATACTTTAAAACTATTAATATATAGGCAACCCAATTCTATTTTAAGGCTTCCTTTTTTAGAAAAAATAATTTCTAAACATTAAGATATTTTAGATGGTATTTGAGAAATACTGTCATAATCTATAATTGTACACATAAGACAATTTATATATTGTGGCCAGAGTAAATTTCTATTCATTTACTTTGTGCTATACCCATATAATCAAGATTTTTTTGCAGTTCCTTATTATCTAAATAATTATATCCTAAATTTATTTTGGTATTCATAAGTTTTACAAAACGCATTTCTACCTCATTGTCACTTATTTCACCAAAAGGTACCTTCCACTTCATTTATTTTTCTTTAAACTTTTAATACACAGATCCACTGTACCTTTCCCCTAATTTTTCCCAACAGTAATATTTTGCAAAATTATCTTACAATATCACAAACAGGATATTGACACTGATATAGTCAGGATATAGAACATTTCTAACACCACTCTCATGTTGCTCTTTCATAACCACATCCAACTCCTCCTCCCTCCCTTCCCAACCCCTGACAACCATTCATCTATTCTCCATTTTGACAGTTTTGTCATTTCAAGAATATTATATTAATGAAATAACACAGTATATAAATGGGATATTATATGATATATAAATGGAATGAAACCTTTTGGGATTGGCTTTGTAAATCATAATACTCTGGAGATCCAGGTTGTCATATATGCCAACAGTTCATTTCTTTTTATTAGTGAGTAGTAGTCCATGGTTAAGGATGTACCACTGTTTAACCATTTACCACTGAATAACATCTAGTTTTTTTCTAGTTTTTGGCTATTACAAATAAAATTGCTATATATATTCATGTACAGGATTAGGTGTAAACATAAATCTTCATTCCTCTGGAATAAATCCCCAGGAGTGCATTGCTGGGTTGTATAGTAGCTGCACAGATTTTTGAGAAACTGCCCAACTGTTGTACAGAACAGCTGTGTCATTATATATCCCATTAACAATGTATGAGTGATCCATTCCCTGCATCCATACCAGCATTTGGTATTGTCATTATTTTTCACTCTAGCCATTCTGATAAATGTGTAGTGATATCCCATTTTGGTTTTACTTTGCATTTCTCTAATGACTAATGAATGACAGAGAAAATCTTTCACTGTGCTTATTTGCCCTCTGTATATCATCTTCAAAGGAATGCCTCTTCATTTTTTTGCCCATTCTAATTGGACTGTCTGTTATTTTACTTTTGAGTGTTTGGAGTTCTTTATATTTAATATATTCAAGATACCTGTCCTTTGTCAAATACGTGCCTGGCAAATCTTTTTTTCCATCCTGGAGCTTCTTTTCATCCTCGTAATAAGGCAGAGCAAGCTTAAAAAATCTTAAAGTCCAACTTAACAACTTTTCCTTTTATGTACTGTGCTTTTGGGATTAAGTCTTAAAAAATCATTGCCTCACCCTAGATCCTAAAGATTGACTCCCATTATTGTTGATTGTTATGTTTTATATTTACATTCATGATCTATTTCGAGTTCATTTTGTGTATAAGGGATGATACTTTTCGTCAGGGTTAATTTTTTGGCCTATGGGTGTCCAATTGCCTCAAAACCAACTGTTGAAAAGGCTATCTTTCCTCCATCGAACTGCTTTTGCATCTTTGTCAAAAAACAGTTGGCTATATTGGTATCAGTCTATTTCTGGGTTTCCTATCTCGTTCTATTGATCTATGTGTGTATCTCTCTGCCATTACCACGCAGTTTTGTTTACTGTTTATCTATACAGTAAATCCTGAAATCAGGAACACTGATTACTCCAACTACATTCTTTTAACAGAAATAAATGTTTTTAAATATTCAGGTTCTTTCTTCCCCTCATATGAATTTTAGAATAAAACTTGTTTCTATCTACAAAACAAATCCTGCTAGGATTTTGACAGGAATTGTGTTAAATCTGTATATCAATCTGTGATGACTTGACTTTTTTTTTTTTTTAAGACAGAGTTTTGCTCTTGTTGTCCTGGCTGGAGCGCAACGGCGCGATCTCGGCTCATTGCAACCTCCACCTCCCAGGTTCAAGTGATTCTCCTACCTCAGCCTCCTGAGTAGCTGGGATTACAGGCATGCGCCACCACGCCTCGCTAATGTTGTACTTTTAGTAGAGATGGGGTTTCTCCATGTTGGTCAGGCTGGTCTAAAGCTCCCGATCTCAGGTGATCTGCCCACCTCGGCCTCCCAAAGTGCTGGGATTACAGGTGTGAGTCACCGTGCCCAGCCGACTTGACATCTTTACTATGTTGAATCTTCCCATCCATGAACATGATATTTCAGTCCATTTATTTAGCTATTTTCTGATTTCTTTAATCAATATTGTATAGCTTTCAGTATATAAATGTGATAAAAGTTTTATTAAACTTACACCTAAGTATTTTTTTGTATGTATGATTGTAAATGCTAATGTATTATTAATTTTAGTGTCTAAATATTCATTGCTAGTAAATAGAAATGCAATTAATTTTTTGTAGATTTATATTGTGTCCTGCAATCTTACGGGATTTGCTTTGTAGTCACAGTTTTTTCTGTAGATTCCTTGGATTTCTACATAGATAATCATGTCATTTGCACATAACAACAGTTTTAGCTCTTCTTTTCCAGTCTGTATGCCTTTTATTTCCTTTTTCTCTCTTTAACGCAGTGATTACTACTTCCTGCACTTTGTTGAATATGAGTGGTAAAGAGATATTCTTGCTTTATTCTTGATCATAGGGGAAAAGCATTCAGTCTTTCACCATTTAATGTTAGCTTACAGGAGTTCTGTAGTTGCTCTTTATCAAGTTGAGGCAGGTCCCTTCTATTGCTATTTTTCTGACAGTTTTTATCATGAATGGGTGGTGAAATGTATCAAATGCTTTTATTCCACTGATTAATATAATCGTGGGATTTTTTTTCTTTAATTAATGTGGTGGATTACACTTATTGATCTTCAAATAGTGAATTGACTTTGCTACCTTGAAATAAACTTCTATTGTTTGGGGTATATAATTCTTTTTATATACTGCAAAATTCTGATATTTTGTTAAGGACATTTGGGTTTATCCCACAAAGTATACTGGTCTGTAGTTTTTTTTTTTTTTTTTTTCTGTAATGTCTTTGGTTTTGATATAAGCAAGGTAAAACATTTCTTAACATTAACTGGAAAATGTCTCTTCCTCTTCTATTTTCTGGAAGAGATTATGTAGAATTAGTTTTAATTCTTCCTTAAAAAGTTTGGTAGACTTCTTCAATAAGAGCATCTGAGCCTGGATATTTCTTTTTTGGGAATTTCATAATTACAACTTTAATTCACTGAACAGTTCTGTCTTAGTCCATTTTGTGTTGCTATAGAAAAATACCTGAGACTAGCTTATGGTTCTATAGGCTGAAAAGTTTGTGGGCATAGCCTTGGCTTCTGGTGAGGGCTTTTGTGCTGCATAACATGGTGGAGAAAATCAAAGGGGAAGCAGACAGGTGCAAAGAGGGGAAAACCTGAGGGGTGTCCTGGCTTTATAACAACCCACTCATTCGGGAAATAATCAATTCCTTCAAGAACTAATCTAGCCTCAAGAGAGCAAGAACTTACTACTGTGAGAACAGCAGCAAGACATTCATGAGGGATCTGCCCCCATAACACAAACACTTCCCACTAGGCTACACCTCCCAACACTGCCACATTGAGGATCAAATTTCAATATACTGAACCAACCCAAATGTCCAACAATGATAGACTGCATTAAGAAAATGTGGCACATATACACCATGGAATACTATGCAGCCATAAAAATGATGAGTTCATGTCCTTTCTAGGGACATGGATGAGGCTGGAAACCATCATTCTCAGCAAACTATCGCAAGGACAAAAAACCAAACACCGCATGTTCTTACTCATAGGTGGGAATTGAACAATGAGAACCCTTGGACGCAGGAAGGGGAACATCACACACTGGGGCCTGTTGTGGGGTGGGGGGAGTGGCGAGGGATAGCATTAGGAGAAATACCTTATGTAAATGACGAGTTAACGGATGCAGCACACCAACATGGCACATGTATACATATGTAACAAACCTGCACGTTGTGCACATGTACCCTAGAACTTAAAGGATAATAAAAATATATATATAAAATAAAAAATAAAAATAAAAATTAAAAAATTTCAATATACCCAAACCACAGCAATTTCTACAGGGCTATTCACGTTATCTATGTCAGACTGAGTTGTGATGATTTGTATTTTTCAACTAACTGGCCCATCTCATCTAACTTGTAAACTTATGTATATGGAATTGTTCATAGTATTCTCTTATTATCCGTTTGATGTCTGCAGTGATATCCTTGTCTCTGACACCATTTCTGACAATGGTCATTTCTGTCTTCTTTTTTTGGTCAGTCTTTCAATTTTATTGATTTTTTTCAGAGAACCAGCTCTGTTTCATTGATATTCACTATTGTTACTCTTTTCAATTGTACTGATTTCTACTCTTATAATTTCTTTTGCTTGCTTTGAGTTTATTTTGCTATTCTTTTTCTAGATTTGTAAGGTAGAAGCATAGATAACTGATTTGAGGCTGTTCTTCTTTTCTAACATATGCATTTCATGTTACAAGTTTCCTCTCAGCATTCCTTTAGCTGGTCTTCTCAAATTTTAATTGTTGTATTTTCATTTTTAGTTAGTTCACTGCGAGCTCCGCCTCCCAGGTTCATGCCATTCTCCTGCCTCAGCCTCCCGAGTAGCTGGGACCACAGGCGCCCGCCACCACGCCCGGCTACTTTTTTGTATTTTTAGTAGAGATGGGGTTTCATCGTGTTAGCCAAGATGGTCTCAAATTCCTGACCTTGCGATCCACCCACCTCGGCCTCCCAAAGTGCTGGGATCACAGGCGTGAGCCACTGTGCCTGGCCAAGTTAGATCAATATGTTTTTTCAAATTTGTTTTGATATTTCCTGTTTGACCCATGGATACTTAGAAATTTGTTGTTCAGTTTCCAAGGACTGGACGTTTTCCTATTACCTTTGTGTAACTGATTTCCACTTTGATTCCACTGTGGTTAGTGAACATACTTGTATGATTTCAATATTTTAAATTAGTGGAGGTTTATCTTATGAATCAGGATATGGTCTCTCTTCCTGTGTGTTCTGTGGGCACTTGAAAAGAATTTGTAGTCTGCTGTTGTTGAGCGGTATGTTGTATAAATGTTGATTAGATCTTGTTGAGTGATGGTGGTGTTTAGTTCTTCTATATTCTTGTTGATTTTCTGTCTAATTGTTCTATCAATTATTGAGAGAGAGGTGTCAGAGTCTCCAACTATAATTGTGACTTTGTCTATTTCTTCCTCCAGTTCTATTAGTTTTTGCTTTACATATTTTGCAGCTGTCTTTCGGTGCATATACATTTATGTCTTAAAGGACTGACCCTTTTATCATGTATGTGTTCATAATGTACTTCTCTGGTAATTTTTTTTACTCTAAAACCTACTTGCTCTAATATTAATATAGCAACTCCTGTTTTCTTTTGATTAATATTTACATGATATATTTTTTCAATCTTATTTTTATTCTGGATATAGTGTTATCAAATAATTTTCTTGTAGACAACATACAGCAAAATCATGTTTTGTTTTTGAAACAAGGTCTCGCTCTGTTACCCCAGCTGGAGTGCAGTGGCACAATCACAGGTCACTGCAGCCTCAACCCCCCAGGCTCAAGTGATTCTCCCACCTCAGCCTCCCAAGTAGCTGGGATAACAGACACGTGCTACCACATCCAGCTAATTTTTTAATTTTTTATAGAGATGGGGGTCTCACTGTTGGCTAGGTTGATCTTGAACCCATGGGCTCAAGTGATCCTCCCACCTTTGCCTCCCAAAGTGCTAGGAATATATAGGCATGAGCCACTTCACCTAGTGAAAACATGCTTTTAAAATGCATTATGCCAAAAGACTTTTAATTGGCATAGACAGGTCACTTACATGTAATGTAATTACTGATAAGTTAGGGTTTAAGCCTGCCATTTTATTTTTTATTTTCTGTTCTTTCATTCCTGTTTTCTTTTTCCTGACATCCTGTGAGTTAGTTTCTTGAACATTTTTTAGAATTCCATTTTGACTTATCAACAGTGTGTTCTGAGTATATATCTTTGTATAACTTTTTAGCGGTTGCTCTAGGTATTATATATACATTATATATACATAATTTATATGTGTTATATATACATAATTTATAACCCTCTGGTGTCATCATTTTGTTAGTCTGAATTAAGTACAGAATCCTTACCTCCCTTTACTTCCCTTTATCTTCCTCCATTTAAAACATAATTGCCAGCCGGGCGTGGTGGCTCAAGCCTGTAATCCCAGCACTTTGGGAGGCTGAGGCGGATGGATCATGCAATCGAGAGATAGAGACCATCCTGGCCAACATGGTGAAACCCTGTCTCTACTAAAAATACAAAAAAATTAGCTGGGTGTGGTGGCACATGCCTGTAATCCCAGCTACTCGGGAGGCTGAGGCAGGAAAATCGCTTGAACCTGGGAGGCGGAGGTTGCAGTGAGCAGAGATTGCACCACTGCACTCCAGCCTGGGTGACAGAGACTACGTCTCAAACAAACAAACAAACAAACAAAAAATTGCCTTATATATTTTCTTTACATACATCTAAAACCTTATCAATGTTATAATTTTTGCTTCAAATATCAAACATAATTTAGAAACTCGAGAAGCAAAAGTATATTGTATTTAACCATATTTTTGCTTACCATGTGTCTTAGTCCATTCAGACTACTATAACAAAATATCATAAACTGCATAGTTTATAACCAAATCTATTTCTCACAGCTACAGAGGCTAAGGCTTAGATCAAGACACTGGCAGACTCAGTGTCTGGTGAGGGCCTGCTTTCTGGTTCACAAATGGTTCCTTCTAGCTGTGTCTTCACAAGGTAGAATCCGACCTCCCAAAGGCCTCACCTCCTAATACCATCACATTTGTGACTAGGTTTCAACATATGAACTTTGGGGCACCACAAATAATACCAGAGTACCATGTTCTTTCTCTCCTCTTGATATTTCAAGATTCTTTCCTTTATTGTGTCCTTTTGTTTAAAGAACTTCCTTTAGCTATTCTCTTAGGTTGTATTTGCTCTTGACAAGTTTTCCCATTTTTCCTTCATCTGAAAAATGTCTTGATTTCCCCTTCATTCCTGAAAGATATTTTTGCTGAGTATAGGATTCTAGGTTGACAGTCGTTTTCCTTCAGCACTTGAAAAATGTGCCACTTCTTTCTGGCCTCTGTGGTTTCTGATGTGAAATTTGCTGTCATTTAAATTGCTTTTCCCCCTATAGGTAAGGCGTCATTTCTCTTTTGCTGTTTTCAAGCCTTTGTCTTTAGTTTTCAAAAGTTTGACAACGATGTGTCTTGGTGTGGCTTTCTTTGGGTTTATCAGTTTGGGGTTCATTCAACTGGAATCTATAGGCTTCTATCTTTTGCCAAATTTGGGAAGTTTTCAACCTTTAATTTTCTGAGTACCTTTTCAGCTCTGCCCTCTTTCTCCCTTTCTTCTAGGACACCAATCACCTAAATATTAGATCTTTTGCTATAGTCCCACCTGTCTCTGAGGCTATGTCCTTTTTCATCTTAGCTTATTTTCTATGTTCAAATTGGAAAACATCTATTTTTCTATTTTCTAGCTCACCAATTATTTCCTCTATCTGTCCATTCTGCTGTTTATTCTAGTCATTGATAGTTTTTGTTTATTTTTGAGTTGTAAAATTTCTATTTTGTTCTTTATACTTTTAATAGCTTTGCTCAGACTTTCTATTGCTTTGCAGAGATTCTTTTAAGTTTATTTGTAGTTGCTCATTGAAACATTTATATGATCATAAACATTTATAGAGTTTGAGATATTCCTGGTTCTTAGACTGACAAGTAATTTTCAACTGAAACTTCGTAATTTGGGTATTATCTTATGAGAGTCTGGATCTTATTTACATATTTTGTTTTTATTGTATTCCTCTGACTCCACTTTGGCAGAGAAGGGGGAATACCATCTCATTGTTCCTAAGTGGGAGTGGAAGTCCAGGGTTTTTCCCTTGGCCTCTGAAGACACTCAAGGGGAGGGGTCCCATTGGATAGATACGTAAGTTCCCTTATGGGAACATCAGGCCTCCACTTACGTCTCCCTGGCTAGGAGGAGAAGAGATACTTCATTACTGTTCTCCATTTAACTTCCCTGATACCATAAGGAAATGACTTTGTTACCTGTGGGTGGTGACTGAAGTCCTGACTGTGCATTAGGCTACCTATGATACTACCCTAGCAGGGAGAATGAGCACCCTTTTATTGCCAGGTGGAGGTGAAAGTCCACATGATCTCCACTGACATCATGAGGGAAGCCTTTCTTACTACCCAGCATAAATGAAAGTCTAAGCTATCTAGTTAACCTTCTCTGTTACCATCCCAGCAGGGAGCTTAGAGCATCTCATTACAGCATAGAGAGGGTGGTAGCATCTCATTACAGCACAGAGGGGGTGGTAGTATAGGCTCTCTACTCAGACTTTGCTAGTGTGGGTCAGGGTGGGGCCACAATTTTTCCTGTGGTGTTTGCAGTAGAGTGGCTACTGTTTTTCTGTCTTTCTAGGCTATCCCTTTCCTGATCATTTGGCTAGATAAGGCAGGCTTTTCTTGGGGCTTTTCTGTCTATATGTATTGGTGTTTTGGGGTTGCCTACTCCTCCAGCACCTAATCTGGGATATATATGGGGTAAAAAAATACCTAGGCCAGGCATGGTGGCTCACACTGGTAATCCCAGCACTTTGGGAGGCTGAGGTAGGTGGATCACGAGGTCAGGAGTTCAAGACCAGCCTGGCCAAGATGGTGAAACCCCATCTCTACTAAAAATACAAAATAATTAACTGGGATTGGTGGCAGGCGCCTGTAATCCCAGCTACTTGGAAGGCTGAGGCAGAGAATTGCTTGAACCCGAGAGGCAGAGGTTGCGGTGAGCTGAGACTGCGCCACTGCATTCCAGCCTGGGTGACAGAGCAAGACTCCATCTTAAAAAACAAACAAACAAACAAACAAACAAAAACCTAAGCAACTAACTAATATGTTGTTCTTTGAATCCTGAGGTCCCTACCTAGTTGGTCTGCCTTTTTTCTCTCCATCTTTCAGAGTCTTCCTATGTTTGTTTTCTTTATTTTATATATTAATGTTTGGGGTTTTCAGTTGTACTCATTGGGAGAAATGGGGAAAAGTATATCTGTCCTATCTTCCTGAAAGTGGAAGTCCTCATGGAATTTTAGATCACCCACCTCATTTTCGCTGCCAAGGTTTTGCCAACCCCTCTCTTTAACCATAGAAATCATGCTAACTCTTGAGAAAACTCTTAATTTTAACCTTAATTCTAACTATTATGAAGGCTTTCCCAATTACTCTGCTCACAATGAGTCTTCATCTTTCTAACTTTTCTTTGGACTTCTGTAGTCTGTTTTGGTATTTAAATATAGTTGGTCTTCTGTGAGATCCTGGGTAAATCTGAGTCTCAATTTTTTTATTTTTGAAATAAGAATGACACTGGTCTCTTAACTATTTGATGAGATTTTTAAATAAGCATTAAATGTAAAAATGGGAATGAAAAACTATGTTTGTTAAATGTGAGGCATTACTATATCGCAAAAGTTCTGTGTAAGGTTTATTTCCCCCTTATGAATTATAAATTATTTGGGGAAGAGGATATCTCAGATTCTCTCACTGTATTTCTCTACAAGAACTAGCCCAAATGGCAGAATTAAACTCTTTGTTCTTAGAGATATACTCTAGATGTTCATATTGAACTACCAGAACTAATACAAGCAACAACTCCCATTCCACTACTACTTGTCAAGCAAACACATAAACAACTAATCCATGCCCCATTATTACATTCATGTGTATGTCAACAGACACAGGTATTATTCAAATAGTCTCTGAAATACTTGGGAATCTTTGAAGATAATGTAGATGGGTATGTTTTAAAGACATCTACATCAGAAAAAAGGAAAGGGACTTATTTCATTAAAATATTTTTTTAAAATATGTTTACATGTATTTTGCAAGTCACTTTACATGTAAATAAAATATTCCCCTCTTGGGAAACATATAATCCTAACTGGAAGGACAAAATAGCTATATGAACATATGAGTTCATTTAGTCCATTCTCCTTGAGAGCAATCTTTTTTATTTTTAAAGCTTTACAAAACACACAAATGAAACATCTCTTCATTTAATTACTAATTACCTCTTCTTTTTCTATTCTTGAAGGAAATGAAAGCAAGTAGTTTCCATTTTCTGTAAAAAGTGTTTTAGTAATTACAGAGCAATCAATCCATACTTTAGCTTTTATAAAAAAGACAATAGTATTGTCTTTGCTCAGAGATAAATGGCTTAGTATTCCAAAAACAGACTGATTGGTTAAAAATAAAATAAGATGATACAGAAGATAATGAGAAGATCCTGTGTGCTAAATGAATGAAACCTGCCATTTCTGTGTGATGATGCCATCTGTAATATTTTCTAATTAACTACTGTTACTCGCCAAGCGTGTGTGGATTACAACTTGAGTTTTCTATGCAGTTTCCACTCAGTGAAAAATGGGCTCATCAGCCAATTCCCTATTCTGATCCTCTTTGGGACTAATAAACTGGCATTCTGATTTACAGGTAATCTCTTTGTGTATTGAACAATGTATCCTCTCCTCAGATATAAATCACTTCCCGGCATGTTGGTAAGTATTAAGTTTCTAGTTTTGCAAAGCAGAGCACTAAACTCTGAAATGTACCACATGAAAGTGTAACCAGTTTTGTAAAACCCCACTGAGTGTCTAGCGGGCTTCCTTAGGTGACATCTATGTTGCTAACCTATTCAAAACGCAACACAGGCTGCAGAAATATGTTACATACATTTAGTGTTATTCAAAGATGCTAACATGACTTCAATATAGAAGTGGAAGAAATAGTTTAATGTTCTTAGCATTAATAAAGAATTAACATTGAAATCACTTAGCAGATCACAAACATACAAATAACCCACTGCCAAAATATTTTAAACATTTTTAAAACTCAAAAAATTTTAAATTAAATTTGTGGAACTCATAAATCTAAACTCACTTTTAGCTTTTGGGGGAATATATGATAATAAATTAGCTATTTAAAGATTTCAGTTACTTTTTCTGGTAACTCTGTGACTGCATACATTAGGCTCAAGCTATAAAACAAATTAAACAAATATTTATTGTATTTGACAATTCCATCAGAAATTTCCCAACTTTCTGTACTATTGAATTATAAATTAACCTAAGTGCTATTATCTGTGTTTTTTTAAAATGAAAGCTTTATCTTTGTTTAATAAAGGTGTGTATTTGGAGGAAATAAAATAATGGCACTATTTTCTGGATACATTCTTCAGGTAATGAACTGACGGAAATGTAATTTGCAAGTTAGTGTTTTGGAGTAAAGCTTTTCCTGTACTTTCAACATGCCACTTTTACTTTAAGGAAACAAACTGAGACAGCTCTCGCTGTCACAGTGGTATTTTACTTTCACCAGCACCACTTTGGCAGTGGCTTTTATTGGAATATATTATTAATTCCCAAATGTATTTTCCTTGGCAACTTCCTTCAAGAAATAAAACTGTTTTGGAAACAATCTTAACGGTATTTTCATGAAGGACCAATTGCTTCTTCTACCTTTTTGGAAGATGTTTAAAATGAGTATCTACTTCCAGTTATTCTAAGACCCCACCATTGTACTGTAAACATTATACACTGGGTTTATGAATGCCAAATTCACAAGAATGAACAATCACAAATTTAGGCATTTAACTATGAATTAGAAATTAATTATTACAAATAAATTGTATTTAACAAAATATAAAACTACAAAATCACTTCTCTGACATTTATTAAATTGGCAAAAAATTTAAAGAATATTGGGATGGAAAATAAAAAAATAAATAGTAGGCAAGAGGAAAGATATTAATTTTTAAAAAGAAAAAAATAACATTAGCTAAAACTACATATATAAAATGAAAAAACTGGGCAAAGTTTAATAGAAATAAAAGAACACTGGGGAGCTATTTCTTAAATATCCAAATTCCACACAGTCTCTTGTACCTTAAAAACTCAAAAAAACTATATTTTGCTTTTAGTTCATTTAGAACCAGATGACAATACGCTAGAAGCTCATGCATAATCATCACCCTATTTGTTCCTGGTAAACAAGAAAGCATGCATATGTGCCTAGAAAAGTTACTTGAGACTGTATCAGAACTGGAATGTTGCTTTTGTGAAGCCAAACTGCATTTGTTTGCCTTCGGGTATAACCAGTTAATACTGAAGTTTTAAAGGATTTTCCAGACTCTTGCTTGTGCTGGTCTCTAAATGCACCAGTCCAAAAGCAGAACTTAATATTCTGAAACGCCGTAAAGTGAATTCTAAAGACAGCTTAGTAAAATTGCTTTAAAAGGTTTACTTTACTTTTAAAAGCATCTGTTGCTCCAGGTGCATGGTTTTTGTCTGGATGAAACTTCAAAGCAAGCTTTCTATAAGCTTTTTTCAAATCTTCATCACCAGCATCTTTCGTAACTCCAAGTACTTCATAGTAATTTTTACATTTGTTTATGCTGTGAACAAGAGAGTGTGTTATAATGTAAATTTCAAGGAAGACGGTCATGTAATATCTCTAATTTTTAATTTATTAGAATACTATAAAGAACTATCTGTGGACTCTTTCTCAAAATCTAATGAAGGCTTATCCCTTTAAGGATTAGTCTGCTTCATTCTCTTTTTCGACCACAGACCATTCCTCCAACCTCTTCCCGAATCTAAGAAGAGTAAACCATGAAAATGTCCTTAGTGTAATGTATCACAACTACAGAGAAGTAAACAAAGCCCATAATAATTGTGGATGAAAGTCAGAGCATATATTGTAACTAAAATGAGACAATAATAATAATTTTTTAGTACTTGTAAGTGGATAAATAAATTCCAAAACTCCTCAAAAGTATGTCACAGCTAAGAATGAACATGCATTACATTCCAAAAATTTTGTTCTTGCATAATGTAGATCTAACCAACTATCAAAGCAACAGTTTAGTACACGCAAAACAACAGCAGTATTCTATGGTTTAAATGTCAATATTTATTTATTTTTGATATAGATGGGGTCTTGTTATGTTGGGGCTGAGGCTAGTCTTGAAATTCGGGCCTCAAATGATCCTCCCATCTCAGCCTTCCAAAGTGCTGGGATTATAGGCATAAACCACTGCACCCGGCCATCCCCGTTATGCCAAAGATAATTTATCTGTATCACTCTCTGAAAAAGATAACATCTCATGATAAAATATAACACGTGACTCAAAAAATGTTATCCCTGATTTTCATTGTGATAAGCACATTTCTAAAGATTATATACATACAGTTTGTACCTTAAAGATTTAAGAGATTTAAGCCTGAAATCTTTAAAGTATATTAGGATTAGAAAATAAATACTCTGAATGGAACAGAGAACATTACGTACATGTGGATGCCAACCTTCTTCCACAACCTAGTAATTTACTTTCACAAAAGCCACAGTACATTTTCAAAATTTTTGGAGAGTACTTTGCAACTTTAGATGTGTTCCATGTGCAGGTGGCTTGATGACAGAGTTAGTGACAGGCAAAATGATCTAGGGTATAAGTGGACACTGGCAGCAAAAGAACTGCAAAGACTGACTCAAAGTTTTCAAAGAAAAGAGACAAGATTTTTTTTTTTTTTTTTTTACTATTACACCTATTAGTTATCACAGTGCTTGGCACACAAAAGGATCTCAGTAAATATTTTTGAAGTAAATGAGCCTTAGCTTTCTTTATATAATGAAGGCATCTATCATTTGTTATATGAACTTGGGGGTAAAAAGGGAAAGTAATATAAAATTGTACAAATTTACAGAAATTAAAATTGGATTTTTCTACTTTAGATACTTAAAAACATTAACATACATCAATTTTATTCCAAAAACATGACATTTCCTTTATTTAGTCAATAATATTTATTGAATACTAACTATGCCCAGACAGTGTTCTAGGCATTTGACATATATCTGTAAACAAAAAAAGAGAATGATCCCACCTGTGTAGAGACTCATTCTCCTAGAAATGTTTAGAAGCTATGTGATAGAAAAAAAGGAAATGGGGGGCATTTATAAAATACCTACTGTGTGTTAGGTACAGGTCCACCATCCCATATCAATGTTCCAATATCCATAAAGCTCTGAAAAATCAAAGTTATTCTATAACTAATTTGACTGCATAAAAAACTGAATTCAACTGTAGATTTTGCCTCTAGGCAAAAATCTGACCGAAAAGATGTGAAGCTACTACAGAATCTTCATTTATCCCATTTAAGTGTGAATACCTGTATGTTTTGCTGTAGAAATGTTACTATTTGTTATGGACTGCTGCCCTAGACTCTAAGATGTATAATATAAAATACACTGTCATCCCTTGGTATCCACAGGGGATTAGTTCCAGGATCCTCCCTCCTTGAATACCAAAATCTACAGATGCTCAAATCCCTGATATAAAATGGTACAGTATTTACATACAACCTTTACACATCTTCCCATGTACTTTAAATAATCTCTAGGTTATAAATAGTACCTAAGACAATGTAAATGCTACGTAAATGGTTGTTACACTATATTGGTTGTTTAATTTGTATTATTTTTTATTGTTGTATTGTTATTTTTCACCAAATACTTTCAATTCAAAGTTGGTTAAATCCACAGATGCAGAACCCATAGATGTGGAGAGCCGACTATATTAGTACCTTTCTAAAATATGAAGAATTCTGAATTCCAAATTGCATTTGGTCACAAAGATTTCACATAAAGAATTGTAGAATTTTATTATACTGATTATTTTACACAAATTATCTCATTTACTCCTCATTTGGTAGATATTATTCCTATTTAACCAATAAGGAAACCAATCTTTGAATGGTTAAGTAAATTGCCTAAATTCACATAACCAAGTAACAGATGAGAATAAGGACTTATTTCTTCAACAAAAATTTACTAACCATTTACTTTCTGTTAGGCACAATTTCAGATGCTACAGTGGTGAATAAAACAGTCAAAATCACATTAAATTTACAATTGGGAGAAAAACAAGCAATAAACAAATATATAAGTAAAATATAATGTACATCATATGGTGATAAATATCTGGAGAAAAATAAAGAAGCTAATAGAAACAGAGAAAGGAAGGGCAGGCCTTCTATTTCAAATAAGTAATAAAGGAAGGCCTCACAGTTAAGAATTCAAATCTGTTTATCTGACTTGAAAATCTTGCTGTCTCAGAACTGGAATACAGAAAAAAGGATACCCTTCAGACTTCAAAGTGACCTATCATCTTCCTATTTCTTTCTTACCATCAGTATTGAAGCTGACTCTCTTACCTCCTAGATCTTTGCAATTGCTTTTGGTGCTGAGCACACCTTCTCTGCCTCTCTTCTTGGTTAGCTAGTTTCTACAACTTCTCCGGACCCTGACTTAGCTCTTCCTTTTCCTAAGAATCCAAATTCCTCAGGACTAGGTTTGCTGCCCCTCTTATATCCTCCCCACATCCTCTGAACTTAGCCTTATCCCAACAATTACCAAAGTGTACTACAGTTGCCTCTTTACTTGTCTGATAACACTTCTAGATCACAGATTCTTTGAAGGCAGGGATTATGTTTTGTTCACCATATATGTTGGATGGATGGACAAATGACTTTCAATTTGAGAGCAGAAATGGTGAGGATCTAAAAAGTCACGTTCAGATCAAATGTGATGAATGCTGTCATGAAAATGTAGTTAGTACTAAAAATCATTTGGAATAGAAGAGAAGCAGTTAATAGAAGTGAAACAGACTGTGAGACAAGGTGGAGAGGTACGAATATGGCAGACACTACCTGAATGCAAAAAATAAAAGGTAAATTAAACACTGAACAATCCTAAAGCCATTACTACTTGGTTTGAGTGTGTAGGATGTTTAATTATGTTCCAGATTAAGCCTCTAAATTGTCTTGTTTATAATTACTGAGCACAAAAGCCTGGTCAACTTAAAAAGACAGCTGGATACTGTAGACAAAGTAGGTGAAAATTTGCAGTGCTCTAGATAGGGTCATAAAGCTAAGAATTGCCACAGACAAACAAAAAAAAAAGGGGGGGCCAGACATGAAAAACAGTTATTTCACTAACTCTTAGCTGTATCCAGCTCCACCATATCTCCTCTGCACTAAATTTTTCATCATATATTAGAGAAGAAATTCTTGAGAAGCCAGAAGTTACAGTCATCATCACCAATGGACAGCCTGAAGACTATGTATTTGAAGTAATGCTCCAAATATACCCATTCACCTAAGTTTTCACACCTGAATGAGAAATTATCATTCATATAATTATTTTCATTCATACTGTTGTTCATCATGCTCCTTTTCATCAGCTACATGTGTTTGTCACACTTTTTACAATCTGCTGCTTTCTAAAAGAGTAAAACCTTCTCCTGCCTCACTGAAGAATTAAAAGAAATTAAAAAGGAGTAACCCATTACCTATCTTGGAAGGAAATAATGTACAACAAGGCCAAAAGGATCTGTGTGGAGCTCAACAATGGGAAAACTCTGCCTGGTCCAGACTTTATATCTTCTCTTATGTGCATGGAAGCATAGTTGGTGGGAGAGGAAGGTCATTTTTCGATTCTCTTTTTTTCATGTGTGCTATATAGCTAATTATTTAAATATACTCCAAATTTAACTAGTGTTTAAGGAAACATTTATTTATTCCTGAGAAAAAGAATTACTTATTTTATAAGTTTAGCGAAATGATTTCTTCTGAAAGAACGGAAGCTTAAATCAAATCTTAAATTCAAATCCCCATAATTAACAGTTGTACAGTGTTTCTAATTGATAAATACAATGATACTCCAGTTAATAATTTCACACTGATCTTGTAAAGTTTTAAAGTTTTTCAATGGTATGTTAAAAATTTCAAATAAGATCCATGACAACTTTGTCTCAATTATTTTTCAATACACTTCAACTCAAAAAAAACAAATCGCCAAGTTTAACAGAATATTAGTTTACAAAGTTACACACTTTCTCTTCAGTCTTACTGTAAGCTAGCTCTTACTTATGCAATGGATGCAGTATTATTGCAAGACTTCTCCCCATTGAGCCAAATTGTCACTGAGCAACTTGTTTGCATAATCGTGCTAACCAACAAGATAACATGGCTTTCTTCAGAAAAATCCCCTGTGTATAGGTAAAAGAAAAAACAAAAACATACATCATGTAAGTGTTTGCTGGTGATCTGTACCCTCACTAAAGCAACACTTATGAAGGCTAATATAAGAGAAAAGGTATATTCAGCTAAGAAACTCACATAAAGTACAGACTAAAGTATTTTGAAAACTTGGGGATTCTCTTAGAGACTGTTCCAATCATATTTAGTCCCCAAAAGAAAAAAAAATTACATTTAATTAAAAAGGTATAATGAGATTATTGACCAGAGGACCAATCTCTAATACAGGTATACTACTAAGCTATTTCTTCCACTCTTAAAGAATTCATGGTCCCAAATGTGGCTGGGCCTTAAAACTAAATCAGCAATACTTCATTCCCTTTGCTTTTCTCCTCTGCAAATATTCCATACTTTTACCACTCTCTTAAGCTTTCAACCTCATCTCTTTTCTTCTAACTCTCAGAAGACAGCCTCATCTCCAATTTGACAGAGAAAACAGAAAAATTCCTTCCACCTTTTATGTCTCCACCTGTATGTCTGTATGTCTCTGGCCACATACAGAGTGTATCTACACTCAGCATCATCTTTCATTCTTCCATTCTCAAGGTGTCTCCTTGCCTACAGCCAGTTCCTCTGGGCTTTGGAGAACCACACACACAACCACCCACATACACACAAAACCAACCCCACCCCACATATATATATAATCAATACCAGAACAAAGAGGCATCAATGCTCTTCCTTCCTTATTTCTACCACACCTTGGACTACTCTTCTTTTTCTTTCAAGGCTAGGGTAGAGGAAATGAAGAAACAGACTTTTTAAAATAACACCAGATTTAGGAGAGTCTTCTTTTTCAAAACTTTCAACCATAGTTTTTTGGTAAACTTTCAAATATATAGGTGATTCTATATTCTTAAATATATATATATAAAATACATTTAACTTTCTTTGAATCCTTCATTGAGAATATGTTCTCCCAACATAAATTAAATCCTATAAGCAAATACAATTTGTTTTAGGATGTGGTTTCCAGAAACGTGTTTCAAGCACACTGCTTACTAATAAACGTTTTTTACAAAATAAATTCAAAAGTAAGTCTCTTACTTATTCACTTCTTTCACTTATTCAGCTACCTCTGACACAGTACTATAAGTATAAAAATGGTTAGCAGCATTATTTATATTCTCAAAGTGCTTCACTACCATTCATACTAATCAAATACTCTACCATGGCTTTACCATGATTAAGGAATCCTTTTTTGTTTGTTTGTTTGTTTGTTTGAGAAGGTGTCTTGCTCTGTCGCCCAGGCTGGAGTGCAGTGGTGTGATCTTGGCTCACTGCAACCTCTGCCTCTTGAGTTCAAGTGATTCCTCAGCCTCAGCCTCCCGAGTAGCTGGGATTACAGGTGCCTATCACCACGCCCGGCTACTTTTTCTATTTTTAGTAGAAATGAGGTTTTGCCATGTTGGCCAGGCTGGTCTTGAACTCCTGACCTCAGGGGATCTGCCCGCCTTGGCCTCCCAAAGTGCTAGGATTACAGGCGTGAGCCACCACACTCAGTCAGAGAATCGTTTTTTCTCATTGTAATCACTCTCAAATAAAATGTTACAATCAAGCTTTAGCATTTAAATATATAGGGACAAATGCAAAATATAAATATATGGGTATTTGATTTTAAAATTAAGATATGGTAACAAATCACTTTCCTTAATAAATAAAACCTGTATCTCAAAATACACTTCAATTACAAATTATGGTAAATAAAAAGTTGAGAATGGGGTAAAAAGGTGAAAAAAGAAATAAAATTAAAAGAGAAACAGACAAGAAAGGACAAATGAGAAAGACTTAACCTAACTAATTTTAACTACTCTTCACTTGAGTTAGTTCACTATATTATGATTCACTCTCCATGAGAATTCTTGAATTAATCTCTGTTCAAAATCCTTAATCTTTAGTTTCCCTAGCAAAGTAATATCAGCACAACATCAATACAGCTTCCATAAGCTTTAGCAGGAAACAAAACAGACTTTTCTCTAGTGTTTCAAACTCAAAGTTTCATTTCATTTCCAGAAAACCTTTTACTTATAAAATTAAAGCCAGATACCCAAAACCCAGTGTATAACTTTTCAACTCTAACATTTCTGCGAAAGGACATTATAGTGTCTGCATATATATAAAGATAGCCCTTCAAAAAGAATATAAATAGAAAAAAATCCTTCACTAATATAAGTAGGAAATTGAAAATGTTGCTATTACACTCAATATTCCTCTCATGAAATTCTCCCATTTTCATCTATGTAAAATAAAACAATTCTTCATCCTCTTTTAATATTGCTACATAAACAACATATTGTGTGAAAAAGCTGCAATAATTTTTCTTAAAAAAATTATTTGGAAAAAGCTTTGTAACTTGAGGTTACTTTAAAAAATAGAATATTCTATAGAGTTGGTACTTTACAGACCAGTTTTATAAAGAATATGAAGCATAAGACACACCCAGAGTTCAATTCCTTGATGTC
Organism: Homo sapiens; assembly: GCF_000001405.40. NCBI lineage: Eukaryota > Metazoa > Chordata > Mammalia > Primates > Hominidae > Homo > Homo sapiens. The sequence goes on from NC_000004.12 coordinate 99,930,350, forward strand.
TATTCTTCTAATGTTATATTTCACTTTTTTCAGGTGTTATAACATCAAAAAGTACATTAATACCAATTATGATTGAGATGTAAACCATATTTATTCCTACCTGAGAACTCCATCTACTTGGTCTTTGGTATAGCCTTTTCCACCTTCACCACTACCAGATGTGCTGTCCTTTGTGCAATTAGGCTTGCTTTGATCGCCACTACCTGATGGTTTTCGGCAATGAGGGCTATTTCCAGCCGTGCTTCCATTTTTCATAATTATTTCCAATAGTGCTGTAGAAAGATAAAGTACACTATGCCTGTTTACATCAACGTACATACACAAGATCCTGAGAAGAAAGTTTTAAAGCAGACAAATTATGAAGTGTGTTCTCCAAAAAGATTCACCATAGGATCTTTTTAATTAGCACGCATTCCCCTAAGTACTTAACTGTTTACAGAACACTAATCACCATCTAGAAGTAGAATGTTAAGTTAAAGCTAGTAACTTGAGATTATAATCATTCAATTATTTATGACATAATTTTATTTGTCATATCATGTGACACTGCAGATTACCAAAGAAAAAGAGGTAAGTCTTTAAAGTAGCCAATGAGATCATCCACAAAGTAACAGAAATTTAGACTTCCTGTTTAATTCTCAATAGCAACAATGGGAGCCAAGATACTGGAATATTATCATCCAAATGCTCAGAAAAAATAAATTGCTAACTTGAGTTATGCACTAATTTCCCAGAAAGTGCACAAGATAAAAACATTTTCCAACAAATAGAAAATTTATCACTAAAAGATTTTCACTAGAGGATACTGTAATATATACATTTCAGGCAAAAGGAAAACATTTACAGATAGGCTGAGATGGAAAAAGGAATGGTAAGCAAATAGTGTGGTAAATATGAGAGTAAATGTGAACAATGAGTGTAAAAAATAATTCTTATCAAGGATTTGCTTTTTAATAATCTGGGGAGGAGAAACATAAAAGTAGGGGTAGAAAGAATGTGAATGAAATAAGGTTGGCCATATATACTCATAATGGTTCAAGACAGGTGAGTGATTGGGAGTGATTATACTATTTTTTTCTCCTTTTGTGTGTGCTTAAAACTTTCCATAATAAAAGTTAAAACTAAACATAAAAAACATTAACAAAACTAATGGAGAAAAAGGGAAATCCATCATCATTATGGATTTTAACACATTTCAATCAGTAACTGATATAAGGTAAATTTTAAGAAATCATTGAGGATACAGATGACTTAGACATCAAATTTATAAGCTTTATCTAAGAGATATAACATTATACCCAACTAGTGAATATCTCTTTCTCACAGGCCCACATTATCGCTAGACCATAGAGTGGTCCTTTTCAAATCTCAGAGAATTATTACCATATATATATATATATATACCACAATCTATGAGCACAATACAGTTATATGAGAAATCAGTTACAAAAAATGTAACTAAAAAAATCATAAATGGGTTGGAAAAGAAAAAACAAAATAAAAAAATCTAGACAGCTTGTGTATCAAAGAAATAACTACAATAGAAATTACAAAATACTTAGAACTGAATAGAAATTAAAACACCAAATATCAGAACTTGTGGGTCAACAACTAGCCATCCACATGCAAAAGAATAAATTTGGACTCCATCACACTGGACACAAAAATTAACTCGGAATGGATCATGAATCTAAGTGTAAGAGCTAAAGCTTTAAAACTCTTAGAAGAAAATACAGAAGTAAATCTTCATGATGTTGATTTAGGCAAAATATTCTTAACTACAGAAACAAAAGTAAATGTGATAAAAGGAAAACAGAGAAAATGGGCTTTATCAAAATTTAAAACTTTTGTACTTCAAAGGCTATAATCAACAGAATGGAAAAAAAAATGTTTACAAATAACATACCTGATTTTCAAAAAAAAGTATCCAGAATATATAAAGAATTCTTACAGTTCAGTAATAAAAAGATCAAAAACACCGGTTAAAAAAACGGGTGAAGGATCTGAATAGACAATTTCTCCAAAACAAACAAACAAATGGTCAATAAGCACAAAAAAAAAGTTGCTCAACATCATTAGCTATTAGGGAAATAAAAATCAAAACCACAAAGAGAAGTATCACTTCAAACCCACATCCAAAAGATGAACAATAGCAAATGTTGAGAAGGATGGGGAGAAATTGGTACCCTAATAAGTTTCTAGTGAGAATGTAAAATGATGCTGCTACTTTGAAAAAATCATCTAGTAGTTCTTTAAAAAAGTAAACATAGTTACCATTTGACTCAACAATCCCATTCCTAAGTACATATCCAAGAGAAATGATATACAAAAACTGATTCACAAATGTTCATTGCAACATTATTCACAATGGCAAAAAGATACAAACAACCAAATATCTATCAACTGATGGATAATGATATATCCAGACAATGAAATATTTTCAAAAATAAAAAGAAACAGAGTACTGATATGTGCTACAACATGAATGGACCTTGAAAACATTATGCTAAGTGAAAGACTCCAGTCACAAAAGATGGTATACTATACGGTTCCGTTTATATGAAATGTACAGAACAGGCAAATCTACAGGGACAGAAAGTAAATGAATCATTGCCAAAGCTGGGGGTGCAGGGGAGGGTGGAACTGGGAATAAATGAGGAGTGACTGCTAAAGAGTAATGAGGTGTCTTTTTGAAGTAAGGAAATGTTCTAAAATTGATTTCCATAATTGTTGTGCAGCTCTGTTAAAATACTAAAGAAACACTGAATGGTATAATTGAAATGAGTGAATTGTATGGTATGTGAATTATGTCTCAATAAAGCATGTATATATATATACACACACTCTCAATATTATGTCTCAATAATGTCTCAATAAAGTATGTATATATATACACACACTCAACTAGGTACCAATCTAATCAGTTATTAATGAGAAATATAACATAAACAGTCTTTTTTTTTTTTTTTTTTTTTTTGAGACTGAGCCAGGCTGGAGTGCAGTGGTATAATCTCGGTTCACTGCAACCTCCGTCTCCTGGGTTCAGGCAATTCTGTCTCAGCCTCCTGAGTAACTGGGACTACAGGTACCTGCCCCCGACACCTGGCTAATTTTTTGATTTTTTTTTTAGTAGAGATGGGGTTTCACCATATTGGCCAGGCTGGTCTCAAACTCCTGACTTCAAGTGATCCACCCGCCTTGGCCTCCCAAAGTGCTGGGATTACAGGCGTGAGCCACACGCCTGGCCAATTTTTAAACTATAGTCTGTATTTAGTCTGCAATCGCAATGAACGGAAACCAGCATGGTCTAAGGGAGGTAGTGGTTCACAACATTTAGACATAAAAACTTTTGTGGGAATTCTGGAAAAAAGGCTATGACATCAGCTTAAATTTTAAATCTCTCCGAATTCCCTCATAAAGTCAGAGAAAACCTCATGCACAAAATCCCAAAATATAAGGTGGGGAAAAACCACCAACTGCCACAAGATCTGTGTGGGCAGTGGAGTATAATACAGGGGCATTTGCCAGCCCACAGAACATAAAAAAAAATTAAAAATAAAAATAACCAACAGGGACTCTCTATATAGCACAACAGGCAAAACTGGGAAAAGTGTGTAAAAAGGAATGAGTTTTGCCTACTACAATAGTACACAAGTGCACGGGTCCACAATAAAGCTTTAAAGGCATGGAAGACTCTAGTCACTACATGCCCTCAAAAATAATCAATCAAAGCTCTCTTCCACAACAAAGCCACACCAAGAAGAAACTCCTGGGAACAGGACCCAAACTGAAGAGGACAGGGAAAACAAAAAAAATGAAAAGAGAAACTCCAGATAAAAGTAGGGAAGGATAAAGGAATGAGAAGATCTCATTTAGCAAGGTGACATTTTTAAACATTACACAAAAACAGAAGGATCTCTACGTATTTACCAGCACATAAAAATGAGTAAAAGAAAATGACAGAAGTCAAATCTGATACAAAATTATAAGAAAAAAAGGATGAGTATGAATTAAACCTCTGAAGACGATAAATACACACCATAAACACTTGCTAACAAAACAGATGAACACTTTAATACTTCAAAACAAGCTGAAAAGACTAAAAAATAATGCATGATATAAAAGAACAATATATATCAAAATTACAACATCAGAAATTACTGGCCAGATGCAGTGGATCACATCTGTAATCCCAGCACTTTGGGAGGCTGAGGCGGGTAGATCACCTGAGGTCAGGAGTTCAAGACTAGCCTGGTCAACATGGTGAAATCCTGTCTCTACAAAAATACAAAAATTAGCCGGGCGTGATGACCAGTGCCTGTAATCCCAGCTACCCGGGAGGCTGAGGTGGGAGAATTGCTTGAACCTGGAGGTGGAGGTTGCAATGAGCTGAGATTGAGCCACTGCACTCCAGCCTGGGTGACAGAGCAAGACTGTCTCAAAAAAAAAAAAAAAAAAAAAAAAAAAAAAGAAAAGAAAAAATTATCTCTCAAAAACTTATGTGATAAAACTCAATAAAAAATAAGACATTTTAAAAAATCAATTAAAAAAAGACTAAACTAGAAGAAACTAGACTCATAAATACAACAGGATAATGCTTAAAAGAGAAAGAAAATATACCAGAAGGAAATTTAAAACATTTTTTTAAAAAGTCAAAAAGACAAAAAAATTTCAAGAGAAAACAGCAAATATTAACAGTAAAGATCCAACATATGTACAATAGGAGTACTGAAGAAAAACAAAAAAATAGAACAAATAAACTTTTCTGACATAAAAACAAAAAATCTGAAACTATTAAATGAAAGGGCAAATCACAGACCTAATACTGACCAAGAATAACTAACACCAAGACATATTCTAATAAAATTAAATATCTAGGCAAAAAGAGCAAATGACTTATAAAGGAGAGGAAATTAGACTGTCATCAGACTTTGTTCATCAGTAGTACTTGCATAAAACAATGGAGTAACAGATACACATGGAAAGAAAACGTACAGCAAAGACTTTCTATCCACCAAAATAACTTCAAGCAGTAAAGCCACAGATGAACTGTTTTCAACATTCTAGAATGAATGGAGCTTAGTTCCCACAAGCCCTTCTGGGAATCCACTATAAAACAGGCTTTAGGAATCCAAAATAATTACATATATGCTGACATAAGGACTGGTAGTAGTAAGCATTAAATGTATAGTTATTTATACAACTAAGACTAAATGACGGTTAAGAGAGAGCATACAGCATGTAATGACAGTATCTTCTAACACTGTAGATACGGTTTGAATATTTTCTAAATGGTGGGCTTCCCCTGTTTTTCCCTCTTCTAATAGAAAAATTATTAGGCTTCTTCCTTTCCCTTCTTTTTCCTTTTGGCATCTGGGGCTGGCAATGCCTGAATCCTGAACCAAGGAAGCTTATTGGGACTCAAGAGACAGTCATGGCCAGGTGCGGTGGCTCACGCCTGTAATCCCAGCACTTTAGGAGGCTGAGGCGGAGGGATCACTTGAGGTCAAGAATTTGAGACCAGCCTGGCCAACATGGTGAAACCTCGTCTCTACTAAAAATACAAAAAGTAGCCAGGTGTGGTGGCATGCACCTGTAGTCCCAGCTACTCGGGAGGCTGAGACAGGAGAATCACTTGAACCCAAGAGGCAGAGGTTGCAGTAAGCCATGATTGTGCCACTGCACTCCAACCTCGGTGACACAGACTGTATCAAAAAATAAAATAAATTTAAAAATAGAGACAGTCACAACCAAAAACATGGCTGAGCTCAAGAGGGCCTGGACCAATGGGCTTTTATGTACTAAAATACATAGAAAATTTTACATAAAAGCTCGATTTTATGTAATGAAGCAATTTGTTACATAAAAGGGAAAATGAGCAAATAAGTGGGAGCCACATTTCTCATTCTGTTCTGATTCTCTAACAGAGAACAGAATCACAAACATGGAAATGGAGATGGCTGGAATGAATCCTGTGGCATTTTACTAAAAATGGAAGTGTGTGAATATACTGTATGTGTGTGCATGTGTCACAGATACTAAAATTAATATTGACCAAATTACTATAAATATGTGTAGATCACAAACACATATAACACACATATGTACAGAAATATACATACATGCATTCACGCATACATTTATTTCCTGGCTCTGTCCACTGATAGGGCTAGAAACAATGACACTTCTGTAAGCTATGAGTTCATTTAGTATCTATATCTAGTTTCTAAATACCATTTTCCAGTAAAAGGAGTCAGGACTTCTTGGAGAACTAGCTGATTCCTAGGGCAGAGAAAGTAAAATGTGAGCCTGAAATTTTTTTGTGTTAGGAAATTTAAAAATTCAAAGAACAATGAGAACATGTCCAAAAGACACAGGAGCCAGCCTGAAGGGGCTCGCACTAACTAAATCTGAACACAAAAATAAATGATGATAATGACAGATTAAATCGGAAACCATGAATCTGTAACAGATAATTGAGGCTGAATGCTAACTGATAAATGTAGAAGGAATTATGGAATTAGAAAACCACATTTGGCAACCATCAGAAATTTTTTCAGGAAAGAATAACCAATGGATGCTACAAAGAGACAGTGAAAGTTTGTTGAGTAACAGGACACATACACAGTTTCAAAGTATTTCCCTACAAAACATGTATTTATTACAAAGAAGAAAAGAATAACATCGCCAGGCGCAGTGGCTCACGCCTGTAATCCCAGAACTTTGGGAGGCCGAGGCGGGCGGATCAGGAGGTCAGGAGATCGAGACTATCCTGGCTAACACAGTGAAACCCTGTTTCTACTAAAAAATACAAAAAATTAGCCAGGTGTGGTGGCAGGCGCTTATAGTCCCAGCTACTCGGGAGGCTGAGGCAGGAGAATGGTGTGAACCTGGGAGGTGGAGCTCGCAGTGAGCCGAGATCGCGCCATACACTCCAGCCTGGGTGACAGAGAGAGACTCCATCTCAAAGAATAACATCATAGTGGAGGAAAACAGCAATCACTAACTTAACTAAGTGATCAAAGTAACCTCACCAGTAAGGACCAAATCAACATCATGTGTCTCCTGATATGTTACACTAAGAACACACATCAGCAGGGCACGGTAGCTCACACCTGTAATCCCAGCACTTTGGGATGCCAAGGTGGGCTGATCACTTGAGCCCAGGGAGTTCCAGACCTGCCTGGGCAACATAGCAAAACCTTGCCTCTACAAAAAACACAAAAATTAGCCAGGCATGGTGGCATACGCCTGTAGTACCAGCTACTCGGGAGGCTAAGGTAGAAGAATTACTTGAGCCCAGGAGGCATAGGTTGCAGCGAGCCACGATCATGCCACTACACTCCAGTCTGGGTGACAAAGTGAGACTCAAAAAAAGGAACACACGTCACTTCCATAGTATTACACCAAAAACAAATACGATGAAATATCAGTCAAAGCCAAATTCAGGGCTGGGCATGGTGGCTCATGCCTGTAATCCCAGCACTTTGGGAGGCCAAGGTGGGAGGATCACTTGAGCCCAGGAGTTCAAAACCAGCCTGGAGAACACAGTGAAACCCTGTCTCTATTTATTTAAAAAAAAAAAAAAAAAAAAGTTGAGGGAAATTCTATAAACTCACTGGCCTAGGCCAGGCACGGTGGCTCACGCCTGTAATCCCAACACTTTGGGAGGCTGAGGCAGGCGGATCACTTGAGGTCAGGAGTTCGAGACCAGCCTGGCTAACATGGCGAAACCATGTTAAAAATACAAAAAAAAAAAAAAAAAAAAAAAAAAAAAATAGCTGGGCGTCGTGGTGCATGCCTGTAATCCCAGCTACTTGGGAGGCTGGAGAATCGCTTGAACCCAGGAGGTGGAGGTTGCGGTGAGCAGAAATTAAAAAAAAAAAAAAAATTGGCATATACTCATCAAAAATACCAAGGTCAAGAAAAAAAAAAAGATGGTATCTGGAGAATAAAACATCATGGCCACATAAATGCGACATGTGGACATGTGCTTTTTTTTTTTTTTTTTTGCCATAAGGGGCATAATTGAGAAAACTGGCAGAATGTGAGTAAGGTGAAAGCACTGATTTCATAAACTTGATGGTTACGCTGTGATTATCTAAGAGAGTGTCCTTGTCTTAGAAAATGTATGCTCAGTTATTTAGGGGTAATGGGAGATCATGTCTACAGCTACTGTTAATTGGTTCCAGAAAAACAGACTGTGGTGTGTGTGTGTGTAGAAAGAGAAAGAGAAAGAGAGAAGGGTAGCAGAGGGGGAGAGAGAAAGGTCCTGATAAAGCAAACGTAAAAATTTTAACAAATACAAAGTAAATGAAATGTATTTGGAAATTAGTATTATTTGTATTAAGTTTGAATGATTTTATATTTGTGTAAGTTTGTATTATTCTTGCAACTTTTCTGTAAGTTTGAAATTATTTCAAAATTTTCCAAAACTAAATGTACTAATATAAAGGGGCTCCCACTAACCAAAAACCTAAAAAATGATAACTTGCTAGTTTTTGGAGAATGAAAAGGAATAGCCTCCTTTTCCTGAAAACTGATAAAAGCAATCAAGCATTTATCATGATTTTCCTATATAAACGATACCACTGCATAACCATAAGACAGGTGGAGGAGGAAGTATCTCTTTATATAAATATTTCGGCCAATAAAAAAAAAAACTTTTTAAAAATTGTAGAGCCAGATATGAAAGTGGTTATATATGTTTAATATTTAAAAGTGCCCACCAGCCGGGTACAGTGGCTCACGCCTGTAATCCCAGCACTTTGGGAGGTTGAGGTGGGTAGATCACCTAAGGTCAGGAGTTCGAGACCAGCCTGGCCAACATGGGGAAACCCCGTCTCTACTAAAAATACAAAAATTACCTGGACATGGTGGTGCATGCCTGTAGTCCCAGCTACTTGGGAGGCTAAGGCAGGAGAACTGCTTGAACCCGGGAGATGGAGGTTGCAGTGAGCCAGGATTGTACCATTGCATTCCGGCCTGGGCAACAGAGCGAGACTCCATCTCAAAAAATTTTTTTAAATGAAATAAAATAAAACAAAATAAATAAACGTGGCCACGAAGACCCACTGCATGCTAATTAGAAGTTATCTGTGTGTTCCTCCTTTCATTTTTAGCACAAACATGTTCTCCCATGGTTCCTCTGGACATTTTCCATGTTAACACCTAGATTTTGGATATTGCTAAAGCAGAATCATATAGTTGTTACAGATTTTTGGCAGTTACTATGATAATGAAGATTTTTCTGGAATTTCATGCACAGGGCTTCTGCCTAACAGTAGCTGTGTGCATACATGAGCTCATACTACACAGTCTTTGGCTCCATCAAGTGAAAATGTGGACAAGCTGTATTACTTCTGGGCCTCAAAATCTAGCTTAATCATCTTAAAAATGGAATCAGCAAAGTTGTCAGTACTAATAATCACTGGAACTGATGCCTAAGAAGATGACTCAGTTCAACTACCATGAGAATTTAGAACACATTGGATCTTTTGGATTTATTAAATGTCTTAGCTATCACATGGGATCTCTTTTACAATAATGCGCAGTGTTACAAACATTAATTGGGATAGTACTTATAAACCAGAGAACATTCACTTTTATGAAAAATTTTATCCAATCTTATTTTATGCATTTACCTTCCAGACGTACTGCTCTACTAGGAGTTTTAACATAATCTGCATGTAATTTAGTATATTCCATATTAAAGACCAATGAAAAAGTTAATATAGAATTTAAAATATTTATGTTGATAATCCAAAAAGGAAGAACTGAGATCTATTTTTATTCTTAAGTTTCTGTTGCACTCCTATATAATGTCCACCATTAGCTGAATTGAATATCAGAACACATGATTTGAAAAACAAATAGATTTTTTCTTTTTCACAAAATACAAATAGCTTTTATTTGTGTGATTATACAAACATGTATGTTCAGCTCATTAAAAAACATAACAGGCCAGGCGTGGTGGCTCATGCTTGTAATCCCAGCACTTTGGGAGGCTGAGGCAGGTGGATCACTTGAGGTCAGGAGTTTGAAACCAGCCTGGTCAACATGGTGAAACCCCGTCTCTACTAAAAACACAAAAATAAGCTGGTGTCGTGACACACGCCTGTAGTCCTAGCTACTCGGAGGCTGAGGCAAGATAATCGCTTGAACCCAGGAGGCGGAGGTTGCGGTGAGCTGAGATTGTGCCACTGCACTCCAGCCTGGGCGACAGAACGAGACACTGTCTCAAAAATAAATAAATAAATAAAATAACAAAGTAAAAATCACTTATAAATCCCCTTCCAACCCTCCCCCAAATCCCCCCCAAAAAATCACTATAGCCTTTTGGTTACTCTAGTTAGCTAGCTGTCTAGCTTTTTAGACATTATTAAATTAAAAAAATATAATAATCTACCTGTTTTTAGCTTAATTTTCTTCAATTGTTGACATATTAGAGATATCACCTTATAGCAATAAACACAGGTCCATGTCATCATTTTTAATAGGTGCATAATTTATGAATGCAATGAATTTAATCAGTTTCCACTAATGGACATTTATACGCTTTCCAAATTTTTGCTACAGAGACAATCCCTATATATATATATATTTTTTTTTTGGAACACTTGGGCTGATTATAGAAAAGCTTCATTTGTGAATATATTAATATAGAAGGCCTTATGGCTATAATATTTTCATTTAGTTATTTATTTAACAAATTATCTTTATTGAAGAGAGTAAAATTAAATAAACAGCTATCATTCCAGAAAATCCAGGCCCATAGATGTCACAAATATATGTAAAATACTGTTAGGCATCATGGGAGTAAAAAAGATAATTAAGATTAAAATAGTTCCTGACCGCTAAGGTATTTTAAATGTAGGAGAGAGACAGCTATATACACAGGCAATGTAAGGGATGAAGTCAGCAAGGCAGAAGAACTAAATGTTAACTAAGCATGGAATGAGTAGTTGAATCCAAATTAATATTACTCCTAATTTAAAGCAATTATCTTATGCTCAAATAATTACTTTAACAAATGACAGAAGAGACAAACATACTATCAACTCCAAGGTACTATTCAAGTTTTTTCCTATAGAAATAATACATGACATGCTTACAGCACTTAAGATAATAAAATATCCTCACGATAAGCCTGCGAAGATTACAAATGAGAAAGCTGAGGCTCAGGAAAGGAAGAGGTAATGACAGAAATGGAATTATTGTGTCATATACCAGATAGATACTTCATGTTTCCCCTAGAAGGTAAGCTCCATGAGGACAAGGACTCTGTCTTACTATCCACTGAATTCCCAGTTCTTAGAATATTGTCTGGGACAGAAAAATGTATATTCAGTAAAAATTTGTTGAATAAATCAAACTCCATTTTATAGATGAGGAAATTGAGGTTCGGAAAGATTAAGCTATATATCCAAGGTCACATCATTATTAAATTAAGATTCAAACCCTGAATCAGTATTCTTTCTTCAACTGTAATATCTGAAATAATTTGGCTACTAGCTGAAATTTGGAAATCATTTTTGTAACACTTCAGTTGGTGCTATAGAAATAATTGTTTTGAATGTATAATTTGTACTTGTCACTAAATTTCAATTAAGTCAGAAACACAAAAGACTGAAATTATCTTAAAAAGAATATGTTGGATAATACTCCAGATGTATAATGACAATTTTAAAAGCTACTTTTTAAACCATTTTAAGTAAGACAAAAAGAGACAGAACTTTGTATTTTTTATTAGATATAAATTTTAAAATAATGTAGCAAAAAATTAGGAAGAAAAAGGACTGTTTAAATTGCTATTGTGCAGATAGATGCTGCAAATTATATACTATTCAATACATAATTTGGATTATCATACTTATCCGTTCATTACAGTAGATGAAGAATGGCCTTTTTTGAAGCTGTAAGCCACCAATTGATTCAAATTACTACAGTGTTCCTGAAAACAATAAAAATGCTTTTCTCTTAAAAAAAAAAATCTACAAACTATTTCCCAATTATTATGAAATTGCAATGCAAAGCATTAAAACAGATTGTACCCCTCTCTGAAAATCCAGAACATATCAATAACTCAATAAATGTACAGTTTATTCAGAAACTACAGTTACTGAGTTCTGCTTACTGACATTTTTTCTAGAATATTTATATTTTCTATGTGGTAGCTATTCATATATATCAATACTTTAAAATATTTGAAAGTTGTACAACTGAATTCACTTAGAAGTCCACTGCAATAAGTAAACTGTAAAATAATATTCTCAACTAAAAACATGGAAAGAAACAATATCCTAGATCCATTTGGGGATTAAGTTTTTTGTCAAGAAAAACTCTTGCCAATTTCTGAAAGTGTCTTATGTATCAGACTTCCTACCTGGCAAAAATAAAATTTTAAGAGGACAAAAATCCTGGAATCTAGCAGGAATTTAGTCTCATGTTTTACCATGTAAGAATAATGGAAATCAAAATGTGATCTTTTCTTTTGCCTCTCTTAGTTTAAGCATATCCAGACGAACATTCAGTCAACTTTCTGAGTTATAAGAATTTGGTGGTGGACTAGTATAAGTGAAATTCAGGGCTAAAATTTTAAAATCTAATTGTAACCAATAGCTTCGACTTCCTTCTATATGAAATATTTTATCAGGATCTCACACAAATGTCCTAGATCTTTCTCTCTCCTGAATTCTTAAATTGTACCAATAAACATCTTCTAGAATGTTCTATATAAAATACACTTCTCTGAGTACTGGCATATAACTTTATTTCAGCTCACATAAATCCTGTGATGACATCTTCACTTTACATATAACTAAAGAAGGCTCAGAGGAGTTAAGTAATTTGTCACTGGTGAAAAAGGAGTCAGAGAAAACATCTGCATCTGAACTAAGGTTTTTGGACTACACAGTTATCCCCTATCACTTTATTTGGTAATCACATACTGCCTTACATTTGTACTACCAACTTTCACCCTTACATTTCTTAATTTTTCCAACATTCATGTCCTTAAGAGCAACAAACTGTGTTGTGCTTTGGTATCTTATAATATCTTTTAGGAGATTTATTCAAATTGTTTGCATGACAGAAGCATGATAGTGTGTACATTTGGGTGGGTTTTAAGAATTCTCAGAGCTTCACACTTGTAAAATGGGGATGACACCAAAATTAATTGAGTGCTTACTGTTAAATGCTTTACCTGTATTAACCCATTTAATCCTCACAACAGCACTATGAGATCAGTACATTGTCTCCATTTTACAGACGAAAAAGCTAAAGGCTAGAGAGGTTCTCTACCCTGCTCAAAAATAAGGTTACAAGCTAGTAGGTGGAGTCAGACTTCAAAAGCCAAGTTATTCTGTCTAGACTGCCTACTCACTTAATGTTAAAACTGTCCCTCTAGGACTAGATAATGACTAAATGAAATCATATTCAACAGTAGGGGAGGATTCAAAAATAATTAACTCCTGGCAATGATTTCTTGAATATGACAGCAAAAGCACAAAAAAACAAAGCAAAAATAGAAAAATGGCACTACAACAAACTTAAAAACTTATGTGCATCAAATAGCACCATCAACAAAGTGATGAAAAGGCAACATATAAATAGGAGAAAACATCTGCAAATCACATATCTGATAAGGGGTTAATATCCAGAATAAATAAGGAACTCCTACAACTCAACAAAAAAAAAACAAGTAATGTGATTTAAAAATGGGCAAAGGACTTGAACAGACATTTTCTCCAAAAATGGGATATTATAAAACTAGCCAATAAGCATATGAAAAGATGCTCAACATCACTAATCATCAGAGAAATGCAAATCAAAGCCACAATGAGATATCACCTCCCACTCAAGGATGGGTACTATCAAAACCAACAAAAACAGAAAATAGGTGTTGGCAAGGATGGTGAGAAACTGAAACCCTATGTACTGTTCGTGGGAAAGTAAAATGGTGCAGGCGCTACAGAAACTGTATTGTGGTTCCTCAAAAATTAAAAATAGAATTACTGTATGATCCTACAATCCCACTTCTTGGTATCCAAAATAATTGAAAGCAGGCTCTTTGCATATCCTTGTTCATAGCAGCATTATTCATAATAGCCAAGAGGTGAAAGGAACCCAAATGTCCATAGACAGATGAATGGATTAACAAAATGTGGTGTATATATACAATGGAATATTATTCAGTTTTTTTACTGTAGCTTTTTTTTGGTCTTTTTTTTTTTGTTTTTTTGAGATGGAGTCTCGCTGTGTCGCCCAGGCTGGAGTGCAGTGTTGCCATCTCGACTCACTGTAACCTCCATCTCCCGAGTTCAAGCGATTCTCCTGCCTCAGCATCCCCTAGTAGCTGGGATTACAGGCATGCACCACCACGCCTGGCTAATTTTTTTGTATTTTTAGTAGAGATGGCGTTTCATCATGTTGGCCAGGCTGGTCTCGAACTCCTCACCTCAAATGATCCGCCCGCCTCGGCCTCCCAAAGTGCTGGGATAACAGGCGTGAGCCACCGCGCCCAGCCTAATCAGTATTTTTTTAAAGAGGAATTCTTCACGTTACAACATAAATGAAACTTGGGAACATTATGCTAAGTGAAGTAAGACAGTCACAAAAAGATACTGCATGAATCTACCTATCTGAGGTAACTAAAGTAGTTAAATTCACAGAAACACAAAGTAGAATGGTAGTTGCCAGGGTCTTAGGAGACGGGGCGGTAGGGAGCTGTCTGATTAGTACACAGTTGTGTTGTAAGATGAAAAAGTTCTGAAGAGTCCTTGCACAACAATGTCAATATACTTCACTAATGGACTGCACACTTAAAAATAGTTAAGACCGTAAATTTGGCAGGTTTTTAAACCACAACTTAAAAAATTATTAACTCTTTTCTTTCATTTTATTTTCCTGTCCTCATGGGTATAGTGTTAGAAGGCAATGTAATGGAAAGGATAGAGAGAAAAGCAAAGAGCACAGGGCTTCAACGACGTAGAGAAAAAAATTTAAGAGACAACAAAACAAGTGGCCCCATATTTTCATTAATAATTTTCTACAATTAATTGAATCTATCGATAACTTTCTTCTTAACCTGGAAATACTAATGGCAAGGCAACAGTGTAGCGGTTAAAGGCCTTTTCGAGTCTGAAAGTTCAGCTACTATTCTGACTTTGCTACTAATTGTTGTGTGACCTTGGGTAAGATACTTTCATTCATTCGCTAATTCATTCATTAATTATCAGAAAGTCTGTTTCCACGTGGGTAAACCTGGTCAAATGAATCCTGCACCTCTACACAGAATTGTTCTGAGGAATAAATGAAATAATCCATGCAAAATGTTGGGCACAACTATTGGCACTTTGTGCTCAATAAATGTTGGCTATTATTACTCCGAAGCCTATCGAGTAGGAAAATAAATAAGCTGACTTCAACTAAAGGAAACCCAGTACCATATTCCTCAGAGATTTGGTTCGTCGATAATCATGGTGTTATCAAATCAGATACTCTTCAGCAATCATTACTGACTCTTGACCATTCTTGCCGAAAGTGTGCTCTTCTCTTTTAAAGGAACTCTCTCCCAGGGAAAAGCAATGTCATCTCAGGTATTCGATGTTTGCTTTGGGAACAGTTTTCTACAGATCTCAGAAACATGGAATCTGAGATTAGCCACTAGAGTACACCATTCCTCTCACTTCGATAGGGGCCTAGGCCTTATGTAGGACTGAGAATGGGGAGGGAGGGGGCCACATAAACAACACAGATACAAATAAAGCCTCACTGTGGTAAGACGGGACCAGACAAGTCTCCTCCAGGGAGAATGAAACCCGGACATTTAGGACAGCGGAACGCGGAGCCGGCGGGCAGGCGGGTGCAGAGGAACCTCGCGCAGCATTCCCCGAGCCCCAGCCCGGAGCCGGGGCTGGGGCCAGGGCGGGGGTGTGTCGGGATGCTCCCCACCGGGCCTGGGGCTGGGGCTGGCTCAGACAGGCCGGGGGCCCCGCAGGCCTCCAGGAGGGGCCGAGGTGGGGGCAGGGGCGGGCTACGCGGTGGTCTGGGGATTGGGCAGGAAGAGAAGGGACGCTGAGGTCTCACCGCGGGCCGAGGGCAGTGGGTAGAGCTTCTCGGCCTTCTGCAGGAAGCGCTGGGCCTTCTCGCGGTTGCCGGCGTTCAGGGCCTCCCGGGCGATCTCGACACATTTCTCAGCCTCATCCCTGTTCCCCTCCATAGCTTGCTCCTTCTTCCGTTTCCTCCGGCAGCGCAGCTAAGAAGGGCGGAAGCCGCCGCCGCGGAGGAGGCGAGGCGGGACCGGCTGGGGGCGTGCGGCGGCAGCGGGGAGGAGCGCAGGGGACCGCGGCAGCGGCTGCGACGGCCCGGGCGGACGGGCGGGCCTCGCAGCTCCGCCTCCTCACGGCGGCCTCCCCGCCCCCCGCGGGCCCCTAGGGCGCGATCCGCATCCGTCCCGGCCCAGGACCAACCTCCTGGGCCGGGGCGTCCGAGCTGACTCGGTGGTCCGCGCACGGCGCCAGCAGGCTCGAAGCGGACCTGCCCGGGAGGCGGACGATAGCAGCCGGGCTGCCCATCGCGGGGAGGGGTTCCGCCCGGGACCCGATTGCCGGCATTGGTAGCGCCGTGCCCTGTGACCTCCAGGCGAGGCCCTCGCAGCTCAGGCCAGGAGGACAGGGTCCGGGAAGGGGACACTCGTTTTCAGTAAAATTGCCAGGACTTGGAGGTTCCGCCTCTGGGCCCCTCAAGCGAGGGAGGATGCGGTCAGGTGAGGACCAAGGTGTCAGTCCAGTCTCAGCACTTCCGGGACACGTTAGAGCGTCGTTTGAACCTAATCTTAGGGCTTGTATGGCAGCCTTATTTCAGCTACATTTTTTCTGACCCGGATGTCTGGCTATCCAAAGTACAAAGCAGTTTAATTTGTAGCTTGCAACGAGTGGTGCAGATCGACCTTAATCCTGTGTAGCCAAAACAAGGCAGGAATCAGCCCCTCAGGGGCTGCCCTAACGAAAGCAAACTTTTGATTTCACCTTTTCCGTCCCATTTGGATAACATTACCACTTGGAAGTACCGTGTCTTGTTAGTCTTCGCGGTGGGGGTGGGGGGAATGTTTGCTATGTGCAAATTTTTTAAAAAAAAACATGACAAACTGTCAAAATGACCTGCTCAACCCAACCACAAGGTAACAATTTTTACATAATGCTGTGAGCCAAGCTGTTAATTCTGCTAACTACCATAACTCGGTACTTTCAAATAAGAAACCCTGCTTCTCTTCGATAAAATGGAGATAGTATATCCCCAATGATGTTACTGAGTACTTAACAACTTCAGACTTCAAAGCAGGGCCTGGCACGTAGCACTATTATCTTTAAAGTTTAAATTCGGAGTTCATTCTGTGGATATACAGGACATTCCTACCTATTCTCTCCCTCCCCAAGTCCACCATGCTAACAGCATACTAGTGCAGTGCTGTCACACAGCAAGCGAAGCCAATGTACAAACTGAAATGGTCACACTTAGCCTAAGAAACTGACAATCCCACTCCAGCTCCTGCCAACTTTTTAAATTAAAACTTTAGTAGCTCATATAACATTAAAAAAATATACTTGGGCTATCTCACTTTGTTGATCTACAGATTTGACAGTTCAGTCACAAAGAAATGTGCTTAGTTATTGCTGCTAGATGAGATACTCAAAACAAGTTCCTATTACAACCAAGCAAATTTAATACACAACTAGTTTGGGATATGACCTTTATTGAACTTATCCACCAGAGTGGAAATAATGTCTGTACAAAACCAAATGTTTGTTACTATAACTTCTGCATCACAATTAAAATCCAAACAGTTTTTTAAAAACAGTCAACTCAATCAAAACCCACTACTTCAGAATCAATAGCTTCTTTGAAGCCACAGTAACACTTAAATATGGTTAAGACTCGAATGCAGAAATTTGGTTGGTTGGAAAGCTAATTAAACTTCCAACTTGCTCAAATAGAATTACAAAAAGGCAAAATTGTGTTTTTCACAGAGATACAGTCCACTGGAATCACCAACACTGGACAGCTGTTAGAGTATTTAGAGTCCTGAGATAACAAGGAATCCAGGCATCCTTTAGACAGTCTTCTGTTGTCCTTTCTTCCCAATCAGAGATTTGTGGATGTGTGGAATGACACCTAGGAGAGTGACAGGAATTAATTCTACTTAAGATTTTTTAAAAAATCACAGTATTTGAAACCAAGAAAGTGTATACTGTTCAACTTGAAAGGTATCTTTAAAAACATGCAGCTCAAGTATGAAGTAAAAATTCATTGAGTTATACATATAAATCAAATTTCATGATACAACCATACTTCCATCATTGAAAATATACTTAAATTTCCTCTCCTGGAAAAACTAATTAAAAGCAGCAAAAAATTCCTTCCTCTGAAGAAATTTTTTAAAATGTTAGAAGTTAACATACCACCACCAGCAATTGTAGCCTTGATGAGAGAATCCAATTCTTCATCTCCACGAATAGCAAGTTGCAAGTGACGAGGGGTAATACGCTTTACCTTTAAGTCTTTTGATGCATTTCCTGCCAGTTCAAGTACCTAAAAGGCAGAATCTGTCAGTTGCCTTCCAACTTTCCTTTGGCCAAGATTCAGAGAACAGAATAAAACCCTCACAAACGCAGATCTACCAACTGGAATCGTTCCTCACTATCTGACTGGCAAGATATACAGGGGGCACGCAATTTTAATTCCAAGAGCAGAGAACTCAAGCTCAGTAGGATCCTTGTTGAACACCAGCTCCCTCTAGCGTTCTCTTAGGCCTCTCGCCGCGTTCAGGGCCTGGGAGTTTTCTTGCATCACTTTCCTCCTTCCCTCTTGCCGCCTCCCCGCCCCCCAAACCTTCTCCGGATTATAGGCGTTCACCCATTTACCTCTGCGGTGAGGTACTCCAGGATGGCTGCGCTGTACACAGCGGCAGTCGCGCCCACACGTCCATGACTGGTCGTCCTAGATTTTAGGTGTCGATGAATACGGCCCACTGGGAACTTAAATTTTAAGCATACACAAACATAAATGCACAAAAATGAGAACTAGAGATGGGGAAATTATATGCGCGCCAAAGCAAGGGGCACGGGCGCAGCAACGCGTCCCGACATCGAAACACGTGATTCCTCCCCCCCATATTTATCGTATGGGCAGCCCAAGTCGCGACACCGCATCACCCACGCATACACAAAACGCCCATCGAGAGCGATGAATAACAAAAAAGGAAATGCAAAGAAAAACATCATGACTCCCAGACTGCACGAACAACTACTGACCTGCAAGCCGGCTCTCTGCGAGCGGGAAACCGCCTTTGTCTTGGCCTTTCCGGAGTCCTTTCCAGCCTTACCGCCAGCCTGCGGCGCGCACACGCCCGCGAGCGGAGGAGGAACGGAGAATATAGAATTACCAAGGCGGCGCGCCCATCCCCCACCGCGGCGCGTCCCGCCGCGAGCGCGTCCCCGCACCCTGCCGGGGTCTCCGGCCCGCGGCGCGCCGCAGGGGCGACCCCGCCCGTTCGCCCCCCGCCGCGCGCTCGCCACGGCCGCGCGCCTCCGCCCGCCGGCCCCCAGCGGCGCTGCGCGCGCCACCCAACCGTCGCCGCCCGCCGCGAGATCCGAGGCTGCTCCGCTAGCAGCCGACAAAACACCTCCCCCCACTCTTCTAAATCCTGTCTCCGCGCGTTCCCAACCGTCGCCACTTCACCCCCATCCCTCTGTGTAACGGGTTTTTCTCTCGCCGGCAAAAACCCGCGGAGTCATCGAGCGTCTCTGCGAAGTTTACCATTTCGAATTCCGCTGAAGCTCAAGCAAGCAAGGCAGAGAAAAGGCTAATCGGACCCACGGTGAGATCCCACCACCTACTCCTTCGTCGCACCGCGATTCAAACTGCGCTGTCTCCCGCCTTCCCTGCTCCCTTTATACTGCAGAATGTTCCCTCATCCGGGAACTCGGATTGCTCATCCCACCAATGGCTGCCACCCGCCCTCGGGACGCGTCCTTGAGACTTCAGCCAATGAGCAAGCGAAGAAAAGGGTGGAGGGGCGGGCGCTTCTAATCTCAAGCCGCGATTGGGGCGTGGGGGGAGAGGCGGGGGAAGGCGGAGGGATGGGAACGGGGGAGAAGAAGGGCACCGCGGCGGGAGGGAAGAAACAGAGCGAGCTACGCTGCAGGAGCGCAGTTACCAGCCGGCTGCGATCACGTGCCTGGGAGGAGGAGCTGAGACCTCAGGGGAGGGGCGCGCGGTAGCGTCCCGGGTCCCCTAGCAGGGCTCTAGAGACCACGTGAAGTCTCCTCGGTATGTAGCACGCCGCCCCCACCACTCCCAGCCCCATTCCCAGCGCCTCTCGGGCGGAGACCTGCGACCCGCAGCCGCTTTCCGGGGCCCCGGACACCCCTTCCCTACCCTCTCAATCCCTGGCGGCTCCTCCCGTCTGACAGGTGGCGCGAACGCGTCCAGTGAGAGGAGTCTGAGGTTTGCCCTGACGCCTTCCACAGCCTTAGTAGAGATTCCGTGTTTCTTCCGTCTAGGCGAGTCCCCAGCCACCAACAGATCACGACCCGCTGCTCCCACTTTATTTTCAGCCGGGTCTTCCACCTCTCCCTCACTACTTATGAAATCCTCCACGGAATAGTTCTGTGACAGCAAACGGTGAAGCCAAGTCACCTCACTGGTCACGAAACCCTTTTTGTCTATACTTAGGGAGCTTCTGGCGAGGCAGTATTCTTTAATCAAATCATAAACCATATTTTTTGGAGACTACACATCAATGGGTTGTACCTGTAGCCTGGTGTGTAAAGCTCATTTAGTGAAACCTCAGAGCTATTATGTGTCAACTTTTCTACAGTAAGTATTTTGCCACATGACAAATGTTCGGCAAATGTCGATGGAGTAACTCTGACATGATTTTCAGGCAGTTAGAGGGTCCATGCAATGCAATCAGTTGCAAATGATGAGGTTAAAGTAATGGTACTGTACACACAGTACTATCCTTCCAACTAGTAGGTTATTAACACCTATGTACATCTCCAGCTGCTTGGGGACAGTAGTGTCTCAATCTCATTTGCAGTGTTTTAGTGTATTACATTTTTTAACATAATTGAATAGTTTCAATGTGACGAACATTTTGAAACATATACTCTATGCTGGGCATGGTGGCTCACACCTGTAATCCCAGCACTTTGGGAGGCCGAAGCGGGCAGATTACGAGGTCAGGAGTTCAAGACCAGCCTGGCCAACATGGTGACACCCCATCTCTACTAAAAATACAAAAATTAGCCAGGCATGGTGGCGCCCGCCTGTAATCCCAGCTACTCTGGAGGCTGAGGCAGGAGAATTGCTTGAACCCGGGAGGCGGCGGTTGTGGTGAGTCAAGATTGCGCCACTGCACTCAGCCTGGGGAACAGAGCGAGACTTTCTCAACAACAACAACAACAAACATATACTCTGAAGTACTTTAGATTGGGTTTCAATTTGAAAGATTTTATCGAATTAGAGGACCTCCCAATTTCTGTGAGATAAATTCTAGAGAAGAGCTTCCCAACAATTTTGACATTGAGGTTTATTATTTCTTGGAACCAAGGAACTCTTATGATGTCGTCGATAGCAAGACTTCAGCCGTTTTCCTACTGATAATATAATAATGATATATTAAGCTATGAAACCTGATAGTTAACGATGGCTCCAGGGAAGCTTTGTGATATATAAAAAACCAACATTAATGCCATCTCTAGTTTAGATAATACTCTGCCAGCTCTTTGCTATGAAGCCCCATAAAGGGAATTTACTGTTGCCTCGCTGAATAGTGGTTAGGAGGATGAACTCAGAAGCAAGTACAGATGGATTCTGTTCTGCCTCCTCCTCACTGTGTCATCTTAGTTACTAATCTTTCTGAGCTTCGAGTTCCTATTCTGTGAAAAGATAGTATCATCTATTTTCACATGGTTGAAAGATTAAGGAAAAAGGTATGCAATGTACATAGTAGCATGTGTTTGGCACGTAGTTAGCCCTCAGTAAATAACTGCTATTATTTTCTACATTGGATGCTGGAGAGGGATGAAATAAAGTATCTTTTATTTCTAAATCTTTTTTGCTATTTGGTTTATTTTCTTTCTTCGATTTGGAAGCAGCAAGCTTGAAACCTGCCCAAAGTATACACAACCAAGTCTTCCAACATCCAAACTAAAATCCAAAATTGGTTTAATAACTCAATAATTTTCCTTCAGAGAACAGGACAGTATTACTTTCTGCACTTTTCTCAGAGTGGTATGATGATTTCCTACTCTTTTTCCTGCCCCCCCCAGAAAAGGTATGATGCAAATATGTTAATATTGTTGGTTTATCTTTCCAGTTCCTGTGTTAATAGTAATGCATGTATATAATGTACTTAGCCAGAGCTATGTAATTACTTTTGTTTAATGCCATACCCAATTAGTTCTCTCACCATAAAAAAATATGAGATGCCAAGGCAAGAGGATCACTTCAGCCCAGGTGTTAAAGACCAGGCTGGGCAACATAGCGAGACCCCATCTCTACTAAAAATACAAAAATTAGCAAGGCATGGTGGCCCCTGCCTGTGGTCCCATCTACTCGGGAGGCTGAGGTGGAAGGACCACTTGAGCCCATGGTTGCAGTGAGCCATGATTGTGCCACTGAATTCCAGCCTGTGTGATAAACTGAGATCCTGTCTCGAAAAAACAACAAAAAATCCTCAGATGAGGTAGGCGAACCCACTATTATTGACACTTTCCTTAATAGCCTTTTCCTAACTAAGCCAGATTTTCCATGACTAGTTGCTATCTCCTTTGAAACACTAGCATGTATGTTAACTACTATTGTTCTTGTCTTTTTATGTAGAGAATTTGAGAGTCTTACAATTGGGAATTATAAATTTCTCAACTACATCTTGCCTTAAAAACGTATTTTTAAGAAAATATGAATAAGTTCTCAAGTTATTTCCAAGGATATTAGCCTAGATCGATAATGGCGGCAAAATTCTTTTCATCAGGAAATCTACATTAGAATCTTGGTTCTCTCTACCTAGGGCACCTAGGAAAAATATGTGCCTTCAAGGATTCACACAGCTGTGAATAACTGAGTTCCAGTGTGGTATTATGCAAAATATTGAACTAGAGTAAAAGAATGAGGGTTGAGTTTGGGTAGCCACTTACTTGCTATATGGCCTGAAGTATGTAAAACACTGAGGCACAGTTTCATTTATTAAATAGGGATTCGTAACACCAGATAAACCAACTTGATAGAATTGTGAAAGAGTTTCGTTAAGTGCGAAGAATATGTAGAGTGATGTAATAATATTTTTGGCACCGAGGCCATAGTCCTTCCTGAATTCTGTTTAGGTTGAGAAGCCTATGTGTTTAATTCAGTGTTGATAAAACCAAAGCCATCGATTTAAATTCCAAATTGCCCAGCTTTGCACTTCTCATGATCACAGATTGCACACAGGTAACAATTCACAAATGCAGGGAATAGATGACAAAGATCAGCAGAATCTACTCCACCCAGATCCACTGCCATTTCAGGAAAACAAAAGATCATGCTTTTAATATAGCACTAATTTACTTTTTCCATACATTAGTCCTCAGAATTTTTGGAAATTTATTGTTTTAAAATTAAAAAATCAAGATTCTTATCATATCCTTTTATTATCTATTATTGATATCAATATCGATCTTTAGGATTTTCAGGGCAGGGGAAGGGAGTCCATGTGTTGAAATTTTTTTCCTAAATAATAGTGTATTTGCCTAGGCAGTGGGTCCTCCTTCTCTGTATTCCTGTGTTCTACATCTATGGATTCAACCAACTGAGGATCAAAAATATTCACAACGTAAGCTGGGTGTGGCCAGGCGCCGTGGCTCACACCTATAATCCCATCACTTTGGGAGGCTGAGGCGGGTGGATCACTTGAGGCCAGGAGTTTGAGACCAACCTGGCCAACATGGTGAAACCCTGTCTCTAATAAAACTACAGAAATTAGCCATGTGTGGTGGCATGCACCTGTAATCCCAGCTTCTCAGGAGGCTGAGGCAGGAGAATCGCATGAACTTGGGAGGCAGAGGCTGAAGTGAGCAGAGATCATGCCACTGCACTCCAGCCTGAGTGACAGAGTGAGACTTGGTCTCAAGAAAAAATAATAATAATAAGCTGCATTTGGGGTGTGGCAGTTCATCCCTGTAATCCCAACAATTTGGGAGGCTGAGGTAAAAGGATCCCATGAAGCCAGAAATTCAAGACCAGCCTGGGCAACATAGCAAGGCCCTGTCTCTAAAAATTTTTTTTTTCAATTAGCCGGGCATGGTGGTACACACCTGTACTCCCAGCTACTAGGGAGCCTGAGGCAGGAGGATCCCTTGAGCCTAGAAGTTCAAGGCTGCAGTAAGCCATGATCACACCACTGCACTCCAGCCTGGGTAATAAAGCAAGGCCCTGACTTTCTAATTTTAAAAAGTATGGTTGCATCTGTACTAAACATATACAGACATTTTTTCCTGTAATTTCCTAAACCACATAGTGTACCAACTATTTACATAGCATAGGCATTGTAATGGATATTATAAGTAATCTAGAGATGATCGAAAGCATACAATCTGCATAGGTTATATGCAAATACTATGCCATTTTATGGAAGGGATTGAGCATTCATGAATTTGGGTATCCAAGCGGTGGGGTGTGGGGACAGATCTTAGAACCAGTCCCCCACAGATACAGAGGGATGATTGTATTAGTATTTTTGTGACACTTATCTCCACAGCTAAATTGTAAATACAGTAATGCCCCTATTGCATATTTCTAACATAGTGACCAAGGAAATTGTTGTAGAGATTTGACACATTTTTATTACTGTATTGTCTTCTTTTGTCTGTATATATGCAACTGAGATGGAAGGCAATACCATACATTATACCGCATGATACATAACCATTCCCTAATAATAGAATATATGATAGCACTAGATTGGTGCTGTCAGCCTGTTAGGTAAAATAGAGCATAGCCATCAAGTCATTCTACTTTCCAGGCAATACACCAAGAATAGCAGTTGGGAGATGGGATATGTAGTGCTTAGGAGCTTCCCTCAATCTAGCTAAGAAGATTAAACAGGGAGGAAAATTCAAACAATGTCTTAATCATTAAAACCACATTAAGAAGGCTGTTACAGGCTGGGTGTGGTGGTTTCCGCCTGTAATCCCAGCACTTTGGGAGGCCGAGGTGGGTGGATTGCTTGAGGCAAGGGGTTGGAGACCAGCCTGGCCAACATGGCGAAACCCTGTCTCTATTAAAAATACAAAAATTAACTGAGCATGGTGGTGCATGCCTGTAAGTCCCAGCTACTTGGGAGACTGAGGCATGAGAATTGCTGGAAGCCAGGAGGCGAAGGTTGCAGTGAATGGAGATCATGCAACTGCACCCCAGCCTGAGTGACAGAGCGAGACTCTGCATCTAAATAAATAAATAAATAAATAAGGCTGTTACAAAATAAGTATCTGATTGGCTGCCAAATCAACAGTACCTCTAGTTTAAAGGACAGAGACAGTTGCAAGCTGGAGCGTTTTGAAGAGTTTACGTTTAAATGGACTAAGGAGAGTGTTTGATTGGAATGGTGAATTGGTGTAAGAAGTAGCACTTAGAAGGTAGGACACATAGTGTTTTAGTCTGTTTCGTGCTACTGTGATGAAATACCTGAGACTGCATAGTTTATAAAGAACAGAAATTTATTTCTTACAGTTTTAGGGGCTGGGAAGTCCAAGATCAAAGCAGTGGCAGGTTTGGCTGTCTGGTTGAGGGCTGCTCTCTCCTTCGAAGATGGAGCCTTGATGTTGTATCTTCTAGAGTGGAGAACACTGTGTCCTTACATTGTGGAAGGCAAAGAAAGTTGAAAAGGGATGAACCCTCTCCATGAAGCCCTTTTATGAGGGCACCTAATCTCAATCATGAGGGTGGTCCCATGACTCAATCTCCTCCCAATGGCCACACCTGCCAACACTTTTGCATTGTGAACTAAGTTATAGCATAATTTTTGAAGGGGACAAAAACATTCCAACCATAGCTAATGTTCATCAGAATAAAGCTAAATTTGGTCTTGAAAATAAGTTTTGACCAAAAGGTGTAAACTTCAGTGGTGGGTGCAACATCCAGGAAGTTTCCTTAAATGAGGCAAACCAATTTTTTATTTTTGCTGACTGGATTGAAGACAGAATTGGAGAGCCATCTTGAACCATGAAATGAGCTTAGGAATATAGGCCACACATGAGGGAATAACAAGATAAATGGAGCAAAGGCCTTAGATACTATGGAGTCTCAAACCTACCCTGGATCTCTCTGAACATGGGCATCTATTTTGTTTGAGCCCCTTTTATTTTGGGTCATCTTTCACTTGCAGCTGAACCCAATCCTAACTATTATAATGAGTCAATACCCTAAATACTTGGAGAAAGATAGCAGACTTTACCCTGAGAGACTGAGGAACCAATTAATATTTCTGAGAAAGAAAGAATACAGGGTTCCTCATTTTTAGGATACTAATCTAATATGGGTTACAGGGCAAATCAGAAAAGAGAAAAATTTTGTTAGAAGGCTGATAAAGTTGATATCAGTTAGGTATAAAGCCTATGATACAGTTTTGCTGTGTCCCCACCCAAATCTCATCTTGAATTCCCATGTGTTGTGGGAGGTACCAAGTGGGAAGTAATTGAATCATGGGGGCAACTCTTTCATGTGATGTTCTCATGACAGTGAATAAGACTCACGAGATCTGATGGTTTCATTGTTTTGTTATGTTTTGCTTTTTTTGAGAAAGAGTCTCCCTCTGTCACCCAGCCTGGAATGCAGTGGCACGATCTCAGCTTACTGCAACCTCTGCCTCCCAAGTTCAAGCCTCAGCTTCCCAGAGTAGCTGGGACTACAGGCGTGCACCACCACACCCAGCTTTTTTTTTTTTCTTTTTTTGTATTTTTAGTAAAGATGGGGTTTCATCATGTTGGCCAGGCTGGTCTCAAACTCCTGACCTCAGGTGATCCGCCTGCCTCAGCCTCCCAAAATGCTGGGATTACAGGTGTGAGCCACCACATCTGGCCGAGATCTGATGGTTTTAAAAACAGGAGTTTTCCTGCACAAACTCATTCTCTCTTTGCCTGCTGCCATCCATGTAAGATGGGACTTGTACCTCCTTGCCTTCTGCCATGATTGTGAGGCTTCCCCAGCCACGTGGAAATGTAAGTCCAATTAAACCTCTTTCTTTTGTAAATTGCCCAGTCTCAGGTGTGTCTTTATTAGCAGCATGAAAACAGACTAATACAGCCTAAAACTTACATAACACTGAAACCAAGAGAAGGTTGTAAAACATCTTGAAAGAAAAAGCACTAATATTTTGTTATTAAATATGCTGTTTAGGAAGATGTAGGGGGGATGGTGGATACTAAGCACTTAAGAGAAAAGAGCCAGGTTTTTGAGGTTGGTGGTCTGGGATATAAAGTAAAAGATCATCTATAGAATAGGAGAGGTAAAAGGATAGATGCAAATTAAGAGGGGTAGAGAAAGAGGTAAGTCAGGAAAGTTATGAAATATTGACTGTACATTGACATTAGGGGAATCCAAGTGGAATTTCCTACTAAGTATGTTGGCAATAAGAGAAAGCAATCATTAAAAAGTCAGGAAACAGCAGATGCTGGAGAGGATGTGGAGAAATAGGAACACTTTTACACTGTTGGTGGGACTGTAAACTAGTTCAATCATTGTGGAAGACAGTGTGGCAATTACTCAAGGATCTAGAACTAGAAATACCATTTGACCCAGCCATCCCATTACTGGGTATATACCCAAAGGATTATAAATCATGCTACTATAAAGACACATGCACACATATGTTCATTGCAGCACTATTCACAATAGCAAAGAGTTGGAACCAACCCAAATGCCCATCAATGATAGACTGGATTAAGAAAATGTGGCACATATACACCATGGAATACTATGCAGCCATAAAAAAGGATGAGCTCATGTCCTTTTTGGGGACATGGATGAAGCTGGAAACCATCATTCTCAGCAAACTATCGAAAGGACAGAAAATCAAACACTGCATGTTCTCACTCATAGGTGGGAATTGAACAGTGAGAACAATTGGACACAGGGCAGGGAACATCACACACTGGGGGAGGCGGGAGGGATAGCATTAAGAGAAATACCTAATGTAAATGACGAGTTAATGGATGCAGCACACCAACATGGCACATGTATACATATGTAACAAACCTACGCATTGTGCACTTGTACTCTAGAACTTAAAAGTATAATAAAATAAAAAAAATAAATAAATAAAAATTTTGAATTAAAAATAAAAGAAAGAAAATTAAAAGGCAGCCAAAGAAAAAGACCTAGAAAAGTAAAGTGTGATTTCACAGTGGGCACAACAACTTTACACTAAACTAGAAAACTCTCTTTAGTTATAACATCTAACAAGATGGTGTTCACATTTCTGCATGTGTATTGCTAGCTTTGCATAATGAACTTCAAACCTGTTTTTGATCTGTGATACTTGACTGTTCACCAAAGATGAAATGTTGACATGGATTCTGTCACTAAATTGGGTATTACCAAAACTCTTGGTTGTTATGTACATTTCTTGTGCCCAATGTTACAAAAGAATCATAACTGAGAAAAACTCATGGGCTAAATTCCTTATGTTTGAAATTCCATACAGCTTTCTTAAAGGGAATCTAAGTGCCACATTTGTCCTAAAAGAGAGGCGCCACAAAATAGAGTGTAAAGTTATACAACATATACTTCACACCCCTCCACAGATTCAGCCTCAGGGCAGGAACCGTATAAAAAGTGTGACCATCACACCTTTTATTAAAATCCCAAAACAGATGTATGTGACTCCCCAGTCCTTTCAATAGGATGGAAATGGCTCAGAGAAGAGTCCAAAGGCTTTTCTTTCAATAAATAATCCTGAGATAACTGGCAAGCCACATGTAGAAAAATGAAACTGGGTCCTCATCTCTCACCTTATAAAAAAGATCAACTTATGATGGATCAAATAGTTAAATCTAAGACCTGAAACCATAAAATTTCTAGAAGATAACATTAGAAAACTCTTCTAGACATTGTCTTAGGTAAAGAATTCATGGCTAAGTACCCAAAAGCAAATGCAACATAAACAAAAATATATAAATGGGACCTAATTAAACTAAAAAGCTTTTGCATAGCAAAAGAAATAGTCAGCAGAGTAAACAGACAACCCACATAGTGGGAAAAAATATTTGTAAACTATGCATCTGACAAAAGGACTAATATCCAGGATCTACAAGGAACTCAAACAAATCACCAAGAAAAAAACCAAATAATCAAAAGACATGAATAGGCAATTCTCAAAAGAAGATATAGAAACAGTCAACAAACATATGAAAAAATGCTCAACATCACTAATTATCAGGGAAATGCAAATTGCAACCACAATGAGATACCACCTCACTCCTGCAAGAATGGCCATAATTAAAAAATCAAAAAATAACAGCTGTTGGTGTGGATGTTGTGAAAACGGAGTTCTTTTACGCTACTGGTGGGAATGTTAACTAGTACAATCACTATGGAAAACAGTATGGAGATTCCCTAAAGAACTAAAATTTGAATGGCCATTTGATTGAGCCATCCCACTTCTGGGTATCTACCCAAAGGAAAAAGAGTCATATGTGAAAAAGAAACATGTACATTCATGTTTATAGCAGCACAATTCACAATTGCAGAAATATGAAACCCTCCTAAATGACCATCAACCAACAAGTGGATAAGGAAAATATCGTATATGTATATATATTATAAATACTACTCAGCCATAAAAAGGAACAAAATAATGGCATTCGCAGCAACCTGGATGGAGCTGGAGGCAATTATACCATGTGAAGTAACTCAGTAATAAAAAACCAAGCATCATATGTTCTCACTTATAAATGGGAGCTAAGCTATGAGGATGCAAAGGTGTAAGAATAATATAATGGACATTGGGGACTCTTGGGGAAGGGTTGGAGGGGGTGAGGGATAAAATACTATACATTGGTGGGCACTGCTCGGGCGACGGGTACACTAAAATCTCAGAAACTGCCATTAAGGAACTTATTCATGTAACCAAAAACCACCTGTTCCCCAAAAACTACTGAAATAAAATGTTTTAAAATAAAGGCTTTTCTACACCCTTAGACTTTCTCAACTCTGTTTTGTAGTGGAATGCGGGGGTAGAGGAGCTTAAAGTCATTGGTTAGCACAGCATAACCTAGTGGAAACAAATACAGCTGTCAATGCATCTGAGAATTATCTTGGTAAATATTGTATCTATTGTTATTGAATTACTGTTATTGGAATTTAATATTGTTAGCGCCCAAGCAGAGAATAAAAGAGCAGTGCTTTTGTGCATAGGAATAGATACATGGTTATCAGATAATGATCAGTGAGTCAGCAGATTTAGGATATTTGAGACATGATATTGAAGATCAACTGCTCTAAAAGACTTCCTGAGGATTCATTTCAATCTCAAAACATCCAAGGTAGACATGAGCAGAGCTTATCTTTATTTTAAAAGACGAAAAAATAGATTTAAGGGACATTCAGACATACAATGACCAGATTCAGGTCCTCCATGCTCTTTCTGTAACTTTGTACTTCTAAATGAAACACTTCTCAGAAGAGGATTTAATTAGTGCCTATGTCTCTACATACCTGTGATTTTCTTTGTCTTTAATGAAATATGTAAACTCTATTATTGAACAACTTTTAAGACATCAATGACATTCTTTCTAGATGAATATTGTTTTCATTGTTTCCTACTGTCCTCATAGTTTGTGAAATAGTCATTTCTTCCATAATCCTTCTCTACTGCTCAGATTCTCAGCAGGAAATAGAGACAATCTCTTCCTCCATTAATGGATTAGTCCAACATCTCTAGGCAAGAGCTGTCCAGGGGACTTCTCATATTTCACCACAAGATATAAAAATTTACATGCTGGCTCTTTGTTTAGTTTTTTCTTTTCTTTTCTTTTCTTTTTTTTTTTTTTTTTTGAGACAGAGTCTCACTCTATCTTAGGCTGGAGTGCAGTGGCACGATCTTGGCTCACTGCAATCTCCACCTCCTGGGTTCAAGCAATTCTCCTGCCTCAGCCTCCCAAGTAGCTGGGATTACAGGTGGGCACCACCACGCCTGGCTAATTTTTGTATTTTTAGTAGAGACAGGATTTCACCACGTTGGCAAGGCTGGTCTCGAGCTCCTGACCTCGTGATCCTCCAGCCTCGGCCTCCCCAAATGCTGGGATTACAGGTATGAGCCACCGTGCCCAGCCTTTTTTTTCCTGTTTTAAAATTAAAACAGTATACTCAACTTAATTCTCAAAAATAAAACAAGTCCCTTTTTTCCCCAGCTAAGCTGACAATTCAGAAATTTTACAAAACATGTAGGGAGAGGAGAAAGTCTGGTAAATAAGTGTTATTGTATATTATAATGTGGAAGTACTTGCTTCACATCACTGATTTTGCAATGTAGTAAAACTACTCATTTGCAGAAAGTGCTTCCTCAAATTAATGAATATTATGAATTATACTGCACTTAAACATAAATGGAGTATAAACATATGAGATGTATAAATATAAACATATAACAAATTTATAATACTTTTACATATGAATATATAT
This sequence comes from Homo sapiens, assembly GCF_000001405.40. Taxonomy (NCBI): domain Eukaryota; kingdom Metazoa; phylum Chordata; class Mammalia; order Primates; family Hominidae; genus Homo; species Homo sapiens. The sequence continues at coordinate 99,962,072 of NC_000004.12, forward strand.
AAAACTCCAAGTAGCTGCTAATCAGTGTTGTCAAGAACAAATACTAGTACATTTGCTTTTTAAAAAAAAAGATTTATAATAGCATTATTTGAAAATTTATCAAAGCTCAAGAATTTTAAAAATAATATGTTTGAAAATTTCTACATTTTGTGTTCTCTAAATTGGCTTATAAACATTCTTTATGGATAGTTCAAACTATAGTTTGTTTTTTTTTTTTGAAATGGAGTCTTGCTTTGTCACCCAGGCTGGAGTGCAGTGGCACAATCTCAGCTCACTGCAACCTCCACCTCCTGGGTCCAAACGATTCTTTTGCCTCAGCCTCCCAAGTAGCTGAGACTACAGGCACTTGCCACCATGCCCGGCTAATTTTTCTATTTTTGTGGAGATGAGGTTTCACCATGTTGGTCAGGTTGGTCTCAAACTCCTGACCTCAAGTGATCCGCCTGCTTCGGCCTCCCAAAGTGCTGGGATTACAGGCGTGAGCCACCGCGCCTGGTCCAAACTATAGTTAAATTTCCAAAGACATGTTGAAAATTCCAGATGACTAGTATCTGAAATATTGCAGCTCTGTTCTTGGTTGGCTGTGGCAATTTGATTGTCCTACAATGCTTGGGGACATAACTTGAAACTACAGTTATAAACAAGCAACATTTTTATTCAGACTGCATATTTTGGAGGTGGCCAAATCTCCCCAAGTCACCCCTACATGCTGAAATTTGTTTTGAATGATAGCTAATGTAAAAATGTAGTCTTTTTTTTATTTTTGAGACAGAGTTTCGCTCTTGTTGCCCAGGCTGGAGTGCAATGGCGTGATCTCAGCTCACTGAAACCTCTGCCTCCCAGGTTCAAGCGATTCTCCTGCCTCAGCCTCCGGAGTAGCTGGGATTACAGGTGCCCACCACCACACCTGGCTAAGTTTTGTGTTTTTATTAGAGACAGGGTTTCGTCATGTTGGCCAGACTGGTCTCAAACTCTTGACCTCAGGTGATCCGCCCACTTTGGCCTCCCAAAGTGCTGGGATTACAGGTGTGAGCCATTGTGCCTGGCCCATTCATTTTTAAAATTGTAGCTGTCATTAGCTTCCTCACTCCATTTGCTTCTCACATTTCCAAAACCTACTTTGAGTGGACAAGGCACCATTGCACTTACATGATCTTCCTATGGATTATGGATTATAAATATGTATATAAACATTGGGGAAAAACACTGAAGAATATCAAGTAGGTAATCAAAGCCCTGAATGGCTGAGACTGGCTCACTGTTCACCAGACCCATTTCTTCTTCCTATGAGGGGTGGCCGTGTGATGGGTTCTTGTCAATGTGTCTAGAAGTGACATGTGTTATTTCAACATGGAGGCTTTTAAAAAGTAGGTGTGCCTCCTATGCCTTCTTTTTCTGTATTTGAGAGTTGTACACATATGACTCCACAGCACAGAAGAGGTTAAATTCACAAGATTGAACACATGAAAGGATACCTGACAATCAGGAACACTGACACTTAAATTATGTTAAGCCATCACAATTTTGTTGTTTTCTTTTGTTATAGTAGTTAGCCTTCCCTAACTAGTATGCCTGGTCTACAATCACAACACAATCAATGTAAAGACATTTTAAAGAGATTTATATCTATGTAATAATTCATTATTAGGACACTAGTCTCATTTGCTAATTAGTATATAATAGAAGAAGTTTCGGCAAACATTTTCTCCTAAATAACCCTTATTTTAATCATTCTTTACTTTTAAAAAGACTGTGCTTTGCAAAAATAAGAAGAAAATTATTCACAAGGTTATTTATTGTGGCGTTTGCAACAGCAAGTGATTGGAAAGAATTATCATATGATCATTGATAGATAACTTAGTGAAAAAAATATGGTACATAGACCCAATGACGTAGGATGGAGCACTGAAAAGTAATGAGGAAAATATTTACACACAAATACAGAGTGATCTCCAGGATGTATTATTAAGTGAAAGAAATAAAGTGCAGCAAATGGTATGTAGTAAATTATGTGAGGGATAAAATGTTGCATAAATGGTCATATTTACAAAACAACAATAGTGGATGAATAAATGAAAAATTAATAAAAATTATTACAGTGAATGGAAGGGGAGAGAAGACAGAGAACAAGTTTGAAGACTCTTTCACTGGCCAAAATGGAATACATTGAGCATCAAAAATAATAATGAACACAAGTTTGAGTCAAGCCTATTGAATTTTTAAAAAGTAATGAGTTCAAATTGAAGAGAAGAGAGTTCAGAGAGAAGACAGAGGAGGAGAAAGAAAAAGGTAGAAAGAGAGGAGGAGAGAGAAAAAAAAATTTGCTGGATGCTGTTGGAAGTGTCCACAGCACCAACTCATTACTCATATCTCAAGACTGATAATTAAAGGTGAAGAAGTAGGCCAGGCAAAGTGGCTCCCGCCTTAGGGAGGCTGTAGAGGAGGATTGCTTGAGGCCAAGAGTTAGAGATCAGCCTGGGCAACACAGTGAGATCTCTTCTCTAAAAAAGAAAAATTAGCTGGGCACAGTGGCACTTGCCCATGGTCCCAGCTGTTCTGGAGGCTGAGGTGGCAGGAGGATTGCTTGAGCCAAAGAGGTTGAGGCTGCAGTGAGCCATGTGACAGAGTGAGATCTTGTCTCAAATAAATAGATACAAATAAAGGTGAAAAAATAAGCATTTATCCTGTCTGTATGCTATGAATTATGTTTCAGTTTATACTGAACTAACTGATGAGAAAAATTTCTCTGAACAAAAGAATCTCAGCTAATAAATGCAGAAGAACTAATAGAATTTTTTTTAAATCTCAATTTTTAAACCTTCACATGAATCATTTAAAGGTCATTAATCTGCTGTAAAATCATTAGATGAAAGTTTAGGAAATTTACAATGAAGGAATATGGCTGTTACCCCCCACCATCAATCTTAGTATTGTAAAACTAAAACAACCAGATGAACCAAATGCCTTTTGATGTAATCAACATGAAAATGAACTACACAACCCCACCTATGAAGTATTCTTAAAAAAAAAAACTGAACCCATATCTGTTCAAGTCTTCAGGACTAATTTCTTGGCACTGAAAATAAAAAGCCACCAAGCAGACAATGCAAAGAAGCATTAGCCATATCCACAATGTGTAAAATTGACCTGTTTTTTTTCAATAAGGCAATAGAATTCAGGGAAGGAGAAAAAAGAGGAGAAAACTGTTCTAAATTAAGAGATATTTAAAAAGAATTGTGAGATAGAACAACCCAGTAAAATGTGTGAACCTTGGTTGGAAGCTGATGTCATTAAACCTCTAATTAGTGGTAGTGGTTGTTTTTTTAAGGTTTTACATAATTGGGGAAATTTGAATACAGATTTAGAACTAGGTAATATGAAGGAATTATTGTTAATGCTGTTAGAGAAAACAATGGCATTTGTTTATGTAAGAAAATGTCCTTTGTTTTATTATTTTTAAAGAAAGCACATTAAAATATTTAAGGTTAATATAAAATGATTTCTGAAATTTGCTTTAAAATGCTCCAAAAATTTTTTTAATGCAGGAGGCATAAACAATATGGCAAAATATTTATAATTATTGAAATTAAGTACTTATTTGAAATTTTCAGTAGAGTTCAAAAAGAAAAAATTGGTAATGAAATTGCTGCAGATGCTGTCTCTGTGTAGGAAGAAAAAAATGGTAAACTTTGCTTTGTGGTCATCAGTTTGCCGTTGTTTGGGACCTTTTCATATCATAGTTTTTACCCTTAAATTAAAAAAAAAAAAAACCAACCCCAATATCCTGTTTAAACAAACCAAGCTTCGCTTCTTAGCCACTCTGGTTTCACCACATAAACGATACTTTATTGTTTGAAGTTGTGCTGAGCTGTCTTTAACAGCTAAGTTTATCTACATATATAAATATTCTGACTGTAAATTTTGTTTTGTTGGGCTATACTAAAATAACATGCAGAGAACTTGAACATGAAACACAAACGGTAAGAGGCAAAGATGCAGCAGTGGAAAAAAAGAGGAAAATTGAATTCAGAACAAACTGGATTTGACATTTATGCTTCCCAGCTAAGAGACGTTGGTCTAATCAACCTATGTGAGCATTCCACTTCTCTTGGGCAGAATGGGACTATTGTGAAGACTGCATGAGCTAAGTCATGTGCTTTTTTAACTGTAATGCATCATACCAAGATAAAATATTATTAGCATGAAGAATGAATGCTGGCAATATTTCATGACTATTTTCATTTTACAAAAGTGAAAAATTATTTACACTGATTTTTAAAAAGAATTAAAAATAATTTACAAAATTTATCCTAATAAACAGCAATAAGAAACACATTTGGTCTGCCTTTACATATTTCCATCGGTAGGAGAATCAGATCTGCTCAACAAGGATAGAGTTCCACTTTGGTTTTTGACTTTGTTCCTGCTAAGGATCATTTTACTACAGTGATATTAGGTCTTACTTAGAAAAACTATTATTCTGTCTCTTCAGGTGTAGTTAACTACACTGAAAATTTCCATTAAAAAGATACCAGAGTAAAGAAATAATTTTATAATGCAGAAAATCACCCCAGTTTTACTGTTTTATACCCTATCTTTAATATATCAAGTTTGTTTGTTTTAATTTCAGCACCTAATACAATTTCGCCTCTTCAAAAACTTACAGATAAATTGAGAACTATACTCAGAAGCCACAGGCAACATTAACTGTGACTTAGATGGTTCTGAGTAATTTATAATTCAATTTGCAGCCAATATTCAGTGTTGTTATGCACTTGAACTCAGCTTTTCTGGAAATTGTTTAAGGCACGTAAACATCCTGCGTTAATGAAAAGTTGTTCTTACAACATAATTGTGAGTCATGAAGAGAGAACTGAAGAAAACATAACCTTTTTTCCTTATCCTTTCTTTAGAAAAAGAGGCCAAATGAAAGAATATGAATATCTCTTTAAAGTAATTAATGGCTTAAGGGCTACAAAGTACTTTGAAAACAAAAGCAAAAATTTCTCCTAATAAACAGCAACAAGAAACACATTTGGTCTGGCTGTAGTATTTCTGTCAGTGGGAGAATTAGACACACAAGGATAGAGTTCCACATTGTTTTTCATTGTTGTTGTTGTTTGTTTGTTTGTTTTGAGACAGAGTTTCGATCTTCTTGTCCAGGCTGGAGTGCAGTGGCGCGATCTCGGCTCACTGCAACCTCTACCTCTCAGGTTCAAGCTATTCTCCTGCCTCAGCCTCCCAAGGAGCTGGGAATACAGGCATGCACCATCATGCTCGGCTAATATTGTATTTTTAGTAGAGATGGGGCTCTTACCATGTTGGTCAGGCTGGTCTCGAACTCCTGACCTCAAGTAATCCACCTGCCTCAGCATCCCAAAGTGTCGGGATTACAGGTGTTAGCCACTGTGCCTGGCCCACATTGGTTTTTTACTTTGTGCCTGCTAAGGATCATTTCACTACGGTGATGTTAGGTCTTATTTAGATAAAATGTTATTCTGTCTTTTCAGGTGAATGGTAGAGAAAATAGATTATATTCCTGTGGGCACTGCTAGTACTTTCAATACTTTTATAATGGGCTCATCTGTATCTCTTTACTCTCATTTTTTCATTTTTTAATGGTCTCAATCTAGATGATTCTTTTCCCATTTAAAAAGCCATTATTTATTAATTGATTGATTCTTGAAAAGGCTAAACTTGTCAATGTTTCAACATTTAAAAGGCTAAAAAAAGTGGTATAGAGTGAAAATTCTCTCTCCCACTCCTATCCTTCAGTTGCTCAGCAATGTGTTTTCTCCATAGTTTCCCTGATCACCTGCTTTTGTTTACAAAGCTTTTGTTGCTTCCTCTATCTGAAATGTGCTTCAGATAGCTGTCAATTTTTGCACTTTACTTCTTCAAAATATGGCTCAATACTCTCCTTTAGTGAACATTCCCTGAGCCACCATCTCCAAAATTGATCTCTTATTCCCCTTGATTCTGCATCATTGAATATGGTTTGTACCCTGCTTTCTTTAATATACTTTAAATTGCTAATGCTCCTAAATTACTTTCATATTTTCTGGAATGATTTTAGATTTTTGAATAGCCTACAGATTTACAGTGCCTTGAAAGCAAGAAATGACTTTTATTTTATTTTTCCTACGTAGCAGTCTGGATCTATGCAACTAGTTGGTGCCTAGTATCTTCTGTATCCTCAAAAATTATTAACTGGCATTTCTCAAAATTTGGTGCATATCAGAATCCTGGGGCCGAGAATGGAGGGGAGGTGGAAAGTGGGGAGCTTTTGAAACTCGTGAATGGTAGGATTCACCCCATACCAATTAAATCAGAGTCTCTTGGGAGTGAGATTTGAGCATAAACAGTATTTAAAACCTGCTGGATGACTTCAATGCACAGCTATGTTTTAAGAATCAGTGATCTAACCCACTCCCTGCCCTCAATTTCAGTGATGACCTCATTCCATGAGAATCTGCTCTTCCTACCAGTGTTATACAATTCTCCCTGCATCTGCACCCATCTTCTGCTTTTCCCCCACTACAGCTAAGAAAGAGTTCCTCTGCTTCCCATAGGCCTCCTTCCAGCTGCCACATTGTCTTTGCTCCCTTTCACAGAAACCTTTTCATGGGATTTTTCTTTGCAGGTGGTTGTCACTTTTTCACCTCCAAATCTCTCTTCAACCACTTATATTTGACTTTCATTCCCATCAGGCCTCCCAAATGGTTCTTGTCACTGTTAATTGCCATGTTGCCAAACCCAAGGGTCAGTTTTCTTCCTTCTTTTTACCTCTCAGCAGCATGACCACACTTTCCACCAGATACTGCCATTTCTTGACTTCCAGGATACCATATGGTTGCTTCTCTTCTCCTTTTATTGCTTTCTTTCATTTATTTTCTCTTCACTACCTGACTTCAAGATGGCACTTTCCCAGGGCTTGGTCCTAAGCCCTCCTCTTTCTCCACATATTTCCATGTACAACTTTTAAGTAGAGATGATTTCAGATAGTAGATGACTGAAAATTTTTTACCTTTATAGTTAAGTACAGTTGTCTCTGGTTATCTCTGGAGATTGGTTCTACGAACCCCGGTGGATACCAAAATCATCAGATGCTCAAGTCGCTGATATTAAATGTTGTGGTATTTGCATATAACCTATGCACATACTCCTGTGTACTTTAATCTCTAGATTACTTATAATACCTAATACAATATAAATAGTTGATACACTGTATTGTTTAGGAAATAATGACAGGAAAGACATTCAGTACAAACACAATTTGTTTTCCAAATATTTTTGATCCACTGTTGGTTGAATCCATGGATGTGGAATCCACGGATACAGAGGGTCCACTATTTATTTCACCTTGACAGGTAAGCATTAGAAAAGACTACAACCTGAAAATCAAACTCACATTAAGGTTAGAAAGTGAAGAAGAGTGAGTTCAAATAGCAAATCATATGGCAAATTTCAGAAAATCTGCTTTTTACACATCTCTTTTCTTTTCCTAAATTTCTTCTCAAGTTCACAGCTATCTTCACTCTTTCCAAAAGCCTCTATCTATGGTCAACCATTATATCTTCCCCTGGCCCCTTTATAATTTTTCCCCCAATCATACTCTCCAGCCTCTTGGTTCCATTCTCCCCCCTCTTCATTCATCTCTGGCAGAAGCACATCTTGCTGATGAGCTTCCAGATGCCCTGTATTGAAACTGCATATATTACTGAGAAGTTAGGTTTCACTTAACTGGGAAAGCTTCAAAATAGGGAACAAATACCTTGCAAGGAAGCCGTTGAAAATTTGCTGGATATAGAAGAGATACTCTGGGAAAGAAAGAGGTGTGGTAATAAAACAATATACAAATATTTTAAATAATAAAGTCTGTCTTAGACTTGTTGTCTAAGAATCTAGGATAATTCACATTTAAGAATATTGGTATTCTTTGGGAGCCCAGGAGCCCCAAAAGCACCTGGGTCAAGATCAGAGCTGGCATCTTGATCACCAAGTTAACTTATTTTAGCATTACCAATATATAGTCTCTCTAATTATTAGATTTGCATCTCTAAGATTCTAATATAATGGTCCTGATATAAAACTACTATTTTCTAATAGTTCTGTTAGAATCTTTTTATTTTATTTTATTTATTAAATTTGATTTCATTTCTTAGAGACTGGGTCTCACTGTCACCCAGGCTGGAGTGCAGTGGCACAATCATATCTCACTGCAGCCTTGACCTCCCATGCTCTAGTGATCCTCCCACTTCAGCCTCCTGAGTAGCTGGGACTACAGGTGTGTGCCGCCACACTCGAATAATTTTTTTATTTCTTATTTTTTGTAGAAATGGAGTCCCACTATGTTTCCCAGGCTGGTCTTGAACTCCTGGGCTCAAGTGATCCTCCCGCCTCAGCCTCCCAAATTCCTGGGATTACAGGTGTGAACTACTGTTCCTTGTCCCATAGAATCTTTCTAACTCTGACGTAATAAAATAAAATTTGACCTAACAGAATATCTGCAATAATTCTATTTTTACTTAATAATTCTAGTAGTACCTGCAGGTCATATTTAGATTATATATATTAGATTATAATAAAACTGCAAGCAGTATGTTGTTTTTGTATGACAGGAAATAAAATAATACAAATAACCAATATCTTAATGATTAACCCATTTCTGTTTTTATCCTGGTACCAAATTTTGGCTTTGTTTTTGCCATTTTCAATGGCGTTCTTTAGTATGGGGAGCATTCAGTCATCTCTTTCCAGAATCAACAGACTGTATCACCAGATAAACTGCCAATGAGCCAGATAAATAGGATATAAATCCTCAGTTTCTTTAGAGTAAAAAAAATACTAACTTATACATTTATGTAATGATTTTTAACAAGTCAGCCCTGTTTTATCCTGCTCCAAGATGGCCAACTAGATGCAGGCAGGAGGAACATCTGCAACCAAGTGACCGAGACATTGGTAAGACTGGTGCACTCCTAGCAGAACTTCAGAGGGAAGCCATTGAGAACAGATGGAGAAAAGACACAGATGCTGAGCTGAAGGGGAAGGAAACTGGGAACCTTGCACAGGGCTACTGTTCACCAAGACTCATTCCTGGTGTCCAGCAACTCCTGGGGAAGGGGTGACTTGAACAGGCAAGGAACAACCCACTTTTACCACAGGACTCTGGAATCCTGGCAGGAGGAGACCCTGTGATCACCATGGACACTTGCGTTGGCAGGGAGAGCTGCTTAGATAAGTGGTTGGGGCAGAACTACAGCCAGCATGGAGCCCAGTTGGTTTGATGTGGGAGCATCCTTAGTGGAGAATGGCCAGTGATGCCCATTCCCCTAGGTTCGACTTGATCCCATAGGAGACTTGAGCCCTGGTAGTACTGTGCAACCTGAACTCTGCTGGGTGGTCTTACCTGTGACACAGGGCGGTCTGACCTGAGCACCCTTCATTCTGCTGGTCTCTCCTGGGGACCCGGCTTGACCACGCCTGCTTGCAGTGCAGCCCCCAGGTACCTCCTGGGGACCCACATTATAGCTTCTGGCTGGTGGACCTGGCCTGACCAGCAGAGTGCTCTAGCAGAGAGGCTGGCAGACTCTCACCAGCCCACCTGCACCCTCCCCACTTGGCAGCCTGCCCTGTGTGCTTTGCCCTGTGTGATGGCTACTCACTTATGGCCATCCCTCTGCATCACTTTGCTGGCATGGGTGGACCTTTCCTTTCCTTTCTTACCAGCGTGCGTGTACAGGTGCACCCTGCCATGCCACTGCTGCCTGCATAAGTGCACCCATCCTTCCCCCAACCGCACTGCCATTGTCGTTGGAGCATTGGCAGGCACGAGCCCGCTAGCCCTGCCCTGGCTAATGCCCCAGCCCTGTGCTGACACTGCCGCTGGCATGAAACATAGGCATGGAGGACAGTGGATCTACCTCCACCCTGAGGACCACCTCCACCTACAGGAACAGGCACAGAGGGCACACACAGTCCTGTACCCACTGGCGCCCCACCCCTGTGCTGATACCACCACAGGTGTGAACACGTAAACAGTCGCCAGCAAGGGTCCCCTGTCCCCTTGAGCGGTGTTGCCACCACAGCTGCTGTGAATGCTGGCACAGCAGCCAGCACCCTGGCACCTACTAGCACCCTGACACAGCTAATGAGTATGCAGCCCCTGTGCTGCTGCTGCCTCTGCTGCTGACTTGTGCACACGAGGGTAAATTCTGCTACCACCACCCTGTGAAGTGTTTTGGCTGGCACCACCCATTGGAGTGTTGTGAATAGCAGTCTGGGAGCACCTCAGCTCCTACAGTGCAGCAGGTTCCTAAACTCAAGAAGCCAGAGAACAAAGCTGGGGCTCAGTGCCAGTCCCCTAGAGCTACAGCATGGAGTCCAGGAGTCCTGAGCTGAGCCTTAGCCCCCTAAAATCTTTCAGAAATGAAGCCAGTCGACAGAACCCATGTTATACCAAAATCAAACCCCCAAGGTCATCAAATAGGATAAAATAAATAAAAACCCATCCAAAAACAGCAACTTCAAAGATTGAAGGAACATTATTAGCCCACACAGATGAGAAAGAAGCAACACAAGAACTGACAGCTGAAAAAGTCAGAGTGCCTTCTTTCCTCCAAATGATCACAGTAGTCCTCCATCAAGGGTTCATAACTGGGCTGAGATGGCCAGAATGACAAATAGAATTTATGGCTAGGAATGAAGATCATCAAGATTTGGGAGAACATTGAAACCCAATCTAAGGAAGCTAAGAATCACAATAAAGTGACACAGGAGCTGACAGACAAAATAGCCCATATAGAAAAAATGTAACCAACCTGATAGAGTGAAAAACACTACAAGAATTTCGTAATCCAATTGCAAGTATTAACAGCAGAAGAGACCAAGTGGAGGAAAAAATCTCAGAGCTTGAAGACTGGCTTCCTGAAATAAGACAGTCAGACAAGAATAAAGTAAAAATAATGAAAAGGAATGTAAAGAGAGCAAATCCACAACTTACTGGCATCCCTGAAACAGATGGGAAGAATGGAAGCAACTTGGAAAACATATTTCAGGATATCATCAGTGAGAACTTCCCCAACGTAGCTAGAGAGGCCAACATTCAAATTCAGGAAATGCAGAGAACTGCCACAAAATACTTCACAAGATCATCTCCAAGACACATAATCATAGATTTTTCCAAGGTTGAAATGCAAGAAAAAAATATTAAAGGCAGCTGGAGAAAAGGACAGGTCATCTACAAAGGGAAGTCCATTAGACTAAAGGTGGACCTACCAGTAGGATCCCTACAAGCCAGAAGAAATTGGGGGCCTAGATTCAAAACATTCTTAAAGAAAAGAAATTCCAATCAAGAGTTCCATATCCACCCAAACTAAGCTTCACATGCAAAGAAGAAGTAAGATCCTTTTCAGACAAGCAAATGCAGAGAGAGTTTGTTACCACCAGAGCTTCCTTACAAGAGCTACTGAAAGAAGCACTAAATATGGAAAGATCATTACCAGCTGCTAAAAAAAAATCTAAATACACAGATCAGTGACACTATTAGCAACTACATAAAAAAGTTAGCATAATAACCAGCTAACGACACAATGACAGGATGAATCCATACATATCAATACTAACCTTGAATGGAAACTGGCTAAATGCCCCAATTAAAAGGCACAGAGTGGTAAGCTGGATACAGAAGCAAGGCCCAATGATATCCTGTCTTCAACAGACGCATCTCACATGCAATGACAACCATAGGCTCAAAATAAAGGGATTAAGAAAAGGCAAATGGAAAACAGAAAAAAGCAGGGGTTGCAATCCTAATTTCAGACAAAACATAATTTAAGCCAACAAAGATAAAAAAAGACAAGGGCATTACATAATGGTAAGGGAGTCAATTAAACAATAAGACTTAATATCCTAAATATATATGCACCCAACACAGGAGCACCCATATTCATAAAACAAGTTCTCAGAGACCTTCAAAAGACTTAGACTCACACACAATACTAGTGGAAGACTTCAACACCCCACTGACTGTATTAGACTAATCCTTGAGGCAGAAAAATAACAAAGATATTCAGAGCCTGAACTCAACACAGGACCAAATAGGCCTGATAGACATCTATAGAACTCTCCACACAAAAACACAGAATATACGTTCTTTTCATTGCCACATGGTGCATACTCTTAAATCAACCACAAAGTTAGACATAAAACAATCCTTAGCAAATGCAAAAGAACTGAAATCATATTAACCATTCTCTTGAATCACAGTGCAATAAAAGTAGAATTCAGGAAAAAGAAAATCACTCAAAACCATACAATTACATAGGAATTAAACGACCTGCTCCCAAATGACTTTTGGGTAAATAACAAAATTAAGGTAGAAATCAAGAAATTCTTTGAAACTAATGAGGACAAAAATACAACATTATCAGGATCTCTGGGACACAGCTAAGGCAGTGTTAAGATGGAAATGAATAGCACTAAATGCCCACATAAAAAAGTTAGAAAGATTTCAAATTAACAAACTACATTACAACTAAAAGAACTAGAGAAGCAACAGCACACCAACCCTAAAGCTAGTGGGAGACAAGAAATAACCAAAATCACAGCTGAACTGGAGGAGACTGAGACACAAAAAGCCATTCAAAAGATCAATGAACCCAGGGGTTGTTTCTATGAAAAAATTAATAAGATAAATATATTGCTAGCCAGGCTAATAAAGAAGAAAACAGAAGATCCAAATAAACACAATTAGAAATGACAAAGGGGATATTACCACTGACACCACCAAAATGCAAATGACCATCAGAGACTACCATGTATACCTCTATACACACAAACTAGAAAACCTAGAAGAAATGAATAAATTCATGGACACATATACCCTCCTAAGACTGAACTGGGAAGAAATTGATTCCCTAAATAGACCAATAATGAGCTCTGAAATTAAATCAGTAATAAATAGCCTAACAACCAAGAAAACCCCAAGACCAGATGGAGTCACATTCAAACTCTACCAGATATACAAAGAAGAGCTGGTACCATTCCTACTGAAATGATTCGAAAAAATTGAGGAGGATAAACTCCTCCCCAACTCATTCTGTGAGACCAGTATCATCCTGATACCAAAACCTGGCGGAGATACAATAACAACAACAAGGCCTCAGGCCAATATTCTCAATGAAAATTGATGCAAAAATCCTCAAAAAAATACTAACAAACTGAATCCTGCAGCTTATTAAAAAGCTAATCCACCACAATCAAGTAGGCTTTATCCCTGGGATGCAAGGTTGGTTTGACATATGGACATCAATAAACATGATTCATCACATAAACAGAACTAAAGGCAAAACCACATGATCACCTCTATAGATGCAGAAAATGCTTTCAATAAAATTTAACACCCTTCATGTTAAAAACTCTCAATAAACTAGGCATTGAAGGAATACACCTCAAAATAATAAGAGCCATCTATGACAAACCCACAGCCAACATCATACTGAATGGGCAAAAGCTGGAAGCATTCCCCTTGAAAACTGGCACAAGACAAGGATGTTCTCTCTCACCACACCTATTCAATGCAGTATTGGAAGTTCTGGCCAGGGCAATCAGGCAAGAGCAAGAAATAAAGGGCATCCAAATAGGAAGAGAGGAAGTCAATCTATCCCTGTTTGCAGATGGCATAATCCTACATCTAGAAAATCCCATAGTCTCCTCCCCAAACCTTCTTCAGCTGATAAACAACATCAGCAAATTTTCAGGATACAAAATCAACACACAAAAATCACTAGCATTCCTATACATCAAAACAACCAAGCTGAGAGCCAAGTCCCATTCCCAGTTGCCACAAAAAGAATAAAATACCTAGGAATACAGCTCACCAGGGAGGTGAAAGATATCTAAAATGAAAGCTACAAAACACTACTCAAAGAAATCAGAGATGACACAAAAAATGGAAAAAACATTCCATGCTCATGGATAGTAAGAATCAATATCTTTAAAATGGCCATGCTGCCCAAAGCAATTTACAGATTCAACGCTATTCCTATCAAACTACCAATGAAATTCTTCACGGAAATAGAAAAAACAATTTTAAAATTCATGTGGAAGCCAGGTGCGGTGGCTCACGCCTGTAATCCCAGCACTTTGGAAGGCTGAGGAGGGTGGATCACGAGGTCAAGAGATCAAGACCATCATGGCCAACATGGTGAAACCCCGTCTCCACTAAAAATACAAAAATTAGCTGGGTCTGGTGGCACATGCCTGTAGTCCCAGCTACTCGGGGTTGGGGGTGGGGGTGGGTGCTGAGGCAGGAGAATCGCTTGAACCCAGGAGGCAGAGGTTGCAGTGAGCAGAGATCATTCCACTGGACTCCAGCCTGGTGACAGAGCAAGACTCCATCTCAAAAAAAAAATAATAATAATAATATGGAACCAAAAAAAGAGCTTGAATAACCAAGGCAATTCTAAGCAAAAATAACAAAGCAGGAGACATCACACTAATCGAATTCAAACTATACTATAGGGCTACAGTAACCAGAACACCATGGTACTGGTACGAAAGCAGATGCATAGACCAAGGGAACAGAATCAAGAGCCCAGAAATAAAGCAGCACACCTACAACCATCTGATATTCGACAAGGCTGACAAAAGTAAGCAATAAGGAAAGTACTCCCTATTCAACAAATGGTGTTGGGATAACTGGGTAGCCATATGCAGAAGACTGAAAGTGGGACCCTTTCTTACACCACACGCAAAATCAAATCACAATGGATTCAGAACTTATATGTAAAACCCAAAACTATAACAATCCTGGAAAATAGCCCAGGCAATACCATTCTGGACATAGGAACTGGCAAATATTTCATGACGAAGATGCCAAAAACAATGACAGCAAAAACAAAAATTGACAAATAGGATCTGATTAAAGAGCTTCTGCACAACAAAATAAATTATCAACAGAGCAAACAGACAGCTTACAGAATGGGAGAACATATTTGCAAACTATGCATCTGACAAGTTCTAATAACCAGTATTTACAAGGAACTTAAACAAATTTACAACAAAAAACCAAACAACCCCTTTAAAAAGTAGGCAAAAGACATAAACAGATGCTTTTCAAAAGAAGACATA
This sequence comes from Homo sapiens, assembly GCF_000001405.40. NCBI lineage: Eukaryota > Metazoa > Chordata > Mammalia > Primates > Hominidae > Homo > Homo sapiens. The sequence goes on from NC_000004.12 coordinate 99,977,207, forward strand.
TATAGGGCCAACAAGCATGTGAAATAAAAGCTCAATATCACTGATCATTAGAGAAATGCAAATCAAAATCACAATGAGATACCATCTCACACCAGTCAGAATGGCTATTATTAAATAGTCATTTAAAAAAATAACAGATGCTGGCAAGGTTGTGGAGAGAAGGGAACACTTATACACTGTTACTGGGAGTGTAAGTTAGTTCAACCATTGTGGAAAGCAGTGTGGCAATTCCTCAAAGAGCTAGAAACAGAACTACTATTTGACCCAGAAATTCTGTTACTGAGTATATACCCAAAGGAATATAAATTGTTCTATCATAAAGGCACATGCACATGTATGTTCATCGCAGCACTGTTCATGATAGTAAAGACATGGAATCAACCTAAATGCACATCAATGGTAGACTGGATAAAGAAAATGTAGTACATATACACCACGGAATACCATGCAGCTATGAAAAATAATGAGATCATGTCCTTTGGAAGCAGATGGACAGAGCTGGAGGCCATTATCCTTACCAAACTATTGCAGGAAGAGAAAACCAAAGACCACATGTTCTTACTTATAAGTAGGAGCTAAATGAGACACAAAGAGAGGAACAACACATTCTGGGGCGTTCCTGAGGGTGGAGGGTGGGAGGAGGGAAAGGATCAGAAAAAATAACTATTGGCTACTAGGCTTTGTACCTGGATGGCCAAATAATCTGTACAACAAACACCCATGACATGAGATTACCAATGGAACAAACCTGCACATGTACCCCTGAGCTTCAAATAAAAGTTCAGAAACAGACAAAACCAAACAAAAACCAAATTAGCCCTAGCATTTGTGGAGGCATACATACTATATTCCTCAATATTTACATGTTTAAAGTTAACAAATTATTGAGTAAAATGTTTTATCATCCTACATTGACAAAATTATATTTATAACATTTTTAAATGTGAAGAACTATGTTACATTTAAATAGCTGCAAGTTAGTAAATGTAAAAGATGATTTATTTTAATTATGCTTGGCATGTCTGGCCTTCTAGTGATAGGCCAGTGATGTTTGAATGGTATAAAGCAAAGATATATATAATGAATACATTATTATATATTTATTTCATAAGCATTTTTTTCTTCATTTTAGAAAAATTGCTAATTATGTTATAATCAATATTTTCATTTAATTTGTATTGACAGCATGCTAAATGAGAGGACATTGCTTGATTTATTAAAACTTTTTGATAGATTTTAAAATTAATTTTAATTGGCCAAACTATCACTCTGCTGAAACAATAACATCTGGAATTTTTAATGAAATTCTTAAAGCAATACTTGATTTAGTAATGGACCATGAATTTTACATATCATGTTTGAGCATTGGTTTGCATATGATAAACTAATATTACCCCATGAGATTTTACAAAACATTTAAAATTTCATTGCTATCACTTATGTTGTAATTTATAGTCTTTTAAGTAAGATCTAATCTGTATACTAATGTAAAAAACTGATAGCACAGTCAACTGATGCTATATCTAGATTTATATATTCAGTTATGTAATATTGAAAATTGTTCCTCAGCCACCATGTACAACTTGGTGATTATCATGCTAATTTATGAGTATTTTCAGAACCACAAATGAAACACACACACAAAAACAGAAATGTTCACTTTAGGCACTACTGGGATTTTGGGGGGCGTTTTGTTGTTGTTGTTATGCAAGAAACTATTACATTGCCCTTGTTTCAGAATTGCCTTGTAGATATGTGATGCTGTCAACAAATAGTTCTATTTCTAAACAAAGAAGTATATTTTTAGGTCGTAAGAAACAAAGCCAAATCTCTAGTTTGTTAGATTCTAATGATAGAAGGAAAAGGCAGATACCTTAAAAGATCACAGATATTTGAAATCATAAATTGAACACACATACCTGCCTACCAATAAGATATAAAGATACCATAAATTGTTGATGTTAATTTGTAATTAAATAACATTTTTTAGAAAAACTTTACTTAAAATAGTCTTAAATGTACATAATAATGCCAAATTTCTATGACTCAAAAATATTTACAACCGCCATTTTCAATACAAGTGAAACTCATGAATCATTATAAGAGCAAAATATTGATTTAGCAAGGAGTAGTCTGTTGAATATTAAGAAATAATTAATATTCAGGAAGTTTTTATTGACAACTCTGTGGCAGAATCTCAATATAAACAAGATATAGATGATTTTAAATCAACCTCCCCCACACATATATATACATGCAAAGCATGGCAATGTATTTTATTGCTAACTTGTGAGATCTATTTTGTTACTTCATTGATACCCATTCATATACTTACTTTTGGATTTTTTTTAATTAGAAGTTAGGATGAAGGAATTAATTGAGTTCTAAAAATCCCTAACTCTCTACCTTGTTTAACATACTTAGACTTAAACAGTGAAACTCAATAGCCTTCTGGGCTTTTGATGAACAAAGAGCTATCAGTTTATAGAGCAAAAATAGAACCTGTCCCTGAACAACCAATTATATTCAGTAACTTAATGACTATTTGAGTACATATCATATGCCAGCCACTGTTCTACACATTGATTTACAACAATGAACAAAAGCAAAGCATCCTACCTTCAAGGAGCTTACATTCTAGAAATGGAATGGAGTGGGGGTGGGGGTGTAGAGAGCAAATATATCAGTAAATTATGTGGAATGCATGAGGATAAATACTATGAGGAAAATAAATTAGGATAAAGGAATGGGAGTGCTGGGCAGAGGTTGCAGTTTTAAAGGGATTGTCAGAGAAGAACTTACTGAGAAAATGACATGAGTCATAAAAGAGGTTATTTTTAAAAACTTTTTTTAAATTTTGAAATACTGTCAAATGTACAGAAAAATTACAAGTACAATGCAAAGAATGTTATTTTCCTAAATCATTAGACAGTAAGTGGCTGACTCATCACCCTCAAATACTTTGAGGTATATTCTTTACAAACAAAGACATTCTTCCTACATAAACCATAGTATAACCACTATAATAAAGAGATTATCATTTCTACATTACAAGCATCAAATCCATATCAAGTTCACAGACCCCATTTACATTTCTCCATTTGTCCCAATAATGTCCTTTATTGCAAAAGGATCTATTTCAGAATTGTGTGTTGTATTTGTCTTTTTTTGTCTCTTCAATTTGGAATTATTCCTCAGCCTTTCTTTGAATTTCATGACCTTCACCATTTAAAACAAAATTACAGGACACTTATTTTGTAAAATGTTTTTAAATAGGATTTGTCTGATGTTTCTTTATGGTTATATTCAGATTTTGCATCTATGGCAGGAATATCACAGAATTTCATTCTATCAGGTCGCTAATAATTTAAATTTGTCCCACTATTGAGGCTATTAACTTGAATCACTTAAGGTATAGTCTGCCAGCTTTCTCCATTGTGAATTATTCTTTTTTTTTTTTTTTGTAATTTCTAAGTATTTTGTGGAGAGATACTTTGAAACTTTGCTCCACACTCTATTTCTCATCAAATTTTCTATGTATTCATTTATTTATATAAATTGAAGCCATGCATAATAAATTTTTACTACTGTTACTACCAGGCTTAAGGGCCCCAGATTTGACCAGTAGGAGCTCTTTCAAGCTGATGCCCATGTGCTTTACATGTCCCTATTTTTCTAAGGCACTTCCTTGCTTTTGAAGACAAGATATTTCAGGCCCATCTAGTACTTCGTCAAGCCCATCCCTGAAATCAGTCACTTCTTCAAGGAAGACTTGGCTCCTTTTAGTGGACACTGATTTTTAAGCCATGATCTGGGTGCTTGGTGTGCTGATTCCTACCGCAGGTGGGGTGTGTGGATGGGGTGGTCAGTGCTCCAAGGCCCTGTCAGTGGTTAGATGTAGGAAGTATATGTATGTGGACACATACATATGTGCACACACATACGTGTAAATACACATGTACATATTTAAAACTGCATTAATTTCTACATCTATCTCTAAATATTGAAATCCATGGCCAGGTGTGGTGGCTCACACCTGTAATCCCAGCACTTTGGGAGGCCGAGGCGGGGAGATCACAAGGTCAGGAGATCGAGACCATCCTAGCTAACATGGTGAAACCCTGTCTCGACTAAAAATACAAAAAATTAGCCAGGTGTGGTGGAGGGCGCCTGTAGTCCTAGCTACTTGGGAGGCTGAGGCAGGAGAATGGCATGAACCTGGGAGGTGGAGCTCGCAGTGAGCCGAGATCGTGCCACTGCACTCCAGCCTGGGCGACAGAGCGAGACTCTGTCTCAAAAAGAAAAAAATAGAAATCCATGAGTTACATTGGCACCTTCAATTCCAATCCAACACCAGAGAATCCAACCTAGTTTTCTCCTTTTTGTGTTTATTTTATCAATCTGCTGCTCTGCCTCTCCCAAGTAGAAGCCCCCCACCTCCCCTCGCCCTCCTGAGACAGGGTTACCTCCTTCCCACCAAATGTGCATCTTCCTTGGTCAGGCTTATATACCACATCAGGCTACTTTCCTTGCATGGATGACTTCTTTATCCTCCTTGAACTCTGACACCCCAAACGGGGTCTTCTTCCTATATGGACTCCCCCTTAATCCACTCCAGCTTTGAAACCCATAAGTTGCCCCCATGCATGGATACCCTCCTCAGGCTCTGATTCACTGCAGGACTGCCTCCCCAGGTAGATGCCCTCCTCACTCTCTTCGGGCCCTGATATCCCATACCACATATCTCCTTTGTGTAAGGACCTTCCTTACCCTGCATAAGCTTTCACATCCTGAGCCAAGTCTCTCCCCTCTCCATTGCACCCATTTGAAAGCCCTCCTCATGTGACTCTGGGTCTGACACGTGATGCCAGGTTACTGTCACTCAAGTGTGTCATCCTCACTCTTTTGGGCTCCAAGTCCCCATGCCAGGCTCCCTCTGTGTGGGGGCCTTTCTCACACCACTTGGGAGCTGACATCTCATTCTAGCTCCCTTTTCCTGTGTGGATGCCCTCCTCACCCTTCTCCCATTGACACCACCTGCCAATGTGGTTGCCTTTCTCATTCTTCCTGGGTTTGACACCTCATGCAAGTCAGTCCCTTTGTTGATTCCTGTCTGGCTCTGCTCCACCTAATGTTTTTAAGACTGAATTGCTCAAAAAAAGAAAGGGAAATGGAGGGAAAGGGCAAGTGAAGGGGAGGGGATGGGAAAGAGAAAGCTGAGTTTTATTATATTTTAATAAAAATAATACATGTATGTCACAGCACTATGCCAGTCTGGAATCAGCCTTCAATTTGAACCAGACTCCAACTTTTGTTTCTAAGCCTCTGAGAAAAATAGTTGCCATGAACCTCAATCTCCTGCATGATTGCAAATGTGTAGAATCACTCCACCAACAAATATTTATGTAGTTTCTATGAAGACACAGAAAAGTCACTATTGATAAAGCTTTTCATATTTCAAAAGGATTTCCTCATATAATAACACATTAAGTAATGTTTATACTACTGAATGAGCCATCTATAAAAGGCAAAGTGAGGACCCATTTACTTTATTTTTCAAGACAGAAAAGTGCAAAATGCACACCTTAAAATGTTTCAAAAAATGGCTGACAATTAATTTTGTGCTTACATTTTAGTTATCTGGAAAATTCACACATGGAAAAACTCCATTTCATTTACCTAGTGTCACTGGAAAATAAAGTGCTATTGCATGTATTAAAGCCAAACTAAACTCAAGGTCCTAGACTGTAATGGCCTCCAGCCATTTGCTGGATCTTGGGGTAGTCACTGTAATATTCAGGACCTTTAGTTTCCTCACCCATAAAATTAGAGTTAGTCTAAACTCAAAGATAATTGCCAACTCTAAAATTCTATGACTTAAGGCAGAAAAACATACCGGCTTTTTATCTCCTAAAAAAGTTTAAAATATATATAAATCAGTAAAGGATAAAGTACCTATATGTTGTATTAGGAATTGCCCTGTGGAGCAAAAGGCACTGATTAGAAATGAATCGAATCATAAGATGCCCACACAAGTCTAAGAATAAGGTGTGGTTTTCTCTTAACTGGTAGTACATTTAAATAATGGAACATGGAGTCCATAAGTAACGGATTTACCATTTGTGACCTACATTAGCTATTGGAGATTAGCTGTTGGAATTTCCCAGAAGGTAATTTCCCACTACTGCTTCTTTTTCCCAATGTATGGTCTACTAGAAGGCACACTAGACTATGAATCAGAACAGTAACTAACATTTGATTTGTATATTACATCTACTATAATTATCTGTCACCCCAATTTCCCCCTTCTTGCTTCAAGTCCATTTATGTAAGCTGGCTGCTCAAGGATATCACTCTAAGGTTTAGAGGTTTGGGTTTATTTTTCCCCGACTTAAACCAATCATATTTTCTCACTTGAGATGTTGAAGCAAAGAATACTGAAACTTATTTAGATATAAGTGGAAATCGAAAGACTACATTTAAAATTGTTTCAGGAACCTCCAAACTACTTTCCACAATGGCTGCACCACTTTGCTCTCCCACCAACGGTGCACACAAGGGTTTCAGTTTCTCCAAATACCTGCTAACACATGTCTTGAAAAAAAATTGTAGCCTTTCTGACAGATGTGAGGTAATATCTTATTGTCATTTTGATTTGCTTTTCTCTAATAACTAGTGACACTGAGCATTTTTTCCTATGCCTGTTGGCCATTTATATGTCTTCTTTGGAGAAATGTCCATTCAAGTTCTTTGCCCATTTTTAATTGTTTGTTTTTTTACCATTGAGTTGTAGGAGTTATTTGTATATTTTGGAGATTAACCCCTCATCAGATATATGGGTTGCAAATACTTTCTCCACTTCCACACGTTGCCTGTTTATTCCACTAATTCTTTCTTTTGCTGTGCAGGAGTTTTTAGTTTGATGCAGTCCCACTTGGTTACTTTTGTTTTTGTTGCCTGTGCTTTTGGTCTCATATCCACGAAATTCATGGATCAACTATCACGGAGCTTTTCTCTTATATTTTCTTCTAGGAGTTTTACAGTCTTGGGTCTTATGATTCTTCCTTGTTATTGTCTTTAAAATAATTTTTTTATATTTAAATTTTTAAATATTTTATTATAGTATAATAAAACATTTGTATTACACTATTATAATAACATAATTGATAGTAATATCTAAAACATTTTAGTGTCTATAAAGATAAACATACATTTTACAGTGTTTAGGATACTTTTTCCCCTAGCTTTATTCAGATATATTTGACAAATAAATATTGTATATATTTAAGGCATACAATATGATGTTTTGATATACATAGACATTGCAAAATGATTGCTATAATCAGGCTAATACAACACCTCACATAGTTACATTTTTTCCCTGTGGCCACCTAAGATCTGCTCTTAGCAAACTTCAAGTATACAATACAGTATTATTAACTTTAGTCACTATGATTTACATTAGCTCTCCAGAATTTATGCATCCTGAATGCCTGAAGTTTTGTACCCCTTTAACCAACATCTCCCCATTTCCCTTGCTTTCCCGCTCTGCCAACCACCATTCTGCTCTCTGCTTTTATGAGTTCAATATTTTTATTTTTTGTGTTTTTCTTTCTTTATTTACTTTTTTGTGTGTGAGTTCAATTTTTAAAGAATCTACATATAAATGAGATCATGCAGTAATTGTCTTTCTGTGTCTGGTTTATTTCACTTAGCATAATATCCTTTAGGTTCAATTCAGGTCTTATGTTTAATAAGTCTTTAATCCAATAATCCTGCTGTTATGATCTGAATGTTTATGTCTCTCCCAAATTCATATGTTGAAATTCTCACCCCCAAGGTGACAGCATTAAGAGATGGGGCCTTTGGGAGGTGATTAGGTCACGAGGGCAGAGCCCTTATGAATGAAATTAGTGCCCTTATAAAAGAGGCCAGAGAGAGATTCTTCACTCCTCCTACCATGTGATGCTAAAGTCTATGGTAGCTATCCATAAGCAAGTAGGCCCTTATCAGACACTGAATCTGCCAACATCTTGATCTTGTACTTCCCATTCTCCAGAACTGTGAGAAATAAATTTCTGTTGTTCATAGGCCATTGAGTCTGTGGTATTTTGTTACAGCAGCCTGAACAGACTAAGACACTGTCTTCAATGTATTTATCCAAAAGAACTGAAATCAAAAGCAATATCCTGAAGCACTCCTATGTTCATTGCAGCACTATTCACAATACCCACGATGTGAAAACAACCTAAACGTCTATGGACAGATGAATGTATAAAGACAATGTGGCATATGCATACAATAGGATACTTTCAGCCTTAAAAAGGAAGGAAATTCTTCTGGCTGCCAGAGGCCAGCAGGATTGGGAGCAAAGCAGGGTGAAATGTGGAGTTACTAATCAACCAGCATAAAGTTTCAGTTAAGCAAGATCAATAAGCTCTACAGATCCACTGTATAATTTGTACCTACAATCAATAATAATGTATGTACACATAAACATTGGTACAAAGGTAGATCTTATGTTAAGCATTCTTACCACAATAAAATAAAATTTAAAAAATAATTTGACAAAGAAAAAAAAGAAAAAGACTACATTAAGAGATCTTAACAGGTAGATGTGGGAAATGACGGGTCACATGCATGCTTTGATTATTGGTTGCAGATAAACTAAAAAAGTTGAGGAGGCTGGGTGCGGTGGCTCACGCCTGTAATCCCAGCACTTTGGGAGGCGAAGGTGGGCGGATTACGAGGTCAGGAGATCGAGACCATCCTGGCTAACATGATGAAACCCCGTCTCGACTAAAAACACACACAAAAAGTTAGCCAGGAGTGGTGGCAGGAGCCTGTAGTCCCAGCTACTTGGGAGGCTGAGGCAGGAGAATGGCGTGAACCCGGGAGGCAGAGCTTGCAGTGAGCTGAGATCAAGCCACCGCACTCCAGTCTGGGCAACAGAGTGAGACTCTGTCTGGAAAAAAAAAAAAAAAAAAATTAGCCGGGTGTGGTGGCATGTGCCTGTAATCCCAGCAACTCTGGAGGCTGAGAGAGGAGAATCGCTTGAATCCAGGAGGCAGAGGTTTCAGTGAGCCAAGATCGTGCCACTGCACTGCAGCCTGGATGACAGAGCAAGACTGCATCTAAAAAAAAAAAAAAAAAAAAAGTTGAGGAGAGAGGTGAAAGGAAATGAGGAAAATACAAGTACATGATCTCAATTTGCTTTCACAGCTACTGTGGAGTAGTAGTAACATATTCTTACCACCAACTGCAATTTACAAATTAAGAGACTCATACTTAGGTAAATGACTGATTTTTCAAAGATTATATGGCTAATTACTGCTACAGTCATTTTTGAACCTTAATGTTTTGACCTAAACTAGTTCTTTTTCTACTGCACTGCGCTGATAGTACTGGCTCTGCCATTAGTTAGCATGACCTCGGGAAAGTCCATTAAGTTCTCTGAGTCTCAGTTTTTAGGTCTGCAAAGTGGGGTTAAAATATGAGCCTTATCCTATTTAATAGGATTAATACTACATATCTTATTTTTTATTGTGTTTTATAGTTTGTAAAAGGTCACTGATGTGTGATTTCATAAAATTTCTTACAAAAGTACTGTAAGAATCAAATGAGCATGTATTGCTAAGAGAATAGATTTTACGTTATGTATTCTTATAAAATAATAATAATAACAAAGAGGGTAGGAGGAAACTATTAGAGGTGATAGATGTGTTCATGGCATAGATTGTGGTGATGGTTTCACAGGTGCATACTTATCTCGAAAGTCACCAAGTTATATATAGTCATTTGTCGTTGTGGTAGGTGGAGGGATGGTTCCAGAACCCCCCCAACCCCTAGTGGATACCAAAATCTGAGAATGCTCAAGTCCTTTATATAAAATGACATAATATTTGTATATAACCTATGCACATGCTCCTGTATCCTTTAAATTATCTCGAAATTACTTATAATACCTAATATAAAAATGCTATGTAAATAGTTGTTATACTGTATTGTTTTAATTTGTATTATTTCTTATTGTTGTATTTTTAAAAATATGTGGGACCTACAGGGAGGGCCAACTGCACATTAATATGTACAGCTTTTTGCATGTTAATCATAACTTAATAAAGTGGTTTTAAAAAATCAATGTGAAAGCAGTTGCACAGTAATTATCATCTGACTCTGCTTCCATATACTCCTTCACATCCCTGAAGTTGTTGAAATTCTCGAGATTTTAGTTAAGATTTAAAGGTTGCCTGGGGAGAAATTTCAAATGGACTCCATAGCCTCTGATAATACTTACAACGAAATAAAAGCATAATAAGAATTTTATAACCTGCAAAGTCCAAATCTCAAACAGCCTTTTAGGACTATTAATAATCTATCCACCATGACATAACATTCATCTAAACATCCTCCAACTTTATCATCCCCAGGCCTAAGTGAATTCTTCCTTTATGTAGTCCTGTTTGGGGGTTCTATGAATGGTCACTTCTGTGCCTGTGTCTTGACACATGCAGCCTCCCCTGCCTAGAATACACTCTTTGTGTTCTCTATCTTTCCAGGATAGGTAAGATCTGACCTCCATCTGATTTCTAACTACACCAGTCTCCATTCATAGTTTCTGTTCTCTAATCTCCATTAGTTCTTATTGTCTATAGCAGGGGTCAGCAAACCATGCCCCCAAGCCTACTTTTGTAAATAAAGTTTTATTATAACTTACCTATGGCCATTTTCACACTACAAATGCAGAGTTGAGTAGTAACAACAGAAAGCATATGGCATATAAAGCCTCAAATATGTACTATATAGAAAGAGTTTGCTAACTCCTAGTTTATAGCATATAAAAACCTGAATTGGCATGATGGAGAAAGCACATTGTGTTTTTGAAATTATTTATTATTTACAGTAAGTTTTAAGGATAGCAAGTTGAATGAGTATTTTATTGCTATCCCTTTCAGATGCAATTTAGAAATTCTACTAAAAGATGAAAATGACAAAAATATTTTAGTGTCATAGCAATGATAGCTCATCAGAACCAAATAATATAATATTACACAAGTATTATGCAATAGAATAACTAAGGTAAGGTAAAGGTGAGGGTTAAATAGCAAAAGGTAACTCTTAGCAGGACACATCAACGACACCTACTGAACAGAGAAAGCTGAAGATCACAATCAGGACAATAACCTAGTGCCTACTGTTACTGCAAGCAGAGCCAAACATCATACAGATTGATAATCAATCAAGGCTGTTAGGGTCTGCAGGAAATAGCTCCTTATTTGTGGTGAGGATGAATGTTAAGGAAGAGCAATTTCTGACTATTAGGAAAGCACTGGATTGCATGGAGAGTACTTGTGCGTTCTGTCAAATGGCACCAGCTGAGAAGCACTGGTCTATAGACTCCTTGTTTGTAAGCAATATTTTCCCACCTATACCGTCTATTTAAGGCTATGAACAAAGCCACATACTTTCACCATTCACATTATTATAAGGGATAGTGTTTCCTTATTATGTGTTAAGGCTAAACTGACACTTGATCCCACCCTCCTATGTAACTTTATTATTATTATTATTATTTTATGAGATAGGGTATCACTCTGTTGCCCAGGCTGGCGTGCAGTGATGTAATGATAGCTCACTGCAACCTTGAACTTCTGGGATAATGTAATCCTTTCACCTCAGCCTCCCTACGCACTGGGGTCATAGGCATGAGCCACCATGCTCGGCTCTTTTTTTTCTATAGAACAGTTTCAAGGAAAGATTATTTCCCATGGAAACAAATATGGTCCCCCAGCTATTAACTTGAGAGAACTCTTCAAATGTTACTGAATAAAAGTTTTTAAAAATGAAGTGTCCTTTCTAAATTTCTTCATGAGTCCTGGTAGAAAGCTTTTACTGTCCTCCTCCTCCATAAATATACATTAAAATGTAACTTCATAATTATAAAAATTTTAAATAATTTAGGCATTTATGCCTTTTGAGAATTTAATTTTTAGTTATGCATAAAGATGATCATTTCCTTCACACTTGACAGCTGCCTTTCTACTTATTTTAGTAATAAATTATTTCAAATTCAAGTGATATTTTAAAGAAAAAAATTATTTAAAAACTTAGGCTACATGGAGAAGATGCCCTTATGGAGTTGGGACGTGATTTCTAATTTCATGAAACTAAAGGTAAATGATTGATTTATTTTTTTAGCTTTTAAAAACAACTGTGGTAAAGTATACATAATATAAAATTTACCATTTTAACCATCTTTATGTGTACGGTTCAGTGGCATTAAGTACATTTACATTGCTCTGCAACCATCAATACTATCTGTCTCCAGAACTTTTTCTTCTTTCCAAACTGAAACTCCATTATCTGCTAAAAAATAGCTCCCCATTCCTACTTCCCCCAGCCCCTGGCAACCCATTCTGTCTGTCTCTATAAATCTGACTACTCTAGATACATCATAGAAGTAGAATACTTGTCTTTTTGTGTCTGATTTATTTCACTTAGCATAACACCTTCAAGTTTCTCCATTTTGGAACATGGGTCAGAATGTCATTCCTTTTTAAGGCTAAATAATATTCCATTGTATGTATATACGACATTTTGTTTATCCATTCATCTGTGATGGACATTTGAGTTGCTTCTACCTTTTGTTTTTTGTCACAACAATGCTGCTGTGAACATTGGTGTATAGATAACAGATAAGTCTGATGGTTTTGTTTTGTTTTGTTTTTATTGAAAAAGCTCTCTTTTTTTTTTTCAGAGACAAGTGAACGTTTATTTTTATGCCTTTCTTCCTATGTGTATTTCAAGTCTTTTTCAAAACAAAACCCCAGGAATCTCCAGATTCAATTATGTCCCTGGGCTTGGTCAACTGCTGCAGGAATCTTAGAGAGCCTTGTACAAATGCTAGAGTTACTCATTTACCAACATTAAATCCTAGGATAGAAGATGCAACAAAGCAGGACTCCTTCCTCCATGGAATGTGCTGATTTCAGATGAGGCGGCACCCAATGTAGAAAACGCTGGAATTTTTCCTTGGAATTGGACTGTGATGAGAGGTGCTTGCCATGAACATAAGCTACTGTCTTTGCTTTTTTTGAGATGGAGTTTCGCTCTTGTTGCCCAGGCTGGAGTGCAATGGCACAATCTCGGCTCACTGCAACCTCTGCCTCCCAGATTCCAGCGATTCTCCTGCCCCAGCCTCCCAAGTAGCTGGAATTACAGGCATGCACCACCATGCCCAGCTAATTTTTGTATTTTTAGTAGAGACAGGATTTCTCCATGTTGGTCAGGCTGGTCTTGAACTCCCGACCTCAGGTGATCCGCCTGTCTCAGCCTCCCAAAGTGCTGGGATTACAAGAGTGAGCCATCGCGCCCGGCCAGCTACTGTCTTTTCTTTGACCCTTCCTTTCCAGTTTTTGAAGATAAGGCAGGAAATCTTCTCTAAAGATACTTGATAAAAATTCCCAAAAAAAACCAAAAACACATGCTTCCACTTCATTGATAAAAATTACTGCAGTTTGGCACCTGGGTCTAGTTAAGCTGGCGGATGAGCTGATTGATGCGTTCACCCCGATAGCCAGGTGTGCCCATCTCCTTGAGGAAGCCCACTCTAGTTTTGGTAGCATGACGGGCCACTGAGAAGTGGAAAGGGCGCAAGAACCATGAGCTCTCCTGGAAATGCTTCCCTGGGAAGGCAATTTAATGAATGAGGTCTTCCAAGCCAATGACGCCAAACGTCCCCAGGTGCTCCTCAATCACTATGTTGTCTGTCAGAGGGATGGTCTTATTCTTGACCTTGGCTTGTCCACATTTCAAAATGAGTTCCCAGACAGACTTCAGATTTGGAAATCCCCAGGTCACATAAGGTTCCACTACACGCAGCACTTTTAGGTTCTAGGGGGTGACTTTTACAAAGACACCACTAAAAATTTTCTTTAGGCGAAGTCTTGCAATGGTTCTCTGCACCAGTAAACTCAGGCCATCGGTCCTTTCGATGCGTACAACAAAGGCCAGGGAATGTTTGTCTGGCAGTTCCAATGCATGAGGTTTCACTTCTAGTCGTCTGAGACACAGCTTGTCACGTTTCTGCCGCCAGGAATCATGTAGGAATGATTCCAGTCGCTTAAACCTGAGCCCTTTTCCTTTCCTCTGCTCCTTCTTTGCCAAAAATGCCTGCTTTGCCTGGGTGGCTTTGCGGGCTTGATAAGCCTTCCTCTTTTTCAGGAGATTTTCTGGAACCAAAGGGATTTTTCTTTGCTCTTGCTCCACCATCTTTATGGTGGTGTGGCTCAAAAAAGCCCTCTTATTTAATGAATATTTATAGACTGCCTAATACTTAGTAGATACTGTGCTAGGTGCTGGGTACACACTGTTGATCTTAGAGCTTATCATTATGCCTTTTTTATTTCTTGGATGTATGGGGCCCATATCGTTGGAACCTAGGTTAATAACAAAAACTAATCAGCAGTTATTATGACATAGCTATTCAGCAATCCAAATGCATAATGCCAATTTTAATGTATTTGGGGATTAAAAGTGAAATATACAGAAAATATTTTCTCATAAACTATTAAAAATCATATTGCAGAGGTTTAACATTTAAATGATTATGCACTTTTTGAAAGCAGCACCTTCTTTTAGTTATACAAAGCATGTTTCCTTTGTTTTAACAAAACACTCTCATCTGAAAATTCTCTTGGGAATGGAAGGAACACGTACATCTAGCCTGTGAGGCAGTGATTGGTTGCTTTTTCACTTCATACTAAGCAGAGTGATAAGAAAGAAGAAAAAAGTCTCCACGGCAACCACTTTGATCATTAAAGTTTACATTAAAAGGAGAGAACTAAATCTTGCTTGAACGTTACTCTCCTTTGCTAGGTTCTCTGGCAAGTCATTTTGCCTCTCTAAACCTGTTTCCCAGGGATAGTAAATACTCTATCTACTTTGCAGAGGTGTTTCAAGAATGAAATAACTCATATGAGGGTATTTTGTGACTCAAGCGCTACACCAATGTAAGGGTTTTAAAAAGTTGTTATTTTGCTAACATGCCCAGATATTAAATTCTAATAGCTACAAAGAAATGCCAAAATCTCTCAACATCCTGCTGTTTCTTAAAGAATTTAATCTAAGTTGTAAAAAGCTTTCCCCAGTGGAATTCAGGAAAGCTATTTTGAGTTAAAAAAAAATGTGTCCTACAAATTTTTTTTCCCCTGAATTGGGCCATGTGCTGAAAAGTTTTTTCTCTATCATGCAGTGAAGCACATGGCTCCCTTCACAGATCACACACAAACCCTTGTGACACAGAAGGCCTCCCGCCACACTCTATTCCACTTCCACAGCTTCTACTAACTCATCCTAGTTCTGCCCCTATACACACACAGAATATCCCTAATTAAATGCTCCTCAAATATTTAAAGAAGGTTATCAAGTCCTTTGGCTATGACCTTTTCTCTGGAAAAACTAGGTTTTCAAAAATTTTACCCATTGTATATTTAAATTTTTTATTTTCTCTATTTCTCATAGTGTCTAGAGTGGAGCCCAATATTCTAGATACAGTATGAATATTAAAGGAAAAAAATCACTTTCCTTATGCTGAGCCTTATGCTCCTATTAATATGTTCTAGGTTCATATTAAAGTTTTAATTAAAATCTTGGCTTTTTTTTTTAAAACAAGAACTGATAGTTGAGCCATATTTTACTTATTCCTTTTTCTTATAATGGCTTTTTAAGGTTCCGCTGCAAGAGTTTCATCTATTCTATTCTTTGTAGATTTTGTCCTATCAGATGCGAAACTGAAAGATTATACAGAAAACATTTTTGATTCCCAGTTTTGCTTTTTTTTTTTTTTTTTGAGACAGAGTCTTGCTGTCGCCCAGGCTGGAGTCCAGTTGTGCCATCTCTGCTCACTGCAACCTCTGCCTCAGCCTCCCGAGTAGCTGGGATTATAGGTGTCTGCGGGATTATAGGTGCCTGCCACCATGCCCAGCTAATTTTTGTATTTTTTTAGTAGAGATGGAGTTTCACCACGTTGGCCAGGCTAGTCTCCAACTCCTGACCTCAGGTGATCCACCTGCCTCGGCCTCCAAAAGTGCTGGGATTACAGGTGTGAGCCACCGTGCCCAGCCCCAGCTTTCCAGTTCATGTAAAACCTGTCCTTACTTCTTTACTCTCCTTGAATTATGTGAAACCCAAAAACAGTACTTCTGCATCCCAGGTATTAGCACTCCTTTTACTCGAACTAATTTGAGTTGTCTTCTGATATTTGCACCCAGAACAGCCTTGGCTGGAGCACAGCATTAACCCAACTTGACCTTACTTTACATATCCTTCGTCTGCAGAACTAAAGTCCAGCTGAAAGAGTTGTACCGAATGTATAGAAATTTAGCTGCTCTGGCTATGGGGTTACAAGAGAAGGGGGAAACATGCCTCCTTCACTTTGTTTCATCGCTTTTATACTGAACATGGAAGAAGCACCTCCTTCCACATATGGAAGGATTACTTCTGGAGAGCAAGCAATTCATGTGTGTAGTGGAAAAAAAAGTACTGAACGTGGATTTGAGGAAACATTGGTTAGGGGAAGATTTATCCTAATTCCCCTGGATTCAGGCAGTGTAAATTCAGGCAAGTCACAACTTCCCTAGGTTTCAGTTTGTTCATATGTAAAAATTAAAGAGTTAGGAGGTTTATATACTATGTCTAAAGTCTCTTTCTGCTTGAAATGTTAGCTTTAAGCATACCTCTGGCAGTGCATACAAAGAACTACTTTGCCATCTGCCGTAGGAGCCATCTTTCTCATTTCTGTGTTGAAAAGACATTTCTCCCCAAATCTTGGAGACAGCCAGGGCTGTCAAGGTGTGTAACGATGCTCCATGGATTCAAGACCCCTCTTCTTTCTCTCTAATTTGTATCTCTTTTTCTTCGCTGAACACATACAAACCTTCTTCCTCTTTGTTCTTAAGACTTTGAACAAGTCCATTCTTGCTTTGCCAAATTGTCCCAGGCCTATGGTAAAACCTAGGTCAGAGGGAAAGAGTTTTATCTACCACACTGTATCAGCAAAAATAACAGACATGGGTTATTTAACTAGAAACAAATTTATGGATATTTTCTGCGTGAATCTAATTCCTAATAAAGTACTTACTTTTGGAATTTTGGGTTTATTCTTATAATTTTTAAAAGATTTTTATATACTTATATTTCTTTAAGAGAAATCCTACATCCTATATCCATGCATATATGTATAGTCTACTTTAGTACCTTTTGTGATTTTAAAATCAATAATACAGAAATGTGTTATAAAATTCAAAAGATACAAAAGGGCATAATCTACCCATCGGCCCTATTCCCTGGACACCCAATTTTCCTATTCACAAGTAATCCCTACTTGTATTAACAGGTTTTTTAAAAAAGAGACCTTCTAGAGATATTCTATCATACACAAGCATATACACACAAATATAGTCATAAAGATCATTATAATTATTGTTTTCCCCTAATGGTAACATACTATATAAGTAAGCATTTTTTTGCCACTTACCAATAAGTCCTGGCTATGATTGTCATATCAGCATTTGGAGACCTCCCTGGCTTATTTTAACAGCTTCATAGTATTCTATTTTTTTGATATACCAGAACTGATTTAATTAGTTCTTGATTGTGGTTGCCATTAATATCCTTTTACTTTTGTAGTTTTATGCATGTATATATCTATTTGCAGCATTAATTCCTAGAAATAGAACTGCTGGGCCAAAGGGCAGCTGCATGAGTCATCTAGATGTATGCTTCTGAATTTGCCTCCCAAAACATGGTTGTCCTGATTTATATTTCCACAGGCAACATGAAAGGGCCTATTTCCCCACATTTATTCCAGCATAGTGTATTATCACACTTTTGTGGTCTTGTCATTTTCTGGGGTGAAAACCATTATATCACTATACTTTTAAATTGCATTCTATATTATATTATCTTCTCTATTAGGGTTTCTATTTAGTTATCTTAAATAAATATTTGATATAGATTTTTCAAGTTAAGTAAAGTATGGGCCAAACAATGGTGAGAAATCAAGAAGGTTTTTAATCTTAAAACTCTAAAAATCAAACTTCAGAACATCTAATAAGTTGTCTTTCTTTCTGCCTCTTATTCTCTATTTTCTTTTCCTATTTACCTCTATCTGTCAACCATTCATGAAGAATTTAAATCTACATTTAATATTTCTATTTACTGAGTAAAATGTTTTGATCCCTTTATTGTAAAAAGCAAAATAATTAGATAATTCTATATTTCTTAAAAGATAAATTTAAAAAAACCATATCCTTTAGGTCAGTCAGTTTTTGGTTGGAAGCAACAGAAACTATGGCTGATTGAAGCACAAATGGGGTAGCTCTAACTGTAGGTGAGCAGGCTCATCAGCCATGAACAGTGTTCAGAATCATGCTACAGAATCACACAGGCATCACCATTGTTGTGCGCTATCCTCTGTGGTTTGATTATTCCCGATTACCGACCTTGAGTGCTGTGCTGGCACAACTGCTCCTGTTACCTCAGAAAATGGATGTGGCTGCTACTGGCTTCTCCAAAATGAAATTGGAGCAGTCCCTGCTTCTTTAGGCTTACAGCATCTGATTTGGTCAGTGTAGGCCATGTCTGGTCTGTGGCCTTGGTCGGGTGTCCATGCTGTGCCTGTAAAGGAGGTTATGGAAACCGTTATTAGGCATTTTCAGCTTCATAGTTAGAAGCAGGCACATCTTCCCCTCTAATAGGTGGGGACACACTATCATTGAAGGTTGGTAAAAAAAGGTTGAAAATTATCATCAATAATTCTCAATTGGTGTTCTTTTCCCCCAGGTGATGGTCTTTAAAAGATTGTTACTTGAGAATCACAAAACTAATATTCTTTTTCTTCTCTTGGCCTGAAATATTGAGGGTTAAGGAGGAAAATAATTGGTCCTCTCTTCACATAGCCTGATAGAATTTTGGCTGGGAAAATAGGAAGATGGGAAATAGGAAGATGCAGTTAGAGAAATAACTGCCAATGCCAATATTTATGCCTGTAAGTACCAATTTTTAATCTTCTACTTTGATTATTAAAGTATACAATCTCTTTCCAGGGTCTTAGTTTTTCTCAAAAATGATTTAACACACTAACAGTTTCTGGATGAAAATAACAATGTATTGTTCTTGTATTTTCTAGAATCAGAACAGTAAGTTAGGGCTAGCCACAAAGATATACATGCCTAAAAGGAAGTTAATATAAACCATTTCTACCAATCCAATTGTATTAGTTTGCTAGGGTTGCTGTAACAAAATACCACAGACTTGGTGGCTTAAACAACAGAAATTTATTGTCTCACAGTTCTGGAACTACATGTCCAAGCTCAAGGTCTCAGTAGGGTTGGTTCCTTCTGAGGGAAGGATTTGTTCCAGACCTCTCTTCTTGGCTTGTAGACAGCAACCTTCTCCCAGTGTCTACACGTTGTTTTCTCGCTGTAACTGTTTTTGTGTTCACATTTATTCTTTTTATAAGGATACAAGTCCTGCTGGATTACAGCCCATCCTAATGATCTCATTTTAACTTGATTACCTCTGTAAAGATTTTATCTCCAAATAAGGTAACATTCTGAGGTACTGGGGATTAGTACTTCAACATATGAATTATGGGGCAGTGGGACACAATGTACCCATAACATGAATCTTTTTGGTGATCTAAATAAAATTTGTGTTTAAGAGAGAAGGCAAGGAAGCTGCAAACAACCAGATTGGCTGTTTTGACTTGTGATTTGGGAAAAAAGTAGTGCTGAGGTCCAGGGGTTTGAGATGATAGGATTCCTAAATGTGGGCAGGACCAGGAAGACCTCTCTTAGTTCAGAATTGAAGGTTGTAATATTTTTAAAGAATAATTTGTGGACAAGATCTAAGCACTTAAATCTAAGCAGAATTTAGTAACTATGTGTCCTGTATGTAGCACTAAAAAACTTTTCTCTTTTTTATAATTTAAAAATGTGGAACTTCTCCAATTCTCTTTCTAGGTGCTAAAACTAATTCTGAAAACAATTTGGCAATTAATATTATAATAGAACTTAATCCAACTCATTTTACTAAATTTTGCTTTGATTATAGAAAATTATATACAAAATCTCAAAATGTTTGAGTATTTTTACATGAATTCATCCAATCAAATTAAACCACATTTTTTAGCACCTACATATAAAGCAAGGTTCAGTAAAAAGAAGTTCTTAAGTTAGAAAATTTCGATGAAATCTCAAATCTTCCTGCCTTATCCACCACTCAGGACTCAGAGACAATAAGGTAAACTATATAAAGCTCTATGAGTCCAAACTATGAGCAAAGACTCTCACTTTTAACTTGCATAGACATTTGGCATATTCTCTGTTGGTCTCAAGCACTTCAGAATTAAAACAGAGATGATTGCTGAGATGTTGCAAGGAATTAATAATATATGTAAATACAGTGGACCCTTGAACAACACAAGGTTGAACTTCACAGGTTCACTGACAGGTGGATTTTTTTCAACCAAACACAATGGAAAGATAGTATTCACAGGATACAAAACCCACATATAGTGGGGGCCGACTTGAGTATGCATGGATTTTGGTATAAGCTGGCGTTAACCAAGGGATTACTGTACTGTCACATTTTATGAAACAGTTTTGCTAAAATTACAGCTTTAAACTTTTTTTTTTAATAGATTGAAATCTAAGAGAGTTGACTCTCCCTTCTGAGTCTCCTTTGTACTCTGTCTCTTTAGGTTCCTACCACATTCTACCTTGCATTTTGGCAAATAACACATATATTTCTACCATCCTCTGCACTAGGATTATGGGAAGAATATATTTTCTTCCCTTCATTTTCTTTGGGAGCTTCCTCTTAGTACCTTGCTGAGTAAGAGTCACTATAAATGTGAACTTTGAGACATTTGAATGTGAATGAGCAAAGCAACCACATGATGGCAGCATGTTAAAAGAATAAAGAATTATTTACTTGAAGCCATCCTTTTAATTTTTAAAATTTGGTATGAACAAAGAAGAAAACCTCATATCTACCTGCTTTGTGAATCCCGTATTCTAGTCAACTCTTACAGATGCAGGAGATGAAGTGAAGTGACCAGTTTCAAATCTCAAAAACAATAAGGAACAAAAGAACAGAGAGCTCTGTGTTCTTAGATTTTAAGCTAGAACCAGACAGTCAGTCTGACTCATTCTTAAAGCTGACAGTTTTTGGTATTCAGTATGGGGATTATTTGGTGAATTATGCAAAGCAGAATGATAACTTATGGATAGTGCCTAAAATTAATGTCTAGTAGTTACACAGATGTTTTTGGTTGCTCCGCAGATTACTGAAAAAACAAAACAAAACAAAAACAAAAACAAAAGAGCTCTCAGTTATCTACATGTGCATATAATGTGTTTTTGAATGAATCACCAAAACATTGCAATGATTAATTTGAACATCTTTGCTTTGTCATCTGTGATTAAGGATTTTTTTTTCATTAGCAAACAAGTAAGTCAACATTTGTTGAAAGTCTCCAACTGCATGATAATTGCCTAGGTAGGAGAGAGAAAATGAGAGAAAGCTTTTGTATTGGAAAAGTCTAGATGGGATTAATTCAAGGCCTAAACAATGTCATAGACATATCTGCCATTTTTACACTCTCATTTCTGTTTTCTTTTGCATTGGCTGTATTCCCAACCATGCTTTCTTTTGTGATAGCAAACACGACTCTAGGCTACTGGTTTATCTACTTCAAAAAGGCACGGTGGCTCACACCTGTTATCCCAGCACTTTGGGAGGTCGAGGGGGGCAGATCACGATGTCAGGAGTTTCAGGTCAGCCTGGAAAACATGGTGAAACCCTGTCTCTACTAAAAATACAAAAATTAGCTGGGCGTGGTGGTGGGCACCTGTAATCCCAGCAACTTCGGAGGCTGAGGCAGGATAATTGCTTGAACTCAGGAGGCAGAGGTTGCAGTGAGCCGAGATCGCGCCACTGCACTCCAGCCTGGGCGATAGAGCAAGACTCTGTCTCAAAAAAAAAAAAAGGGGGGTTCTCTTTCTCAAAGATCTCAGCAAAAGTTCTGGGGCTCGCTCCTATTGGCCAGGCTTGTGTCACTTACAAATTCCTGAACCATTTTCAGTGCTAGGAAAAATAGAGTGCTCTGATCTGCTAGGCAGATCACAGGCTCATTGCTAGACCCAGACTTGAACCACTCCCCCACTTCCCCAACATGAACTGATAATGGAAGAACAGAGGTTCCCCAAAGGAAAGCAAGGATGTTGTTACCAAAGCAAGGGGGAAGAAATGTCAGGCAGGCAGAAAAAATAGCTATCCACTAAAAGAAATTTAAAAGATGCAATCCTTACCTTCAATAAGTTTATAAACTTGAAAAGAATTATGAACTGAATAAATATTATCAAAAACAATACATTTAAAGTTGCTTTAGAGCTTTTGAAATACTTATTTCATGTGATCCTTTCAAGAATATTTTTAGGTCAGTTCTATTTTGTAGTTAAAGTCAAAGAGAAACACAGACATTAAATTATTTGCTTACCTGATGCTTATCATGCCCAATGTAGAGCTTATATCAAAGTTGAAACTCATATTCATATTTCCCAAATGACAGTAGTTTTACTTATATATGATAGTAAGATTTATGAATATTTATATATGGGTGGTAGAAAATATGTTTATATTATATGATCTAATATGCAAGAATCAAACTATGTTTGACATGAGAAAAAAAATCACCTAGCACGGAGTTTCTCAAATTGTGTTCTGCCTACATTATAATTTCCCAGGTTGTTTGTTATGAATTTCAAGGCTTCATTCATGAATCAGAATATCTACAGATGGGGCCCCAGCAATTCGTCTTTTTTAACAAGAGGCTCAGGTGATTTTTATGCAGTGATGTTTAAGAACCTCCAACAACATATTTAACTGCAGCCTTAGAGACCTTATACTTATAGAAATGAAAACAGAGATCCACAAGATATTTCTCAGGTTTTGTATCCTATTCTGGTCACCTTTCCTTTTTTGTGCTTTTCTCTTCTTTCTAAGTTAAAATAGTCATCAATTAGAAAGGTTAGGAATTATACCATCATTATATCTAATTTGTGATCTTCCAGATTAATCAGTGAAAAAGAGTATTAGTTTTCACAGCAAATAACTAAAACTCAAAACTTAGAATTAAAAAGGATCTTAGCTGAACTGCCCTATGCTCAGATAAGGAAATCAATTTCTCAAAAAATAAAGTGACTTGCATAGCTAAGTCAATTAGTATTGACAGCCCTTTTAGAATCTACTCATTTTTTTTTTATTATCATACTTTAAGTTTTAGGGTACATGTGCACTTTGTGCAGGTTAGTTACATATGTATACATGTGCAATGCTGGTGTGCTGCACCCACTAACGCGTCATCTAGCATTAGGTATATCTCCCAATGCTATCCCTCCCCCCTCCCCCCACCCCACCACAGTCCCCAGAGTGTGATATTCCCCTTCCTGTGTCCATGTGATCTCACTGTTCAATTCCCACCTATGAGTGAGAATATGCAGTGTTTGGTTTTTTGTTCTTGCGATAGTTTACTGAGAATGATGGTTTCCAATTTCATCCATGTCCCTACAAAGGACATGAACTCATCATTTTTTATGGCTGCATAGTATTCCATGGTGTATATGTGCCACATTTTCTTAATCCAGTCTATCATTGTTGGACATTTGGGTTGGTTCCAAGTCTTTGCTATTGTGAATAATGCCGCAATAAACATACGTGTGCATGTGTCTTTATAGCAGCATGATTTATAGTCATTTGGGTATATACCCAGTAATGAGATGGCTGGGTCAAATGGTATTTCTAGTTCTAGATCCCTGAGGAATCGCCACACTGACTTCCACAATGGTTGAACTAGTTTACATTCCCACCAACAGTGTAAAAGTGTTCCTATTTCTCCACATCTTCTCCAGCACCTGTTGTTTCCTGACTTTTTAATGATTGCCATTCTAACTGGTGTGAGATGATATCTCATAGTGGTTTTGATTTGCATTTCTCTGATGGCCAGTGATGATGAGCATTTTTTCATGTGTTTTTTGGCTGCATAAATGTCTTCTTTTGAGAAGTGTCTGTTCATGTCCTTCGCCCACTTTTTGATGGGGTTGTTTGTTTTTTTCTTGTAAATTTGTTTGAGTTCATTGTAGATTCTGGATATTAGCCCTTTGTCAGATGAGTAGGTTGCGAAAATTTTCTCCCATGTTGTAGGTTGCCTGTTCACTCTGATGGTAGTTTCTTTTGCTGTGCAGCAGCTCTTTAGTTTAATTAGATCCCATTTGTCAATTTTGTCTTTTGTTGCCATTGCTTTTGGTGTTTTGGACATGAAGTCCTTGCCCACGCTTATGTCCTGAATGGTAATGCCTAGGTTTTCTTCTAGGGCTTTTATGGTTTTAGGTCTAACGTTTAAATCTTTAATCCATCTTGAATTAATTTTTGTATAAGGTGTAAGGAAGAGATCCAGTTTCAGCTTTCTACATATGGCTAGCCAGTTTTCCCAGCACCATTTATTAAATAGGGAAGCCTTTCCCCATTGCTTGTTTTTCTCAGGTTTGTCAAAGATCAGATAGTTGTAGATATGCGGCATTATTTCTGAGGGCTCTGTTCTGTTCCATTGATCTATATCTCTGTTTTGGTACCAGTACCATGCTGTTTTGGTTACTGTAGCCTTGTAGTATAGTTTGAAGTCAAGTAGTGTGATGCCTCCAGCTTTGTTCTTTTGGCTTAGGATTGACTTGGCGATGCGGGCTCTTTTTTGGTTCCATATGAACTTTAAAGTAGTTTTTTCCAATTCTGTGAAGAAAGTCATTGGTAGCTTGATGGAGATGGCATTGAATCTATACATTACCTTGGGCAGTATGGCCATTTTCACGATATTGATTCTTCCTACCCATGAGCATGGAATGTTCTTCCATTTGTTTGTATCCTCTTTTATTTCCTTGAGCAGTGGTTTGTAGTTCTCCTTGAAGAGGTCCTTCACATCCCTTGAAAGTTGGATTCCTAGGTATTTTATTCTCTTTGAAGCAATTGTGAATGGGAGTTCACTCATGATTTGGCTCTCTGTTTGTCTGTTGTTGGTGTATAAGAATGCTTGTGATTTTTGTACATTGATTTTGTATCCTGAGACTTTGCTGAAGTTGCTTATCAGCTTAAGGAGATTTTGGGCTGAGACGATGGGGTTTTCTAGATAAACAATCATGTCGTCTGCAAACAGGGACAATTTGACTTCCTCTTTTCCTAATTGAATACCCTTTATTTCCTTCTCCTGCCTGATTGCCCTGGCCAGAACTTCCAACACTATGTTGAATAGGAGCAGTGAGAGAGGGCATCCCTGTCTTGTGCCAGTTTTCAAAGGGAATGCTTCCAGTTTTTGCCCATTCAGTATGATATTGGCTGTGGGTTTGTCATAGATAGCTCTTATTATTTTGAAATACGTCCCATCAATACCTAATTTATTGAGAGTTTTTAGCATGAAGGGTTGTTGAATTCTGTCAAAGGCTTTTTCTGCATCTATTGAGATAATCATGTGGTTTTTGTCTTTGGCTCTGTTTATATGCTGGATTACATTTATTGATTTGCGTATATTGAACCAGCCTTGCATCCCAGGGATGAAGCCCACTTGATCATGGTGGATAAGCTTTTTGATGTGCTGCTGGATTCATTTTGCCAGTATTTTATTGAGGATTTTTGCATCAATGTTCATCAAGGATATTGGTCTAAAATTCTCTTTTTTGGTTGTGTCTCTGCCCGGATTTGGTATCAGAATGATGCTGGCCTCATAAAATGAGTTAGGGAGGATTCCGTCTCTTTCTATTGATTGGAATACTTTCAGAAGGAATGGTACCAGTTCCTCCTTGTACCTCTGGTAGAATTCGGCTGTGAATCCATCTGGTCCTGGACTCTTTTTGGTTGGTAAACTATTGATTATTGCCACAATTTCAGATCCTGTTATTGGTCTATTCAGAGATTCAACTTCTTCCTGGTTTAGTCTTGGGAGAGTGTATGTGTCGAGGAATGTATCCATTTCTTCTAGATTTTCTAGTTTATTTGCATAGAGGTGTTTGTAGTATTCTCTGATGGTAGTTTGTATTTCTGTGGGATCGGTGGTGATATCCCCTTTATCATTTTTTATTGTGTCTATTTGATTCTTCTCTCTTTTTTTCTTTATTAGTCTTGCTAGCGGTCTATCAATTTTGTTGATCCTTTCAAAAAACCAGCTCCTGGATTCATTGATTTTTTGAAGGGTTTTTTGTGTCTCTATTTCCTTCAGTTCTGCTCTGATTTTAGTTATTTCTTGCCTTCTGCTAGCTTTTGAATGTGTTTGCTCTTGCTTTTCTAGTTCTTTTAATTGTGATGTTAGGGTGTCAATTTTGGATCTTTCCTGCTTTCTCTTGTAGGCATTTAGTGCTATAAATTTCCCTCTACACACTGCTTTGAATGCATCCCAGAGATTCTGGTATGTGGTGTCTTTGTTCTCGTTGGTTTCAAAGAACATCTTTATTTCTGCCTTCATTTCGTTATGTACCCAGTAGTCATTCAGGAGCAGGTTGTTCAGTTTCCATGTAGTTGAGCGGCTTTGAGTGAGATTCTTAATCCTGAGTTCTAGTTTGATTGCACTGTGGTCTGAGAGATAGTTTGTTATAATTTCTGTTCTTTTACATTTGCTGAGGAGAGCTTTACTTCCAACTATGTGGTCAATTTTGGAATAGGTGTGGTGTGGTGCTGAAAAAAATGTATATTCTGTTGATTTAGGGTGGAGAGTTCTGTAGATGTCTATTAGGTCCGCTTGGTGCAGAGCTGAGTTCAATTCCTGGGTATCCTTGTTGACTTTCTGTCTCGTTGATCTGTCTAATGTTGACAGTGGGGTGTTAAACTCTCCCATTATTAATGTGTGGGAGTCTAAGTCTCTTTGTAGGTCACTCAGGACTTGCTTTATGAATCTGGGTGCTCCTGTATTGGGTGCATAAATATTTAGGATAGTTAGCTCCTCTTGTTGAATTGATCCCTTTACCATTATGTAATGGCCTTCTTTGTCTCTTTTGATCTTTGTTGGTTTAAAGTCTGTTTTATCAGAGACTAGGATTGCAACCCCTGCCTTTTCTTGTTTTCCATTTGCTTGGTAGATCTTCCTCCATCCTTTTATTTTGAGCCTATGTGTGTCTCTGCACATGAGATGGGTTTCCTGAATACAGCACACTGATGGGTCTTGACTCTTTATCCAACTTGCCAGTCTGTGTCTTTTAATTGGAGAATTTAGTCCATTTATATTTAAAGTTAATATTGTTATGTGTGAATTTGATCCTGTCATTATGATGTTAGCTGGTGATTTTGCTCGTTAGTTGATGCAGTTTCTTCCTAGTCTCGATGGTCTTTACATTTTGGCATGATTTTGCAGCGGCTGGTACTGGTTGTTCCTTTCCATGTTTAGCGCTTCCTTCAGGAGCTCTTGTAGGGCAGGCCTGGTGGTGACAAAATCTCTCAGCATTTGCTTGTCTATAAAGTATTTTATTTCTCCTTCACTTATGAAGCTTAGTTTGGCTGGATATGAAATTCTGGGTTGAAAATTCTTTTCTTTAAGAATGTTGAATATTGGCCCCCACTCTCTTCTGGCTTGTAGGGTTTCTGCCGAGAGATCCGCTGTTAGTCTGATGGGCTTCCCTTTGAGGGTAACCCGACCTTTCTCTCTGGTTGCCCTTAACATTTTTTCCTTCATTTCAACTTTGGTGAATCTGACAATTATGTGTCTTGGAGTTGCTCTTCTCGAGGAGTATCTTTGTGGCATTCTCTGTATTTCCTGAATCTGAATGTTGGCCTGCCTTGCTAGATTGGGGAAGTTCTCCTGGATAATATCCTGCAGAGTGTTTTCCAACTTGGTTCCATTCTCCCCGTCACTTTCAGGTACACCAATCAGACGTAGATTTGGTCTTTTCACATAGTCCCATATTTCTTGGAGGCTTTGCTCATTTCTTTTTATTCTTTTTTCTCTAAACTTCCCTTCTCGCTTCATTTCATTCATTTCATCTTCCATTGCCGATACCCTTTCTTCCAGTTGATCGCATCGGCTCCTGAGGCTTCTGCATTCTTCACGTAGTTCTCGAGCCTTGGTTTTCAGCTCCATCAGCTCCTTTAAGCACTTCTCTGTATTGGTTATTCTAGTTATACATTCTTCTAAATTTTTTTCAAAGTTTTCAACTTGTTTGCCTTTGGTTTGAATGTCCTCCCGTAGCTCAGAGTAATTTGATCGTCTGAAGCCTTCTTCTCTCAGCTCGTCAAAATCATTCTCCATCCAGCTTTGTTCCGTTGCTGGTGAGGAACTGCGTCCCTTTGGAGGAGGAGAGGCGCTCTGCGTTTTAGAGTTTCCAGTTTTTCTGCTCTGTTTTTTCCCCATCTTTGTGGTTTTATCTACTTTTGGTCTTTGATGATGGTGATACACAGATGGGTTTTCGGTGTGGATGTCCTTTCTGGTTGTTAGTTTTCCTTCTAACAGACAGGACCCTCAGCTGCAGGTCTGTTGGAATACCCTGCCGTGTGAGGTGTCAGTGTGCCCCTGCTGGGGGGTGCCTCCCAGTTAGGCTGCTCGGGGGTCAGGGGTCAGGGACCCACTTGAGGAGGCAGTCTGCCAGTTCTCAGATCTCCAGCTGCGTGCTGGGAGAACCACTGCTCTATTCAAAGCTGTCAGACAGGGACACTTAAGTCTGCAGAGGTTACTGCTGTCTTTTTGTTTGTCTGTTCCCTGCCCCCAGAGGTGGAGCCTACAGAGGCAGGCAGGCCTCCTTGAGCTGTGGTGGGCTCCACCCAGTTCGAGCTTCCCGGCTGCTTTGTTTACCTAATCAAGCCTGGGCAATGGCGGGCGCCCCTCCCCCAGCCTCGCTGCCGCCTTGCAGTTTGATCTCAGACTGCTGTGCTAGCAATCAGCGAGATTCTGTGGGCGTAGGACCCTCTGAGCCAGGTGTGGGATATAGTCTCGTGGTGCGCCGTTTTTTAAGCCGGTCTGAAAAGCGCAATATTCGGGTGGGAGTGACCCGATTTTCCAGGTGCGTCCGTCACCCCCTTCTTTGACTCGGAAAGAGAACTCCCTGACCCCTTGTGCTTCCCAGGTGAGGCAATGCCTTGCCCTGCTTCGGCTCGCGCACGGTGCGCGCACCCACTGACCTGCGCCCACTGTCTGGCACTCCCTAGTGAGATGAACCCGGTACCTCAGATGGAAATGCAGAAATCACCCGTCTTCTGCATCGCTCACACTGGGAGCTGTAGACTGGAGCTGTTCCTATTCGGCCATCTTGGCTCCTCCAGAATCTACTCATTTTTAAGTGACTATTTCATTTGGAGAAATGGTCATAAAAGTCAGTTAGCATTTATAATTAAAACTCAGCTTTAGTTAAATTTAATTGTGTGTGCAGCAGAGCATAGAATTCAATTTCAAAATCCTGAACCATATTTTATGACTTGTCTTCATTAGCAGTTATTGGAAATTTGCTATCTCTCTACATGTATTCCTCATTTAATTCCCACAACTCTAGGAAGTAGGTACTAGTATGCCCATTTTAGAAATGAGAAAGCTGAGACATGAATAGATTAAGAAACTTACCCTAGACCAGTGTTTCTCAAACTTTATGTGCAAAAGAATCACCCAAGAGTCTTGATAATTTGCAAATTCTGACTTGGTAGGTCTGGGGTGAATCCTGAGATTCTGCATTTTTAATCAGCTCCCAGGTCAAGGCCAACACTGTTGGCTTGTGGATCATACATTGTGTAACAAGGTTCTAGATTACATGTCCTAGGGTCTTAACACTGCCTGTCTGACACTGAAACCCATGCACATAACCCCTATGCAGAGTATGCATTGACTTTTCTCTTTACTACATTGTAATTTACTTCCTACAGATGAAACAGTTACATTAGTTCTTGATGCATATACATTTGTGATGCAATTTTACCCTTGAGGAATATCCAGGGAAGCAAAGCATTACTGGGACCATCATCCTCATCCTAAAGGCTCTCTTCTACATCTGCCTCTTCTGGGACCACAGCTCCCAAAAGGAAACATAGAGGTGGCAGTGGCAGCTGACAATTTACCTTATTCTTTGGAATCTCAGGGTTTCTCCTGCTCAATGAGTGCAGCCATTCAACTTTGACTTCTCCTCCTCGATCCTCCCGTGAATATGTAGTATATAAAATCATACTATGCTTCATGCTTTCTTATGCATGTTTATTTAAATATATATATTATATGCATGTGCTTTCTTTACTTCTCATTTTACTTGGTATTCACAGTTCATTTTCTTCCAGTAAGTCTTTTTATCCTATTCTTTGTTTGTATCCCCAAACTCTTCCTTTGTGGTTACGCTATAATTTTAATATTTACCAAAAAAGAAGATTCAAGTTAGACACTTTTCATATTATATTACTTTGGTTAAATCAGCCTGGCCTAGAGGATTTCCTTTTCACCATTTTCTTTCTCATCAGGTGAGGTAGTTTGACTGACTTGGTTTGTTCAAGCAAAAGGACAATGGGAAATAAATCTAGGTGTTCAGCATAAAAACAGCTAATGACAAAGCTATTTTTAGGGACTTCTTGTCTTTCCTATGTTATTCTTTATGTCTGTTTGATATCTATTTTCTGGCTCTTATCTTTAAAAGACAGCTGCTTTGCCTCAGGCATAAATCAGAAGAGGAAAACCAGCTTCTGGACCTGGAGAGAGGATGAAAGGGAATAGGAATTGAGGGAAGCGGAAGGGAAGAATAAGGGACCCCTGGAGAGTCCCTACCAAGCCAGACATAACAAACAAAAGTCCTCTACTACTGAGGAAGACAGAACAGGGAAGCCAGCAGGGGAAGAAAAAGATGCTGCTGCTCTTGATGCCTCAAAAACAGCAAGGAAGAACCCAAGCAACTGATGTACACACCCTTGGAACAAATCTGCCCCAGAAGTACAAGACACACTCTTCGAATTCATGGAATAAATGGGAGGTGAGTGTTCAATTCCAAGACACAAGACAGAATTGGGCAAGAGGGAGGAATGCTACTACTTGTAAGTCATAGTTACATAAAAACAGCAACCACATTGTGTTTTTCTGTAATGCTCTAGATCTGTGGTCCCCAATATTTTTGGCACCAGGGACTGGTTTCCTGGAAGACAATTTTTCCACTGACTGATGATTCAAGCACATTACATTTATTGGGAACTTTATTTCTATTATTATTACATTGTAATATATAATGAAATAATTATACAAACCATAATGTAGAATTGGTGGGAGACCTGAGCTTGTTTTCCTGTGACTAGAGGGTCCCATCTGGGGGTGATGGGAGACAGTATCAGATCATCAGGCATTAGATTCTCATAAGGAGTGTGAACCTAGACCCCTCGCATGCACAGTTCACAATAGAATTCGCACTCCTATGAGAATCTAATGCTGCTGCTCATCTGACAGCGGGTGGAGCTTGGGCAGTAAAGCTCTGTAGCCCTGCTGATCACTTCCTGCTGTGCGGCAGGGTTCCTAGCAGGCCATAGACTGGTACCAGTCTGTGGCCCAGTGGTTGGGACCCCTGCTCTAGATTTAAGTGTTTGTAGATGAAGCACTTTAGCTTTCCCGGAAAATGTATTGAAGATAAATTTATTCAAAGTTATCATACATTTAAAAAACCCCACAAAACTCTTAACCCCTGTAACCCCAGTAGGTTTGGGAGGCCGAGCTGGGAGGATTGCTTGAGGCCAGGAGTTTGAGACCAGCACAGGTAATATTGAGAATCTCTGCTTTTACAAAACAACTCTCAAAATTTTATATGTACACACAAATTTGGACTTCCTGAATTAACCAGTTAATAGATTTTAAAATACACATTAACCCAAGAGGTAAATAATTCATCAAAATTCAGCAAAAATAATTACTTGACACCAGATAGCTAGTTTTACATTTTCCAATTTTTTAGCCAGTTGCTAGAAATCACATAAACACAGTCTGATTTTTATAAATTTGGCTGAAAAATTGAAGGACTATTATCAATTTCAGTTAACGTTTCTTTTTAAAAATTAGCTTAAGTTTGATATTGAAAATATAAAGCTTTTTAAAAATTGAAATGCTGCATGAAAGGAATAAAAATCATGTTATAATGTTAGTAGAGTTCTCAACCAGCTCACTCATATTTTAACATACTCTTACCCTAAGGTATTAAAGAGTGGATTATTTAAATACAGGTAAATAAAAGTGATAGGAGTTACAGAAATGGTGAAAAGAGGGAATGCTAGCAATTTTGTGGTGGCCAAATAAAAACAATGTATTTATCAGTAGATAAAAATGTGCAGATTAATTCTTATTTTAGATATCTGTGGCAGCTAGAAGTACAACTTTAGGCTCTTCAAGAATGACAGTTTTGATTTATATTATTCTCCACAGCTCCATTTAAGTACACTACTATGCTCTCTGCATTCCTTTTCTCTTACTTGATGGCTAATAGGCATTGCCATTCCTTGATATCTCTCAAAGAAATAAAACTAGAAGGATTTTTAAGGAGCATAAAAATTCAGCTCCCAGCTGTGTACACACACCCATACACACACACACTCACACTCACGAAGTTAGAGAGAAGCTCATAAAAACAACAACAATAAAAAGCCAGGGAATGTATAAATGTAGAACCTGAGTTTCTACTGAATATTCTTAAACAGAAACTACTAAACTACTGTAATTGTTGTGCTAACAGACAGCACTGATGTCTGAGTGAGAGTTTAAATATATGAAGATTATAAGACTATAGATAAATCTGCATATATAGCTTTTTTTTTTTTTTGAGACAAGCTCTCACTCTGTTGCCCAGGTTGGAGTACAGTGACACGATCATGGTCCACTGCATCCTCGACTTCCTGGGCTCAAGCAATCCTCCCTCCTCAGCCTCCCAAGTAGCTGGGACTGTACGTGCATGCCACTACACCCAGCTAATTTTCTCTAGTTTTTGCAGAGATGAGGTCTTGCTATATTGCTTAGGCTGGTCTCAAACCTCTGGGCTCAAGAGATCCTTCTGCCTTAGCCTCCCAAAATACTGAGATTATAGGCGTGAACCACCATGCCTGGCCACATATAGCACTTGTAAAAAAATGTTATAGTAATATATGCATGTGGTACAAAATTGAATGGTTATGCAGTAATCAGAAATCCCTCTATCCTAACCTTCATCCACCCAATCCTCCTCCTAGAGGCAACCACAATTAGCAATATCTTGAATATTTTTTCAGAGATACAACAAGAAAGATTTTAATCTCCCTTTAGTCCCTCAGTTGAAACTTAAGAGGTTTAGATTTCCGCTGACTTAAAAACAATGCAATGGAATTCTGGTCTTTGGTTCAGATCTGAAAACAACTTCCATTTATCAGTCCAGAAAACTGAGAACTTACTGGTTATATCACTAATGGTTCAGGATTCCTCCTTAGAAGAGAGTTCTTTTCTCTAGCAACAAGATAAATAGCTGATTTCTTGGAAGCTGTCCTTTCTTTATAGGCCCTATTTCATTAGTTCATTGCCTGGTAATTACAGCTGCATGGAAATAAAAATGTAAAATGAGTGTGATTTCCTTTTATAGGTTGAATAATATGGGTAGCCCTGGATTGTGAAAGGAAACAGATTGCTCCTCGGTTTTTTTTATTATATCCAAGGTTTCCTATCTGCTTTGGGTGAATTATCACTAGTCACCTAAAAACACACTGATTAAAAAAAAGGGAGAAGTCACACATCTCCCTCCTGTGCAATGCTGATAAATTTATACGGCTATTTAAATAGTCATATGAAATATCAATTATTAATAACAGCAGTAGATCTTTTGAGTTCTAAGAGCTTTAAAACTGATGATCTCTCCAAAACATCTATAATTTGCAACTATTTACAGTACAGCAGAACGACCTCATGAAAATATTTATGGCTCTTACAGTGTCAAAATTTTGTTTTGTTTTGGCATTTACAGCAGTTAACTAAATGCTAGTTCTGTGTTAGTTCTCATTGCTATAAGTGTGGGAGTAAATTGAAACAATTGTGACAAACATACCATGATGGCAATGAACGATGAAAACATTATTTTCATTCCCTGCTTACATCGAAATTTTTCCAGGTATCAAACCAAGAGGTGGATTACTGGGTGCCATATAGGACTCTGCAGCTGAAAGCTCCTTTTAATTTTGGCAGAACAAATAGTTATAGTATACAATGATAGAATTGAAGGTGGAAATGTCACATCTCAGAAAGTATGCTAATAGTATTACTAGCTATGAATTATTACCTTCAGTATGTGCCAGCAGGAAATCACATAGATCTAAACATGTTCAATACTTGTTTTCCTAGGTCAACCATCTAAGATGTTATTTGTCATTATTTATAAATTATATTTGAATTTCTGAATATAAAGCAATCAATTTTTCTACTATTTAAGCTGAATTTTTATTTTCAAAGCTATGCACATACATAGCTTAAAAAGTCAAATATTTCACAGGGCTAATAATTTAAAAACAGCATTCTTCTGTTCCTTCCCCTGATTATTGCTCCTCAGAGAAAACCATTTTTAATTCCCTCAGCTCTTTTTCCTGGTGTCTACTGCTATAAGTCTAAGAACACTCATTTAATGCTATTTTTTCAAATTTTTATTATACTGTTGGTTAATTTCTTATTTCTAACCCCTGCCCTCCTACCACCTCAATCACAGTTACCTTCTCCTTCTCTTCTCAGTATAGCTACAGCTTTATTTGGCTAAACCAATGTTCAGTTTTCATTATGACCAATTAGATATCATTCATAGCTGATGCATGTAGTATATCAGGATTGTAATTATTTCTTCTACACTTTGTTTTCTGGGTACTTTAAATTGTATCTTTTAAAAAAATTTTTGCTTTGTTTTCTGTGTGCTCATGGCTACCAGAGTCATCCTGTGTTGCTTCACAAAGTGTTGAGTTCCTCTTAATATAGTCTAACACTTCAGGAAATCTCAGTTTCCCTGTTGTCTTGAAGATACACTTTCCACCCTGCTGCTCCTATCTGGGCTGCTTGTCTTCCCCATCTGCCCCTCAGCTGTCTTCCTGGGATATCCTGTCACATCATCTGGGATATTTCCTTCACCTTCCTTCTGTCTGAGATCCTTATTCCTGGATCCCGAGACTTCCTCTTTATTGATTTACTCTCTTGTTTCTGGTGGGGCATATTTTCCAGTAGCTTCCTGAGAGACTGCCTGAGAGGTGAACTTTGAGACCTTGCCCATCTGAAAACGTCCTGATTCTACCATCGCACGTAATTTATAGTTAGACAGGGTGTAGAATTCTAGGTTTGCAATACTTCATTCTTAAAATTTGAAGGGATTCTTCTACTATGTTGCAGGTACTAGTTTTGGTACTGAGACATCTAGTGCCTTCAGATTCATGCTTGTTGGTATGTGACCTGCTTTCTCCTTTCCACCTCTCCAGAAGCTTTTAGCATCTTCTTTTCTATTTGTGATGTTCTGAAGTTTCTCAGTCATATGCATTTATAGGACTGTTTTTCTTCCCATTGTGCTGGACACCTTGTATCATGGTGTCACCTTTCAGTTTGGAAACTCATGTTTTTTAGTTCTGGAAAATTTTCTTGAATCATTTGTTGAATACCTTCTTCCTCTTCTTTATTTTTTCTGATTTCTTTATGAGACTCCCATTATTTGGAAGTCAGATATCCTGGAAAAAAATGCCATAATTCTCTTTGACCTTTTTGTTGTCCTGTTCTCTCTCTCTCACGTGGCTTGTGAACCTAATTGTAAACTTGATCAGTAAAAACCATTGTGGCAGTGCAAAGGCAAATTCAAAATTGTTATCTCTGGTTATTTTTAGTGTTTTTTCAGCTATTTCAGTTTTGTCATTTATCAATGTATCTTATGTTTTTATATTCCTCAATAAATATTTGAGTGCCCTACACTGTTTTTTCCTGATGAATTGAAGCTAGGACAAACTAGAGATAATCAGTAAATTCATTAAATTGAGTTCAAATTCTGCTCCACTCAAACTTATTCCGTTTATTCATTCAAACATTAAAAGAACTACAGTGTATGAAGCAGTTAGCTGGGTAGTAGGTACACAAAAATAAATGAAAATAAACAAAATGTCTTTTTCTTTGTGGAAATTATAAAATGTGAATGTATGTGTATGGGGATAGATGGGCAGGGGAGTATCATTGTTACTGCAATGGGGGTGAGTACACATGTTGTTACTGAAGAAAAGGAAGCTCATCTAACCCTGGCTTGGGGACAATTCATTCACACTGTCTGTGGTCTATAGAATGGGTTGGAGGGCTCAGGACAGTCTTGGAGACGAACTAAAACACCAATGAATAATTCAGGTGAGATGGTAGTGGTCTGAATTAGGTCTGTGACAAGAAGGAGAAAAGTGAATTTTGAGACACTAGGAGTTTAATTAGATAGGACTTGAATTTCATTGAATTAGAGGAAGTGAAAGTGAGTTCTAAGGCAGAAGATAGTGAATTTAATTTTGGAAAAGTTTAATTTTATGTGGGATGTGCAAGTGGGGATTTGAATCAGAAGCTCAGAAGGGACAGAAGCCCTGGAAATAGATTCTTGGGTGTCACTCACATATGGTACTGTCTGGAGCCATGTGAATTGAGAGCACAGGAGGAAAGTGTGTCAACTCAACAAGGTCAGAGAAAGTTTGATGAAGAAACCTAAGGGAACATGGAGATTTAGAGGCTAGAAAGAGAAGAATATCCCACATATGTCAAGAGAAGAGAGGGTTAAAGAAATGAATACTTGGCATGATCAAATGCTACCATACATTCATATAAGGCTTTATGATATGTGTGATTTTGCATATATTTTCTTACTTAATCCCTGTAATGGCTTTATGGTTCATCTATCTCACTTTTCCACTTTTTTCTAAAAGTGTTTAGATAAGAAAACGGAGGCCCAGGAACACAGCAATTTGTTCAAGATTACAAAAGTTGGCTGGGTGTGGTGGCTTAGCCTGTAATCCTAGCACTTTGGGAGGCTGAGGCAGGCGGATCATGAGGTCAGGAGATCAAGACCATCCTGGCTAACATGGTGAAACCCTGTCTCTACTACAAATACAAAAAACAATTAGCTGGACATGATGGCACATACCTGTAGTCCCAGCAACTTGGGAGGCTGAGGCAGGAGAATTGCTCGAACCCGGGAGGCAGAGGTTGCAGTGAGTCGAGATTGTACTACTGCACTCCAGCCTGGGTGACAGAGCGGGACTCTGTCTAAAAAAAAAAAGATTACAAAAGTTGTGAAAAGCAAACTCGGGTGTTGAACAGATTTCTGGAGTTTCTCAGGTGCAGAGTGGTGAGTCCAGACTGCAAAGTGGCGCAGTTAATGTGAGCCCTCACTGTGTGCAGGCACTGTGCTGAGTGCTTTGTGCACATTATCTCATTTAATTTTCAAATCTTATACTATAAACTTGTTAACATTATAATCCCCATTTAAGGAATGAGGTAGAGGAAGCTCAGAGGTTAAGCAACCTGCCCAAAGTCATAAAACCAGTAAATGGTAGAAGCAGAGGAATTCACGTCCATTTGCTGTATGACACACGTATTAACAATTCCATCATTACGTATGAATTTCTTTCATCCAAAGACTTCCCTGATTTTTTTTTTTTTTGCCTACTAATGCTTCTGGGCTGCATAAAGATAAAAATCTCAATAAATAATAGTTATTTTGAAAGGCCTACAATGTGGTGAGGTGCTCAACTAAATAATTTATTTGTAGTCTATTCACTCTTTACAAACCTGAATGGGAAAGTATTTTTACCCCCATTTTACAGATGAGAAAACTGACCCCCAGAGATTAAATAACAATACACATTGTACGCATGTTTCAAAATATCACTTGTACCCTTAAAAATTTTTTTAGAATCACATGGGTCCTATAAATATGTACAAATATTACATATCAAAATGTTTTTAATTAAAAAAAATAAGGACAGAGTAGGCATTCTAGCTCAAATCCTTTTCCTTTTCTTCTTCTCTTCTTTCTTCCTTCCTTTCCTCCCTTAGCCAACCCTCCTTCCCCATCTCCTCTATCCTTCTCTTTCATTTGGCCTACTGCTTCTTAGGTGACAATAAGAGTGAATTTAGAATGAGGCCTTTAGGAATGGGATATAGGTCAAGGCACTGGGATTCAGAGGAGACAAGGGGTAAGCACTTTGCTAGTGTAATTGTAATGTTTGGAACTCAGTTAAAATGTTCACCAGACTCTCTGGTGCCCTGATATACCCACATAGGGGCTTGTGTGATTGAGAACTAAGGTTTTTAGACATTTAGTTTGAAATATAATTAACTGTGTATATCAAAGTTTGTAATTTGAGACTAATAATTGAGAATAAAATTGATGGATAATTAAGTAAAATAAAATATATCTTAGACATAAAGAATAAGATACCTTAGTGGTCATTCATAATTTGTTTCATTTTTATATAAAAATTATTTGCTTCCCATACACAAAACCTGAGTGCTCATCTACTTGATGATTTATGACACAGAACTGGAGTTACTTATGTCAAAGCTCTGCTTTGTTTTTTTTTCTTCTTTTGAGATGGAGTTTTGCTCTTGTTGCCCAGGTTGGAGTGCAGTAGTATGATCTCGGCTTACTGCAACCTCTGCCTCCTGAGTTCAAGTCATTCTCCTGCCTCAGCCTCCCAAGTAGCTGGGATTACAGGCGCTTACCACCATGCCTGGCTAATTCTTTTATTTTTAGTAGAGATGGGGTTTCACCATGTTGGTTAGGCTGGTCTCAAACTCCTGACCTTAGTGATCCACCTGCCGCGGCCTCCCGAAGTGCTGGGATTACAGGTGTGAGCCACTGCACCCGGCCCGAAGCTCTACTTAGAAGGACAGCAGTGCTCTATGTTCAAGACAGAGCTTTTCTCTGTGCCTCAAAAACCAGTTGAAAAAGAGCATTGCAATATTATGTGTTAACTGTTCTGTAGACCAAAAATGTTGGTTATATTGATGGCAAAACCTGAAAGAAATCCACAACGCAGAATTAGGTAGATACTGCCCCCTCTCCCTTGGAACTTTATACATTCCGCATTTTTACTAAAATGCTTATGATGCTGTTTCACGATTTGTTTATATCTCTGCTCTGCAACTTTGAAATGCTTGAAAGCAAGGTTTAGGTCATATGTTTATCTTTGTAACCACAGAGTTTAGCACAAATTATGTCCTCAAGTTTACAGATTTAACTAACCATAGTCAGGGACTCAAATATTGTGTAGCCAGGCATATGTTCTAAACCAGAAATTGTCCCAGTGTTTTCCTCACTTCACTTAGGATCACATATGGTGTTTTTTTTTTTTTTTTTAATACAGAGTCTCGCTCTTGTCACCTAGGGTGGAGTGCAGTGGCACGATAATGGCTCACTGCAGCCTCAACCTTCTAGGCTCAAGTGATCCTCCTACCTCAGCCTCCTGAGTAGCTAGGACTACAGGCATGCACCATTACTAGATAATTTTTATATTTTTTGTAGAGACAGGATCTTGCTATGTTGCCCAGACTAGTCTCCAGCTTCTGGGCTCAAGTGATCCTGCTGCCTCAGCCTCTCAAAGTGCTGGAATTACAGGTGTGAGCCACCACACCTACCCACTTAGCATCCTGTACAAATTTTACTGTTAAAGAATTTTATGTTTTAATAGACTTCTACCAAGCAAACTACAATTTTAAAAATAATCTCTGGCTTCTGTTCATTGTTGATACATACATATACAATACTGGTTGAAAAATTCCAACCAAGAATGAAGAAATGTGATGTTTTGGTTAGCCTTGGTAATGCTATTGTGGTTAACTAGTATTCTTATTTAACCATGTGAACTACTAAAGTATCATTCAACTTCATTTTTTAACTGTATCATTTATTTTAAAGATTTATCCCTATTGATATAGCTAAACTTAAGCCCATTCTTCCTTAAAAACATGCATTAGAATGTCAAACCTCTAATACAGGTTTAGTGGTTACACCTGGGAAGAGAGGAGGGCAGAGATGAGGGTAGATATGTTTCTATTTCTGTAATGCTTTATTTCTTTAAGAAAAAATCTGAAGCAAATATGGCAAAATATAAACCTGTTAAATGTGGCTGGTGGGTACATATCTATCTAATTCATTTTCTGTATGTTTGAAAATTTCATACTTTAAAAAGTGAAACAGCTGATTTCAAATGCCTCTTTTAAACAAGCACCCATGTAAAATGGCATTAATACATTTACTTATTTTTAAAAAGTTAAAAAAAATTCTAAGATTGAAAACATTTGCCCTTAACTTTAGAAAAACTTTAAAAGCATCAGAGTAAATATAGAATTCTAATTATAGACAATAGAAAAAGACAGATCAAGAGAGATTTGAAGCTCTCAAAAATTGAAATTTTGATATTTAAAGTTAAGATTTCATTAAAGCCTATGCATCCTAAATTACCACCTGTACTTAGACAACTCAATGTTTAGTATAGACATTTGTAAATTCCAGACACTCAC
This sequence comes from Homo sapiens, assembly GCF_000001405.40. Lineage (NCBI taxonomy): Eukaryota > Metazoa > Chordata > Mammalia > Primates > Hominidae > Homo > Homo sapiens. The sequence continues at coordinate 100,017,759 of NC_000004.12, forward strand.
ACCCAACAGTCTGCTTTACAGTTTTTCTCTGAGCCCCATATGATCCAAACGAAAGTCATGGGCCCCTGCACTGTCTTTAATGTAATACACATAAACCTAGTTCTCTTATTCCAGTGACTGGAGTCATGCAAGTCAGAAACCCAGGGAAGTTTCTTAATTGCCACGCCTTACAATGTTAATATTACTTCATCACATGGGTTTTTTTTTTACAGCAGTCTTTTAAAGATTATGTCTATTTTATGAAGATTATTTCAGTTAAACTAGCACTATATTCATAAAGCTACTTAACCTGGCATACATAAACAGAGGCACAGTCAATATGTGAAAGTCAACACTGTGGAACGCTCATCCTTTCCTTACATTACCTCAGCTACCCTAAATGAGTCATGACACCTGTCATACTGACTAAGTGAATCCCTAGGATAAATATTAATGAAGCTTAAGTTTTTAATATGTGTTTGTACAAGTTTGAACACTTTGTCCTTGCTGTCCAGTGGAACATCTTGTATACTCCATATTGGAGACTGCAACTCTATACTGTGGTCAGAATATTTTTGAAACTCAAAATGATTATGTTTCTCTTTCCTCCCTATCCTTCATATATTAACCTTCCAGAGACTTCCTATTTGCTCTAAATATGAAGACCAAAATCTTTAGCATGGCGTTTGGTCAAGTCTTTTCACAATTTGTCCTCTATCTCCCTCTTCAGCCTCACCTTACCAAAAGCTAACCCTTGCTCTTTGATACAAAGATATGAAGAAATGCACCTCCCTATGGTTTGATCGTAGCACTTATTTCAGTTGTAATTTTACTTGCATATTTTATTGTTTGTTTAGTATCTACCTCCTATACCACAAGCTATGTAAGTTATTTTAAGAAGTAAACAATCAAAATGAGAAAGAAGATAAAGCAATTTCTCAAAAGATTGATATTTTCACAAGACATCGGCCAATGAACCTAGATAAAAGATCATGTGTAAAAACACCAAAGGGTCAAACGATGGGAAAATATAAAAAATAATATTTATTGTTTATAAGAAGAAAATAGAGGCTTTAAAAAATATCTTATTTCCACTTTTTTTTAGGCTTTTTAAAATTAGAAAAAATAATAAAAAATGGCCATAACTTTATTTTGGAGAAAGGCTCAGACCCACCACTTTGAGCTGATGGTATAAAATTATAGATGACAGTGACAAAACTATTCAATGTTTATTTCTTTATCAGTATTGCCATTTAGATATGCTGATTATGAAATATTGCCTAGCTGTTCTTTATAGTTGTTCTTTATAGATTCTTTATATATATATATACACACACAATATATATACATACATATTGGCCATACATATATATATGGCCAAGATGAATTATAACTTTAGGAACAGAAAAAATTAGCAGATGGATTTTATAAACCAATAATATATATATATAAGTATATACATATGTATTTAAGGAACTGCAATTTGCTTTTTAAATTAAAAAATTAAACTAGTTTCAAACCTATAGAAATGTTGCCGGAATAGAACAAAATTATTTTTTTATTTTCAGACAGGGTCTTGCTCTGTCACCCAGGCTGAAGTGAGACGGAGTGATCATGGGTCACTGCAACCTTGACCTCCTGAGCTCGAGCTATCCTCCTCTCTCATCCTCTCAAGTAATTGGTGCCATTGTGCCCAGCCAAATTTTTAATAGTTTATAGAGATGGGGTCTTACTTTGTTGCTAAGGTTGTTCTCAAACTTCTGGCCTCCAGCAATATTCCTAGCTTAGCTTCCCATAGCGCTGGGATTATAGATGTGAGCCACCTTGCCCGGCTTGAACAAAGCAATCGTTTTTGTTTGGATGATTGCTTAATATTTTACTATGTGTATATATATTTATTGCTTCTCTCTCTCTCCCCCAATCTGATGTCCCTCTACTCCCTAAATACTTCAGTATATACATGCCCTAAACTGGGACACTCTGCTGTAATAGTATCAATATACTTGGCTGCCAATAAGAAAATCAAAGTTGATAGAACACTACCATTGAATCCACAAACTTTGATCATATTTTGCCAACTGTCCCAACAATGTTTTCTCCTCTTTTTGGTCCAGTATCCTATACAGGAAATTGCATTGCATTTAGTGGTCATGCCTCTTTAGATTCCTTCAATTTGGAACATTTTGTTATTTCACTCTCTCTCAAGTCCCTGGGTTTTAAAGAATGGATTCCTTTTATTCTATGGGACAACCCTAAACACAGGTCTGTCTGATGTTTCCTCATGACCAGACACAAGTCATGCATTTGTGGCAGGAATATCACAGAAGTGATGCTGTGCTCTTCCTAGTGCCTCATATCCGGAGGCACCACACAATGTTGATCTGTTCCACTGCTTGATCTTGGGTGCCTGTTTATGTTAGTGTTTACTAGATTTCCAAAGGCTCAATTTTTCTTTAAGACCAATTAACATTTGAAGGCAAGACTTCTAAGATTTTACACTAATATCCCGTTTCTCATCGAGTTTCCCACACCAGCAATTGCATTCATTGACAATTTCCACCTGAGCCAACCATCATAATGAGGGTTGCCAAATGGCTGCTTATTTGCTTCTTTCTACAATTATTAGTTGATACTCTACTATAACAGTACATTTCTCTTCTCACATTTCTTTATTATTTATATTAGTGTGGATTCATGGATTCCAGTTTTAGTTACTGAGTTTTCATTTGATAATATTATTATTTATTGTGATGTGGATATTATCCCAGATTTGACCAGTTTTATCCCTGTTAAACTGGCTTCTGTATCCTTTTGACATATCTCCATCACTCATTGTATATGTTTTTTAGAGATAACAAAATGCACCAGGTACATTTTTTCATTCCATATTCCAGCCCTGGCATTAGCCATTTCTTAAAGGACCCTTGATTTCTTTTAATAAAGGATAATATTCATTAAAGGAATGAAACAATGACCTGGGTCACCTGGAGTTAGCCATTTCTTAAAGAACCCTTGGTTTATTTATTTATTTATTTTTTGAGATGGAGTCTTGCTCTGTCACCCAGGCTAGAGTGCAGTGGCACGATCTCCATTCACTGCAACTTCTGCCTCTTGGGTTCAAGTGATTCTCCTGCCTCAGCCTCCCGAGTAGCTGGGGTTACAGGCATGTGCCACCACGCCCAGGTACTTTTTGTATTTTTAGTAGAGACAGGGTTTCACCATGTTGGCTAGGCTGGTCTCAAACTCTTGACCTGAAGTGATCCACCTGCTTTGGCCTCCCAAAGTGCTGGGATTACTGGCGTGAGCCACCATGCCCAGCCAACCCTTGATTTCTTTTAATGAAGGATACCATTTATTAAAAGAATGAAACAATGATCTGGGTGCTCATGTTCATCATTACCGAGGTGTCATTGCATTGGGAATTTTCAGTAGAAAGAGCTAGAAAATGTTGTATGTATATACGCATGTACATGTGTATGTATACGAGCATATGATTGTAACTATTTTTATTTATGTACATGTGTATGTGTGTGTGTGTGTGTGTGTGTGTGTTTTCATACCTGACTTGATGCTGATACTTTTAATTCTAATCGTATACCTTGGGGTTCTTTTTATTTATTATGTGTTTTATTTTTAGAGACAGAGTCTTACTCTGCTGCCCAGGCTGGAGTGCAATGGTGCGATCATGACTCACTGCAGTCTCGAACTCCTGGGCTCAAGCGATCCTTCTGCCTCAGCTCCCCAGTAGCTGGGACTACAGCCATGTGCCACCATGCGCAGCTAATGTTTTTTATTTTATGTAGATCGGGTGTCACTGTGTTGCCCAGGCTGGTCTCAAATTCCTGGCCTCAAGTGATCTTCCCGCCTCAGCCTCCCAAAATGCTGGGATTACAGGCATGAGCCACTGTGCCCAGCCAAGATTCATTTTAGTCTGCTTCCTTTACATGGTGCAAATTCCTTCTCAGATATTAAGAAATATAGTTTTTAATATCTTCACCTCTTTCCTTTCTTCCCTCTTCCTTCTTTCTTTCCTCCTTTTTTTTCTTTTTTGTTTCCTCCATTTCTTCCTTTCTTTCTTCCTTCCTTCCAAGACATAGGGTCTTGCTGTGTTGCCCAGACTGGACTTGAACTTCTGAGTTCACATCATCTTTCCTCCTTAGACTCCAGAATAGCTGGAATTACAAACATGTGCCACTGCGCCCAACTGCAGTAGTCTTCTAATTGGTTTCCCTGCTTCTTCACTTGCTCCCATATGGCCAATTCCCTATATAAAGCTAGAGAGATTTTCTAAAACATAAATCATATGTCTCTTCTCTGCTAAAAGTGTGCCAATGGCTTCCCACTAAAGTTAGAAAAAAAAATCTTTGAAACTAAAGATTGGACTGTCTTAAAAGCAAACAGACTATATAACAGGCACATGTCTTAATCTGTTTGCTATAACAAAATACCACAGACTGAGCAATTTACAAACAACAGAAATTTATTTCCGACAGTTCTGGAGGCTAAAAAGTCCAAGATCAAGGTACTGGCACTGGTGCATGTTAAGACCTGCTCCCTGCTTCCAAGATGGCACCTTGTTGCCATGTCGTCATGTGGCAGAAGGTGGAAAGGCAAGGCTTTCTTCAACCTAGAGCCCTTTTTAATAATGGTTCTAATGCCATTTAGAAGGGCAGGACCCTCATGACTTAATCACTTCCCAAAGTCCACATCTCTTAATACTGTTGCATTGAGGATTAAGCTTCAACCTGAACTTTGAAGGGGACATAGCAGCATAGTAGACTTTTAATGAATATTCACCAATTGAAAGAATAAATTAGAATTTCAAAACAAATTGAAAATGAAGAAAGTAAAGGTATACACTCTCCTATCTCTATCACACCCACATCCAAACAGAAGATGCTCTTAGATCTAATATCAGCGTTTTCAGAATTGGATTACTTTGCTATTGTCTCTATTCCCACCATGGATCATGCTCCCATCATATCTTCAGTATTGCTTGCATTTTCACGATAGTTCCCTAACTGTTATTTCAGTTTCTGCCCTTGCCTCCCTTCACTCTATTTTCACAGAGGCCAGAATAATTCGGTTAAAAAATGCCAGATCACATCACTTCTCTCTTAAAACCCTTCAGTGGCTTTCCGTTTTACTCTGGGTAAAAGCCAAAGTGCTTTAAATGGCCAACAGGCCCTGTATTCATTATCTGTTGCTATGTAACAAAGTACTCAAAACTTAGTTGCGTCAAAACATACATTTATTATCTCATGGTTTCTGTGGGTCAGGCATCTGGGCCCAGGCTCTCTTGTATGGCTGCAATCAATTTATCAGCTGGGGCTGAATTGTTGAAAGGCCTGACTGAGGGAGGTTCTGATTTCAAGCTCACATTGCTGTTGTCAGGCTCCGGTCCCCTGCTGATTGTTGGCTGGAGACATCAGTTCTTTGTCATGTGGCCCAATCCATACGACTGTTTACAACATGGTAGCTTGCTTCCCCCAGAGTAAGGGCTGTGTGTGTGAGGGAGAGAAAGACAGATATTCCCTAATGTCTTTTGAGTCTTTATACTTTTCTATGGCATTTATTGTATCCAATATCTCATGTGTTTTACTCATTGTCTGTTTCCTCATTTCTCTATCCTCATTACAATATAAGCTATAATAGAGCAGGACATCTTGCTTGTTTCACTGACTATTTTATCTACAGTGATCAGAACAGTGTTAAACACATTCAAAACAAATACTGAATAAATGCAATCATTTCAGAAAAGATTTGAGGAATCTCAAAAACAGACATCCATCTGCTATGAAACCCTGTAACATACAGAATTACTGTAAAAGGCTGTAGTGTATTCATGAAACAGAATCCAGAGATTACTGTATAGGAAGAAAAAAATTAGAACAGTCCTACCAAACATACACCAAAAAGCAAACAAAAATTCAGCAATATACAAAGAATATTATTAGTATTTAATATATATACACATAAACACAAAGACTGTCATACAGATTTTGTCATATGTGGTTATGTATAACCACCAATAATCACCAATTTTCAAGTTCAGTTCTTGGTCTTGGAGTCAATGATAGATCTGTACCCTTCATGACAGCACAAGAGACCTGGGTTTTTGGGGTAGATGCAGCATTCCTTTCTTCTCTTAGAAATACATTGCACCTGAAAGGGAAAATGGTCAACCCCACTGTATTTTTTCCAGATTATGAGCTCCTCCTTAGAAGCCAGCCAAGCATGCCCAGATGATGGGTTAAGGCTACTGAGCTTTCCATGGTGCTAGTGCAGTTTGCAGTCTTGCTGTATTTCATAGTTGCCCCACAGAATTTATTTCCCTGTCAGCCATGGACAGCTGTATGAATTGACATCTCAGAGGGTATCTGCCAAGTCTCTGGAAATGCTAATGCCCATGCTGATTAGGTTGGACAATGTCAACTTGTTCTGGGCATCAATCCATTGAGCTACAAGCTTCTCATGATGGGAAAAGAGGGCTTCCTGAAGAGAAGTAGACAGCATGCTCAAACTGCTAAGAAGGGTGATGACAAAGCTCCTGCTAAGGCCCTGGTTCTTTTAGGAATTATCCTCATATTGTCAGCTCAGGCTATGGTTTGGGCTGTGAGATCTCATCTTCCTTCATCTTCTGTGGACCCACTGGCTTGCCAAGACCTCTTTAGGAACGAAGCAGTCTGAGGAAGTGCAGTCTGAGGGTCTGTCATTTCTATAGAAGCAGCTGGAGATATTGGGAAAATGGGCCAGGATTGTGGCTTCTCCAGACTGCAACAGAGCAGGACAGGAATTTTTCTCTGCTCCAAATCTCAGCCCCTCACCATGTCCCTGCCTAAACAACAAACACATACATTCTTTTTTTCACTTCCGCTTTTGCTTCTGCATCAGTTGTTTTTCTTTTACAAACTGTCAAGATCCTATTGATCAGCATCCAATTCATTTAATTATGCAATCCAGTTATCTTGTATCACCTAGGAAAAGTACATATAAGACTGTCTTAAAATAAAAGACTAGTGACAATAAAGATTTTTTGCCCAACAGAGGCCATTGAAGGATACACTTCCTCTTTAAATCATGTGAAATTCATCCTGGAATGCTTTTCTCATAGAATATACTCATTTCTTTCATATCTGAACCATAGCTGAAGTAGTAGATTCCCATGCTTTTCCTCCTGTCTCATTTTTCTTTTTTGTAGCTCCTGGCCACAGTGGGAGCCATGATCTCTCTCCTTTACATGTGGCTGTATTCCCAGAGCTTTCATTTCCATGTGGCACATTTTTATGCTCATTTTGGGTACCCCAGTGCTCAGCATATTGTTAGGCAAAGATACGTGAAAAGTAAGGTAACTTTGTTTCTCTGGTGCTATTCCACTGGGGGAAAAGAGGTGGGGAGAGATTTGCTGGTTAGAGTTCTAAAAGTAATGGCAAAAACCACAATTAACTTTGCACCAACCTAATATATCTGTAGGCTTATAGGTTTTAGCATTAAGCAGTTAATTGAGTCCGTTTTTAAAAATATAATATCTTTTGTTTACCTAGGAGCTGGTGTAGTGAAGGATGAAGAGAAGGCAATGCATTGGTTTAGGTAAGATGATGACATCTGCCCAAAAGCAAAGCTTCAGAGTTACCTGTTCAGAAAGTACAGGTTGAGCATCCCTTATCCGAGATGCTTGAGACCAGAAGTGTTTTGGATCTTGGATTTTTTTTAATTTTTTTATTTTGAAATATTTGTATTATACTAACTGGTTGAGCATCCCTAACCTGAAAATTCAGAATCTGAAATGCTCCAGTGAGATTTTTCTTTGAGGGTCATGTTGGTGCTCCAAAACTTTCAGATTTTGGAGCATTCAGATTCAGATTTTCTGATTAGGGATGCTCAACCTATGCTGAAATAGAAAACCTTATAATTTTGGTGCTCTTTCCCTAGAGCAAAAATAAGCTAGAGATCTTAATATTAAAGTCTTGGTACCCTTTTTACTTTTTCCACTTGGTGATGAGGTAGGAGTACTGGTGGAGCTATGGAGAGGGCGGGGCCAATGCATTTTAAAACAGTCTACACAATGTAAGCAAAGAGCAGATTAGATTCAAAAGAGCCAAACTGGGGAACGTGGACCAATCTAGGTCAAGATTCAGAATATCAATAAGTTTATTAACAATGTTCTGTGTTAACGTTACTTTGGTTATTAAGGTTTTGAGCTCTTGACTATAAAACATACACTAATTTGAAATTTACAAACTGGGCTACATGTTAGAATCACCTGGGGAGCTTCTGAAAAATGCTGATGCCCAGCTCCAGATTGATTTAAATGAGCAGAAAATGATTCCTAGGTGAGTGTAATATGCTGCCAGCTCAAACTACTCCAGAAGTCTATAATGGTTAATAAAGTAAACATGAACCAGCAGAAGAAGGCATTTCAGGAACATATTCTAAAGCTTAAAATCGATATTCTGATAAAGTTCACCTGACAACAGAAGAAACACCTTTGAGAATCAGGAAGGGAGTGACATGGTTCCAAAGTGGCAAAGTGTCGTTGGTGATTAACTGCACTTGGCTGAAGTGCTTGCCACTGGGAGTATAGTCCGTACACCCAGAGCATTGGCATCGCCAGGTGGGCACTTGGTAGGAATGCAGTCTCTGAGGCTCTAACACAGACCCACTGAAGTAGAATCTTCATTTTAATAAGTTCCTGGGGTGACTGATATGCACTCTCCGATATTGTAGCCAACAGCCACAATGTGGCCATATAAATGTAAATGAATTAAAACTAAATAAAATCAGAATTTTAGTTCATAGTTGCACTGTCTACATTTCAAGTATTCAATAGCCAGTACTGGCTACTGTACTGGACAGTGCAAATATAGATCGATTCTATCTTTGGTAAAAATTCTACTGGAAAGTACTAGCAATTTACATTTATGTTTCAGCAATTGGAAATAGTGCTTAAGGGTCAGTTTACGTGTTATTGAATTTCTAACATTCCCAGATAGTCCTTTCCAGCATTTTGATTGCCTGTATAGTTTGGAGAAAAGAGTATAATTATATTAATATTTGGAAAAGCTGATGAATTGATTGAAACAAATACGCAACTAATTTTTTTAAAAGTACTGTACTTGTTTCAAGTAAGAAAAACATTTTTTTTTTTTTTGAGACAGAGTCTCCCTCTGTCACCCAGGCTGGAATGCAGTGGCGTGATCTCAGCTCACTACAACCTCCTCCTCCTGGGTTCAAGCAAGCCTCAGCCTCCCAAGTAGCTGGGATTATAGGCATGTGCCACCATGCTCGGCTAATTTTTTTTTTATTTTCAGTAGAGACTGGGGGTTAGTCAGGGTTCTCTAGAGGGACAGAACTAATAGGATAGATATTTATATATAAAGGGGAGTTATTAAGTAGTATTAACTAACATGATCTCAAGTCCCACAGTAGGCCATCTGCAAGCTGAGAAGCAAGGAAGCCTGTCTGAGTCCCCAAGCTGAAGAACTTGGAGTCCAATGCTTAAGGGCAGGAAGCATCCAGCATGGGAGAAAGATGTAGCCTGGGAGGCTAAGCCAATCTAGCCTTTTCACATTTTTCTGCCTGCTTTTATCCTAGCTGCGACAGCAGCTGATTAGATTGTGCCCACCCAGATTAAGGGTGGGTCTGCCTTTCCCAGCCCACTAACTCAAATGTTAATCTCCTTTGGCAACACCCTCACAGACACACCCAGGATCAATCCTTTGCATCCCTCAATCCAATCAAGTTGACACTCAGTATTAACCATCACAAGTCCACCCCTTGTCAACTTTAACCGATACACATCTCCTGAGATCATACATAATCTTCAAATAAAAGCAATAATAAGCTCATAATTATGCCTAACATAATGCAACTATCCTTCATACAGCCAGAAATGCACCACTCCCCAACCCAAATACTCTTACATAAAGTTAATGATGCTCGAATGCTGATATGAAGTAAATAAATCTTATGTCACATGATAAACGAAAAAGGAAATAAAATGAAGTTATTTTCTTAGTACAAGTGTATATATGCACACACATGTTTTTAACAAAAGAAGGAGGAAATACTCATGACAATTACAGTCTCCATTTCTGCAACTGGTCACGGGGCCATTGATGATTACCTTCTTCTACTACCCATTCGTATTTCCTTTACCTTCATCAAGCACCTTAGCAGATCATGGTTTTTTTCCTACCTTCTTCTGCTACTCATTCGTATTTCCTTTGCCTTCATCAAGCACCTTAGCAGGTCATGGTTTTTTTCTTGGTGGAGTGACCCAAACCTTCATTCCTGAATGGTCTGGGCCAACTGCCTGGATTGGGCTATTGTAGTTTCCCATTGACCTTAATCACAAAGCATGATAATACTAAGAGACATCCTAAGGGATCTCCTGTATTCCATACATACTCTTCCTTACCTCTGTTGTGGAGTAGTAGACTGACTTCATCTTGATAGCCCGGGTCAATCACCCTAGCCAACACTGTAACTCACTTCTTAGCCTGTTGACTTAAAGGTAGGAGGAGCCTAAAGTGTCCAGTTGGCAATCTTAACTTCTAGTTTAATGGAATCACTGTGTCTCCTGGTGGCAACATTTCTCCCACTGGAACTAAGACCTCTAGGCCAGCAGAATGTAATGTCATGGAAACAGGAAGCAAAAATTTTGTTAGTGGATCACTAGGGGTGATGGTGAGTGGTGCCACTTCCATTTCCAACCCTTGATTCCTGGACCCATGAATCCTGGCTATGGGAGAAACAGTACCATATATTGAATGCTGATTCAGAGCATACATGGCCTTTTGGAGAACTTTGCCCCAGCCCTGGCAAAGTATTGTCACCTAGTTGGCATTGTAATTGTGACTTCAAAAGGGCATTCCACCATTCTATCAATACAGCTGCTTCAGGATAATGGGGAACATGGTAAGACCAATGAATTCCATGAGCACAAGTCCACTGCTGCACTTCTTTAGCCATAAAGTGAGTGCCTTGGTCAGAGGCAATACCATGACTGTGGATAAGGCATTCCGTGAGCCCATGGATGGTAGTCTTGGCAGAATCATTGCATGCAGGATAGGCAAACCCATATCTGGAGTAAGTGTCTATTCCAGTGAGGACAAACCTCTGCCCTTTCCGTGATGGAAGAGGTCCAATATAATCAAGTTGCTACCAGGTAGCTGGCTGATCACCCCGAGGAATTTTGCCATATCGAGAGCTTAGTGTTGGTCTCTGTTGCTGGCAAATTGGGCACTCGGCAGTGGCCGTAGCCAGGGCAGCCTTGGTGAGTGGAGGTCCATATTGCTGAGCCCATGTGTAACCTCCACACCTGCCACCATGGCCATGTTGTTCATGGGCCCATTGGGCAATGACAGGAGTGGCTGGGGAAAGAGGCTGAGTGGTAACCACAGAATGGGTCATCTTATCCACTTGATTATTAAACTTCTCCTCTGCTGAGATACTTGTAGGTGAGCACTCACATGGGATACAAATACAGTTTTTGATCACCTAGAGAGGTCTATCCACATACATCTTTCTCAAATTTCTTTGTCACCAATTTTCCAATCATACTTCTTCCAAGTCTCTGACCATCTAGCCAAACCATTGGCTACAGCCCATGATTCAGTATATAATTGCATATCTGGCCATTTCTCCTTCCATGCAAAGTGTACAACTAGGTGAACTGCTTGAAGTTCTCCTCACTGGGAAGATTTCCCTTCACTGCTGTCCTTCAGGGATGTCCTAGAAAGGGGCTGTAGTGCTGCAGCTGTCCACTTTCAGGTGGTGCTTGTGTATCGTGCAAAACCATCTGTCTTCTCTTAAAAAAACCCTAGTCTTCTCTTCCTCTGTCAACTGATCATAGGGAACTGCCCATAAGGCCATTGGTGTATGCTGTGGGAGAGAAGATAGGGTGGCAGGAGTGGAGACCATGAGCATTTGAACCACTTCCTCATGTAACTTACTTGTGCCTTCAGGACCCACTCGAGCCCAATCACGTATATACCACTTCCATTTAATAATGTAATGCTGCTGTGCATGACTTACTTTATAGCTAAATGGGTCATAAAGCACTCAGTTCATGATAGGCAGTTCAGGTCACATGATGACTTGATGACCCATCATTAAACATTCAGTTCCCACCAAAACCCAGTAACAGGCCAAGAGCTGTCACTCAAAAGGAGAGTAGTTATCTACAGAAGTTGGCAGGGCCTTGCTCCAAAATCCTGGAGACCTCCACTGTGATTCATCTATGGGGGCCTGGCAAAGGCTCCAAACAGCACCCCTATCTGCCACTGACCCCTCAAACACCATTGAATCTGCTGGGTCATATGGTCCAAGTGGCAGAGCAGCTTGCACAGCAGCCTGGACCTGTTGTGGAGCCTTCTCCTGTTCTGGACCCCACTCAAAACTGGCAGCCTTTTGGGTCACTGGATAAATGGGCCAGAGTAACACACCCAAATGAGGAATGTGTTGCCTCCAAAATCCTAATAGGCCCACTAGGCATTGTGCCTCTTTTTTGGTTGTAGGAGGGGCCAAATGCAGCAACTTATCCTTCACCTCAGAAGGAATATCTTGACAGGCCCCACACCACTGGATCCCTAGAAATTTGACTGAGGTAGAAGCTGCCTGAATTTTTGTTAGATGTATTTCCCATCCTCTGGCATGCAAATGTCTCACCAATAAGTCCAGTGTGTTTGCTACTTCTTGCCCACTGGATCCAATCAGCATAATGTCATCAATGTAATGGACAAGTTTGATATCTTGTGGAAGCGAAAGGCGATCAAGTGCTCTCCGAATAAGATTATGACACAAAGGCAGAGAGTTGATATACCCCTGAGGTAGGACAGAAAAAGGTATATTGCTGGCCTTACCAGCTGAAGGCAAATTGCTTCTGGGGGGCTTTATGGACAGGAATGGAGAAAAAGGCATCTGCGAAGTCAGTGGCTGCATACCAGGTACCAGATGTGCTAATTTGCTCAAGCAATGAAACCACATCTGGTACAGTTGCTGCAGTTGGAGTCACCACTTGGTAAAGCTTACAGTAATCCACGGTCATTCTTCAAGATCCATCTGTCTTCTGCACTGGCCAAATAGGAGAGTTGAATTAGGTTGTTGTGTGGATCACCACCCCTGTGTCCTTCAAGACTTTGATGGTGGCGCTAATCTCTGCAATCCCTGCAGGGATGCGATATTGTTTTTGATTTACTATTTTTCTAGGTAGAGGCAGTTCTAATGGCTTCCATTTGGCCTTTCCCACCATAATAGCCCTCACCCTACCAGTCAGGGAGCCAATGTGGGGGTTCTGCCAGCTACTAAGTATGTCTATGCCAATTATGCATTCTGGCACTGGAGAAATAACCACAGGATGAGTCCAGGGACCCAATGGACCCACTGTATGTTGGACCTGAGCTAAAACTCCATTAATTACCTGACCTCCCTAAGCCTCTACTTTAACTGGAGAACCACAATGACATTTTGGGTCCACTGGAATCAACTTCAGCTCAGAGCCAGTGTCCAGTAGTTCCCCAAATGTCTGATCATTTCTCTTTCCCCAGTGCACAGTTACCCTGGCAAAAGGCCAGAGGTCGACTTGGGGAAGGATGGGAGAAAAATTAACAGCATAAGTTGTCAGTAGTGTAGTGGGGTCCTTCCTTAAGGGGACATGTCCTCCCCTTCATTCAAGGGGCTCTGGGCCTGCAAACTGGCTCAAGTCTGGAAATTGATTGAGGGATCATGATTCTCTGTTTTTATAATTCAAATTAGTCTTTTGTCCATTCCATCTGGAAGTTTTCTGCTTGTCTAAATTGAGTAGGAATGCAGTACACTTCCCATCAATTTCACTTCTAGGAACACTGTGATTAATTAGCCATTGCCAGAGCTCTACACAAGTCAGAATATTCTAATTTCTGCTTTGCCTCTGCTGTCCATTATAGTAGCTATGCCCACCTTGCCTTTGATGGTTAAGTGCCATCACTTGGCCTCTGCCACCTTGGGATCCAATTATTCTCATTCTATTTAAATTTTGTAGTTGAGTGACTGCCATTCCCACTGTTAGATCTGCCACACGGAGAAGAGCAATTACAGGACTCTTCAAAGGTGCAGATGCTGCCCTCACAAATCTATTTTGCAATGCATTGGTCAAGGGTATATCTTCTGGACCCTCCCAATTGAAATATATAGGTCTAAAGTGACTCCAGCATCCTAATCTCCCTAAGCCTTTGGATCCCTTCCTCTACATTAAACCAAGGGAGATCAGGCATTTCCAGCTCGCTCACAGTGGGCCATCGTTTAATCATATTTCAGCTAACTAAGCAAATAAACTATTGAATCTTTTTTAACTCCCCAAGCTGCAACATTAAATGCAGAATCCCTGCTTAGTGGACCCAAATCAATAAATTCAGCCTGATACAACTCTATTTTTTTCCAACATTACACCACACGCTTACTATCCATTCCCATGCCTGTTCTCCAGATTTCTGTTTACATAAATTACAAAACTCAAGCAGTTCTTTTTGAATGTTGCACACCGCCTCCTGGATCACACTCTGAACCTCACATCTAGAGGCCTGCCAGGACTTTAGTTATAGGTCTAGAGGCAAACAGGGGTATTGGGGGTGGCTCCTGAGGAGAATCAACATTATCTTGCCTGGCAACTGCCTCAGGGGAAGCCATCACTGTTGCCTCAGGCAGCATAGGGTTTACCTCCTCAGACAAAGGTGGAAAGACTGATGGCAGCATGGGTTGGGGAGGGGATGTTGCCACTACTGGGGATTTGGCAATTGTTTCTTCTGGCAAAAAAGTTTCATCAGAATTTACAAACACAGTGTCCCCAGTTTCATCAGGGTCCTCCCACACATCCTCATTCCAAGTTGCAGGGTCCCATTCTTTTCCAATCAATGCCCTCATTTTAATAGTAGACACCTGGAAAGGCCGTGCATGCACCTTTCATTGCAGGTCAGCCACTCATGAGAAGAGCTTGTGTCTGTTTTTTTGCAATTTCAGCTCTTTCTCTACAGGAGATAAGACTCAGGACAATCTTGGCAGACTTGAGGCTCAGTATCTGCTTCTGAAGCCAGGAGTTAGAATCTCTAACTTCATAATTTTCTTTCATCACTTTGTCCACTGAACTTAGGAGCAACCAACCAACTTCATTATGTTCCTTGGTCCTTCACATATGGTCAAAGGTATTATGTATAGAGTCACTAGACTCCTTGCCTCTCATGAGCAGTGAATCAGGAGTGTCAAATGCATGTATTTTGCATAACTCTCTAAACAGTTCATGCCAAGGACTATCAGTGTTCTCCATAGTTTTAGAAGTAGAGTCCTTAGCATTTTGGGGTCTAATCATATTAAGCAGTGAACTCCATAAACCCCAAAACCATCCTTAATATTCTGTTCCTCTGGAACCACTCCTGGTACCAAAATCTGTATTAGTCAGGGTTTTCTAGAGGGAAGAACTAATAGGAGATATATGTGTGTGTGTGTGTGTGTGTGTGTGTGTGTGTATGGGAGTTATTAAGCAGTATTAACTCACCCAATCACAAGGTCCCACAATAGGCCATCTGCAAGCTGAGCAGCAAGGAAGACAGTCTGAATCCCAAAGCTGAAGAACTTGGAGTTCGATGTTTGAGGGCAGGAAGCATCCAGAATGAAAAAAGAGTAGATTGGGAAGCTAAGTCAGCTAGCCTTTTCATGCACTTCTGCCTGCTTTTATCCTAGCTGCTCTGGCAGCTGATCAGATTGTGCCCACCCAGATTAAGGGTGGGTCTGCCTTTCCCAGCCCACTGATTTAAATGTTAATCTCCTTTGGCAACACCCTCACAGACACACCCAGGATCAATACTTTGCATCCCTCCGTCCAATCAAGTTGACAGTATTAACCATCACACAGGGTTTCACCATTTGGCCAGGCTAGTCTCGAACTCCTGACCTCAAATGATACACCCACCTAGACCTTTCAAAGTGCTGGGATTATGGGCATGAGCCACCATATCTGGCCAAGAAAAACATTTTTAATGAAGGAGGCTTATTATTTTTTGGCTAGATATATGGTAAGATAGAAGTAATGGTTTCTAGTAATAGTCTTTATTGGTGCTGTCCTTGGTTTTATGAAGGGGATGCTTTTTTATAAGGTTGTTTCTTTGTTTTCTATAGCATGCTTCCCCCCATCACCAGTTCCCTTTCTTCTTCCTCCTTTTCAGACAAGCCTCCCAGCAGGACCATCCTGGTGCTGCCTTTAACCTTGCAGTAGGAACACTGAAAAACATGACTGCCTCCATGGAAGCAGGGTAATAAAATTTGCTGTCTTTTCCCTTCTAGCTGACATGTCATTCTTTCCAAAGATGCCCCTCATATACTACCTGCAATTCACAGGCAAAAACATTTTTTATATAGCTCACTTTCTGCTCTTGCCTTTCTATGTTCTTACATTGCTGAGTTACAATAAAAGTCACAAAGCAAGGGAATGCAATATTCATATATGTGCATATATCCCACTGACTAAATTCTTCAGGCATTCTGTGAGCCTGAGATGAAATGCTGGGTTATTTCATGGTCCTCACACTCTCCTGTGAATTCTTATGGCCCCCTTAAATATCATCTTTACAGCCTTACCACATTTTCTTATAAACAGAATAGAGCAGACACGAATATAAGGTAGAGAACTCTCTTTGGGCACAAATATCTTTAGTGTCTGTTGGACTAATCCTCTTGATTACTCACAGTTATAAAAATAAATATACCACTACTTTCTCTGGAGAAGATTTTCTTAATGCTTTTGAATAGTTCATAGTCTATGACATTTTTATTCAGCTATTTTGAGTCAGACACATTTTTTGATAGGGTCCCGAAAACAAACCATTAAACTTTCAGCTTGTTTTCTCTTTTTTTAAAGTAATGCAACTGACATCTACTTCATTTCCAATTAATGTGTACAACAACCTCCTGCAACTCCAGCATTTAATCTTCTACCTCAGGCTAAGAGGTAGACCAGGTTTAGAAAAAAAGTTCAGTAAGGGGCTGAGGATGGGGTGAATCTTTGGAATTTGTACAATAGTCAGGGATGTTGCCTGCACAATTGGTAATAAAATTTTGAAATGACCATTTTGAGGCAGCCAAGTCAAAATGGCGAAGCCAATATGTTCTACTTTACAACTGACGGTTACCAGATGGGAGGTTGTATAGAATCCCTCTCCAGTTAGCACTCCCAAACCAAAATATAGAATTTGCTTGCAAGAGAGGGGTGCCTCCAACATTACATGAGATTCTTGGCTAGAAAAACTTCTCTAAATAGGGCAAAATAATCTAGCTAGGCTCTGGTCTTTTAAGAATATTTATTTGGGTAGCTCTGATTGTATTATGAAGATTCTTGTATTAGTCCATTCTCATGATGCTATGAAGAAATACACGAGACTGGGTAATTAATAAAGAAAAGAGGTTTAATTGACTCAGTTCTGCATGGCTGGGAAGGCTTCAGGAAGCTTACAATCATGGCAGAAGGGGAAGCAAACACGTCCTTCTTCACAAGGTGGTAGGAGAGAGAAGAATGAGAGCTGAGTAAAGGGGGAAGCCTCTTATAAAACCATCAGATCTTGTGAGAACTTACTATCACAAGAATAGCATGGGGGAAACCACCCCCATGATTCAATTACCTCCCACTGGGTCCCTCTCATAACACATGAGGATTATGGGAACTACCAGTAAAGAGGGAGACTCAACCATACCATATCATTCTGCCCCATCCCCTCCCAAATCTCATCCTCACATTTCAAAATACAATCATGCCCTTCCAACAGTCCCCCAAAGTCTTAACTCATTCCAGTATTAACTCAAAAGTCCAAGTCCAAAGTCTCATCTGAGACAAGGCAAGTTATTTCTGCCTATGAGCCTGTAAAATCAAAAGCAAGTTAGTTACTTCCTAGATAACAATAGGGGTACAGACATTGGGTAAATACACCCATTCCAAAATAGAAAAATTGACCAAAACAAAGGGGCTACCAGCCTTATGCAAATCTGAAATCTGATAGGGCCCTCATTAAACCTTAAAGTTCCAAAATGATCTCCATTGATTGCATGTCTCATATCCAGGTCATACTTACGCCAGAGGTGGGCTCCCACAGCCTTGGGCATCTCCGCCCCTGTGGCTTTGCAGGGTACAGCCACCCCTCCTGGCTTGTTTCATGGGCTGGCATTGAATGTGGCTTTTCCAGGTACAAAGTGCAAGCGGCCAGTGGATCTACCATTCTGGGGTCTGGAAAATGGTGGCCGTCTTCTCATAGTTCCACTACTCAGTGCCCCAGTGAGGACTCTGTGTGGGGGCTCTGACCCCACATTTCCCTTCCACACTGCCGCAGCAGAGGTTATCCATGGGAGCCCTGCCATGTAGCAAACTTTTGCCTGGACGTCCAGGCATTTCCGTATATCTTCTGAAATCTAGGTGGAGGTTTCCAAAACTCAGTTCTTGACTTCTGTGCACCCACAGGCTCAACACCACATGGAAGCTGCCAAGGTTTGGGGCTTGCACCCTCTGAAGCCATAGCCTGACATGTACCTTGGCTCCTTTTAGCCATGGCTGGAGCGGCAAGCACACAGGGCACCAAATCCCTAGGCTGCACACAGCAGGGGGTCCCTGGGACCAGCCCAGGAAACCACTTTTTTCTCATAGGGCTCTGGGTGTGTGATGGGAGGGGCTTACATGAAGGTCTCTGACATGTCCTGGATACAGTTTCCCCATTGTCTTGGTAATTAACATTGGGCTCCTTGTTACTTATGCAAATTTATGCAGTGGGCTTAAATTTCTCCTCAGAAAATGGGGTTTTCTTTTCTATCACTTTGTTTGGCTGCAAATTTTCCAAACTTTTATGTACTGTTTTCTCTTTAACATTTTGCTACTTAGAAATTTCTTCTGCTAGATACCCTAAATCATCTCTCTCAAGTTCAAAGTTCCACAGATCTCTAGGTCAGGGGCAAAATGCCTCCAGTCTCTTTGCACGGCAACAGTGACCTTTACTCCAATTGCCAACAAGTTCCTCATCTCCATATGAGACCACCTCAGCCTAGACTTCATTGTCCATATCAATATTAGCAGTTTGGTTGAAGCCTTTCAACAAGTCTCTAGGAAGTTTCAAACTTTCCCACATTTTCCTGTCTTCTTCTGAGCCCTTCAAACTGTTTCAGCCTCTGCCTGTTACCCAGTTCCAAAGTTGCTTCCACATTTTCAGGTATCTTTACAGCAGTGCCCCACTCCTGGTACCAATTTACTATATTAGTTTGTTAATATGCCACTCTGAAGAAATAACTGAGACTGGGTAATTTATAAAGGAAAGAGGTTTAATCGACTCACAGTTCTGCATGGCTGGGAAGGCCTCAGGAAACTTACAATCATGGCAAAAGGGGAAGCAAACACATCCTCTTCACAAGGCAGCAGGAGAGAGAAGAATTAGAGATGAGCAAAGGTAGAAGCCCCTTATAAAACAATCAGCTATCACGAGAACTTACTCACGATCATGAAAATAGCATGGGGGAAACTGCCCTCATGATTCAAATACCTCCCATTGGGTCCCTCTCATGACACATGGGGATTATGGGAACTACAATTCAAGATGAGATTTTGGTGGGGACACAGCCAAACTATATCAGTACTCATGATGAAACCCAGGTGAAATGGCAAGTGTTTCCCTCATCACCTTACAATGAGTTTAAACAGCTGGTACTCTGGCCCTTAACTCAAACTCTTGAATGTGCAGGTGCTTTTGGTTTACTCTTTCTTAGCACTACTAAATAACTGTTTCTTCTAGGGATGTAGAAATGCTCCTTAATGTTGCTGCAAAATGGGGGATCCAAGAAGCCCAAGAACTTCTGGAGAATGTTATTTGGACTAAAAGCAAGCTCTTGCCAACTGAAAGAACCAGGAGTTCTTATAAACCATAATGTGTGCCTGCATGCTCTTCCTGGAACATGGGATGTTCTGCTCTCACTTGTCCACTGTGGCCTTGCAATGCTTTGTGGCATTTTCAATGGAAGCTCCTTTTACTTATAGTCTCATATGCTGCTGCAGCATTAATTTGCTGGTTAAAATCCTTTAAATGAAGTGTTACTTATATGTTTTCCTGGGATCTGAGTTTGATCTCTTCTGGATAGAGGAATATTTTATTTGGGTTTCATTACTGCTCACTTCAGCTAAAGTTTCATTCAAGCCAGTGAGCATTCTATAACGTGGTAAGTGGAAAATAACGAAGAAACCTGTCATACCAGAGATTGGCTTCTTGGATGTGTTAGCTGGCACTCACAGATCCACTGAAAGAGCTAGACTCATCATTAGCCTAATCTATGACATGTGATGTTCTGCCTAAAATAAGCCTGTTTTCATTTCTCTCCATTTCAATTTTCTGCTCTATTAGGTTTCTATAGTATTTTATTACACTCACTTTTTGTATTATAGAAAGTCCTTTATAGGGGTAAAAAGGCTGTTATTGTTGTCAATTAAAGGGAAAAGGATAAAGTATAAGACCTAACAATTATTGACCATCTGCCACATGCAAGATATTTTCTTAGCTGTTTAACATATATATATATATTTGAGACTGAGTTTCGCTCTTGTTGCTCAGGCTGGAGTACAATGGCATGATCTCTACTCACTGCAACCTCAGCCTCTCAGGTTCAGGATGTTATCCTGCCTCAGCCTCCTGAGTAGCTGGGATTACATGCGTGCACCATCACATCCGGCTAGTTTTTTCATTTTTAGTAGAGACGGGGTTTCACCATGTTGGTCAGGCTGGTCTTGAACTTCTGACCTCAGGTGATCTACCTGCCCTGCCCTCCCAAAATGCTGGGATTACAGGAGTGAGCCACCACGTCTGGCCTGCTTAACAAATATTTTAACATTCACTAGTTATAAAAGTCTTATAAGGTGGATCTTATAACTCCTATTTTACAGAGTGAAAACAGGTGTAGAGAAGTTGTGATATGTGCAAAGTCACAGAGTGAGTGATAGAGTGGGGTTTTTAGTGCTGGCAGTCTGATTCTAGAGTCAACATTCTTAACCAGTTCTACCAACATTACTCTCCCAAGTCATTAACATCTCTTTCCTAACAACAAAGATGTTCTAAGAACAGATAACTGGGTTTATTACTGGCATATGGTGAACACTTATCTTAGCAAATAACTCAGCCCCATTTTCTGACTATGATTTTTTTAAGGACAAACCACGTAGTCCTATTCTTCAAAAGTGATGTTTTTAACCTTAATTATAATTAGCTGTATTTATCTCATTTAGATTATAGCGCAATTTTCTCCTTGGAATATACATACAGAAACACAAATTGAGGGTGACAAAAGTGTCAAACTGGAATTCAATATGATGATTAAGCTGTGTTTAAAATATTTGTTTCCCTTTTGATTGCCTTGTTTACACTGTATACATATGGAATATGACTGTAAGCCTTCAGCAATCTTCTCTTTGTCCAACGTGAACACATAAACCTTTAAAGATGTACATGAAATGGTCACATGCAATTTTAAATTCTTTAATGTAGAAAATCCCAAATTCATAAACTAAATTCTTCACGTGAACCTTTGGTAATAGTATTTTTATCTTCTCTAGAAGCACTTTATTTTTCTTACATTTTTCCCAGAGAAACCAGTCTTCATTTCAGTTTATGTTGTTCAAGATACAACTCTGGAAATTTTATTCTGTGCCACAAACACTTATAAAATACTAGGACAATAATTTCAATCATCGTGTTAGTGTGCATTTTTTTAACCTTCACAGTAATATCCTCTTAACTGTCTTGTAATTTAAATGCTTGTTTACAGTAACAACCCAAACTTACAAGTATGAAAATATACCATAGGAATATGATCACTAAATAGTGTTTTTTTATTTTAAAAAATTCCTTTAGGTGTCTTCTATAAACATCTCCAACTAACATTGATTTAGGTTGTTTTAGGGTTCTAATGTCTTCTAACAGTTCTTTGTTGTTGAAATAAAGTAATAGAGTAGTTGAAAAAGCATAACAACAATTAGAAAGACTTTGTAAAGCCTCACATATAAAACCCCTTCACTTTTAACTTCGGTAATACTTGGGTTTAAGATCGGGAATAACCTACCAGTCCATCAGGGTTGAAAAATAATGCTTCATGCAAAACCAGAAAATGTGATGGATGAGGATTCCCCTGAATCCAAAGCTCTGCTTCTACTTCCTTTGCTGTATCTGGGCAAAAATTCAGGGGAAAAGCAAGACATAAGAAAGAAATTGGATCATAAAGAGAGTGAGAGCATGAGAGAATGAGAATGGATTTGCATGTGTTTGGCCGGTTCAGATACCCCAGGTTCTGCTTGCTTTCTTCCTTCCCTGTGCTCCTTCTGGGCCACAGAGGTTGAGAACCTCTGCACTCTTTTAGATGCCCCAGGTTTCCTATTTAGCCATTTGATGTCTTGATCCTTTTTCTCAAGGTCTGCCTTAATGTTAATATAAAAATATTTTACATTAAATATGACATATATTTACAGTACACATATCTTAAATCTACAACTAAATGAATTTTACGTATATATTACCCATGTAACTACTGCTCAGATGAAGATGCAGATTTACAATATTCCTTCCAAGTCAATACTCCCAGGTAACTGCTATCCTGATATATATTCCTACAGATTAGTTTTGCCCACTTGTGAATGCTATCATATTTGTTTGTAAATTTGGTTGTACATATTATACTGTACATTCTTTTGTATCTAGATTCTTTCACTCATGATCATTTGTGAGATTTATCCTTGTTGTTGCCTGCTGCTGGAATGAGTTCATTCTCATTTGTATAGTATTCTGTTGTATGATTACACCACAATTTATCTTTCTACTTTTGATGGGCATTTATATTACTTCTAGTTTCTGGCTATTGGTAAAAAAAAAAAAGTACCTATGAACATTCTTGTTCATGTATTTTCATGGATACACTCATATCTTTTGAATATATACCCAAGAATGGAAATGCTGGATTATAGGGTATTCATATGTTTACCTTTGGTTAGGTCTGCCAAACATTTTTCCAAAAGGGTTGTGTCATTTTACACTCCCACCATCAATTTATGAGAATTCCATTTGCTCCACATTCTTGTCAACACTTGGTTTTGTCAGTCTTTAAATTTAAGCCATTCTAGTCAGTGTAGAGTGGTATCTTATCATAGAAATTTGAATTTCTCTGGCAAGTAATAATGGGAAGTATATCTGTTTGGAGGTATTTGAGAAAGGGAGTTGGGTACACAGTGCAGCATGTACTGCACTTAAGACTTCCAAAAGGAGGCTGCCTGATTTCTTGGAGGTGAACTTTCTGGTGTGGCCACATTCTCAGTGACTTGAGATAGACTAGTGTTCAAACCTAAATTGTAAATAGATGGCTTTTAATGATCTGAACAGAACTAGGGTTTTAATTGTAGGTTGTCACCCTGTGATTTTCTTGTATAAGAGATGTAAACTTAGCCAGGAACTCAGAGTTATTTGAATTTAAATAGGATAATTTTCTTATAATCATGCTTTATTACAAATAATCTTCTAGGCTGCAGTCTATACAACCTTGCCCTAGTAAGCAATATCAAATTATGCTACATATATGTTATTGGTAAAATCCATTTGAATTGTGATTCAAATATGGCAATATTTTTATTATTACTACAAGCTGTTATTTGGCATGTGATAAAACAGAGTTAAACTGTTGGTGAATGGCTTACACAAGTTACCCAATGACAGTATATTATCTGAATTAACTTTTTGGATTCTTAGCCCCGTGCCCAAACTTACTATAAGAAAGTACTGATGCAGTGTTTTACATTTTTTTCTTTCATATCTGTAACAGATTTATTTTTTAAAGTAATGGATTTTGAGGGAAAGAAACATGGGACAGAAGTATGGAATACAAATATATGTGTGTTGCTAATTATCTTATAACCACAACAAACTAATACAGAGAATGCCCTGTACAAAACACAATAAAGTTTCAAAGATTGAGGTGTTCCTTAGCAAGGCTGAAAATTTTAGTCTCTGGTATTTGTAATTTAGGCTGCAGTCCTCATTTCTGGATGAGTCACTCTGTGTGTGTGGCACAGTCTGTGCCTTTAACCAGATTTGAACAGAAGAATGCCCATTTGGCCCAGGTAGAAGTAGATGAAGTGCTTGGTTTCATGTGTCAGGCAACTACCAAAGTTCCTCCCCGTGATGCAATGTCGGGTGGGATTGTACTTCTTGTCAAACTGCTTCTCGATATGGGCTGAAATAGTCTTTTTTATGTTCTCCAATGCCTGCGTAGCTCACACCACTAAGCCCTGATGCATCTCTTCCAACGTGACTGCATTTTTTATCACAGCCTTTCAATTTCACATGGTTACTGTGGAGCAGAGGCTGGTCAACTGGAGTAGTCTCCTTGGGGAGGTGCTAGCATGGCTCAGGCCCTCTGGAAGCTATGTTCACTACTGGAGCCATGGTACATCTAACACAGTTTATATTCTTAATGAGACTCTGTATCTAGTCGTGTTCTTTCTGTGCCTAGGAAAGCATAGAAAGTTCTTCTCATGCTCTTTCCCCACCTCAGTTTTCTCAAGGAAGCAGGACAGCACATTTGCATATACCAGCATTGGAACCATTGTACCAGTTTACTTATCTTGAACAAGTGGCTTAACCTTTCAGAGCTCCAGTTTCCCCAGTTGTGCAATAACTACTACCTCATAGTGTTGGTTTGAGGATGGATTAGCTAATGTTTAAAAAACACATAGCACAATCCTTCACATGAAGTAATGAAACTGAAGGTAGTTATGTTAAAGTTGTCAGGCATGAGAAAACGAGAAAATAATCACTTTCTGTCAGAGGTGGACTTACACTGAAGCAAATGCAGTTTAAATTTTAATGAAGTTTAAGGGCCCCTTGCAAGTAAGTATACTCAAAATAAGATATTTTAACTACAATTGGCTAGGATGACTCTTCTCATTTTGATTTCATCTCCATCACATTTGCCTTTATTTCAACCGGTATTGGAGGGCTGTAGGCATTCTTGGCTTTCAGCTGTGGGAAAGTTGAGTAGGGAATATGTTCAGTTTGGGCTTATGAGATATGTTTGACTCACATTTCTATACATAATTGGGTTACTTCTAGCTGTCTTGGTGTTGGAATGGCTTCTAGAAAACCTCTGACTGCCCACTGTGCTATGTGCAGATGCAAAGGCCAGAGTTGTGGCCAAATGGTTGGACGTGTGCACAGTATCCAGCTTCAGAAGAATGTGGGTGGTAGAAAGGGAATGGTTTCATATATTCCTTAGATGCACCTAGTGGAAAATTCTTCTGAACCTTAGAGCTCACATGTGAAAGACACTTGGATGGAAGTGTTTCTAATATTTGACCACAATCCTGAAACTTTATGTGAAGTCACCAATCATTTGTTGTGAAACCAAAAGATACTTTATTCTAAACTATTGATAAAATAAATTTTAACACATTGATAAATCTATTTTAAACTATTGATAAAATAAATTTCAAAGATGCACTGAAGTCCTATTCTATAATAGATATTATGAAATAATTATCATCCATAAAGGTGCTCAAAGAGCATGAAGTCCAAAACATAGGAAAAAGAGACAACTAGAAGTATATCAGGACATTAATTAATAAAATTATATTATTTTTCTGGCCTTTTGGTTGATTGTAGTATTTATCAGTTTTTAATGTATTTGTTGTGTTTTTTTTTCTCATCCCTGATACTTTTGTAGTCAGTTTGGATTCACAAGTTTGCATGTTTTTTTTCTTTTTTTTTTTTCTTTTATTATTATACTTTAAGTTTTA
This sequence comes from Homo sapiens, assembly GCF_000001405.40. Lineage (NCBI taxonomy): Eukaryota > Metazoa > Chordata > Mammalia > Primates > Hominidae > Homo > Homo sapiens. Next base: position 100,043,554 of record NC_000004.12, read on the forward strand.
GGGTACATGTGCACATTGTGCAGGTTAGTTACATATGTATACATGTGCCATGCTGGTGCACTGTACCCACTAACTCGTCATCTAGCATTAGGTATATCTCCCAATGCTATCCCTCCCCCCTCCCCCCACCCCACAACAGTCCCCAGAGTGTGATGTTCCCCTTCCTGTGTCCATGTGATCTCATTGTTCAATTCCCACCTATGAGTGAGAACATGCGGTGTTTGGTTTTTTGTCCTTGCGATAGTTTACTGAGAATGATGATTTCCAATTTCATCCATGTCCCTACAAAGGACATGAACTCATCATTTTTTATGGGTGCATAGTATTCCATGGTGTATATGTGCCACATTTTCTTAATCCAGTCTATCATTGATGGACATTTGGGTTGGTTCCAAGTCTTTGCTATTGTGAATAGTGCCACAATAAACATACGTGTGCATGTGTCTTTATAGCAGCATGATTTATAGTCCTTTGGGTATATAACCAGTAATGGGATGCCTGGGTCAAATGGTATTTCCAGTTCTAGATCCCTGAGGAATCGCCACACTGACTTCCACAATGGTTGAACTAGTTTACAGTCCCACCAACAGTGTAAAAGTGTTCCTATTTCTCCACATCCTCTCCAGCACCTGTTGTTTCCTGACTTTTAATGACTGCCATTCTAACTGGTGTGAGATGGTATCTCACTGTGGTTTTGATTTGCATTTCTCTGATGGCCAGTGATGATGTGAGCATTTTTTCATGTGTTTTTTGGCTGCATAAATGTCTTCTTTTGAGAAGTGTCTGTTCATGCCCTTTGCCCACTTTTTGATGGGGTTGTTTGTTTTTTTCTTGTAAATTTGTTTGAGTTCATTGTAGATTCTGGATATTAGCCCTTTGTCAGATGAGTAGGTTGCGAAAATTTTCTCCCATTTTGTAGGTTGCCGGTTCACTCTGATGGTAGTTTCTTTTGCTGTACAGAAGCTCTTTAGTTTAATTAGATCCCATTTGTCAATTTTGTCTTTTGTTGCCATTGCTTTTGGTGTTTTAGACATGAAGTCCTTGCCCATGCCTATGTCCTGAATGGTATTGCCTAGGTTTTCTTCTAGGGTTTTTATGGTTTTAGGTCTAACGTTTAAGTCTTTAATCCATCTTGAATTGATTTTTGTATAAGGTGTAAGGAAGGGATCCAGTTTCAGCTTTCTACATATGGCTAGCCAGTTTTCCCAGCACCATTTATTAAATAGGGAATCCTTTCCCCATTGCTTGTTTTTCTCAGGTTTGTCAAAGATCAGATAGTTGTAGATATGCGGTGTTGTTTCTGAGGGCTCTGTTCTGTTCCATTGATCTATATCTCTGTTTTGGTACCAGTACCATGCTGTTTTCGTTACTGTAGCCTTGTAGTATAGTTTGAAGTCAGGTAGTGTGATGCCTCCAGCTTTGTCCTTTTGGCTTAGGATTGACTTGGCGATGTGGGCTCTTCTTTGGTTCCACATGAATTTTAACGTAGTTTTTTCCAATTCTGTGAAGAAAGGCATTGGTAGCTTGATGGGGATGGCATGGAATCTGTAAATTACCTTGGGCAGTATGGCCATTTTCATGATATTGATTCTTCCTACCCATGAGCATGGAATGTTCTTCCATTTGTTTGTATCCTCTTTTATTTCCTTGAGCAGTGGTTTGTATTTCTCCTTGAGAGGTCCTTCATATCCCTTGTAAGTTGGATTCCTAGGTATTTTATTCTCTTTGAAGCAATTGTGAATGGGAGTTCACTCATGATTTGGCTCTCTGTTTGTCTGTTATTGGTGTATAAGAATGCTTGTGATTTTTGTACACTGATTTTGTATCCTGAGACTTTGCTGAAGTTGCTTATCAGCTTAAGGAGATTTTGGGCTGAGGCAATAGGGTTTTCTAGATATACAATCATGTCGTATGCAAAGAGGGACAATTTGACTTCCTATTTCCCTAATTGAATACCCTTTATTTCCTTCTCCTGCCTAATTGCCCTGGCCAGAACTTCCAACACTATGTTGGATGGGAGTGGTGAGAGATGGCATCCCTGTCTTGTGCCAGTTTTCAAAGGGAATGCTTCCAGTTTTTGCCCATTCAGTATGATATTGGCTGTGGGTTTGTCATAGATAGCTCTTATTATTTTGAAATACCTCCCATCAGTACCTAATTTATTGAGAGTTTTTAGCATGAAGGGTTGTTGAATTTTGTCAAAGGCCTTTTCTGCATCTATTGAGATAATCATGTGGTTTTTGTCTTTGGCTCTGTTTATATGCTGGATTACATTTATTGATTTGCATATATTGAACCAGCCTTGCATCCCAGGGATGAAGCCCACTTGATCATGGTGGATAAGCTTTTTGATGTGCTGCTGGATTCATTTTGCCAGTATTTTATTGAGGATTTTTGCATCAATGTTCATCAAGGATATTGGTCTAAAATTCTCTTTTTTGGTTGTGTCTCTGCCCGGATTTGGTACCAGAATGATGCTGGCCTCATAAAATGAGTTAGGGAGGATTCCCTCTTTTTCTACTGATTGGAATAGTTTCAGAAGGAATGGTACCAGTTCCTCCTTGTACCTCTGGTAGAATTCGGCTGTGAATCCATCTGGTCCTGGACTCTTTTTGGTTGGTAAACTATTGATTATTGCCACAATTTCAGATCCTGTTATTGGTCTATTCAGAGATTCAACTTCTTCCTGGTTTAGTCTTGGGAGAGTGTATGTGTCAAGGAATTTATCCATTTCTTCTAGATTTTCTAGTTTATTTGCATAGAGGTGTTTGTAGTATTCTCTGATGGTAGTTTGTATTTCTGTGGGATCAGTGGTGATATCCCCTTTATCATTTTTTATTGCGTCTATTTGATTCTTCTCTCTTTTTTTTTTATTAGTCTTGCTAGCGGTCTATCTATTTTGTCGATCCTTTCAAAAAACCAGCTCCTGGATTCATTAATTTTTTGAAGGGTTTTTTGTGTCTCTATTTCCTTCAGTTCTGCTCTGATTTTAGTTATTTCTTGCCTTCTGCTAGCTTTTGAATGTGTTTGCTCTTGCTTTTCTAGTTCTTTTAATTGTGATGTTAGGGTGTCAATTTTGGATCTTTCCTGCTTTCTCTTGTGGGCATTTAGTGCTATAAATTTCCCTCCACACACTGCTTTGAATGCGTCCCAGAGATTCTGGTATGTTGTGTCTTTGTTCTCGTTGGTTTCAAAGAACATCTTTATTTCTGCCTTCATTTCGTTATGTACCCAGTAGTCATTCAGGAGCAGGTTGTTCAGTTTCCATGTAGTTGAGCGGTTTTGAGTGAGATTCTTAATCCTGAGTTCTAGTTTGATTGCACTGTGGTCTGAGAGATAGTTTGTTATAATTTCTGTTCTTTTACATTTGCTGAGGAGTGCTTTACTTCCAAGTATGTGGTCAATTTTGGAATAGGTGTGGTGTGGTGCTGAAAAAAATGTATATTCTGTTGATTTGGGGTGGAGAGTTCTGTAGATGTCTATTAGGTCCACTTGGTGCAGAGCTGAGTTCAATTCCTGGGTATCCTTGTTGACTTTCTGTCTCATTGATCTGTCTAATGTTGACAGTGGGGTGTTAAAGTCTCCCATTATTAATGTGTGGGAGTCTAAGTCTCTTTGTATGTCACTCAGGACTTGCTTTATGAATCTGGGTGCTCCTGTATTGGGTGCCTATATATTTAGGATAGTTAGCTCTTCTTGTTGAATTGATCCCTTTACCAGTATGTAATGGCCTTCTTTGTCTCTTTTGATCTTTGTTGGTTTAAAGTCTGTTTTATCAGAGACTAGGAGTGCAACCCCTGCCTTTTTTTGTTTTCCATTTGCTTGGTAGATCTTCCTCCATCCTTTTATTTTGAACCTATGTGTGTCTCTGCACATGAGATGGGTTTCCTGAATACAGCACACTGATGGGTCTTGACTCTTTATCCAACTTGCCAGTCTGTGTCTTTTAATTGGAGCATTTAGTCCATTTACATTTAAAGTTAATATTGTTATGTGTTAATTTGATCCTATCATGATGATGTTAGCTGGTTATTTTGCTCGTTAGTTGATGCAGTTTCTTCCTAGTCTCGATGGTCTTTACATTTTGGCATGATTTTGCAGCGGCTGGTACCGGTTGTTCCTTTCCATGTTTAGTGCTTCCTTTAGGAACTCTTTTAGGGCAGGCCTGGTGGTGACAAAATCTCTCAGCATTTGCTTGTCTGTAAAGTATTTTTTTCTCCTTCACTTATGAAGCTTAGTTTGGCTGGATATGAAATTCTGGGTTGAAAATTCTTTTCTTTAAGAATGTTGAATATTGACCCCCACTCTTTTCTGGCTTGTAGGGTTTCTGCCGAGAGATCCGCTGTTAGTCTGATGGGCTTCCCTTTGAGGGTAACCCGACCTTTCTCTCTGGCTGCCCTTAACATTTTTTCCTTCATTTCAACTTTGGTGAATCTGACAATTATGTGTCTTGGAGTTGCTCTTCTCGAGGAGTATCTTTGTGGCATTCTCTGTATTTCCTGAATCTGAATGTTGGCCTGCCTTGCTAGATTGGGGAAGTTCTCCTGGATAATATCCTGCAGAGTGTTTTCCAACTTGGTTCCATTCTCCCCGTCACTTTCAGGTACACCAATCAGACGTAGATTTGGTCTTTTCACATAGTCCCATATTTCTTGGAGGCTTTGCTCATTTCTTTTTATTCTTTTTTCTCTAAACTTCCCTTCTCACTTCATTTCATTCATTTCACCTTCCATTGCCGATACCCTTTCTTCCAGTTGATCGCATTGGCTCCTGAGGCTTCTGCATTCTTCACGTAGTTCTCGAGCCTTGGTTTTCAGCTCCATCAGCTCCTTTAAGCACTTCTCTGTATTGGTTATTCTAGTTATACATTCTTCTAAATTTTTTTCAAAGTTTTCAACTTGTTTGCCTTTGGTTTGAATGTCCTCCCGTAGCTCAGAGTAATTTGATCGTCTGAAGCCTTCTTCTCTCAGCTCGTCAAAGTCGTTCTCCCTCTAGCTTTGTTCCGTTGCTGGTGAGGAGCTGCGTTCCTTTGGAGGAGGAGAGGCGCTCTGCTTTTTAGAGTTTCCAGTTTTTCTGCTCTGTTTTTTCCCCATCTTTGTGGTTTTATCTACTTTTGGTCTTTGATGATGGTGATGTACAGATGGGTTTTTGGCATGGATGTCCTTTCTGTTTGTTAGTTTTCCTTCTAACAGACAGGACCCTCAGCTGCATGTCTGTTGGAGTACCCTGCCGTGTGAGGTGTCAGTGTGCCCCTGCTGGGGGGTGCCTCCCAGTTAGGCTGCTCGTGGGTCAGGGGTCAGGGACCCACTTGAGGAGGCAGTCTGCCCGTTCTCAGATCTCCAGCTGCGTGCTGGGAGAACCACTGCTCTCTTCAAAGCTGTCAGACAGGGACATTTAAGTCTGCAGAGGTTACTGCTGTCTTTTTGTTTTTCTGTGCCCTGCCCCCAGAGGTGGAGCCTACAGAGGCAGGCAGGCCTCCTTGAGCTGTGGTGGGCTCCAACCAGTTCGAGCTTCCCGGCTGCTTTGTTTACTTAAGCAAATAGCAATCAGTGAGATTCCGTGGGCGTAGGACCCTCCAAGCCAGGTGCGGGATATAATCTCGTGGTGCGCCGTTTTTTAAGCCTGTCGGAAAAGCGCAGTATTCGGGTGGGAGTGACCCGATTTTCCCAGGTCACCCCTTTCTTTGACTAGGAAAGGGAACTCCCTGACCCCTTGCGCTTCCGGAGTGAGGCAATGCCTCACCCTGCTTCGGCTCGTGCATGGTGCGCACACCCACTGACCTGCGCCCACTGTCTGGCACTCCCTAGTGAGATGAACCCGGTACCTCAGATGGAAATGCAGAAATCACCCATCTTCTGCGTCGCTCACGCTGGGAGCTGTAGACCGTAGCTGTTCCTATTCAGCCATCTTGGCTCCTCCCTCTGCATGTTTTTTTTCTTAAGGGAATCTTCAGATTGTGAAAACTTCTGGCCACATACTACCTGAATCCACCCTTGTTTGTGATCATATACCCTGTTGCCAGTGACCCAGAAGGACCTTGTAGACACACCTTTCAGTTTGTGGTTATCTTTGGCTGTGATTTCTGATGTACCATGAAACTGAGAAACCTGCATTACATAGTATTTGCAGGGACAGGAATTTTTTTAAATTTCATCCTCATTCCACATTGCTTCACTTCTTTTAGGCAAGCCAAGTATGTATTGCCTTTGCATTACTGAAGGAGAATATGGGGGTTCTTTGTCCTCTTTTGTTCCAGGGTAATTACATAAAAGAAGCTGACTCTATAGATCCCTGACCATGCATAATGAGATGACAAACTATACATCAGATAGAGGGATTATGCCCCAGAAGTAAATTGCTAGAAACAACAACCTCATAATCATTTTTACTTTATATGTAAAGAAACTGAGGTCTAGCTGATTTATCAGGGACATAGTGATTGGAATTAAGTCCAACTCTGGATTAACTCAGTTCTACAACTTGCTGCTGCCTTGCTAAGTGATTCACTTCAATGATTCACTTCAAAAACATGAAAGAAGAAAGATTTACCTTGAATGTACTTGGATATTGATGTTTCCTTGGCAACAGGTTCTAAATTAAGAGCAAAATAGTGATTGAACATATGCAGTTTTGTTAAAAAATTGTGGGCTCTGAAGCAGCAGCCTCAGAAATTCCTCATTCTTTGTTAATTGAAAAGTTTTATTCCTGGATACTGCCATGTAGCAGTTATTTTAGAAAAATCTATTTTCTAGGCAGGAAAACAGGAGGCCATTCCCCTTTTCCTCTGAATCTCCCTCTGCTTTGGCCTTTTTTACTTTCTTGTAGTAAATCAGAGTCACGTGCATAATCAGCACTTAACACCCCCTCATTGAGATCTAATCAACAGTACCTGTCTATAATTGAAGGGATTAGACATAATTTAGTTGCAGTTAAATGCTGCCTAGTATGAACATAAGGTAAATTATTAATAGAATATCCATTTTTTTGTCTTGATACTTTAAATTCCTTGTTTAGTCCAAATCATTCCAGTGCTACATTCCTTGTATAGCTTTTCTTTTAAAAAGAGATGCTTTTATGGAAATGCTGTGGTTTTGTGTCATCTACTTCCTTTGAGGGATGCTATAAAATAGAACCCCTTTAAACCGTAGGGATATTGTTCGTTCTAGCTTTGCTAATCACAGTGTGGTTCAGGCCAGAAATTCTGGGGTCACCTGGTAGCTGGTTAGAAATGCAAAATCTCAAATCCCGCCTCAGAGCTAGTGAATCAGAATCTGCATTGTAAGATCCCAGGTGGTTTATATGTGCAATGGAGTTTGAGATGTACTGTTCTACATTGCTCGGTCTATTTTCTTGAGGACTTGCAGGATAATTTACTTCAGAAATAACCTAATGGTTAAGTTCCTCAGCTTGAGGTAGGCAGAAAGTTTGCTTGATTTGGAGGGTGCTTGCCCCAATTACTGATTTTGTGTTGTATCCATCTATTTTCATGCTACTGATAAAGACATACCCGAGACTAGAAAGAAAAAGAGGTTAAACTGGACTTACAGTTCCACATGGCTGGGGAGGTCTCAGGATCATGGTGGGCAGTGAAAGGCACTTCTTACATGGCGGTGGTAAGAGAAAGTGAGGAAGATGTACAAGCGAAAACCCCTGATAAAACCGTCGGATCTCATGAGACTTATTCACTTCCCTGAGAACAGTGTAGGGGAAACTTCCCCATGATTCAAGTTATCTCCCGATGGGTCCCTCCCACAACGTGTGGGAATTGTGGGAGTACAATTCAGATGAGATTTGGGTGGGACACAGCCAAACTGTATCATCTCATCCTTGGCCTCTCCAAATCTCATGTCCTCATATTTCAAAACCATTCATGCCTTCCCAACAGTTCCTCAAAGTCTTAACTCATTGCAGCATTAACCCAAAAGTCCACAGTCCAAAGTTTCATCTGAGACAAGGAAAGTCCCTTCCTATGAGCCTGTAAAATCAAAAGCAAGCTAGTTACTTCCTAGTTACAATGGGGGTACAAGTATTGGGTAAATACAGCCATTCCAAATGGGAGAAATTGGCCAAAGGAGTTACAGGGTCCATGCAAGTCCAAAATCCAGTGGGGCAGTCAAATTTTAAAGCTCCAAAATGGTCTCCTTTGACTCCAGGTCTCACATCCAGGTCACACTGATGCAAGAGATGAGTTCCCATGATCTTGGGCAGCTCCACCCCTGTGGTTTTACAGGGTACAGCCTCCTTCCCAGCTGCTTTCACAGGCTGGCATTGAGTGCTTGTATCTTTTCCAGGGGCATGGTGCAAGCTGTTGGTGGATCTACCATTCTGGGTTCTGCAGGATGGTGGTCCTCCTCTCACAGCTCCACTAGGCAGTGCCCCAGTAGGGTCTCTGTGTGGGGGCTCTAACTCAACATTTCCCTTCCTCACTGCCCTAGCAAAGGTTCTCCATAAGTGCCCCACCCCTGCAGCAAATTTCTGCCTGGGCATCCAGACATTTCCATACATCCCCTGAAATCTAACTGGAGGTTCCCAAACCCTAATTCTTGACTTCTCTGCACTGGCAGGCTCAATACCTCATGGAAGCTGCCAAGGCTTGGGGCTTGCACCCTCTGTAGCCGTGACCCAAGCTCTACATTGGCCCCTTTCAGCCATCATTGGAGCAGCTGGGATGCAGGGCACCAAGTCTCTAGGCTGCACACAGCATGAGGACCCTGGGACCGGCCCATGAAATCATTTTCTCCTGGGCCTCTGGGCCTGTGAGGAAACGGGCTGCCGTCAAGTCCTCTGACATGTCCTGGAGACATTTTCCCAGTTGTCTTGGGTATTAACATTTGGCTCCTTGTTACTTATGCAAATTTCTGCAGCCTGCTTAAATTTCTTCTCAGAAAATGGGTTTTTCTTTTCTATCACACTGTCAGGCTGCAAATTTTCCAAACTTTTTTGCTCTGCTTCCTTTATAAAACTGAATGCCTTTAACAGTGCCCAAGTCACCTCTTGAATGCTTTGCTGCTTAGAAATTTCTTCTGCCAGAAACCCGAAATCATTTCTGTCAAGGTCAAAGTTCCACAAATCTCTAGGGCAGGGGCAAAATGCCACCAGTCTGTTTGCTAAAACATAATAAGTCACCTTTACTCCAGTGTCCAACAAGTTCCTCATCTCCATCTGAGACCACCTCAGCCTGGACCTTATTGTTCTTATTGCTATCAGGGTTTTGGTCAAAGCCATTCAATAAATCTCTAGGACGTTCCAAACTTTCCCACATTTTCCTGTCTTTTTCTGAGCCCTCCAAACTGTTCTAGCCTCTGCCTGTTACCCAGTTCCAAAGTTGATTCCACATTTGTGGGTATTTTTCAGCAACGCCCCACACTACTGGTACCAATTTACTGTATTAGTCTATTTTCATGCTGCTGATGAAGACATACCCGAGACTGGGAAGAAAAAGAGGTTTAATTGGACTTATAGTTCCACATGGCTGGGGAGGCTTCAGAATCATGAAGGGAGGTGACAGCACTTCTTACATGGTGGTAGTAAGAGAAAATGAGGAAGATGCAAAGGTGAAAACCCCTGATAAAACCATCAGATCTCTTGAGACTTATTCATGACCATGAGAACAGTATGGGGGAAAGTGCATCCATGATTCAAATTATCTCCCACTGGATCCCTCCCACAACATGTGGGAATTATGGGAGTAAAATTGAAGATGAGATTTGGGTGGGGACACAGCCAAACTGTATCATGTGTCTTTGGGAAATCTATTTAACTTCTCTAACTCCCAGTTTTCTTCTCTGTACAATGAAGACCATAATATGATCTACCTTGTAGGGTTATTGTGGTCATCAAATGAGAAAATACATGTAAATTAATCAAGCCCCAGTATTTGCATATGAGAACAAATAATAGCTATTATCATTGTTATTACTACTATAATAAATTATTATTTTCTTCATTGAATGGTATTGTCTTATCAAATAATAATAACTGATTATTTTTGGGGGGAGCAGGGTAATGACTGCTAGGAAGCATAGAGCCAAATTTATACCCCTTTCCAGCCAGTATTTGACGTTTTAACTGATCTTACTCCAGCTTCCTCTTATTATTATATTTATTTATTTATTTATCTGAGACAGAGTCTCACTCTGCTTCCCAGGTTGGAGTGGCACCATCTCGGTTCACTGCAACCTCTGCCTCCTGGGTTCAAATGATTCTCCTGCCTCAGCCTCTTGAGTAGCTGGGATTACAGGCACATGCCATCACACCTGGCTAATTTTTATATTTTTAGTAGAGATGGGATTTCACCATGTTGGCCAGGCTTGTCTTGAACTCCTGACCTCAGGTGATCTGCCTTCCTTGGCCTCCCAAAGTGCTGGGATTATAGGCATTAGCTACCGTGCCTGGCCCATCTTATTATTGTTATTATCTTTTTTAGGGACAGAGTCTCACTCATTCTCCCACTCTGGAGGGCAGTGGTGTGTCCATACCTCATTGTAACCTCAAACTTATAGGCTCAAGTGATCCTCCTACCTCAGCCTTCGGAGTAGCTGGGGCTACAGGCAGGCACCACCACCTTGGCCTCCCAAAGTGCTGGGATATCTTATTTATATTTATATTTTTCCACCTCAATTTTCTTATATTTTAATATTTTATGTTTACCATTGTATCTTTGTAAGCTACTTCAAAATCATTTTATATTGAGTATGACGTAACAATAAATTAGTAATCACAATTACAAATTTGTTACTCCATAACTTTTGGTCCAAATTACGTTGACAGCCTTTTCTTATTTTTCTTTCTACCAACCCTTTGGTAGAGTCATATTGGTCAATGTCATAACCCTTGTAAGGTAGGGGCACTTAAGACAATTTTTAAAGAAATGCTGTTTTCCTCACATTGCCTTCTTTTTTTTTTATCATTATATCCCAAGCATAATATGCTACACATAATAGATGCATAATACATTTCTTGAATGGGTATGTAAAAATTTATATCACATCCATTTACATCTCTTCATGCTTGCTGTTAAATTCAAACCTGGAATGAGCTTTCTTTATCCTTTTGATTTGTCCAGTAAAGAGACCCAGATCAAGTGTCACCCTCCACTTGAAGACTTTCTTGACCTTTGTTCCAGACAGGGGGCTCCCTTCTCCAAGAACTACGGAATTCACTACGTGTCTTATTCAGGTGGCACTTGACATTTCTCTTTATGATGGTAGCTATCCTTGATTAAAAAGAACAAGATTTGGAATCAAGAAGTTATTGGTCCAACACTATTCGGATTACTTACCAGCTGTGTGACTATAGAAACTTTCTTACCTTCTCTAGGGCTGTTGCCTCTTCTGTAAAATGGGGAAACTGAGTTTTGTATTGCTAACATAGATAACATATGTGGATGTTTAGCATATTACAGTTGATAACTGTGCCTTTTTTTCCAAATCAAATTCAGTAACCTTCTCCTGTAGAATCAGCAGGGAATTATGACAGGATTATGAATGAAGTCCTGTTCCTATCATTCTCAAGGACAGTTTTTGCCTCTGGGCTCCCCTGACTGACGGAGTTGCAGGGGTTGTGTCTATTGATGATTTGTGGTGAATGTAGCTGTGATTAAATATTGTCTAGATTTCATGACTTATCATGATGGCAGAGGAGGAAGGTAAGAAATATTTGCTGTTACCCAGGGAACACTGCACAACACAGTTTCAAACTCTTCTTGGATTCCCTTTTGTTGTTTTTATTTCCCCTCTTTTTATTTTATAGCATTATTTCTCTTTTTTACATTTCTCTTCCTAAGAATACATTTTAGAAACCAGAATTAATTTATTTTTAAGGGAGTTCTGTTGATTTTATTTCACTTTCAGACATTTTAAAATAACCTCCAACCTCTTTGTTGCTGTATGCAGGGGCATATTTTCAAGGTCTTGAATTGCAAAATGCCTGAGAGTCAAACAGAAACATCTTTGAGTGTCAGAATTCTGAAAAAGTGATTAATGAAGCCAATTCTCTCATGAAAGATGATACAAAGTTATCACATGAGATACTTTTCCTATTCACTAAATAACTAGAAATAACAAGATAACTGGAAAGTTAATCTGTATTTTCAGAAAAATTTTCTTATTAATATATACTCAATAAAAGAAGAGTGCTTTGAACAACAAGGAGGCTGGTCCATCAAAGAAGTATGCTCATTTTACATCTGATATGGGTCTCTACTTATTCTAGTTCTTTCTCCATATGTTAGTTGGGGAAACATTTGAGATTAAATCTGATCATCTTGCTTTCTGCCTAAAATCCCACTGACTCCTTATTGCCCACAACATTAAATCTGGGATGAAAGGCTTTGCTTGATCTGGCCCCAAATAACTTCCAACCTCAGCTTCTGCCCCTGCAGCATGGGTTCCAGGAGCTCCAGCTGCTCTGCCCCAGGTGATGCCCTTTCACCGCGGGTTCTTTCCAGAGGTCTTTTCCTCTGCCTGCTCACCATCAAGAACCAGCCCAAATGGCCTTCCTCTCTAAAGCCTCCCTGGACTCCCCCAAGCTTAAGCAATTATTTTTTTCTTTGGGGTCCCATGACAATTTATATATAACTTTGTAAGGCACTTACTATTCTGGCTAGTTATATTTCCATTTATAAATGGCTTTACTTATTTAGTTTTTAAAGATACAGTCTGTTTGTTGTCCAGGCTGGAGTGCAGTGGCACAATCATAGCTCACTGCAGTCTCAAACTCTGGGGCTCAAGAAATCCTCCTGCCTCCGGCCTCCCAAAGTGCTGGGACTTCAGTTATGAGTTACTGTGCCTGAATGCTTTTATAAATTTCTTATTAGCTTATGAGTGATTTGAAGATAGGTACATTGCTTCTATCTTGTTTGTATCACAGGTAACTTGTAGTACAATGTCTATCATGTAGAAGGTGCTCAATAGAGATTAACTGAATGGCTGCATTCATCTAAATTTATATATTTTAAAGGAAGAGCATACATTTTGCTTCTCTCATCTTCAATTTAATTTTGTTACTCTTAAATATATTTAATAAATATTAATGCCTATTAGCTTTCTATACATATTTATAATGAGCAATGGTATATTTGAATTAATTTTTAAAATAAGCTCAAATCACATTGATTTTTACAATTATGAGTACTGAAAAACACATTTTCAATGTTTTCTCCTTGTGTAGACCTGTTATTTGAAAGGAAATGTCAGCTCCAAGATGCCTCAGGTTGCCTGTGAGCTCCTCTGCTGTTTTCAGCTTGTCAGTGAAACTCCAGTTCAGATTCCCTATTGGTCACTTAACTGATCTTTTTGGGTAGTAAGGGATCAAGACTACCCACAGAATGCTGTAACCATGGTGATAAGATGCCCTATTTTAACTTTTCAACAGAAAAGATGAGATGCTGTAGCACTTCTGTGCCTGTGTTTCCCCATGGAATTTTGGGGAGGCATTCAAGCATTTAAGCAATAGAATCAGGCCTTGAACAGATAATTACGTTTTACTTTATACTGGTACCTTTTAAATTAGGGGTGCTGACAGACGGCACATAGAGTTCATGACGAGCCAAATGTGAGGTTCAGGGCAAACCAGGGAGGCTTGTCATTCTTATACACAGACTGAGGAAAAGCTCCTTTAAGTCAACAGTTTTACTTTTTAAATAAAATTGAAGTACTTATCAAAAATAATGACCGTGTACTCTTTTTGAGGGTGACAAAATACAACTGTAATGGAAGACGAATGTGAATCTTGCAGAAAAATCAAAGTATTCATATAGACTATGTTTTCCAAGATTAGTCTTAGACCTAGTTAGAATGGGCAGAAGTGTACACTGCGAGATTTAGGGGGCACTAGGAGGGTGTCCAATATCTTCCCTTTTCTTTAGTGTGAAAATCCAACTTGCCAGAGTTTTTCCCTTTAAAGGTTTGTAAGCCATTACAATGTAAGCATCTCTGGAAAGGCTTCACAGTAGGGGAGAGGCTGAAATTTAGTGGCCTGTGAAATCAAACTGGTTGGTAGCTGTGTTTGGCCTGAAGACTATCTTATATATGTTTTTGAACCAACATTTAATCATAAGGAGACTTCACATAAAAACCTACATTACTCTATTACCTTTAAACAATAGGGGATGTGGCAGAATGAAATCCTCACAGGACTGGAGCTGAATAGCTGCTGTCCTATTTAAGTGGGCCACATTCTCTCTAATTTGTCACAGCTTCCAGCCCTCCCACCCTGACTTCAGATAGAGTCCTTTAGGCCTTCCTCACTCATTTACTTACACTCCCAACCCTCGTAAGTAAAAAAACAGAGTAGCCTCAATAACTGTGCAATTCAGAAGCTGATGATAAGGCATCTGCTTCGTGTTCTGCCTGGGTTTACTTTCATCTCTGGGAGCGTTCTCAGAACATTAAGACTTTCCCATGTCTCTTCTCTTCTGTTGTTTCTACCCGTGTTCTTCTCCGGGATATTATCAGAAAGTAAACACACCAAAGGAAATAAACAAAATATGCATTTCCAATATATTTTCCTTCAAGCATTCACTAAAAAACTTACTATTGGCAGGGAAGAGTGGCTCACACCTGTAATCCCAGCTCTTTGGGAGGCTGAGGCAGGAGGATTACTTGAGGCCAGGAGTTTGTGACTAACCTGGGCAACATAGTGAGACCCCCATCTTTAAAAAATGTAAATAAATTAGCCAGGTATGGCAGTGCATGCCTGTAGTCCCAGCTACTTGGGAGGCCAAGGCAGGAGGATTGCTTGAGCCCAGGGGTTCAAGGCTGCAGTGAGCTGTGATAGTGCCACTGCACTCCAGCCTAAGTAACAGAAAAGACCATATCTCTAAAAAGAAAAAAAAAACCCAAGCACCTATATCTATATTTCTAGCACAAACACACATACACACACACGCACATACACACACATGCATGCGCACATATATATGTATAAATATGCCAAAGAAATTCCACTTGTACTTGAGGCTAGCTTGAATGGAAAGTTTGAGTTTTCCTGAGTGTTGAGTACTACCTCAGCTGGGAAGACATTGTGGTTGGGCCTGAAGAATGCAGCAAAATCAAGTTGAGGCATGGAATTTATTCTGTAAGTATAATCAGTGTGGAAAAAGGTTGAATAATCTGTCTCCAGACCTTATTCTCCAGAGGAGAGGCACTGTTAAGGGTCCAAAGGCTCTCCCTGACTTCTCCTGCAACTTTTCCTTCACTGGCATTTCCATCAATAAATCTCTTGCACCTCTAGTCTTGTTTTGGCATCTGCTTCTCAGAAATCCAAATTGACACATGGTAAATGGCTAAGTATTATTAGCAGGTATCAAGAGGAATTATAAAACAATCCATGCTGAAGACCTGAGGAGGACTATGCGGGTGAGGTAAAAGAACAGCAAATGATCAAAGATCAACTTTCCTATCAGCATGGATATTTTGTCTCTAGATAGTGTAAGGACAAAAATGAAAAATAGAACAAGATACTGGTGGCTGGTCTTTGGGAGTAGTATTGGAACAAAATCTGGTGGAGACCAAGCATAAATTTATGAGGGGCTGAATGGAAATACAAGCATTAAATAATAACAGTTGGAGATGCAATATGTATAAAAGGTTTCCGTGATAATTGCCAAATGAATGTTACGGTCAATAAATGCTTTGAGTTCAGAGAGTGAGAGACCACATGGAAGTTTAGAAGGTTTTGGAAATATTTTCAGGATAGACATTTCTCCAAAAAGCTCTGGATATCACAACTGGATAAGACCTGGTTACTTTTACTGCTAAAGAAGTGAAAACAGAGGAGGTTGAAATAGAGGAGTCATTTGAATGTTAGGGAAGGTAGTCACCATGCAATATTTTGAAGACATGTTTCTTGAGTGGAGTCTCAAGACTTCTGAGGAATCGCAACTTATTTATAAAATTTAAAAACATTATGTTTTCATTTTGATGTTAATCTTAAAAAATTATTATTAATGTATTTAGGATCCCGGCATCATCTTCTGAGAACCACCTCTCGATTTCTTGGCCTCCTTTTGTATTTGTGTTAATACTTACGTTGGCACAAAACAGTACTGCTTCAGTCATAACAGGCTGATAAGAAAAAACAGAAGTAGGCTACATATGTAAATGAACCATTCCTGTGACATGCTCGTATGTGCTCAAAGATAGACAGGAGGCTGAGCGCGGTGGCTCGCACCTGTAATCTCAACACTTTGGGAGGATGAGGCGAGCAGATCACTTGAATTCAGGAGTTAGAGACCATTTTGGGCAACATGGCAAAACCCTGTCTGTGCAAACAATACAAAAATTAGGCTTGCTGGTGTGTGCCTGGGGATGTTGAGACAGCAGTGAGCCGTGATGGCGCCACTGCACTCCTGGAAACAAGAGTGAGACTTTGTGTTAAAAAAAAAAAAAAAAAAGGCCGGGCGCGGTGGCTCACGCCTGTAATCCCAGCACTTTGGGAGGCCGAGGCGGGCGGATCACGAGGTCAGATCGAGACCATCCTGGCTAACATGGTGAAACCCCAACTTACTAAAAATACAAAAAAAATTAGCCAGGCGTGGTGGTGGGCACCTGTAGTCCCAGCTACTCGGGAAGCTGAGGCAGGAGAATGGCGTGAACCCAGGAGGCGGAGCTTGCAGTGAGCCGAGATCGCGCCACTGCACTCCAGCCTGGGCCACAGAGCAAGACTCCGCCTCAAAAAAAAAAAAAAAGACAGGATTCCTTGGGGTTGGGTCTTTTGATATTTTCATCAATATGAGCTGCTGATATGATGGTTTCTCTAATTATGGGCCAGTTAAATTAAGCACATGCAAATCTCTTGAGGACAGACATTAAATTGGGAGCTACCATCCATTCTCATTTTGAGAAATAAAATATTTAAAATATTCTGTCAAGTAAGAAGCACCAATTTCAATCCGAAGTCTAAGCTGCCATTATTTTCTAGAATAGGAAAATTAGCATTTGATTTCTCTCTTGCTATGTCTGGGAGACTTATCAGAATAATACGAGAGATACTGTGGTCTTCAGTAAACTTAAGATTCATAAGTTCTTCCAATTCTTCCATTGTATTAGCTAAATGGAATTCTGTGGTAGTGCTGTCCTGTAGGAAGAAACCTATGCCCCAGAAGACACCTAGCCTCCAGGTAAAATGCAATTAGCTCAGCACAGAAAATATAATTAGCATCCTGTCCATTTTATATGTCAGATAGCTCTTGCAGGAGCCCATTCATCTCAATCCCTATTCCCGCTCATCTCCTTTGTATTGTTAAAATGGTTTTTAACCGGAACCTGTGCTGCCAGGTGGTATGCTTTCCTTTTGTTTAAATCCACTCACTGTATGTATTTCTTGAATGCTGCTATGGGCTGCTCACCAAGTTAGATGCTGTAATAAGCCCCACAGACACCGTCTCTGCCTTTGCAGAGGTTATAGCCAAATGAGAACAGAGACATGAAATGAGTAATCATGCAAATGACAAGTGTGATAGGGCTTGAGAATCTCATTACAAGGGAAAGGAAAGTCTGGGAGCTCAGAGAAAGGCTCCCAGAGGAGCACAAGGGTCTTTAACCTGAGGCTTGCCACTTGAGAGAGAAGTCACCAAGCAAAGGGCAAGCAGAAAAGCAGTGGGACGAGAATGTTTCTAGTATAAGACGGAGAGGCTGAGTGGTGCCCCAGAGTACTAGCATTTGGGGTATGGGTGGGACTGGCTGGGAACAGCTCAAGTGAGTTCTGCCCTCAGTCTCAGATCTTGAAGGGCCCTGTAAGCCTGGTAAGTATTTGGGTCTTTATTCTAAAAACAGTTGAAGGCAATTAAAGATTTTAACTTAGGAGTAATAAGATTGGCTCTGGGTGGGGAATTCATTCCAAGTGGCAGCTAATCTTTTTGGGTTGTTTGGTTTTGTTTTTTTGAACCTCCGCCTCCCAGGTTCAAGCAATTCTCCTACCACAGCCTCCCGAGTAGCTGGGACTATAGGCGCATGCCGCCACGCCCAGCTGATTGTTTGTATTTTAGTAGAGATGGGGTTTCACGATGTTGCCCAGGCTGGTCTTGAACTCCTGAGCTCAGGCAATCCACCTGCCTTGGCCTCCCAAAGTGCTGGGATTACAGGCGTGAGCCACCACACCCTGCCCTAATCTTTTTTAAGAGTGCAATCTGATTGTCATTCTCCTGTTTAAAAACATTTAGTGACTTCTTCCCGCTGTCAGAATGGCTTCTAAACTTTTAATAAGGTTTACAAGGCCCCTCTTGAACTAATCCCTCCTACTTTCCTAGGCTCATCTTTGATTATCATGGCCCCCCCGCCGCCCCTCCCCTGCCCTTTTCTTCCTACTTCTGCTCCCACCACACTCCTCCCCTGCTCCAGCCCAGGACCTTTCATGCTTTTTTTTGACCTCGACCAAGTAAATAATTCTTAGCATTTTACAGTGTGACTCAGTATGCATTTACACACATATACATATATCAGATAAAAGCTTTATGGAGCAATGGAGGAGGAATTCTAGTATTTTCCCTTTTCTTTCTTATAAATGTGGGTTTACACTTACCAAACTGACTTCATGACCCACTCTGCTCAGTAGTTCTTTCATGAGCCAGTTCTCCCTTTTTGTCTGAGACTTTGCACATGTGCTTACTTCTGAGTAAAGCACTTTCTTCCTGCTCTGCTGCTTGCCAGGGAATTCCTGCTCTACTTTCCGTCTCAACCAGAAAGTCTCAGGGAATCTTTGTTAACTTCTCAAGTCCAGCTTACGCACTATTTCTGACTTTTCGTTGCCTTCTCTCTGCCTGTTCTCCACACCTACCTCCCTTTCTTTTTTTTCCTTTTTCACAACTATTTATTGAAAGCCTACTATATGCCAGGCACTGTTCTAGGCATGGGGGTAGGGCTGCCTTCATGGGGCTCTGTGCTCAGAGGACCCCCACACTTGGTTTAACGCTCTGCTATTGCTGCCTTGAACATCTTAATATTTTTTTATCAAGGGGTCTCACATTTTCATTTCATACCGAGCCTCACAAATCATGTAGCCAATCCTGCAATGGGGGTGCAAGGTACAAAATAGACCCAAATTCCTACCCTCGTAGAGTTCACATTTTCGTGCTTACTGCAAACTCATCTCTTTCCTTAGCAGTTGTCTCAATGTACAGTATTTGACTATTTACCTTCCTGTCATCCCAACTAGTCTCTAAACTCCTAGAGGGCAAATACTCCTTTGCCCAACTATTTCCAGTGTATATTATACTGCCTGGAACCCTTTAACCTTGTATACACTAACAAGTTTATGTAGAATGAATGAATGAACAAATATGTTGCCTCCAACCCTTGTCCTATAATACATGGCTCCCTTGATCAATGCTATCCTTGAGGCTGCTTTGACAAGTTTTCGCTTGTATTAAAGCTCTGTCACTGGCTATGAAGCCCATCAACTCTGAAGTGATAACTTTAGAAGAGTTACAATTTTATGTACATTAGTGAGTTTTATTTACACTTATGATTGTGATTAATTCACCAAGCAGATGACCTCCACCAAGAATTTGAGGCCCAAGTATCATTCTCAAAGTGAGCACAGAAAGTTTGAAATGTTTTTGAGATGATTAATGACTTCAACTGGAAGAGATAAAAGCAGAGGAAGAGCATCAGGACTTGAGAATGCAGGGAAACTGAGATGAAAAGCTTGTCTTATGCTTTTTAATTCTCTTTAAAATATAACCTAGTTACTCTAGAATTTATTTGTAATAATATTGGTTCAAACTTGAAGATAGAGTTATAGGATGACTTCTTAAGATGTCATAATCATCAGTTGGGCATCATTATTTTCCTGAGGAAACCAATTTTAGTCTAATAACCCCAGTATTTAAAACTCCAGGATGTTTGTTTTTTGTCTGTATCTGGTTTGAAGAATGGCATACAGGTTATGTTCAAATACTTGAAGTTTCTGTATACCTTAAAGCACTTTTAAGGGTTAATAAAAATACATGTCCTATCCTTATCACTTACCTTTTACTGCCATCCTGTGGCAAATTTATTTTCTAGATAAAAATCCATTTGCAAAACCACGTTTTTTATTTTTATCATGGATCACGGTTTCAGATTTTATCAGTCCTCAGTTAACACAGGCACACCATAATACACACATATTTAGCAGCATTTTGCTTTACTGGCATGTTCCACAATGCAGTAGCATACAGTTTATAATTGTGAGATTTCACAAAACATTTTTCTAAAGGACTCTCCTCAATTATCTCCTTATTTCTTTCCTCAGTGGGTTTTCAGTGGATGCTTGGGCAGTAACAGTTTATCATAGCTTCAGTGAGACTTCCTTGGTTGTCTCTCTGTATTTGGAATACTTACAGATACTTTCCGCTGGAACCCAGATTTGGATTTCCTTTCTTGGATGTCCTCTCTTCTGATCTTCTAGACTTCTACTAAGTTCCAGCATTCTTATTGGCGAGATAAAAGGCACAAGCAAGATCAGGCAGGGTGCTTATGACAGAATGTGCTCATGTGTCGCCTGGTTTTGACCATCTCAGGTCAGCATCTCTGGATAAGCAGGGTCCACATGGGGCTCGGGGAGATAGCGGGCAATAGTGTCCTTGTTTGGAGTTTGACGTAGCCTCTGTGACTAGGAGGCTGACAGCAGGCAGGTTTCACAAGGGTAAGTTTTGTTCATGCTGTCTACCCTAAACCATTAGGACCTAGATTCTATTATAGTGGAAAATAATAAGTCTGAAAAATAATAACAACAATGCTAATGGCTAATCCTTTGGAGTCCTAATTTATATGCCATGCCATGTTCTAAACACTTTACATGCATTATTTCATATTTCAAACTATCCTATGAGTAGAGGCCATTATTATTCTTATTTTACAAATTAAAAAAAAAAAAGCCCCGAGTCTTACAGTGA
This sequence comes from Homo sapiens, assembly GCF_000001405.40. Lineage (NCBI taxonomy): Eukaryota > Metazoa > Chordata > Mammalia > Primates > Hominidae > Homo > Homo sapiens. Next base: position 100,064,432 of record NC_000004.12, read on the forward strand.
CAAGATGCCTTGTTTAAGTTTACTCAGCTGTGGACTGGAGGGCTGGTGGACCCAATGAGTGAGTGAATAAAGTGTTAGGTTGGATGCCCAGTGTATGTACTTCAGTTTTTTCTTCCTTCTAAATCATTTCCTTACAGCTCAAGGAATCTTCCAGAAGTTGCATTTTCTTTAATTTTTCTTATACCTCATTCAATATAACTTTCTCTTATTTGTTTGGAAAGAAAACCTAGGGATCATGAGATGTCCTTCATTTATCCTGGGCCAGGTACTAGTAGTAAAGTTGTACTGTTTTTCTACTGAAAAAAGTACATCTCCAGTCTTTGACAGCACTTGGACTGATAATCAACTTGGAAGCAAAAAATGTTTCCCTAGACCAAAGAGAGAGTCCCATTTTCTTTCTTTCTTTCCTTCACTCCTTCCCTCCCTCCTTCCCTCCCTCCTTGCCTCTCTCCTTGCCTCCCTCCTTCCCTTCTCTCTGTCTCTGTCTCTCTCTCTCTCTCTCTCCCTCCCTCTCTTTCTTTTTCTCTCTTTCTTTATTTCTGTTTTTTATTTTTTTGACAAGGTCTCACTCTGTCAGCCAGGCTGGAGTGCAGTGGTGCGATCATGGCTCACTGCAGCCTAGACCTCCCGGGCCCAAGCAATCTTCCCATCTCAGCTTTCCAAGTAGCTGGGACTACAGGCATGCATCATCATGTCTGGCTAAGTTTTTTATATTTGGTAGAGACAGGTTTCACTATGTTGCCCAGGTTGGTCTCAAACTCCTGGGCTCAAATGATTCTTCCGCCTCGGCCTCCCAAAGTGCCAGGAGTCCTATACCTAAATCATTCACTGATAACCATAATAGGGGACCCCTCTAGACAATTTTTGGTCAAAACATCATGCTAAAGTAAACTAACCACAGAATTTATTTTAATGTACATTTATTTTCTGCTTTTGGTTTTGTGGAAAATTCAAGTGTTTAATTTCCTGCCACTTGGCTGTTAACATGACACTCTTATACTGGTAACAGACACTGTTGTGCAGGATTGGATGGGGTTTAGTATGTCCAAATGATATTTCATCATTCTAGGATTATGTTCAGTCTCTTTCTCTAATGCATGCTGGACACAACATGACCTTGTTTGCTGGTTCTGATTTTCCAAAGGACCTTTGACATTCTTTCAGAATAAAGGTTCCCTATTGAAATTTTAGCTACATATCTTATTCTGCATTTTTATTATGCTGCTTTAACTACTGTCCCATAAATTGATCTTCATCAAACTTTTTTTTCTCATTCATGATTCAACTTATTTCATGGTGCTCGGAGGGTCTGTCCATATGTAATAATAAACAAAATAGCCTTATATTTTATATCTGTAATGATAAATATTTATTGCATGTTTACTATATGCCAGGCACTGTTCTAAGTGCTTTATGTGTCTGTCTCATTTAATATTCACAACCCTATAAGATTTTTACTATTATCGTCTCCAATCATAAAATACTTCATACTTCCTCCATAGAGGAGAAGAGTGATGCAAGCATGGAGAAATGAATCAATTCACCCAAAGTCACATAGTTTGAAGCAGCAGAAGAAATGTATGTGTAATAAATATTAATTGCTTTTGAAATTTTATATCCTAAATTAAAGCTATTTTAAAACAAATCAAAAGAAGAAATATAATCTTAATCCCTTATATCTCATTCCACATCTGGTTTTGATCACTTGTATGTCAACAGAATCGTTTTTCTGTATCAGATTCTCCCCTGGCCACCAGCTTAATAAGGGATTGTATTAGTCCGTTTTCATGCTGCTGATAAACACATATTGGAGACTGGGCAATTTACAAAGGAAAGAGGTTTAATGGAGAACTCACAATTTCCACGTGGCTGGGGAAGCCTCACGAAGATGGTGGAAGGCAAGGAGGAGCAAGTCCCATCTTACTTGGATGGCGGCAAGCAAAGAGAGAGCTTGTGCAGAGAAACTCCCTTTTTTAAAACCAGCAGATCTCGTGAGACCCATTCACTATCACAAGAACAGCATGGGAAATACCCGCCCCCAGGGTTCAATCATCTACCACCAGGTCCTTCCCACAGATGCGGGAATTATGGGAGCTACAAGATGAGATTTGGGTAGGGACACAGAACCAACCATATCAGGGACCATTGAAGGGGCACTGGCAGCACAATAATGAGACAAAACCCACAGTCTGCATCCACTTCCCATCTCTCATAATTTTGGAATCCGGTTCATTTTAGCTGTTTTACTGACACACACAGAGGTATATCTACCCTGGCCTCTAAGGGTGGGCTGGTCAACTGAGAGTGTCTGTTCCTGGTCACAGCTCCACTCCTACCCCTCCCATGCACCCTTGTTACCCAGTTGCATCTAATTCTAGAGAATTGGCTCCATCTCTTGTTTATCATTCTGTTCCTGCTTTTGGGATTTACATTTGGTTTCTCTGGTACTTGACTTCCAGCTTCTTTGTAGGACCATGTGACGGACTTTCATCCTGGGAAAGGCTAGCATTACATTTAAGAGTGAGGTTTCTGGAATCAAGCTGCTGGAGTTCACTGCCCAGATCTGCCACTCACCACCACGTGATCTTGGGCAAATCCAATAAAAATAGCTAAAAACCTCAGTTTCCTTATCTGTAAAATGGGAATAATTAAATGGAAATTGTGAGATTTCATGTAAAGCACTTACAGTGCCTGACAGATTGCACTCACTCACTCACTCACCCATTTATTCAGCAAGTATTCACTGAGAGCTTTTTTTTTTTTTTTTTTTTTTTGAGACAGTGTCTTGCTCTGTCGCCCAGGCTGGAGTGCAGTGGTGCAATCTCTGCTCACTGCAACCTCTGCGTTCTGGGTTCAAGTGATTCTCCTGCCTCAGCCTCTCAAGTAGCTGGGATTACAGGCGCACACCATGGCACGCGGCTAATTTTTGTATTTTTAGTGGAGAAGGGGTTTCACCCTGTTGGCCAGGCTGGTCTCGAACGCCTGACCTTAGGTGATCAGCCCGCCTCGGCCTCCCAAAGTGTTGAGATTACAGGCGTGAGCCACCGCGCCCAGCCCACTGAGGGCCTCTTATGTGCCAGGCACTGTTCTACTTCTGAGACCACTAAAATGAACCAAACAGACAAAAATCTCCACTTTTTTGGAGCGTACATTTGGGTGTGTGTATGTATGTGTGTGAGTGTGTGTGTGTGTGTGTATGTATAATAGCAGAAAATAAGTTAACTAAGAACATTTATATTATATTAAATGATGATAAGGGCTAAGAGGAAAAATAAGGCAAAAAAAAGGACTGGAAAATGTTGGAGGGCTGGTCTATAATTTTAACTACGCTAGTTAAAGGGGCCTCATTAAGATATTTGAGTAAAGACTAAATGGGATGAGTGAGCCAGCTAGTCAGTTTTCTCAGGACACAGAATACCAGGCTGAAGGAACAATGGGTGCAAAAATCCTGAGGCAGCAAGATCTGGTGGATTAAGAAAACAGAAGGAAGACAAGTCTCACTGAAGCAGAATAACGGGATTTGCTGAGGCATCACATGTAGGATGTGAGAGAAGGAGAGCAGTCAAGAAAGACACCAACTTCTTTGTCTAAACTATAGTCAGTATGTAATTGTCATTTACTGTCATTTACTGAGGTGGGCAGGCTGGTGAGAGAAGTGAGTTTGGGGCTAGGGTAGGGGGATGGTTAATGTGGTTAAGGACATCAACCTCAGATTTGGACATACCAGATGCCAGTTAATCACCTTCACCTAAGCTAACGTATCAAGAAGCCAGTTGGATATGGAAGTCTGGAGTTCAGGGGAAAGGTCTGGCTAAAACAGAAATTAGTAGCCTGTAGCTAGTATTGAAAGTTATGAGATTTGGGTAGGGACACAGACACAACCATATCAGGGACCATTGAAGGGGCGCTGGCAGCATAATAATAAGACAAACCCCACAGTTTGCATCCTCTGACAATGGGATCATCAGAGGAATTTAGTTGGAAAAGAGGAAATCCAATGTTTAGAAGTCAGGGAGATAAGTAAGTATCCCGTAAATGGTGGCTGCTAGTGTTACCATCACAATTGCTTCCCCAGCTCCCCCTACTTGAGGTCCACCCATCAATCTAGCTCACGGTCAATCCCAGCTTCCACCAGCTCTCCATGTTTCCTCTAAGAGGCCCTTTGGAAAAACTCACCCTCTGCTGTGTCTTTCAGTTTCTCTAGAGGACGGTATTGTAGTTGAAAACATCATTTCCAGCTATGGTCATCCAATTGGGATCACATTGCCTTTTCCTGACAGCACCGGCCATCCTGGGTAGAATCAATTGCACCCTCCTGCTTTTAGCACATTGCTGTCCTCTTAGAAAAGTTCCCTTCAATCCCCTACCTTTCACTGGTCACCACTCCACCCACACTCCAAACACTGGGAAGCCAGCAGTCTGCTGCCTCAACACCCAGCAATCTGGATCTGACTGCTTCTTTCTGCCTCTGGCTGCACAGAGACCAAGTCTCAGGGAGCTAACAATGCCTTTCTCTTTGACCAGGGGCAATTCTTTCTCTCCTTTTCATTTAAGGCTTTTGGACTTTTCTTGAAGATTTGAACTCTCTGGCTTAACACATCTCGCTATGGTTTTGTTTGTTTTTAACTTTTAGTTGGAAACTTCACAACATAAAGAGTATATATTATATTTTGTACAATTTAAATAATATTATAAAATGAATGCTTGCATATCCATACCCATACCCATCTTAAGGAAAAGAACACTCCAGTGGCTCTGAAATCCCCTGTGTGCCCTGCCTTAATTCTGTTCATTTTCCTCCCCACCAGACGCTAAGTTGTTCCTTTGTAGCTTTGTCATTACATCACTCAGAATTTCATCGGGAAAGAAGACTCACTATAAAAGATTTAAGATAGGGGTTATTATAGGACTTACACCTTATACCTCCTATACCTTTCAGTGAAGATCTGAAAGGGGAAGTGCGAAAAATGGAGTAAAAACCACTAACCAGCCCTCCTGAAGCACCATGTTGATGGGTAAGTCGGAATTTCAAGGAGGAGCTAAGAATCCAAGTGCATCTAGCAACGGGAGTGGGGCCACAAAGAGGGAGATGGAAAAGAATCCTACGGGAAGTGATTGCCACTGTAGCTGCCCCCTCTGTAGGTCTACTGTTGGTCAGCAGGCCCCCAGTGAGGAAGAAGGGCTGGGAGCTGAGTTGAGCAGAGGAAGTATAAGCTGCAACCTCCTGGCACTTCTGCATGTCTGTCACCACATTTGATGGCACAGATCTTTTGAGAAAATTGGATGCTGCTTCACTCTGCTTCCAATATCTTGTTCAAGTTCCTCTTTTGACCAAGTTTTACTTTAATCTGCACAGGGTAGAAAACTCTGGGATATATAGTTCCTAGCTTAGTCAGGTTGTCAATAGAATAAACCAGCACTGCCATCTATAAATAAATCCTTAGGCAGTATATTGTTTAGTTTTGGCTTTATTTTATCATAATAAGAAATATGCAGCATATTTTTTTCTATCACTTGCTTGTATCTTTTTAAATTATTGTTAACATAAAATTTGGGGAATCCTTCCTGTTGTTTCATTCACTTTTAATTACTGTATATGATATTCCAAAATATAAATATATAATTTATCTATATAGAATTAGATATTTGTTTTTTCCCCCAAGTATTGCTTTTATGAGTAATGTTTCTTCTGAGTATTGTATGTCTTTTCATGCACTTGTGCAAGGCTGTCTTTAATACATACATATAGGAGAGAAATTGCTGAGGAGTAGGGTATGCTATATATACTTTATTATATATTGTCAAACTGTTTTCAAAGGGGCTTGTGCTGATACACTCCCACTAGCAGACTAAAAGTGTTTCTGTTGCTAAACATCCTCATATGAAGATACTTGACAGCATATATTTTAATATTTGCAAAATCAGGGCAGTATAAATACCATTTGATTTTGGTTTCAATTTGTTTCCCTAATTACTAATGAGACTAGACATCTTTTTTTGTGTGTATTCACCATAAGTATTTTCTCTTCCCTGAAATGTCATCTTTTGCCCTTTTTAATAGTTCTTCATACATTTTAGATAATGACTTTTTGTTGGTTATTTGTATTGCAAATATTCTCTTGCAGTTTATGGTTCATGACCAGTATAAGACCTTTCTGTCTTGCTGTTCTCTTCCATTCATCTACTTACCTATCTCTGTTCATTTTCACGCTGGTTTGTCTTGTCGTGTTCTTTATTCTGTCTTTTGATGAACAGAAAGCCCAAATTTAGTATAATTAAATGTGGCTATTTCCTCCCCTTATGGTAACTTTGGGTCTTACATAAAGCATCCTTGTTTTCCTCCAGGTCATAAAGATATGCCTGGTATTGCCTTCTAAAATTGTTCTGGTTTTGCCTTTTACATTGAAGTCTTTAGTCCTTGTTATGGTTTGAATGTTTGCCCCCTCCAAAACTCATGTTGAAATTTAATTGCTATCGTAAGAGTATTGAGAAGTAAGACTTTGAAGAGGTATTAGACAAGAAGAGCTCCACCCTCATTGGTGGGATTGGTTCGCTTATAAAATGGCAAGTTAGGCTCCCTCTTTCTCTCTTACTCTCTCTTACTCTCCCACCTTCTGCCATGGATGATGCAGCAAGGAAGCCCTGGCAAGATGCCAACACCTGGATTTTCCAGTCTCCAAAACTGTGAGCCAATACATTTGTTTCTTATAAATTACCCAGTCGGTGGTATTCTATAGCAGCACAAAATGGACTAACATAGTCCTTAGTTTCCCACAGATACGTAATACATATTTATAATAGAGTTTTTGTATATGCATGGGTTTGTTTCTGGCCTGTAATCTGTTACATTGGTTTTGATATCTGCAAAGGAAAATGTCTCCATCTTGTTCCTCTTTAGCATTGTCTTGGTACTTCTCATGTAGAAAAACCATACGCTTTTCAACATAAATTTTAGAATCAAATTGTCAAGTTCCCTAAAAAAATTGGTGGTAATTTTGATTGGAATTGGGGAACAATGGAAATCTTTACAAACTGCTGATTTGTTCCCAAGAGATATGTTCTTCCTGCTCATAAGTTTATGGCTGCCATTTGAAGACTCTATCACCCTTTTTGGCAGCTAATTTTGGCCATGTGTGGTAGAGTACTTGTAAATAGCTGCAATTATTCCGCTCCCTGTATTCATACTCTTTTGCAATGTGACTTTGATGCTTCTCCTTTCATTATGCAGAGTCTATTTCACACCTTCTGAGTATGAGCTGGCCTCATGACTTGCTTTGCCTAGTAGAATGCAGTGGGAGTGATATTGTGTCAACTCTGAACCTAGACCTCAATAGGCCTTTTGTACCATTGCCCTCTCTTAGAATTTCACGGTTGTCTGTGACTACCGTCACAGACTGGGCTGGCCTGCTGGTTGGTGAGAGACACATGGCTAGTCTGCTCATCTCTTCAGCTGACAGTCAGTGAACCCTCCAGAAGCAAAACCACCTAGCTGACCTGCAGATGATGAAAGATGCATGAGGGATTCTAATAGAGACAGAAACTACCCAGCTGAATGTAGTCTACATTGCCAACCCACGGGATAATGAGCTGAAGAAAATGGTTGTTACTTTAAGCCACTAAGTTTTCAGGGTGGGCTGTTACTCAGAAATAGCTAATTAATACCATGTGATCAAGTTCTTACCAGTATAATGTAAGCAGAAGTGACACATACTCATTTTGCTTCAATAGCTTTCCCCATACAACAGGCCGATATGGAGGTCAGCTAACTTGGACCATGGAGATGCAGACAGAGCTCTAAGACAGTTGATCTCAAAGTGTGGTCTGCAGACTCTTGCAAGTTTGCAAGACACTTTGAGGGTCTGAGAGGTCAAAACTATTTTCACTGCAATATTAATTTGTTATTTGCTTTATACATTATGTTGACATTGGCTCTGCGGGTGCAAAATTAATGGTGGGTAAAACTGTCACTTTAGCACAAATCTAGGCAGTTCACTCTATTGAAAAAGTAGTCATTTGATTCATCACTACACAGTCGTGAAAAGTGCCAGTTTCACGTAAAGTTTTCCTTGATGAAGTAGTAAAAATCATTCATTTTATTAAATCTTGGCCTTTGAGAATACATCTTTTTAACATTCAGTGTGACAAAATGGCAAGTGTGCATCCAATTCTTCTGCTGCATGCCTAAGTACGGTGGGTGTCTCAAAGCCTCTGTGTGTTTGAATAGATGAACTTGCTTTTTGTTGTTTTGTGGTGTACCACCATTTGTATTTAAATAGGTAGACAGAAAAACTATGGTTATTTAGACTTGGGGATTTCAGCAGACATTTTTTGAAAATGAACGAAGTCAGCCAATGTTAAAATTTGAGCAGGTAAGCAAAAATATGTTTAAAAAAACTTATATTTGCTGCTGTGACCTCAATAGCTTCCCAATATTTAAATACTTCTGTTGATGATGTTGGCAGTATATTAATTAATAAGTTTTTAAAATATTGCATAATGAAGTGTGTCAATCCTATAGGATTATAGGAGAGTTATACCAAAACTTGGTAAGTTATAGGACAGTTGCAGGGTAGAATCTTAAACCTGATATTAATGAACTGTTCATGTCCTATTATATTAAAATCTATTGGTTTATCATGCAATTTGAACCTACATTAACTCAGTTAACCAGTGTTTTCTAAATGACCAATGGATGTTACAACCTCACACATAGTAAAAAAAAAAACCCATGCAAATTGCATGATAAACCAATGGATTTTAATATAATAGAATATGAACAGTTCATTAATATCAGATTTAAGATTCTACCCTGCAACTATCCTATTACTTATTAAGTTTTGGTATAACTCCTCTATAAACCTATAGGATATTCTATCTTAACTATCCTATAACTTGTCAAATTTTGGTATAGTATCCAACAAGAATAGCCATAATTATCTCAAAAGACTATTAGAGTAGCCCTTCCTTTTCCAACTACAAAACTCTGTGTGGCTGGCTTCTATTCATCCATTTTAATGAAAACAATACAGTGAAACTGACTGAATGCAGAAGAATATATGAGAATCTAACTGACTTCTATTAACCCAGGTATTTAATATTAAAGAGATTTTCAAAAACAGAACAATTTCACTCTTCTCATTACATTTGTGTTTTAGTAAATAGATCTGTTTTTCCCAGAAATATATTACTTATTTTCATATATAATGGGTTAAGTACTATTTTTGAAAGAATTAATAATTATTGTAAAAATTTTAGTTTTAATTTTGAATGCAATAGTCATTGATAGATATAATTCATAAAATCCAAAGCTCTTTGGAGTCCTCAGAAATTTTATTTTGACATGATTTTTTTTACAGACATTTTAGGTACACAGTAAAATCAAGTGGAAAATATAGAGAGTTTTCATATACACTTCCTTCCCAAATGCACACAACCTCCCCAACTATTAACATCCCAAACCAGAGTGATACAGTTGTTACAATCAATGAATCTACATTGACACATCATTATCACCCAAAGTCCACACATTAGAGTTTATTCATGGCATTGTGAATTCTATGGATTTTGACAAATGTATAATGACATGTATCCACTATTATAGTATCATACAGAGTAGTTTTACTGCCCTAAAAATCTTTGCTCTGCCTACTCATCCCTCCCTCCCCCTGACCCCTGACAACCACTGATCATTTTACTGTCTCCAGTTTGGCCTTTTCCAGGGTGCCATGTAATTGGCACCATACAGTATGTAGCCTTTTCAGATTGCTTTTTTCACTGCATAATATGCATTTAAGGTTTTTTCATGTTTTTTATAGCTTTATAGTTCATGTCTTTTTAGCACTGAATAACATTCAATTGTCTGGATGTACCACAGTTTATTTATGTATTCACCTACTGAAGGACATCTTGCTTCCAAGTTTTGGCAATTTGAATTAAGCTGCTATAAACATCCATGTGCAGGTTTTTTTTGTGGACATGTTGTCAATTTATTTGAGTAAATACCAAGGAGCACGATTGCTGGATCATATGGTAAGCGTATGTTTAGCTTTGTAAGAAACTGCCAAATTGTCTTCCAAAGTTGCTGTACAGTTTTGTATTTCTACCATCAATGAATGAGCTCTTCTCTTGCTCCGCATCCTTGCCAGCATTTGGTGGTAGTAGCGTTTTAGATTTCATGGTTTCTCAATAATTTTTAAGAGTATAAAAGGGTTCAGGGGCCAACAGATTTAAGAGCTACATCCTTAGAGGATGGCTGAGCATCAACGTGGAAGGAAATTGAGTGCTAAATTAATAAAGAGAACAGCCTTTCTGATCCAGAAAAGTCAAGCCTCAGTCTTATTTAATCTATTTTGATTGGGTCTCTCTGTTACAGAAGCTTAGACTTCAACTGGCTTTTATATTCATGTTAGAGTGAGACTCTTCATGCCTCAGTTTCAATTGAGGCACTAAGATAGTAGCTATTGATAGCCAAATGGAGAGTGGGATGTATCTGTAAATAAAGACTTAGTAAAGGAATTCTCTGAGAATCAATTCCCTGACTTAGCAGAGCAAAGAAATCAAAAGTGTTCAGAGGATGGGAAGAGAGAGAAGACTGCTAAATAAGTGTATTTAGGAATACTTTTCTTCATGCTCTAAAATCTCATCACCTGCCTTTGGGAGGGAGGTGGCAGGGGATTTTTACATTCTTGCCCAAGCTTAGTGAAAGAAAGGGATATTTGGTGGACTTTGGAATGTGTTCCCTGCAGTTATGAGAACTGGTGCCTGACTCTCTCTGAGAGAACTAAGGTAAACTGTGGTTTGGGGTCTGATTCTTGTCCAGAAAGTCTAGAAGGAGAGACAAGGGATGACTAATTGCTTTGGCAGTGGTTGCTGCCACTCTGGGATCAGCCTGCCTCAAATACATTGTCAAGGCAAGGGATGCATGTTTCAAATGGACTAGATGTGGGCTGCACAGGAGTAGTGATCCAGTGGAATTCTCATCTGTCCCATAGACCTCCTTGAATGAAGTCCTCAGCAGAAAGAGTATGGAAGTATGCCTGAGAAAGGAGTTATAAGTGACCACCTAAAAGGGAAAGTCATCCTTCTGGGTCAGAGATACTGCAGGGGAGAGTGGCACAGTGGTAAAATACAGAGACAGAAACCCAGTAAAACACCACCAGAGAGGGAGGTCAGCTGAACTCACTAGCCAGGAGCATGCAATATGAGACCAGTTCATGATAAGTTAGTCCTTTCTTGCCCCTTTCCGTTTCTCCCTCCTCTGAACCCACACAAGAGGGCCAGGGCTCATGATTCAGCTGGGGAAAGCATTGTGAACAAACAGAGAAGCAGCTACCACAAGTGCCTTTCTCATTGCAGACTTCCAGCCTTATGATGGAGCCAAGGAGAGAAGGAGCATTTAGTCAAGTTCAGAGTTTTAATTATTGTATGTGGCTGCACATATAATATTTGAATTAGACTTTTTCCCCAATTATTTTTATGGTGGTAAAATACATATGACATAAAATTTACCAGCTTAACTATTCTTAAGTGTACAGTCTGGTGTTATCAAATACATTCATAATGCTGTGCAAGCATCACCATCATCCATCTTCATAACTCTTTCATTCTGCATAAACAGTAACTCTTCATTGCCCCGGGCCCTTGGCAACCACCATTCTGCTCTCTGGAACTGAGGCTTCTTTTGGTGTGACTAAACTCATTGTATAACTGTCATTGAAGAGTGGAATTTAAAAATTCTTAGACCTGATAGAGTTTTTATTCTGGTGTAGGAGACTACCCAGATGAATAAATTTTAGAGAGATAATGGAGAGCCAAAAGCAAAGTTGTATTTTAATTATGTCATGTATCATGCATGCATTTTCAACATACCCAATATTAAACTCATCTGTTCTGTATATATATTTTAATTTTTCAGGTTTTCTTTTCTTTATAGAGATGAGGTCTCATTTGGTAGCCTAGGCTGGAGTGCAGTGGTGCAATCATAGCTCACTGCAGCCTCAAACTCCTGGACTCCAGTGATCTCCTGCTTCAGCCTCCCCAGTAGCTAGGACTACAGGTATGCACCACCACATTTGGCTAGTTGTAAAAATTTTTTGTAGACAGGCTCTCACTATGTTGTTCAGGCTGCTCTTACACTCCTGGCCTCAAGTGATCCTCCCACCTAAGCCTCCCAAAGCTCTAGGATTACTGGTGAGCCACTGTGCCTGGACCCAGGTTTTCTTTAAGAGGGTACATTTCCATCAGTAAATAGTTAAGAAAATAACTCAAATGATTTGCAAGTTCATGGGTGTGTAATTAAATAGGCAGGAGGCCATTAGCCTGAGGCTCTCTGAGTACTTTCAGTTCTTACATAACAAATTACTACCTAACTTAGTGCATAAACAAGCTGAAACCTAAATTAGGAGTATATTTCTTTCTAACTAATAGCCAGGTTTCAGCCAATCACAAATAGTACAGCTTTAGCCAATCACTGGCAGCCACCTGGTAATACCATGCCCAAATAAGGCAAATGCCTCATCACACCATGCCCAAATAAGGAAGATATCTAGCTGTAACCAATCAGGTGATTTCTCTATTTTGCTTCTGTGTTTGGCCTATGAAACCTCACTGCTCACACTGCTGGATGGAGCTCTCTGAACCTGCTCTGGTTTTGAGTGCCTCCTGAGTCATGAGTCACTCTGTGCAAATAAATTTTGTTAAATTTATTGTGTCTAAAGTTTTTCTTTAAACATGGGAAAGGTAATGAATTTAGTTCGGAAATGTTGGCTTTGAATTATCTGGCCAGGGAAAAAGTGGATTGGACAATTTACAAATAAAGTCTTAGAACAGTGATGAACAGATAGTAAGAATTACATGTTACCTACTATCATGATTGTTATTTTGGATCTAAATATATGATGCAAACCTATTCACTTCCGTGCCCATAGACCTGATGTTCATACCCAATAATTTAGAGGAAGAAAGCAATCAAATAAAAAATACCAGTTTTTCTGTATGAAGTAGAGTATGTTTTCTAATCTCTTCTCTTCCTACCTTGAAGCATTAGATTAAAGATCCTCTGAGATTGTAAATCCTGATTATATTTCTGTGTGCTACAGGTGTCAATCACTATTCAGGCACTTCTTTGGCAATTAGTGGAGTATTCTTCCCAGTAAATTATAATCTAGTTCAGTTTATATTAATTATACTTTGGTAGCAGTGCCATTATGTGAATGTTAATTTTATTAACAATATATTTTGACTATGGTGGATTGGCAAATTAGAAACAATTTCAGTGTTTCTTAAAACTTTATTATGTTATGCTTTTGCTGAGTACTAAAGCATGAAAAATGCATTCGAGGCACATCATCATATAAAAGCATAGTTATCTTCATTTCATTTATGTTAATTGAGCTTTATTTTCTGGAAAACGTTTTAATATTTTGATTGAATTCTTTAAAAATAGATTTGACAAAAATAAAAGGCAATTAATTTTGATAGAACATCATTTTTATTGGCAAATTATACGTATAGTAATCTAAATTACTCACTAATTTTTGAGCAATTATGTAGTAAAAGAATCCAAAGAGCTGAAGTTCCAAATCTCAAAAAAGGTAGCATTTGCTTTTGTCTTAATTGATTCATACTGATTTATAAAATCATCCTATATTTTTCCATCATTAGTCTTTCATTATGCACTCTCCATTGTGGGAGAAAAAGCATCTTTTCTTTTCTCTTTTGGTAAGGAGTAGTATCCCTAAGGTTTTTTGAAGGTCAGAATGAGATTAGGTTAATTTGTTAAGTTATTAATCTACTCAGTAACTGCTTAGGAAGAACCTATCATGGGTAGGTGCTTAACAAGATACTGGGCTTATGAAAAAGAAGAGGAAGAACAATAACAAAAAAATTTTTTTGGGAACTTATACACTGTTCTTGCATTGCAAAGAGATAAAAACCATGTAAATGAATAAATTAATAATATAACTTCTAGAGAATGGTAGTGCTATGAAGAAAATAAAATATGGCAATGGAACAGAGAGCAACTCTTTCTTTATTAAAATAACTATTCTTCTGTTATTCCAATTGATAAAAAAGCTTGTAGTTCATATTACTGTCATCTATCTTGATGTTAAATAATTTACTAACATATATTGAGCATGTACTTTGTACTAGGTACTGTTAAGCACTTATATGCATTATCTTATTTAATGCTCAACACTCTCCAAAGAGTGTGTTATTAATATTTGCATTTTACACATTAGGACACTAAAGCTTAGAAAGGCTTATTGTCTTACTTCAGAGCACATGAGTTGTAAAAGGTACAGCTGGGAATCAAATCTAAGTCAGCATGAGTCTAAAGTTGCACTGTTCAATATGGTAGCTATCAGCACATGTATTTAATTTAAATTTAAATTAATTAAAATTTAAAATTTAATTTTTAATTGTACTAGCCACATATTAAGTGCATAATAGCAACATGTGGCTGGGGCTGCCATATTGGACTGCACAGACATAGAGTGTAATCCATAATCTCTCAATATTGCAGAAAGTTCTATTGGACAGCATTGCCTAGAGAACAGCTCTTATAGATTCAACTATACTTCCTCCTTCTCACTATATGAAGAATTATTTTAGTCAAGTGTCCAAGTTTTCTGTCTTTGACTTTCAGAAGAGCAGTAGAAATATTTCTTTTTGGGTTTTGGATTGGTATTAAACATTTACTGAATGTCTATTGTAGGATTTTTTTCTATAACTCTCTTTTGTCCTCAGGGAGTGGTGCTTTCCTTTCCTTTGGAGAAATTCAAAGTTTTTGTATTACTCTATTGTGTGCATGTCTGCTTTCAGCTATTCCTCTAGCATCATGGGTCTTCCGCTACCCCAGCTTTGCTCCCTGTCATCTTGCAATACCACTTGAAGCTCAGCACCACTTAGCACCATTGACACCTTTTCTCCACTGAGGCCAAAGATGGAGGGGTGGCACAAGTTGCGTTTTCCTGTCACCACCCACTGTCTTCAGCAGCCCTAAAGCACTATCTGAGACTGGGAATTTCCACATCAGAGAATGAAAGCAGAGGAAATTACAACTAGAAGAGACAGTTTAGCTCAACTGTACTTTATCTTGAATCTCAGAGAAATTAGACCACAACTCCCCAGCCACCCTAGCTGCCAGGGGATAGCATGCCTACTCTCAGGGTATTTTGGGCTTTTCTTCGTCCTTGTCCCACAAAAAATACCTGTTTTTTCTTTTTTTTCTTTTTCTTTCTTTCTTTCTTTCTTTTTCTTTCTTTCTTTCATCTTTCTTTCTCTGTCTCCTTCTTTCCTTCTTTCCTTCTTCCCTGTCTTTCTTTCTCTCTTCCTTTCTTTCTTTTGAAAGGGTCTCACTCTGTTGCCCAGACTGAAATGCAGTGGTACAATCATGAGTCACTGCAGCTTCAACTCCCCAGACATAAGTAACCTTCCCACCTTAGCCTCCCGCGTAGCTGGGACTACAAGCACACCAGCATCCCTGACCATTTTTTATTTAAAACTTTTTTTTTTTGTAGAGACAAGTGTTCCAGCGTGTTACCAAGGCTGCTGTTGAAATCATATGCTCAAGTGATACTCTTGTCTCAGCCTCCCAAAGTGCTGGGATTATAGGCATGAGCCACCATACCCAGCCAAAACAACCCTTTCTCAAGCAAGCTTCTTAGTGTAAAAAAATCTAGCTCTCCTCTCCTCTGCCAAGTACAAAAATCCCAGGAAAGCCTACGCTTTAAGGGAAAATGGGATGTATGGGTGAAGGAAGCGTTTGGCTGTAGTCCTCTAGTCAGGGGAGGCCTCAACATGAGTTTCCTTCTTAAAACTCCCACCAGCAAAATTGCAGACCTGCTGGCTCCTTTACTGGATGTTTTAGTTCATTTTGTGCTGCCATGACAGAATACACAGGCTGGGTAATTTATAAAGTACAGAAATTTCTTATGGTCCTGGAGTCTGGGAAGTTCAAGATAGAGGGGCCAGCGTCTCGTGAGGACCTTCTTGCTGTGCCATCCAATGGCAGAAGGTGTAAGGGTGAGAGAGAGCAAGAGGGGGCCGAACTTTTCCTTTCACAAGGGCACCGATCCCACCCACAAGGGTGGAACTCTCATGGCTTCTTAAAAGTCTCACCTCTTAATTTGGTCATATAGGCAAATAATTTCAAAATGAGTTTTGGAGGGGATAAAAACTCAAACCATAGTACTGGCTAACCTATAATGTAAGCAACGGCTTCTAAGAGAAAGTATTAATGTTATTCTCAGAGATGGTAAGGTCTAAACTGATATTGAAGTAAGAACATTTTCTTTATTAGTGAGAATCCTGCCCAGAGCAGCTCTAGGCATTCATAACCACCAGAGTAGTACAGAATGGCAGCTTTTTGTTACTCTGGGATGGGTGCAGCCTAGGTTATAGTCTATACTTAGCAATGGGTTTTTTTTCTGATTAAAGGCTGTAAGTGTGGGGACAGGGTTCCTCTGCTAATTCCTCCAGCCACATAAAGATGAAGTCCATGGCCCTCTATTCCCAGCCTAATAAGAAGTCAAGTAAACACCTCAATACAATCCGATGGATTATGTAATGTTAGGCAGAAGTGCCATAGGAGGTACAGAATAAATCTGTCATCATCCCTGGGGTTATTATAGGGACAGCCTCAAGGACGGCCTTGGGAGGAAGTGACATTTAAGCTCAGTCCTTAAGGATAGTGCTTAAGGTAGATATTTGTAAGAAAAACAAAAGGGTGATTGGGAAAAATGATACAGAGGCATGGAGAAGAAAAGTCTTAGATAGTTTTCTCAGTTTATTAGAATTTATTTTATTCGGACAAATGTGTTCAGTGGCTTTGAATATGGTATTAAAATATAATAAACTATCAGAGGATAATCCATTTATCACATTCTTTTTTCATTGTTTGCCTCTTTACTTTTTGCTTCAATTTCCAAAAAAAAAATTATGACATACCTGTTATGAATGAAACTACAAACTGTGTGTACTGGAGTTAAAACAAAGATCAATAATGAAATAAGCTTCTGACTTTAAGGAGCTTACCTCAGGTGAGGCAAAGGCAAATACATTGAAATACAGACAAGTTAGAAAGTCAGCTCTATTAGAAACTAAATATTGGCAAGAGGCTAGGGGATTTCAGGAGAAGCAAGGATAGTGGGAGATCAAGGAAGTCTTCGTAGAGGAAGTGCCATTTAAGTTGAGACTTGAAGGCTGTGTATGGGATTCAGAAATGCAGAGGTGGGGACAGGCAGAAGTAAGAGAATAGGGAAGCAGGGAGCATAATGATTCAGAATATTCCCCTGGAGCTAAACTTGTCTGGGATCACAGCCAGACTTTCCTACATACTGTGTGACCTTAAGCAAGGTGCCTCAAGTTCTTCATTTCTAAAACAGGGTTAATAGTGATAGCCACCTAACAATGTTGTTGTAAAGATTAAATGAGTTAACATATGTAAAGCACTTAGAAGAGGGGCTGGCATATAATGACGACTCTTTGCAGGTTGGTTATTATCATTATGATCAAAGATTGCAGATATTAGGGAATAACATTGATTTGCCTAGAATACTGAGTGTGTGATGGGTTGGGAAGAAAGGGCTGGAAGGGTAGGAAGGTGCAAGATTATGACCAGCCTTAAATATCAACCTCAGAAATATGGATTTTTATTCTACAGATATTAAGGGATCACTGGAAGTTTTGAGCAGATAAGAAACATGGTCAGTCTATTTATATATTTAAATAAATTATCACATGAATAAACTACCATAATTCTACCATTCTCTCCAACAAATTACTTACTGAAGATACAATTGATGGCAAGAAATCCAGAACTGTTAATTTATTTTGGAATTGGGATAGGTAGGTTGGTTTTGTTTATATCCACATGATTGTATAGCTGTTGCTTTTGCAACAAAAGCAGAATTTGTGGTTTATGTTTGAGAATTGGGCAACTTATAGCAGGACATTAATCAGGCTGAAAGCATACCTCCAGAGTTATTGTCCAGGTCTATAATAAATAGTCAATACATTTTTAAATATATATGAACATGAATACTTATTTTTCTTGCTTTTGATAGAGAAGACACAGTCCTCACTGTTCTAAAGCTTATAATCCATTGGGCATTACAGACAAATGTATAGCACTTTCATAACATAGTATGGTAAATGCTATACAATAGTGTTACTGACTAGATACCTGGATTTAGAGAGATATGAAAGATGAGATGTCATAGATGGTTCAGAATTTGCTAGGCAGAAGCAGGCTGCAGGTTTCAGACAGAGGGAACAGAGTGTGTAGAGACCTGAAGGCAAGAGAAAACATGGACAGGGTTTTACAAATATGTATATATGAGTGGGAATATCATTTATCAATACTAATATTTTCGCTTATTGTTTCTGAAGTTGTATTGTGGACAGTGTCACAAAGCCAGGTGGGCTGCATGAAGTCTGTTGGCTGTGAGTTGCTTATCAGCTCACAGTCTGTTGGCTGTGAGTTGCATTAGATGAAAGACACTTAAGAAATAAGTCAGTGAAAACCCAAGGAGGTAGCTTGAGTTAACAATCTGAAACTCAAGTGAGGAGGAAGAGTATCCATAACACATATCAAAATTTGGATGTGAAAGCAGAAGAGCTCAAGAAATCTTATGACTCATGCTTACCAATTTGCTGGTAGAAGATTTTGTATGTCATTTATATATACATAGTGTATATTGCCAGACACAATGAGTTTCAAACATAGGGCGTTCTAGTATGTTTGGTTTTACAGTATTAGGTTAGCATAGTGTTCCTTAGTGTTTTATTTTGATGGCTCTGCATGGCATATAGTAAGCACTCAATAAATATTTGCTATGATTCTATTACCATTTCATCATTATTAAAGACAATATGATTCAAGGTAATTTAACAAAGAAGTCATGTAGAAGCCACAGTTGGAAAACACCACAAATATAGTCAGCTCTTGATTATTTTTTCTCTCTTTCACAGTCATTTTATTTTTCATGGTATTTTTACACAAAAGAAATATAGAAAGATGTGACTCAACTCCAGTAAAAGATTAGTGTTGGGAGTTGTTCAGTTTTGGTTCCCTGAATAAGGCCTATTACCATCACCTCTAAACAGAAAGTGCTGGTAAATTACACATGAGGGGATTTTTCAATAAAGCTGCAGATAGAAGATTGTTCAAGTTAGAGGAGTGAAATTGTTGTCTATATTGTTAGAATTATATCAGACTGGCTGAAATACTAAAGGAAGCCTGCTACTTTGATTAGAGTATATTTAGGAAATGTATTCAAGGATGACTCAATGCAAAAATTTAAAGCCAGCTGCAAAGGAGCTTGGGAATGAAGGAGAAAACACCTGGGAAGATTAAAAATAGAAATAAAACTCCCCAACTGCCTCATGCCCAAATTCACTAATATAAGCAACCACTCCATATCCCTCTTCACCAAAAAGGCTTCAGAGTTTCCATATTATGGACAAGAAAATATTCATATTTTTATTTTGTATACAATCATAATTTAGGCAAGCTAAATGGAAAAAAATACCTTTGTAATTAGTCATACATCTTATACATCTTATATTTATCATAAATATGTTTTTGTTTACCTTCTAACTTTTATTTTAGGTTCAAGGGGATATGTGCACAGGTTTGTTACGTGGTTATGAGTAAATTGCATGTCACTAGAGTTTGGTGTACAAAGGATTTTTTCACCCTTCTCCCACCTTCCACTCTCAAGTAAGCCTCCAGTGTCTGTTGTTGCCATCTTTATGTCCATGAGCACCCAGTGTTTGGCTCCTACTTATAAGTGAGAACATGCAGTGTTTGGTTTTCTATTCCTAAATTAATTTGCTTAGGATAATGGCCTCCAGCACCATCCATGTTGCTGCAAAGTATATAATTTCATTCTTTTTTATGGCTGCATAGTATCCCATGGTGTATATGTACCACATTTTCTCTATCCAATCTACTGCTAGTAAGCATCTAGGTTGATTCCATGTCTTTGCTATTGTGAATAGTGCTGCAGTCAATGCATGTATGCAGGTGTCTTTATGGCAGAATGATTTACAGTCCCTTGGGTATATATCAAGTAATGGGATTGCTGGGTCCAATGGTATTTCTAAGTTCTTTGGGATATCTCCAAACTGCTTTCCACAGTGACAGAACTAATTTACATTCCCATCAGCGTGTATAAACATTCCTTTTCTCTGCAACCTCACCAGTCTGTTATTTTTTGAGTTTTTTTTAATAATAGCTATTCTGACTAGTGTGAAATGGTGTCTCATGCGGTTTTGATTTGCGTTTCTCTAATGATTAGTGATGTTGAGCATTTTTTCATATGCTTGTTAGCCATATTTATGTCTTCTTTTGAGAAGTTTCTGTTCGTGTACTTTGCCCCCAAATTTTTTTTTTTTTTTTTTGGGAACTTTGCACCATGTTTGTAAAGCGACATTTAAATGGTATTAACTTGTTTAACTCATATTTACTGGACACCTTCTAAGCACCAGGTATTAAGCAAAGTGCTAGAGATACAGTAGTGAATAAGACTGACTTACTGCCTGAAGGAGGAGATAATCATTAATCAACTAACCATACAAGTAAATGTCAAACTATAACAGTGATAAGTACTACAAACAAGAAGGGTATGCTCCCTGAGACTGTATAGTGGGGCATTCGACCTAGTTTGAGGTAAAAGAAGGTTTTCCTCTGAAGGTGTTGTTTTGAGTCAGAAGGATAGATGGGGTTTATTAATAGATAGATAAGGAGGGTAGGCCATGGGAGAAGAGTGGCTCAGACAACAAAAGAGAACATACAAAGACCCTCTGTTGTAAGGGAGCCTGATCTAGTCAAGGCACTGGGAGCAGGCCAGTGTGGCAGAGCTCAAAGAGTGGGGGTGAGCACAGTGAGATGAGGCTACTGAGGTACACAGGGGTCAGCAATACAACACCTAATTTTAAGCTGGCACATGACTACTTGGAAAAAAGACTACATTTCTCAACTTCCTGCAGCTGGGTTTGGCCACATGGTTAAGTTTTGGCCAATGAGGTGTAAAATGAAGTACAGGTTGCAATTTCCAGCAAGTGTCTTTAAAATGAGAAGGCATGTCCTTTCCCCCTACTTCATCCTTTCTGTTGACAGAAATTTGGATTACATGGTTGGGGCTCAAGTAGCCCTTTTGAAACACGAGGTGATCTTGGGATAGAAACTCTGCATGGCAGAACCACAAGGTGAAAAGAGTCTGGGTCCTAACACTTAGAGTGCATGGTGGATGTGGCCTGACTACATGACTTTTTGGGGAGGGGAATTAAAATGTCCTTCTGTCTTGTTTATGCCACTATTATTCATGATTTTTTTTTCTGTTACAGAAAATCTAATTCCCAACTGATAACCCTGGGGTTTCAGCAGGCTAAAATTAGCCCAGCTAAATCCACTGAGTGTACTCTACTGCCACTTTTTTTTAAATTTGTCAATGATTGTAGAGTGGAGAAGATTACTAGCTTTGTCAGTCAGTTTTTGTATCACTATAAAGAAATACTTGAGGGTATTCTGCTTCTGGTGAGGGCCCCCCAAATCTCATGACCTTTTCACATTTTGAAATACAGTCATGCATTCATGATAGTTCCCCCAATACTTAACTCATTCCAGCCTAACTAAAAAGTCCCAAGTCTCAAGTCCCAAGTCCCAAGTCTTATCTGGAGATGAAGTTCTTTCAACTATGTGCCTATCAGATAAAAAATAAGTTATGTACTTCCAAGATACAATGGTGGTAGAGGCATTGGGTATACATTCCAAAAGGAAGAAATTGGCCATAAGAAGGGATAACAGGCCCTAACCAAGTCAGAAACCCAGCAGTGCAGGCATTACATTTTAGAGCTTTAACATAATTCTTGACTTCACGTCCCACATCTTTGTGTGAGGCTTGGGATCTCAAGGTTCTGGGAAGCCCCACTGCTGTGGTTTTGCAGGGTGCAGGCCATGTGGCTGCTCTCACAGGTTGGAGTTGAGAGAGTGTAGCTTTTCTAGGTAAAGGGTGCAAGCTGCCAGTGAATCTACCATTCTGCAACTCCACTAGGCCTCCCCTTCCTACAACTCCACTAGGCAGTGCCCTGGTGGGGATGCTGTGTGTGGGCTCCAAACCCACATTTCCCCTTAGTATTGCCCTAATAGTGCTTCTCTATGAGGGCTCCGCTCCTATGGCAGGCTTCTGCTGGGCACCCAGGCATTTCCATACATCTTCTGAAATCTAGGTGGAAGCCACAAAGCCTCCCTCATGCTTGCATTCTGAGCATCTGCAGGCTTAACATCATATGGCAGCCACCAAGGCTTATGGCTTGCACCCTCCAGAATGGCGGTCCAAGCTGAACCCGGCTTCTTTGAGCTGAAGCTGAAACTAGACTAGTTGGAATGTGGGGTGCAGTGCCCCAAGGCTGCTCAGGGGAGGGGGCCCTGGGCCTGGCCACCAACATCATGCTTTCCTCCTAGGCCTCTGGGCCTGTGTGGGGAGGCTGCCCTGAAAACTTCTGAAATGCCTTCAAAGCCCTTCATCCATTGTCTTGGATATTACTAGCACTTGGCCTCCCTTTTAGTCATGCGAATCTCTACAACATAGCCTGCCTGGATTCCTTTCCTGAAAATGCTTTTGCTTTCTTTACCACATGGCCAGGAGGCAAATTTTTCCATTTTTTTGCTCTGCTTCCCTTTTCATTATAAATTCCAACTTTAAGTCATTTCTTCACTCCTGTATCTAATCATAGGTTGTTGGAAGCATCCAGTTCACATCTTGGACCACTTTGCTGCTTATAAATTTCTTCTGCCAAATATCTTAGGTCATCACTCTTAAATTCGAACTTCCACAGATCTCTAGGTCATGAATCCAACCCAACCACATTCTTTGCTAGGGTGTAACATGGGTGACCTTAACTCCAGTTCCCAATAAGTTCCTCACTCCCGTCTTCCTTACTTCATCAGGCTCATTTTCACTCCATATTTCGATCAGCACTTTGGTCACAACCACTTAACAGCTTTCTAAGTCGTTCCAAACTTTCCTTCATCTTCCTGTCTTCTGAGTCCTTCAAACTCTTCCAACCTCTGCCCATTACTAAAAGCCACTTTCACATTTTCAGGTATCTTTATAGCAACATCCCTCTGCTCAGTACTAATTTTCTGTGTTAGTCAGTTTCTGCATTGCTATAAAGGAATATCTGAAACTAGGTAACTTGTAAAGAAAAGAGGTTTAATTGGCTCACAGTTTTGCAGACTGTACAAGCATGGCTCCAGAATCTGCTTCTAGTGAGGGTCTTAGGAAGCTTATAATCACGGCAGAAGGCAAAGGGAGAGCAGATGATGTCACATGGTGCGAGTGGGAGCAAGAGAGAGAGAAGGGGGAGGTCCCAGAGTCTTTTAAACAATCACATCTCACATGAACCAACTGAGCAAGAACTCACTCATCACCAAGGGGATGGTACTAAACCGTTCATGAAGGATCTGCTCCCGTGATCCAATCTCCTCCTACCAGGCCCCACCTCCAACACTGGGCATTATTTCAACATGAGATTGGAAGGGGACAAACATCCAAGCCATATCACCAGCTAACAGGAAGTTCTATTTGGCTGCCTCCTTGACTTTATTTTAGCACAGCTGTGAAGCAACTGTAGCATGTTACACAGGGTAGGGATTCTTAAAAAATATTTAGGCAAAGTGTGAAAACATAAACTATTGTATAATGAGTTAAAAAATAATTCAGATAATCAATATATATCGTTCAGTTAAGTAAATCCTCTTTCCTTGAGGAATGGCTCTCAATTAAAGGGAGACAGGAATCCAGGAGGAAGGAGAAAACATTCTATGTCCTTGTTTAGTTTATGTACATCCTGATGAACTAATGGCTGTACTTTGAAACGTAGAAGGCCCTGGATAAAACATTCTCTACGTTAATGTAATTTCACATTTCCTAGGCTACATCAGCTTAGGGCAGTGGTTTTCAAATTTTCTCAGTTGCAAAACAGTTTCTTAGGCAAAAGCTTACATGGAAGCTATAATATAGAAAGTTGGAGGGCATATAGCTGCTCTGATTAACAGAGATGTCAGGGACAAAGAACCCTGCCTGAGTCTCCAGCCCCGCTCCAGCTGTGTGTGGCTCCCGCACAGGTTTTAGTGGCACTCCTTAGGGTTCCAAGGAGTATAGTTTGAAAAACAATTTTGGGGATTTTAAAGGCACAAAGTAATGGTTGCAAAATGGCACTTTTTTTTCTGGCTTTACCCTGACCTCTTGAAAAAGTCCAATGCCCCTAAGATTCTTCTCAAAATTTTCTGGATATTTCTGGATGGAGTCAGCTAAAATGTCACCTACTCTTGCCTAATCATCCTGTCTGGAGTTGCATCCCTCAATTATGTTTTAAATATTGGTAAGTGTTTCTATTTAAAATTTTTAAATTTCAATAGCCTTTGGGGTATAGGTGGTTTTTGGTTATGTGGATGAATTGTGTAGTGCTGAAGTCTGAGATTTTAGTGCACCTGTCACCTGAGTAATGTATATTGTACCCAATATGTAGTTTTTTTATTCCTCACCCTCCTCCCACCCTTCCCGTTCTGAGTCTCCAGAGTTCCTTATTCCACTCTGTATACCTTCGTGTGCCCATAGTTTAGCTCTCACTTATAAGTGAGAACATACAGTTTTTGGTTTTCTATTCCTGAGTTACTTCACTTAGAATAGTGGCTTCCAGTTCCATCCAAGTTGCTGCAAAAGACATTGTTTTGTTCTTTTTTAATGGCTGAATAGTATTCCATGGTGTATTTATACCACATATTCTTTATCCTCTCATAAGTTGATGGGCACTTAGGTTGGTTTTGTACCTTTGCAATCATGAATTGTGCTGCAATAAACATGCCTGCAAGTGTTTTTTGTTTGTTTGTTTGTTTTGTTTTGTTTTGTTTTTGATACAGAGTCTCGCTCTGTCGCCCAGGCTGGAGTGCAGTGACCTGATCTCGGCTCACTGCAAGCTCCGCCTCCCAGGTTCACGCCATTCTCCTGCCTCAGCCTCCCGAGTAGCTGGGACTACAGGCGCCCGCCACTAAGCCCGGCTAATTTATTTTTGTATTTTTAGTAGAGATGGGGTTTCACCGTGTTAGCCAGAATGGTCTCGATCTCCTGACCTCGTGATCCGCCCATCTTGGCTTCCCAAAGTGCTGGGATTACAGGCGTGAGCCACTGCACCTGGCAAAGGGTTTTTTTGATATAATGATTTCTTTTCTTTTGAGTAGATACCCAGTAGTGGGATTTCTTGATTAAATGGTAGATCTACTTTTAGTTCTTTAAGAAATCTCCATTCTGTTTTCTATAGAGGTTGTACTAATTTACATTCCTACCAGCAGTGTAAACGTGCTCCCTTTTCACCACATCACCACATTCACACCAGCATCTATTGTTTTTTGACTTTTTAATAGTGGCCATTCTGGCAGGGGTAAGGTGGTATTTCATTGTGGTTTTAATTTGTGTTTCCCTGATGATTCGTGATATTGGACAGTTTTTCATGTTTGTTGGCCATCTATATGTCTTCTTTTAAGAAATATCTATTCATGTCATTTGCCTACTTTTTGATGGGATTATTAGTTTTACTGTTGCTGATTTGTTTGAGTTTCTTGTAGATTCTGGATATTAATCCTTTGTCTGATGCAAAGTTTGCAAATATTTTCTCCCATTCTGTGAGCTGTCTGTTTATTCTGATGATTATGTGTTTTGCTGTGCAGAAGATTTTTAGTTTAATTAGGTCCCTTTTATTTTTGTTGTTGTTGCATTTGCTTTTGGGGTCTTAGTCGTAAGATCTTTGCCTATGTCAGTATCCAGAAGAAAGTTTTTCCTAGGTTTTCTTCTAGAATTTTTATGGTTTCAGGTCTTAGATTTAAGTCTTTGATCTATCTTGAGTTGATTTTTTATACGGTGAGAGAGAGGGATCCAGTTTCATTCATTCTTCTACATGTGGCTATTCAGTTTTCCCAGCACCATTTATTACATAGGGTGTCCTTTCTTCAATTTATGTTTTTGTATGCTTTGTCAAAGATCGGTTGGTTGCAAGTATTTGTCTTTCTTTCTGGGTTCACTATTCTGTTCCATTGTTCTGTGTATCTACTTTTATACCAATACATGCTGTTTGGTAACTATAGCTTTGTAGTATAGCTTGAAGTCAGGTAATGTGATGACTTCAAATTTGTTCTTTTTGTTTAGAATTGCTTTGGACATTAGGACTCTTTTTTGGTTGTATATGAATTTTAGAATTTTTTTTTTAATTCTGTGAGAGATGATGCTGATATTTTGATAGAAACTGCATTGAATCTGTATATTGCTTTGGGCAGTATGGTCATTTTCATGATAGTGGTTCTTCCATTCTGTGAACATGTGTTTCCATTTATTTGTATCGTTCATGATTTCCTTCAGCAGTGTTTTGTAGTTCTCCTTGTATTAGGAGGTCTTTCACCTCCTTGGTTAAGTATATTCCTAGTTTTTTTTTGCAGCTATTGTAAAAGAGATTGAGTTCTTAATTTTATTTTCACCTTGGTCTTTGCTGGGGTATAGCAGTGCAACTGATTTCTGTACATTGATTTTGTAACCTGAGACTTTGCTGAATTCATTTATCAAATTTAGGTGTCTTTTGGAGGATTTTGTACAGTTTTCTAGGTATATGATCTTTACCACAGGGCCATGTTTGACATGTTTATTTGCAGGACTTTTCACTCTCAAAAAAATTTTTGTTTGTTTGTCTATTTGCCAGTGTATAATCTCTTTTCTCTTTGTAAAATAAGCTCCATGAGTGCAGGGGCCTTTGTTTGGTTTACTGCTGTATCACTGGTGTCTGGCATAGTGTTTGGCATGGAGAATGTGTTCAGTCAATTTTTTTGAAAATGTATTAATTTTCTAGGGCTGCCTTAAAACTTATGATAAACTGGGTGATGGAAAAAAAATGGAAATTTATTCTCTTATGGTTCTGGAGGCCAGAAGTCAAGCTGAGGTGTTGGCAGGCCAATGTCCCCTCCACAGACTATTAGAGAAAAATCCTTCCCTGCCTCTTCCAGCTTCTGGTGGTTCCAGGCATTCCTTGGTTTGTGGCTGTGTAATTCCATTACTTGCCTCAGTCTCTATATGACTTTCATATCTGTCTCTCTATATCTCACCCCTGTACCTTTCTTTTTTTTTTTCTCTTGTTGCCCAGGCTGGAGGGCAGTGGCGTGATCTTGGCTCACCGCAACCTCCACCTCCCAGATTCAAGCGATTCTCCTGCCTCAGCCTCCCGAGTAGCTGGGATTACAGGCATGCGCCACTACGCCAGGCTAATTTTGTATTTTTAGTAGAGGTGGGGTTTCTCCATGTTGGTCAGTCTGATCCCTGTGTCTTTTATACGGATACTTGTCATTGAGTTTAGGGCTTACCTGGATAATCCAGAATGATCTCATCTCGAGACCTTTAATTTAATGACATCAGCAAAATCCCTTTTTCCAAATAAGATCATGTTCATGGGTTCCAGGGGATTGGACATAGACATATCTTTCTGGGGTGTAACCATTGAATCCACTACAAAAAGCATGCTCAAAGGACTCATGAATGACAAGCTAGTCCTTGAAAACCTGTGCTGTCTGCCATTTTCCTTTTCTGTTCTGGCTGCCTGGGGTGATGTTTCCTGTCGCAGCTAATGCCGCAAGTGATAGCTCTACCTCCAGTGACCACTAAGGCAGGACAGTCAGCAAGAAAGCCAGAGATATTGTTATAGAAGAATTTTAGACAAATTCGTTTAACAGACTTTATTTGATCAAAGAACAACTCGTGAATTGAGCAATACTCAGAACCGGAAGAGGTTTTAAGAGCTCCACCCAGCAGTGTAAGCAGTAAGCTTTTATAGGATGAACACAGAAGAAAAATAGAAAAAAAATCATCTGATTGGCTTCGGCTAGGCATTTGCCTTTTTGGGCCACGGCGTGTTGAGGCATCTGCCTTATTTGAGCATGATCTGATCAGTTGGCTCCCTGTGATTGGCTTGATGGTCAGCTGTTTGTGATTGGTTGAAACTTGGCTACTCGCAAGAAGAAAATATACTCCTAAGTTAGGTTTTGGCTTGTTTATGTACTAGATTAGGTTGTGGTTTGTTATGTAGGACCTCAAAATATGAGACAGTCCCAGGCCAATGGTCTCCTGCTTATTTAATTTAACAACACAAGATTGCAAATTTCTGAAGGTGGGTCCTTAATAGCTATGCCTAGTGTGCTGTCTCTAGGCTACGCTGAAGCTTCTGGTACCTCATCTGTTAGTGGATGTTAAGTGTGGTGTTGCACTCTCTTCTTTAATTGCCGAAAGAGGAGTTAGCTTTGGGCCTCATCATTGCGAGGAAAGAACTGAGGCTTGGAGGGCTGAATTGAAGATTAATCTGAATGACTAACACTATGTTGTTTCCAAAATCACCCCCTGTTCCACTTTGAAACAAACTTGTGTTTTCTCAGTTTCTCCCCGAAAGGAAAAGTTTCTCACCAGGAGTGTCGTGGTGCTTTGTGTATATAAATCCTTGCTGGGTCCATATCTATTCTCCACACATGCCTGGAGTCGAGGCTGAATCATTTATTATTTATTCCCCAGCATGATATAGCTTTATTGCTTATGTTCACTGGGGTTTGGGAAATAAAGACTCAGGAAGCAGAAACACACCAGCTACAAGAGTCTGACATTTGTTTATGAGCAGGACAGCCTTGACTTATTATTCTACTTCTTCTCTTGCGTCTCCGGGAACAGATCTAAGAAGTGGGACCTTGTATGCAGTCACTGAGACAGCTGTTCCCATGAAAATCAGGGCTCATGGAGGACATGCAAATGCTTCTCTGTCAGTCTTCAGCCTGCTTGCTCTGCCTTCTGCTTTCCTGGTGAGGATTAAAAGAGGATTTCAGAGCTCTCCTTCAATTTGATGCCATCATTTTGATGTCTATGCCACCCGTAACTCCAATTTCTAAACTTGAGAGCTGTACAGGCCTGTTACAAAGTGGTTACCTTTTAACCACTAACTTCCGAGAAAAAACTTGGATCACTGAGGAGAGAACGAAGACAAATACAATTGAAGCCCCAGGTAGTTTTCCTGAGGCCTCATGATTTCTTTTGGCAGAGAAACCTATGATAGCTGGTGGCCACTAGGGGTCCCCAGAAGGCTTTTTTAATGAACAAGAGGCACCCGCGCTCCTCACCCCTCCCTTTCCTTCCCACAAATGCCAGGGGTAAAAACAACTTTAAGCTCTGACGTCAGCCAGCCAGGGGAGCCACCCTGTTGTGCCCATAGGTATAGCTAAGCTTCTGAGAACTGGGGCCTGGTGCTTTCCCTGGCAGCCCAATTTTCAGCTTAAATCATTGCCTTAATGTTATTTTAATGTGCTTGGGGTCCCTGGGGGACAGAGTGGGTGGCAGGGGAACAGCATTTAATTTCCTTTGGAGTTTGGAATGTGCCTGACACTTCTTAAGTACTTGAGTGAATATGAGAGTCTGTAATCCTTGCAAGAGCAAGCAACTTTGGGGGCCTTCTTATTTGGCAAGCTTCAAGACAAAGTTAAATTTTTGCTAGGAGAGAGGGAAAAAAGGAAATAAACATGTATTAAAAGTCTGATATATGCCATGGGCTTTACATTTATTATATTATTAAATCTCAAAAATAACCTCATCCAGTTGGAATTATTGTTCTAAATGCTAATATTAGGAAGGAGACATTCAGATTAAACAATTTGCCTACTGTTTACAGCTGATAAATGACCCAGGTAAGACCACAGCACTGGTCAATTAGGATCCGCAATCCAGGCTATGCTCTCAGTATCCTTCAGCCTTCTGGTTTTACTGTGAGGGCTCTCACAAAGGAATCTACTCATTGTTTTACCTGAAGCTTTTAAAGTACATAACCAAATCCAAACCTATAAAGGTGAAATAGCACTTTTCTAGATAATAAAATTAAAGCCTGAATGTAATCAAGCAAATGCTTATTAGGGATATTTTGTCCACCAGGTGCTATGTCTAATGCAGGTTCTGTTGAGGGCCTCATGTGCTTAATTCAGAGTAAAAACAAACAAACAAACAAAAAACACTAATGTTAGGGCAAATGTATTATTTTGACCAGAATGACATAGATTGGCTGTGTCCACATCAACTAAATAAAGTGAGCAATTATCTGATGAATTGCTGCTGAAGAGAAACACTTGATTCTTTACCACATTACCAAAAGGGTAGATTGACAAATAAAGAAGAATGTATCAGGCTTGAAGGTTGGCCAAAAATTGCCAGTCAATACTCTGGAAGTTTAGCAACAGGGAAATATCATAAGGGTTTATTTGAATCAGCCCTGTCACAGTGCCCAACCCAGTGCCTGGTGTAGTGTAGGCTCTCCGTGAAGGCAGAATCAACGTTGAATGATGTTTTTAAAAATGTTTATAGGCCCACTGTGAACATCCCAGTCTCCCTTCAGCTGAAGTCACTTTATGTTGACTCAAAACAATCTGCCCTCCAAACGAAAGTGTAAAATAAGAAACCAAGGCTTAGACGCTTCAAACACCAAAGCACCCTCTTCTTATATTCCTCCTAATTGTTAGTAGAGTAAGGTGTTTGGCTATTATTAGTCTCCCAGTGCTTACGTATTTGCTGGAAATATGCCTCATCCTCATGTATTACACCTTCTGCATAATCTAGTTTTATCATGTAGAAATTCCAAGGATTTATGAAGGTGAAATGACTCTGAAGTCCCTTGGATGAGGCTTATTAAGTGGCCCATTTCTTCTGAAATTCAGGGAGCTGAACTACAGCAAGGATGGATTGCCAAAATACATATTATGTAATTTTAAGTCACTTGCGCATGACTAAAACCTTAACCATGGTCAACGTAGGAGAAAATGATAATGATGTAATTTATTTGTGCTCACGTTACCATCTCCCCACCCAACAGTGCCTTAAAATAGATACAACGGATAAACTAGTAGAACCCTTTTTAAAAACATCAATGGCCACTTTCAAAGGAAAACAAAGTAAGGAAAGGAAAAAGAAGATCTGAAAAGGAACATTCAAAGGTGGGGTCTTAATTTCATCTGTGCTCATGGGAGACAGGGGGTGACATCATTTGGTAGAGAAGATGTCTGAAAATTCAGCCTCTTGAAAAGAACAATGTCAATCTATTCTCACTTTTAAAATTTGAAAAAGAGGAATGGTAATAACAACATTTACCATTTATTGAGCCTTCTTATGTGCCAGGTTCTAACCCGAACTGAAATCTAAAATAATTTCTCTTGAATCCTTAGAAGTTTGATGTTATTATCCTGATGTGTATGAGGAAAAAACTTAAAGAAGTTAGTATTTGCCTACCCTCCTACAGCTCATGAGTTTTGATGGTTTCTTGAGTTGTTGGGAAGATTTGCTAACACTGGTGGTCTCACTGTGCTTTTTCACTGGGGCATATGGTTATGGGTTAAAGAGTGGTGGCCTTGGCTTAGGGTTAACAAAAGTAATATTAATAGTAGCTGCAAGTTATTGAGTGTCCACTGTGAGCCAGTCTCTTCACGCTTATCATCTCTTAATTTTCACCAAATTATCTGCAAGGAAAGTTTTATCTTTTAATTTTCACAGAGGAAAGAAAGTTGACTGAGGAAACTGAGGTTTATGTTGCAAGAAAGTGATGAAACCAGGATCAAAGCCAGCTTTGCCTGTGTTCTTTCCACCTTCCAGTCCCCGCTGTCCTGTGAGGATAATTAGCAAACGCAGACGTGCTCGCTCGCACAGAACACGCTCCCTCTGGTGGAAGTCAGAGAGGTACACAATGAGGCCCTTGTATGAGTCAACCCTTTCTGGGTTTCAGGAGAATCTGACCTTGTTTCTTACTTTGTCATCTCCTGTTGCTTAGCTAGAGACCCTAAATATGCATCTTCTATTTGTGACTCTGTTTTTCTGTTTTGCTTATTATTATTAAAAATAGCTGACAAAACAAACAGTAGGGCAACTTACAAAATATGAATGAATGACACATACCCACAGTCTCTCCTTTTTTTTTGTTTTATTTTGTTTTCTTTCCCACTTTAGACACTTTGGGTGGTTAGCAAAATCTACCAGAATATATCTTACTTGTTTTCAGGATCTGTCAGAAAATTGTTATGTTGTCTTGGATCCTGAGCCTGCTGTTTTGCCCACACCCTTGTTTGGCATGAGGTGAGACTAGGAATAAGAGAATAAACAGTTGCTTGTACAACATTTTCATAGAGAGGAAGTTATTATATGACACCCAAGCAGAGAAACTCTTCTTCTTAATCCAGGATGACTGAGGAGGCCAGAGCTCTCCTTTTTGCTCTGGAACCATGAGCCTGCATTCCCTCGCTGCCTTTGGCACCTTGGCTTTCTACCTTCATGTTCTGAATATGTTGTGTTTTTCTCTCCCATTATGCTGTAAACTTGGCAATAGTGGGGACCGAGTTCCCTAACTGATTTTATCCTGTTTCTAGTAGTAAAAGGTTTTCAGTCAGGCTTGGTGGAAACAAATATAAAGAAGATAAATAGATTGGATATGAGTTCAAGTACCTGACAAGGAATTTGGACATTCTTTTATAGTCCAGTAGTTCTTAAACTTTTTTTTTTCCTAGGCCAGCGCCTGGGGATGTGATACACTCTGACCAGTGATTATTATCCTCTTTTCTTGAGTGCATGTGAGTGTGTTTTGTGGGGAGGGGAGAAGAGCAGGCACAGGCAGCCATCTAGTAAAAAGTTCCAATGAGAGGCATCTAGTTTTTGAAAAAAAAAAAAAAAAAAAGAAAAGAAAGAAAAAAAAAATCCCTTCATGGCATGTGAAAACCATCCTCCCAGCCCTGACCAGGGCGGTGGAGAGAGTGAAGAGCCACTGAAGTTTTTGAGTGGGAACATGGGAAGATGAGACGTATTTTTGGAATACCATTGTTCAGGTGTACTGGGCTCGGAGTGGGCATGAACTCAGAGATAGGAGGAAACTATAGTCCCTTTATTTTAATGCTGTGAAAATCTGAGCTATATTGTGGATAAGGAGCTGAAGAGGAGGGGTGAATGTGAGACATACAATGAAGGAATAATTGATAAGGGGAAGAAAGGAAGAATCATTACTACCTTTAGAGAATCTGAGCTTCCCTGATGGGGATAGAGTGATTCCATTAATAGTTACAGGGTAGTAAAATGGAAAAGCCAGGGCAGAAGACGTTTTCACTTTCTTAAGTTGACATCGGTTAGAATTAACTCTTGTTTAATTTTCATATTTGTAAATAGTTTTGTAGTCAAGCATTCCTCCTTACAAATATTTATTTTGTTGGAGGATGTTTAGTTTGCTAGGTACAAATAATTTGATGGCACAACTGTTTTTGCATGTTTCATCCTCTCTGAATTAAGACTCTTTATTTTTCATGAAATCTTTATTGATGCTAACATGTGAGAGTGAATACTTACAGAAATATGTGTGAGTGATGACAGTTTGAACAGATGGAATTAGTCAAATTCTCTTAAGTTCAGATTCATGTCTATAGATCAGTTTCTACAATCCAGATCATAGTCCTTTCTTTTATGGGGAAAATATCCCATGGCTTAATGGGGCAGATACTCTTCAAAGATAGCTGTCAAATCCTCTCCTTTCTTTATGCATGTGCAGCTTTTTTCTATCAGGAGGTGGGTTCTATCTCTCTTTTTCTGAATCTCGACAGGCTTTGTGACAGGCTTTAACCAATAGGAGGTGGCAGAAGTGAAGCTCTGCTGCTTCAGGGCCTTGCCATTAAGAGGCTTGGCAGAGTCTGCTTTTGCTGTCTTGGATCTCGTCCTCGATGCCGTAAGGAAATCTAGGCCATCCTGCTGAAGAGGAAGGTCATGAGGAAAAGCTCTTGAAGATGGGAAATCACGGAGAAAGAGACGGCGTGTGAGGGAGAACCAAAATGCCCCAGCTAAGAGCCAGCACCACAACTGGAGACATGCTCAGCCCCTCCACCTGCTGAGTGCACCACACAGAGCAGACACAATCCAAGCAATAATTAATCACTGTTTGCATCATTAAGTGTTAGGTTGGTTTGTACATATTGGTTAACTTACTTACTTATCTACTTAAAATTCCTTTTTATCATGTAATGATTAAAAGAGAAAAAAATGTAGGTTACAATGCATGATAATAAAACAAGACTTATGTGAACTCCCCAAGTGAGAACTAGAATATTTACAAAACTATTGAAGCTAAACCTGTGGCCCAATCAGAGATAATCACCTGATAATCAATTTGGCTATCCCCTTGCTTAAAAAAAAAGCATCGTCATTTATCTGTCACCAAATAACATAGCAATTAATTGAAGCAGGAATCTTTGGAGAAAGCTGTGTTCTGAGCCCTATCTCTTTGCTAATCTCTGAAAGGGAGGATATATGGGGATTATAGCTTAACTTCAAGACTTGAAAAAGAGATTTCAAGTGGATGACTCAGAGAGCTCTGCCTGTGCCCCCTGCCTCTGGGAGTTGAGTGGACAGAGATGGACTGGCTAACTGCTTTCTTTGGTGGCATAGCCAGGCGAGTTTCTGTTGCTGAGGTATTAGCCTGCATTCCCAAGGTTTATCAAAGAAAAGGTAGTGCTAGAGTTTTTCATGGACCATGGGCATTGAGAGAGAGAGAGAAGTTTTTAGTTGTGACCAGTATGAGCATCCAGAGAGCCAAAGAGACCCCAGCAGCAAGAAACCAAGTTCTGAGGTTCTCAAGGGTTGGTGAAGGAAAATTAAATAATAACCCAAAAGAGAGACTCACAAGCTTAGTTAGAATAACTGCAGGACAGAGGGCCCCAATGATACAAATCTCTGAAAAGCCCAGGAGAGCCCCCACAAGATAGTTTTCTTTAAACACCTGCCAGGTCCAGAAGGCCCAAAGACAACTCATGATCATACTAGTCCAAGTCACACATTTCTTACACTCTTTCATCTCCTCTCTCTGTTCAAAGACAGAGGAGATGAGCAGACCCTCTTGCTGCTCAAAGTGTGGTCCCAGGACCAGTAGTAAGAGCATCACTTTAGGGCTTCTTAGAAATGCTGAAACTCAGGCCCCACCCAGATCTATTGAATCATCTGCATTTTAACAAGATCTCCAAGTGATCTGAATATGCATTAGGGTCTGAGGAGTATGGAAAACCCAAGTTGGTGTTCACAAATTGGTAGACGTGCAGTGGGGAAAGCTTCCTGGGAATGAGAAAAATCAACACTTGAAACAGAGGAAAGCCTTTCTCATTAAACAAATCTTAGAGGGAAAGTGGGCAATGAAAGTAAAGTTGCATTTCATTTACATCCCTCATGTTGTGTGTGTTCTAAATATCAAGCATAGCCATTTGATAAAGGCTAGTTTATTTCTTCCCTTTTTGACTTTTATAATAGTTGTTTCTCAAACTGTAGTCTGCTTCAGAATCTCCTGGGCTACCTGAGCTTCAGAGCTAATGACTTGGACTTTGGACTCCACCTGTTTTGGTTTATTTTTGTTTTTTTTAGAGAAAGAGTCACGCTCTGTCACCTAGGCTGATATGTAGTGGCATGACCTTGGCTCACTGCAGCCTTAAACTCCTGGGCTTAAGCAATCCTCCTGCCTAGGCCTCTCAAAGTGCTGTGATTATAGGCATCAGCTGCTACTCCAGTCCTCATCTGCAGTTTCTATAAGCATCCTAGGTAATTCTTATATACATTAACACTTAGGATGACTGATCTAGCACTCGCTGGGTCCCTAGACTTTGTCCTGTGGCTGCCATTTCTTTCTCACCCTATGTTCCTGTATTATTACTCTAAAGCTGGTCACATCAAAACCATGGGAGAGGGGAAGATCAGCAATGAGAGGAAGGGAGGGTAAATTCCATACTGTTGCTGAATGAAGACCATTACCCTCAATCTTTTCCCAGCTTCTGCTCTCTTGCTTTGTGTATACATAATCCCATCTTTCTGTCCTAGCCCACCTGAGTTCCCTGTCTTCTAACCCTCTGATAGCCTTAACACACACTAGGAAGCACAACCTGAAAATGGGGTAAATCCACTTGCCCTGCAGCAGTTTTGGGGATTGGGAGGACCAGCTCTCCCTGCCAGGGCTGTATTTATAGGTGGAGGTGTGTTCTCAAGCCTAGCTTGGAATGCCAAATGAATTTTGTTACAGAACCTAATGGAGTGTTATTACTTACACTTTAGATCAGAACTGTGGACTGGTCTGAGAAAATGGCCAATATTAGCAATGGTTTTTAGTGAAAAATCTATCAATTTGACTTACGAATTTGGGAGACTTTAACCCATTTTCAAACAGGGAACTGCTTCTGATACTGTGTCAAAGCTTGCAGAAGTTAAGGTGAATCTGTTCATTCACAGCCTCCTTGGGATATGATAACGTCTTTCTAAACAGAAGAAACTTAGCGACATCTCAGTAACACCTAAAGATGCCTCAGTCATTGGCATATGGCCACTCTGAATATGATATGGTGTTAAATTCACCAGAAAGACCAGCTTGTCCTAAAAAGTATATTTGTGGTTCTGAATGCAACTCTCATTTGTAAAAAGGATTCCAGAATCAAATGTCTAATCATTTCTTTTTGTTTAAGATAGGCTTTGTGATATTTCTTAGGCTGTAGGGGAGGTAGAAGGCTGAAGGCTGCAGGAAGATAATGGGCGTGTGGAGAGCCCTGCTGGGGCTCTGTCTGAGCTCCTCCTGGGAATAGCTTCCCTAGAGAATGGAACTCCATGGCCTCCACATTTCTGAGGGATTACCACAAACGTGGTTGCTGTCAGGAACAAAGCAAAAGGCAGAGTGATCCCAAAGCCCTCTTGCCCGGAATGTCCTGCTGCTGACATGAAGTGAAACTTACAGAGGAAGGAAATGTCATTTTCACACAGTTAACCACAGGTGTACAGAGGGCCCCTTGGTGTCTTTCTTATCTTTTCCATGAGCACCTCACATCCACAGGGAGAGGAGCCAATTCTCTCTAACAGCCTTGGAAAAATACTTGCTCACCAGTGAAGGTTATGTGAATCCTACATAGAGTTTCATATAGAATTTGGGAAGAAGCAATTTGGAAGACTTGATTTGGGAAACTGTAATGTTTCTCACATAAAATAGAGTCATGTATATTGCATTTTAATAAAATAATGTGTTATGTGGATAAATGTAACCTATTATGCTTGAATATTTATAAAATATTTCTTCTCTAAAGCGATGTGGTTTAGTGAAAGAAACATGCACGTTAGAATGAGTCAGAGATAGGTACAAATTCTGATTTACCTACTAGGGAGTTAAGTGTTTTGGGGCAAATCATTGGCAGTATATCAGAAATTTTCATCTACAAAACAGAAATAGTAATAGCAATCTCACAGGGCTATTGTGGGATTAAATAATAGAACAACATTTAGCATATACCTGCACATAACAAAGACCCAATAATATTTGTTTAAGACATTTCCAGTCAAATTCTATTTTCATATATACAGTAAGTTAAAAGCATCTTCCTGTTAACAAAATCAATTAATTGTGGTCAAAATATTAGGAATGTTTAAAGTACAGAATTTTATTTCATTTTTTAAAAAATGGAGTCAGGGACTCACTCTGTTGCCCAGGCTGGGGTGAAGTGGCACAATCATAGCTCACTGCAGCCTCCAGTTCCTGGTCTCAAGCAATCCTCCCACCGCAGCCTCCAGAGTAGCTGGAACTACAAGAGTTCACCACCAAGTCTGGCTAATTATAAAATTCTTTTTATAGAGATAAGGTCTCACTAAGGTTCCCAGGTTGCTCTTGAATTCCTGGCCTCGAGTGATCTTCCCACTTCAATCTCCCAAACTGTTGGGATTACAAGTGTAAACTGTCACATCCAGCCCATAATTTATTTATGATGGTGACCTATTCTATGGGCTAATGGAATATATTTATTTTATATTTTGTATTTAATTAGGTTTCTTGATTGATTACCCATCATGGATTGAAAAGTTATGTCAAGACCTAAAGGAATAAGGAAATCTCCATGAACTATATATAAGTCTAAAAAATAATGTAATGATAGTGAAGAGTAAAAGATATTAGATTGAATGAAAAGTTGATTACTTGATTGCTCCCAAGCTTCCTTTTTTTCCTGAACCTCAAATAAAGCTAAATTCTATTGTTTTTCATTTTAAGTTCTCAGGAAAATAGGAAAAAAATTAACAACATGAGGGAAGTTGTAAGACATGGGAAATGATAGAGTGCTTTACACCCAGGCCTGTGTAGACTGACTCCCCTGCTGAGATGGTAAGTAGGAAACCTCATTGTATTTTCTCCTCTACTTTTAGTTTTGAGGGTATTTTGAAACTTACCAAATGTTCTTATGTCTCTATTTTGTCAACGGATGACCACCTTTGATAATGACTCTTCACTCTGGTCATACTTCAGAAGATGCCAACAGGACAACAGAGCAGCAGGTGCCCTGCCTCAGGTGGACAGCCTCCAATCTTGGTGATGACTATACATTGTGTCTTCTTCCACATATCCATATAAATCTCATACATATTCATTTTTACTTTAAAATTTTATATTTGTATATTGAAATATATTTACTTAAGAAGAACATACTAAGTGCCTATGTGTGGCTTTGTATTATGTCAGCTTCACTAAACTGGAAGTATGTTTTCCAGACTTCACTTTCCTGTATGTTTCAGGGTAAGGGTTGTCCACAAGAGAAATTTTCATAAGATTTGGGAAACAGAAAAGAAGCACAGCCATTTTTGCATGCTCTGAAATTT
Organism: Homo sapiens; assembly: GCF_000001405.40. NCBI lineage: Eukaryota > Metazoa > Chordata > Mammalia > Primates > Hominidae > Homo > Homo sapiens. Next base: position 100,103,170 of record NC_000004.12, read on the forward strand.
GGTGCATGGTGCCAGTCATGACGGCAACCTGTGCATGCTGTCACTGATCTGCTTGGCCTACCTGGGTGGCCAGGTGGATAGCACCTGGGTCTGCAGCTTCTCCAGTTCTTGCTGGATTGTCTGCTCTGGACATTCTGTTTCCTAGCTCTATGTCAATGGGGATTAGCTTCTCTTGCAGGTTACCTGTGTTGTCGAGGTTGGAGGTAGTGAGAGACAGATACTGGTTCCAGTCTATCCTTGCTCTCTCCCACTTTGCATCCAGCTGTTCTTCCCAACTAGTGTTCCAGCTTGCATATTGCAATCTCAGGCCCCACATCAGATGCAGAGGAAAGATCTAGCTACTTTATTTTACATTAGTCATAGTAGTACTGCTTTTCTGGTTGATCCCTGACTGATATAGCCTATATATGTCAGACACTGTGCTGGGTTTGGAGATAGCAATGGTGAGCCAGTTCAGTATTGACCTTTTTTATAGAGCTTAAAGTCTAACTTAGGATATTATTATTATAATACAAAAGAAATAACATGTTATTTTTAATTTTCAATCAAGCTGAGGTTATTTAATAATGCTTTCATTTTTATAACCCTTTTTTACTTTTCAAAGAGCTTTCTTGTTATTTGCTCACTGTCACATCTTTGCAGCTGTGGAGAAGACTAAGCAGAGATTTAAGAATACTCCTATCCCAAGGTTGCACAATTTGTAAGTGGCAGGAATGTAGTCTTCTGATTCATATTCCAGTGCTTGTCTTAATGTGAAAGTTATGAAAATAAATCAAATTTTGTACTTTCATGGAGCAAATGTTACTATCAGATCAGTTGTGTCTACATTTCACCAAAATATTTACCAATCCAGAAAAAAAAATAAGCCAATATGAGATACTTGGCACCACGTAGGAAACCACATTGGATTTCTCAGTTTTCAAACAATTATCCTGATGTCAAGAAGATGTGACCCCAGAAATATGAAAAAAATAAAATGTCAGTTGTCTTGGTGACCTTTCTTTTGATGCTAAGCTTCATATAATAGGCATCTACAGGTTTCACTTTTAGACTGTGTTCTTCTACAGAGTGGCAGGAGAGATGCTGAAATTTGTGCCAATATTTCACTGGAGGTGATCATTTTCAATCTATGTACATAGGGACACAGCTGGAGTGACAGACACTTCTGCCAATTATGACACCTAGATGGATTTTGACAGAAAAATGACAGTCATGACAGCATTTCCTCCAGAGCCTAAAAACTGTGAGTAGGTCAGAAGAGTTATCCAGTAGGCTGTAGATTCTGTCTCCTTCTAAGCAACCAAAAGCAGGGTTGTTCCCCTCTGTGATGTCATTCCCTGAGAGTCAGAGTATGTGTCTATCATCCTTAATGTGGTTTTAAAGACATTTTATTATAAAGTTAATATATACTGGTTTGTAAAATTAAACTCTGTAGAAGGTTGTGGAGAAAAAAATATCTCCTATTTCCCCACCCCTATTTCTACTTCCCAGAGTTAGTCATTCTCAAAAATGTATATATATACACATGTATATGTATGTGTATATATATACATTTTTGAGAATGACTAACTCTGGGAAGTAGAAATAGGGGTGGGGAATATATATATGTATATATGTATATATATGTATATATGTGTATATATGTATATATGTATATATGTGTATATGTATATATGTATATATGTGTATATGTATATATGTATATATGTGTATATGTATATATGTATATATGTGTATATGTATATATGCTCTTTGTATGTGGGATTCATTCTTCTCCCTGCATCTCAGCTCTAACCTCCTCTCCTCAGAGAGGCCTTGCCTGACCACTCACTGTACAAGGTAATTCCCCAGTTATATTCAGTCTCCTCATGCTGTTTATTTCCCTCATAGCCTGAATCACAATGGCTCTAATTTGTTCTTTCCCATGGTCTTTCTCACTAGAATGTAAGCTCTACAAAGAAAGGGTGCTTGTCTGGCTTGCTTACTGCAATTTCTTCTCTAATCAAGATGTTGTTAAGGGTGTCATTCATTGCATTATGCAAAGTCTTCTTTATTTCTTTCTGGATTTTTTTTTTTTTTTGATGGAGTTTCGCTCTTGTCACCCAGGCTGGAGTGCAATGGTGCGATCTTGGCTTACTGCAACCTCCGCCTCCTGGGTTCAAGTGATCTCCTGCCTCAGCCTCCTTAGTAGCTGGGATTACAGGCACCCACCACCACAACAGGCTAATTTTTGTATTTTTAATAGAGATGGGGTTTCACCATGTTGACCAGACTGGTCTTGAACTCCTGACCTCAAGTGACCCAACCGGCTCGGGCTTCCAGAGTGCTGGGATTACAGATGAGAGCCACCATGCCTGGCCCATTCACTGCAATTTCTTAGTGCTTGTCAGAAGCATTCAATAAATATTTGCTGAATAAATTGTTGAATGAATGGGATCCTGATAAATTTCTTAGTTCCAGATGCTGCTGAGGATAGGCCTCGGTACTTGTGTACTGTAGGATAATTCTGTGCCCTTGTATTGAACCCCTCCTTCTGAGCAAGTTTGAATGGGAGTTCTATAAAATCAAACATGTTTTGATAATTTTTCCCACTAATTTATATATAACTATGAGAGAAACATTTAATAAATATATAAATATTTGCCCAAAGGAACACTGTTGCACATACAAAGATATGGCACTATCAAATACAACCATTGAAGGCAGGCAGCTTTCCCAAGTGGAAGCTTACAGTTGCTCGTTGGATGATATACAAAATTCCTAATTAGGCATATAAAAAATGGTGCTGTTGTTTCAACGTTCAGTTTGTTTGAAAGTTCAATGCACAAAGTCATATACCCCCAAGGCTGTGTATGTCAAGTTAACCTGACAGAGAGCTATTCTGTTTGTGCCAACTTTATGAATTTCCTCTAAACAGCAGTGATTTGTCTAAAAAACATCTCCTATCTGTATGTATGCAGAAAAGCTGTGCTCACTGAGATGTCTAGATTTATTGTTGATGCATTATTATGGTCTTGAACTCCTGGGCTCAAGTGATCCTCCTACCTCGGCCTCCCAAAGTGCTGAGATTACATGCATGAGCCACCATGCCTGGACAATTTTTTTTTTTGCTTATGAATTCACCTTATTTTATATATAAGGCAAATGATATAATTTTGCACTTCACGTTTTAACAATCTCTTTATTTATTTACTGTATTGAATTTAAGCTGGACATATGGGATTGCCCATTTTACAAGTAAAGCTCAAGAAGCTAAATGCTTTCCAGAGTTTACAATGAGTGAGGGACAAACACTGGGATGAGGGCCTCCAACCATCCAACCATCCAACCATCTCATCAAAAGAGTAATTAAAAATTATTCATGCAGGATTTGCAAAGAAAATAGAAAAACTGGGTTCTGCGCCCTTAATCCAACACCTTCCTAAAGGATATAAAAGAGTTGAGGTTGAAGAAAGAGAATGAGGAAGTATCTTTGTGGAAAGTTGTCGGAGGCCTGTGGCATTTTCCTTCCCCTTCCCTTCAGGGATGTAGGTAGGGAAGTGCTTTCTTTTCAGCTCAAGTCTAATGAGAATACTTTTGAAGGGGCTGAATTCAAGCTTACTATGTGTCTCCTGGAATTTTGAGGATACACAGGAGACTGGTGGTTGACTTGCACTGAAAAAAAAGAAAGGCAGATATATCAGGAATTGCTTATGATGGCAGAGTGAGGACAGTGGGCAGTGCTGGAGCGTGGATTGATGTGGGAAGAATGTATGAGCTCCTGCTGGCCAGGTGGCTGCCACAGAAGGCAGCCAGGTGAAAGCTATGTGAAAAACCCTTCCCAAGAGGGAAGCCTGCCAGGATGGGAGACCAAAGCAGTAGGAAGCTATGGGTCTACACTAGGGCAGGGAGGTAGGAAGTAGAGGATACAGAAAGGTTAGTTGGAGGATGTATCACCCTTGAGGAAATGGTGCAGTTTAGTGTTCAGCTCTAGTGATCCACTGTGGTCAGAAAGCACCAACGTTAGACCACAACAGAACTACTCTAGCAAGACCTTTGTTTCTTTTTTGTCTTCACTTCCTTGCCAGCCTGCCCCAGTGGGTGGGGATACTGTGGTAAAGGTTGGATGGGGTGAAACAATTAGAAATGTGGCAAGGGACTTGAGGGAAGAACTGGTACCATGGAAACAAAGAAGGTTGGCCAGACATCCCAATCCCTTCCCTGCTGCAGATTTCTGCCTGAAATATGTCTGAACTAACAAACAGAAGTAAGAGTATTACATTAAATGGGACTGCTATTATGTCTAAAAGTAACTGAAAAAACTATGTGACCCACTCAAGTTCTTATCCAGGCACAAGAAGAAAGGTAAGAGGGTTTGCAGCAGGTATTTGTGATAAAGAATAGACTTGGAGTTTCCACGCTTTTGAATTCTATTTGTTCAGCATAATAGTTACATAAACAATTAGATACAACATGATAATTACATATAAAATTTAAGCAATAATAAGTATAGTTTAATAATACATATTTTTAGTTTCTGGCTTGGGGACCACACTGTGAAACCCATTCACCTAGACCCCAGTCTAACTTGCTCCTCCCCAGACCATGGAATTCTGCTTGTCACCAGTGAAATTTCAAGTGTCATTAGTTTTAAAGACTATTTCTGCTTGTGCCACTTATGACCAACCTTAGCATTTCCTTTGCTAATACTCCTATGACCTCTTAGAATCTTGTGGGTTTTGATTGCTTTTCCTACCCGAAAAGAAAGATGTAATATTTTTTAGCTGAATTTTTCTTTTAAGATAAGTAGACTTTATGGTGTTAGCAAACAATACTTATTGAAGACTTTTCCATTAATAAAACAAAATAAAGCAAAATAATACAAAGATCCTTCTACTTATACCTCAGGTTACCTTCCAGAAGCTACCTTGTAGCAAAAGAATCACCCGGCGGTGTCTGCAACTACCACTTCCCATGGAGTGGCTAACTGTAATTTTTGCTGTTGTTCATTTAATTTTCTCTGCCAATCATATTTACATTTAAAACAGTAAAAAGAATTTTTCCTCTTTTGGAAGGAAAAGGTTACTTTTTCAGTAAATGTTTTCTTTATAGAAACGTAGGCACACACATTAAAGATTTTCCTGTCAAACAAGGATACCACAGACTCAAATCTCAATTAGGTTTTAAAATATTCCAGATTGTACAACTTCTATGTCTGCATATTTTATATCACAAAGTCAGGTGTCTCATTTTGCTCAATTTCTCTACTTACTTGAACCATCATTCCAACTCCAAGTGGTACATCCTTGTGCAGTACCATGCTTTCTAACAGATGATAGAGTTGTCACTCTGTTTAAGGCTTGCATAGTTTTGGTGTATGTTATCGACATGTAGAGATTATATGCAGATGGCAGATTGTGGCCATCTTGCAAATATATTTCTATAATCATTTTTACAGATGGGAAATGCAATGATAAAAAAGGAAAGAATTGATTCTAAAGCACAGAAAATATGTTCAAACAGCTTCCTTCCCCAAAACAAACTTGACCAACTTTGCATCTGATCTTGGCATGTGCTCTTATGTTTAAGGCAGTGTTTGGTTTTCAGGTTTTCCATGGCTTTTTTCATGCCCACTACATTTCTTTTCTGATTTTGGCAGTTCTCATTAGGTATTTCAATGAATAGTCAAGAAATCATACAAATAGGAAGTAACTTTAGTGAAATTATGAGACTTAAGTTGAAGATGATTTGACTGCTTATAGCCAATATATGTCTGTCCCTACAGCTTTTTCTTTTTCTCCTTCTGTCCTGATACAATTGGCCATCAAGATTTTAAGTGTAGCCACTCTGGAAGATTCCCAGATGTCCCAGTATAAGAAAATGTGTACCCAGCATTTGAAGAACCCTGTTTTGAGATTTAATCCATTTGCACACTTGGTTAGCTCTGTTAATTCAATTACCTTAAAAAGTAGCAAAGATAAAATTCACCAGAATCTAATTTCATTTCATTTCCTTTCTCTCTTTCCTGAGTCTTATTACTGCTTTATTTGCAATTGGTTGGAATTTTAGAGAAATTTCCTCATTTAGAGAATCTTCTTCATTAAGTGCAAATCTCACAAAGTTTACATTTAAAACAACAAAAAGAATTTTTATCACAAATGCTACTCAATAAGGAGTCATAAAAATTTAGAGATAACTTTTTCTAGAAACCTTATTTTCTTTTCACTTCACATAAATCAGTTATTCTTTCTTTTAAGTTACTTCCTGAATAACAGAAACCTCTGTTAAATATACTTTTCTAAAAGTCCAAAATACAACCATGAAAAGTCTTTGAGAGCCCTTTCTTTCAGGCTGAGTCAACATGAAATAAAACTTTATAGTAGACTGAGATACTCTTGCCCTCTGCATATCTACCTTTGATGTCTCCCCTCTTATCCTCCAGTGATATATCAGGACAACTCACAGGTCTCACAGCTCCTCCAGGACACCCAGCTAATATATTTGCACAGAAAATATTACCTAAAAGTAAAGGAAATTCATCTCCTTATCTCTAAGAGGGGCTGTGTAACAAAATATTAAACAGGTTTACATACATACCACCCTACCGTAAATAGAAATTCCAACACTAGAAAACACTGGCAGATGGAAATGATATGGATAAATAGTTTCGTGCTGCCATTAAATTTCTTGGAAACTTCTAGAATGGCTACTGGGGCAGTCAAAGGTAGTTTCCTCTGAAGTCTTGGATGAGAGCAGTTTTTTGATCAAATAATTCACTTTCCTTTTTACTTTTAGCATGCAATGTCTTTAACACCCTTTCTTCTATAATCAAAAAAAATATTAACAATGTGTTTTAGGACATCTGCTACAGCAATAGCTGATTGGCCTAGAAATAGATAACTGACCCAAAGGCCATTAAGCCACGGACTGCTCAGCAGCCTGTCAGGGCTGGCTGTAACAGATGAGCCCAACCAGCCAGATTCTCTCTGGTGATAGTTTTGTATTAAGAAACCCAGAGACAACTGAAGCCAGCTACAGGACTTGAGCAGGAAAGTCACATGAACAGTTGTTGGAGCCATTGTTTTGGAGCCATATGTAAGATAATTAAACAAAGAAAGCAGATCGAGAGACTGAAGAATGAAGCCAACTCATAGAAAAAAGCAGATGAGAGAAATGATAAAGTCCTGGGATGGGAAGAGAGAGCTAGGACTTTGAGTTTCCTGGTGTTCGTATTCTAAGAAGGCCAGCTTGCCTTGCTTCTTGAGATTGAAATCCATGAAATCCCTGTATTCTCCTTTTTTTTTTTTTTCTAAACTCGAATTAATTTGAGAAGGTTTCTGTTCTTATATAGTAAGATAATATTTTGACATAGTAACTGAGGTTTTATTTTTGCTCCAGACTTCCTGTTCTTCTTTCCCCCTATTTTGGTAGCAGGGAGGGCCTTCTATGTTCATATCCATGGGTAGGGGTTTTAACCTCAGAAATAGAAAGTAAGAAAAAGATTCAAGGCTTAACACTTGAATTTATCAAGTAGACGTTCCCACAAATGCATGGCAAAGGCAATCACTTTGACAGGAAAGACTTTTCAAGAATCAAGGGCCAAGACCTTGGCATCCTTGGACCACAGAGGAGGACTGGAGGAAGGAAGAAACCCTGAAAGACTAAGATTTGCCAAGATCCTGATTAAACCAAGACATCAATGAATATGTCTGAGTATTACCTAGAAATGAGTGAATCAAGTTTTCTGCCATCAGGGGAAAATTGAGGCTTATGAGGAAAATAAATCTATTTATTGAAAATTTTAAATTTGAAGTAAAAAAGATATCAATTCTTCTATCTGAGTTTATAGCCTGTTAAAATCATACCCAGAATATCAAGCCATAAGAAAACACAGAAATTTCAGGAGGGAAGTTATACAAAGAATTAAGGCCAGGCACGGTGACTCACACCTGTAATCCCAGCACTTTGGGGGGCCAAGGCAAGCAGATCACTGGAGGTCAGACGTTTGAGACCAGCCTGGCCAATATGGTGAAACTCCGTCTGTACTAAAAATACAAAAATTAGCTGGGCATGGTGGCACACACCTATAATCTCAGCTACTCAGGAGGCTGAGGCTGAGGCAGGAGAATTGCTTGAACCTGGGAAGTGGACGTTGCAGTGAGCCAAGATTGCACCACTGCACTCCAGCCTGGGTGACAGAGCTAGAATTCATTTCAAAAAAAAAAAAAAAAGAATTAAAAATATTTCCTCCTCCAAACATGTACACATAACAGGTTGGGAAGGGCATTCTTGCATAAAATACTGTGGGAGTCCCCATCTATCACAGATCAGAATAATAGCTGACATTTACTGAATGCTTGCTACTATTTAGTTCTGAAATAAGAATTTTACCTAATATTTCATTTAATCTATATTTATCACAAGGCAGTAGGCTAATTAGTGTCCCGATTTTATAGATAAGAAAACTGAGGCCTAAAGACATCAATGCCTGTGGTTTCAAAGCCATCAAGCTAAGTTCTATTAAAATTATATTCCAGCTGCCTACCCTAAGACCATAAGCTCCTTTCACAAGGTCTGAGTCCTAGCACAATCAAAGATCTATCTTTGCTGTCATTTGTGAAGCACTTTGGCATCATGAAAAAATTATGGACTTTGGACTCAAATTTGAGTTTTAAATTTGGCTCCATTAAATCAAAGCATGAGAACTTGAGAAAGTTAATAAGTCTCTTTGAGCCTCACTTTTCTCAAATATAAAAAGTATTATGCTTCACTTGTAACAATGTGAGAATTAAGTCATCTAATGTATGTAATCAGTACATAGTATGTATTTGTTTTTGTTTTTGTTTTCTGAGATGGGAGTTTCACTCTTGTGGCCCGGGCAGGAGTGCAATGGTGCGATCTCGGCTCACTGCAACCTCTGCCTCCTGGGTTCTCCCACCTCAGCCTCCGTAGTATGTGTTTTGATGGGAGCTGCAATGGACTGAATGTTTATGTCCTCCCAAAATTCAATTGCTGAAATCCTGACTTCCAAGGTAATAGTATTAGGAGGTAGGGCACTGGGAGGTGATTAGGTTATGAGGATGGAGCCCTCATGAATGACATTAGTGCCCTTGTAATAAGGAAGGAGACCACCCCTCATATTGTCTTATGCCCAATTTCTGCCTCCAAAGAAGAAAAAGTAAAAATTAAAAGGCAGAAATGAAATCCACAAGTAGAAAGCCTGACGCCACACCCTGGGCCTGGTAATTAAAGATCGATCCCTGACTTAATCGGTTATGTTATCTATAGATTACAGCCATTGTATAGAAAAGCACTGTGAAAATCCCTATCCTGTTTTGTTCCGATCTAATTACTGGTGCATGCAGCCCCCAGTCACGTACCCACTGCTTGCTCAATCGATCACCACCCTCTCACGCATACCCCCTTAGAGTTATGAGCCCTTAAAAGGGCCAGGAATTGCTCGCTCAGGGAGCTCGGCCCTTGAAACAGGAGTCTTGCCAATGCCCCCAGCCGAATAAACCCCTTCCTTCTTTAACTCGGTGTCTGAGGAGTTTTGTTTGCAGCTGGTCCTGCTACAATAAAAGGGACTCTAGAGAGAACCCCTAACTCTCTACCAGGTGAGAAAACAGCAAGAAGGTGCCATCTATGAGTAGGCCCTCACCAAACACCAAATCTGGTGGCAATTTCCTCTTGGACTGCCCAGTCTCCACAACTGTAAAGAATACATTTCTGTTGTTTAAAAGCTACTGAGTTTACAGTATTTTGTTCTAGCAACCTCAATGGACTAAGACAGGAGCTATTATACACCTGATACCTACTTTATAGGGGACACTCAACAAACATTTGTTGAATAAATGAGTGCATAAAAACCACCCATACCCGAGCATTCAGAACACAATATTTATTTCATAAAATAAAGATTTTGAACTGAGAAAATAATATTTTTAGAGATAGCATTATCCTTTAACTGAATTGGAAGAAAAAGGAACATTCAACTGTTTACTGTCTCTTGATTCCTACCCATATTTTATTTAGAAAATATGCCCATATGAAAGATACCCTGGTGGTAAAGCATTAACAAATTAAACCAAATGTCATTAAGTCTGTCTCATTTCTCAATCATGTGGAACTTCAGTAGCTCCCACAAGTGGGCATACTAATTCACTGTGCTCTGTATTTTTCCATTTGTCAACTGCTTTCTATTTTGCTCTGCTTTTTAAATTAAGGATTGGCTACTTAGGCTGCAGAAGAATCCTTTTTTGCTGCCTTCTGTTTTCCAAAGTTTAACGGGAGGTGCCTCATTTGTATTTTTCAGATACCCCTGACTTGTCTTATTCATATTCATGAACCTTCCTGGTTGTTCTTTTTCTCTGTGAATTGCTCTTAACAGACCATTTTCCCTCAAACCCTTTGCATTCACAGTAAGCTGCTTCCAAAACCAAAAGGAACATTAGCAGCAGGTGAAATCTCCATTACTGGTGGTTAGAAAAGAATCCTAATTGATTTAAAATATTAAATATAATTTCCTCTAAATGTTTGCCCTAAATATTTTACCTACAGGTATTCAAATTCAGGTCTTTTCTTAAGATAAGAATGCTTCTATCTGAATAGGAGCCTTACAGTAGTAAGATAATTGTGATGGATTACTTATGTTGGGACTCAGAAAACGGCACCCTAAAGTATGCTGCTTTGACATGCTGAGTACTTTGAACTCAAGAAGATTGGAAGGCCTCAGAAGCAAGTTCTCTCTGACCTCCTGCCCTCCTGTCTCCTGCCCATTCTTCTCCCACAAAGCGAGTCACAGACACCAGAGTTCCTCTTCCCTAATGTGGGTTATAGAAACTAGAATCTCTCTCCCCCAAAAGCAAACCATAACACTTAGAAATATTACTGTAACCTTCCCCTGACTTTCTGTCTAGGAGCTGGCCACAAAGAAATTTTCTGACCTACTTTGTCTAATAGTTGGTCATAGACCCTTATTCCAGAGGGACATAAGATCCTCATTCCAGTTGGTCATAAGACCCCATACCTGGTAGAAAGAAATGCTACACAGAGGGGCCAAGAAGTATCTGGACAGGCTTTGCTGGGTGTCCCCCCACCCCCAATCTATAATCATTAGACTATATCTTTTTGTCCAACCATACTTTTATACAGCTATCCATTCGTCATTGAACTTAAGCAAAAAAAAAAAAAAAAAAAAGTTTTCAATGTATCTTTGGATCTTCATTTCTGAAAGCTCCCACATCACATAAAACTTTGATTAAATAAATTTGTTATGCTGCTCTCTTGTTAACCTGTCTATTGTTATGAATGTGTCAGCCAAGACCCTTATGATAGATGAGGAAAAGTATCACAACTTTTTCACCCCTAAACTTAGCGAGCCGAAAAATAACCCCCAGATTACTGTAGGATTGATACCAGCCTGACTGTGACAAAGATTCTTTGCTCAACTAAACTTTAGTCAGGCTTCTAGACCCATCTGTGTGCTTTTGTAAAATCAGAATTTAGCATGAACTTTCCACCCTCAATATCTGATCACCCTGTTTTTTGTTTTGTTTTGTTTTGTTTTTAAACCAGGGTCTCACTCTGTCATCCAGGTCAGAGTGCAGTGGTGTGATCACACCAGGATAATATTTTTATTTTTAATTATAAGTTAATTCTTCTTCTTCTTCTTCTTTTTTTTTTGTAGAAATAAGGGGGTCTCGCTATGTTCCCCAGGCTGGTGTCAAACCCCTGGGCTCAAGCGATCCTCCCACCTCAGTTTCCCAAAGTGCTGGGATTGCAGGCATGAGCCACCATGCCCAGCTGTGATCACTCTTGACATCTGATTGGGTGCCTCTCTTCTGCCAATTCCAGTTGATGTTTGATCACCCAGGCTTCTCTTCAGCAAGAATCTTGTAAGGTCAGTTTAGTAAGAATCCTCCTTACTCCTAATGCTTCCTCTTAGTAATTTTCCATCCGCTGACCCCAACCCTGCTTCTTGACCTTCTTGACTATAAATTTCCACTTGCCCATGCTGTATTTGGAGTTGAGCCCAATCTCTCTCCTTCACTACAAAATCCTGTAGCCGGGTCCCTATGCTTATTGCGATGGTCCTGAATAAAGTCTGCCTTACTGTGCTTTAACAAGCGTCACTGGGTAATGTTTTCTTTAATAACTGAGAAAAAAGACCTTTCTCCTCCTTCTTCCCTCCTAATTTTTCTAGTTCTTCCTGTGCTTGTAATTTATGTTTTCTGGGCCATAGCAGTGCTATTTAGGAAGATGATTAGAATTCAAAGTCTTTTAGCATAGGTCTTAGAGATCACAGTCTTGTGTTTGTGTTTGTGCTTTTGTGAAACTTCCTCAAATTTAAATATTAAACAAATGGAGATTCAGGGAAGAGATTTGACTAACATTGCATGCTGTGGTCTAAATGTTTGTGTCCCCTTCAAATTCGTATGTTGAAATTGTAACCCATAAAGGGATGGTATTTGAAGGAGGGGTGTTGGGTGGTAATTAGGTCATGAGGTTAGAATCCTTGTAAAAGAGACCCCAGAACTCTAGCTACCCGTTTCCATGTTGTGAGAAGCCAGAAGAGGGTTGTCTGTGAGGAAGCAGGCTTTTACCAGGCACTGAATCTTCTGATGCTTTGATCTTGATCTTCCAGCTTCCAGAACTGTGAGAAATAAATTTTTGTTGTTTATAAACCACTTGGTCTATGGTATTTTGTTATAGCAGCTCTAGGACTAAGACAGCCATACTTCTAGTTAGTGTCAGAGCTCGGTGTAACACCCAAGTCTCCAAACTCTTTTACTAACTACAACACGGAGTGTAGTCTTCATGAAGTCAGGGGCAAGTCTAATGGGAACCATTCAGCAGGCTTAAATTGTATTTAACACACAAGCAGTTCCTGAATTAACTTCACCCACCCATTTTATATTTCCTTTTGAATGAGCACTTGGGACAACTTCTTGCTGCAACAGGGGCTTATCTCTTGGCAGCATCTCAGACTGGGAATGCCCTCTCAGGGGCCTGAGATGCCCTCTCTGTTGTTTGCCTTTTTCCTGCTAACTTTTCTGACAATGTTTTAGCATTTTCCCTACAATGGAGAACTCCCTCTCAAGGGCCTGAGATCCCTCTTTCCTGTTTGTCTTTTTCCTGCTAACTTTCCTGACAATGTTTTGGCATTTTCCCTACAACGAATTGGCTCAGAATAGGGAAATATCTCCTCTAATTGCTCAAGAGGGGGCTAGCTGGGCACAGGCAGGATCCACACTCAGCTTTAGGGCTGCCAAGGTGATGGGGTATTGATATCTCCAGTTGGAGCTCAGGATACATTATCTCAGAAACATGACTACAGCGGGGAAGTTGGAGGGAGTACTGTGTAGTGGTTAAAATGATGAGTTTTTGAAGTCAGAAGGGCTGTCATGTGTCATTTCACCAACAATTAACAGCTTGAGCTTGAACTTCAGTTTTCCCAACTACATACTAGAGATGATGATGATAAATTACATCTAATTTATTAGGTATAATTTATTTATTGTGGTTCAGATTAAATGAGATAACTGGAAAATATTAAATGTTTAAAACATGCTAGTGTTTTTTCTTCTTTTTTAGTACTACATCCAAGTTCAAAGTGAGTTTAAAAAGCCTTTTGCAGATTTGCCTAGAAACCAACATATATTTTATAAGGTTATTTTTACGAGAAACATTCTGATTTCTGAAAAGATTTTGAAAACTTACCGGTTTATAAAGTAGGGCTGCCCATTTTCTCTGTCTCTCTGTCTCTTTCCTTCTTCATATGTCTTCAATTGGATATGATGACTGGAATATCCTGGGCCATTTCGCAGATTTTATTTCTCGCATAAATCTGTTTTTACAAAGATACTCTGCACCTCTGCACATATACAAAATTAAGCAAATAATCTGGTTTTGCTCTTTACAGAGACCAAATGGATGGGGTGTCCAGTTCTCTCATTCACTTTGCCTTGTAGATGCAACTCGAGTGCATTCACCCACTCCCTCCCCCCATGCATGTGTACTTGCCATCTGCTGGCATGGCATGAGGGTGAGGGCTAGTGCCCTGGAGGAACCAAGGGAAGGGAGTTCTGATTCATGTACTGGGACCCAAAGCCCGCTTTAAACACCCTGAGCAGTTTTAAAGGCTGTTTTTGAGAGGCTACTTTTGAATGATAGAATGTTTGTTATTTCTTTTAGAGACGGGGGTCTCACTATGTTGCCCAGGCTGGTCTCTAACTCCTGGGCTGAAGTAATCCTGCCACTTCAGCCTCCCAAAGTGCTAGGATTACAGGCATCAGCCAACATACCCAGCCATAGAATGTTTTAATACTACAATTTTCAAGGGAAAAAGAGGCCCAGTGATAATGAACATTTTGTTATCTCCTTTCATTGTATGTCTGACCCCTCTTGTGATACAATTTTGCCTAGAAAACATGATTTACTCTATACATACTTCAAAAAGTACAAAGGTCTATAACCAAGAGTTTTTGTTGTTTGTTTGTTTTGGTTTGTTTGTTTTTGTACATACAGAAAAGTATGAGACTCCACAGCTGTATATATGGCATGGGGATAGATAGCAGGTTCCCAGAAGGAATGTAAAAGAGAATGGTAACTGTTAATAGTAACTCGTAGAGAATCCCTTTGCTTAATGTGTTGTGGAGCAAATTAGGTGTGTTTTATTAGTGCAGATTTCATAAATGTCTGGTGTTATAGGAAGCAATAAATTTAAGTAGAACCATATGGAATTGCAGTTGTTTCTTCTTATCTATGGGGATATGTTCCAGGACCACCAGGGGATGCCCGACACCATGGCTAGGACTGAGCCCTATTGCTGTCAGTTGGAATCCATTTCTGTTCCTGTCTTTCACCTACAAATTTAATGCCTTTTTCATTATAGCTAAGCACGTATCAAGCCATAACTTTTGCAGTTTGAGGTGCAACAACAAAACTAGCATCAATTTCTTTCCTTAGTCACAATTTCAAAGATAGGAGATTTGTTGTTGCCAAAGATCTTAGTAACCTCAGCGTATAATTTCTTTCCTTAAGTCAATAACTTCTTTCACCTCTTCACTTAAAGGAAGCACTTTACAGCTTCTCTTCGGCATATCTAAATTGCCAGCATCACTAATCTTGAGCTGTGGAGCCATTATTAAGTAAAATAAGGGCTACTGGAACACAATCATTTCCATACTGTGACAGTCAGTTTAATGGCCCAGCCAGCTACTAACGAGTGGGTAGTGTCTACAGCATGGATTTGCTGGACAAAGAAATGATTCATATTCCCCACTGGAACAGGAGGGCATGAGATTTCACCATGCTACTCAGAATGACACACAATTTAAAACCAATGAAATTTAGAGCTGGCCTTAAGTGAAATAATAAATAAAAGAAAAAAATAACATGACAAATTGCTTATTTCTGGAACTTTCCATTTAATATTTTTAGACTGCAATTGACAGCAGGTAACTAAAGGCATGGAAAGTGAAACTGCGGAAAAGGGAGGACTACAGTACTTGAATTCTTCCTATGTTTTCTAAAGGTTTTGGATTTTAAGGAGACCCTAGATGAATGTTAAAAAATATTTAGAATTCAGAAAAAAAATTAAAAAAAAAATATATAGTTTTTAAACAGGAAGACGGAACACTGAACAGAAATCAAGTGGCACTTTGTCACTTCCCAAGACCCAAGAAAAATAGTAACTTTCAGCAAAGGTGCCCAGAGTAAAGGACACAGGCAGAGGAGCTGACTGCATGCTCACATCCTCATTTCTCCTGTCCCTACACACAACAGACCAATTGCAGGGCTGAGAACACGATACCGGCTTAGAAAGTATTTGAATGCTGGAGTTGTAAGACGGGGCTCAATGGTGGCTTAATGGAAAGAAAAATCGACCTGTCAATCTTATTCATTTGAGCAATTCGAATCATTAAAAGTTTCCTGATAATATTGAGATCAAATCTGCCGATGTGCATTTTTATTCACTGCATCTCGTTCTGTTTTCTGATAAAAAGTATTAGCATATTTCCTACAATTAATTGTGATATAGAATAAATTATATGCTTCTTTTAAATGACAGCTCTTCAAATATTTAAAGACAGCCAGGTTGCATCTCTGTGCACTTCACTTCATTTTTGCCCTGTCCCAGGCCATTTTAAATTTGATTTATGTAATTAAATATCACTAGTCTCTTCACCTATTCTTTATATGATCTGTTTTATAGACACTTTATTTCTCCTGGCTTCTGGAGGCATTAGTCAATGGGCCTCATTCTCAGCAAACTATCGCAAGGACAAAAAAACCAAACACCGCATGTTCTCACTCATAGGTGGAAATTGATCAATGAGAACACATGGACACAGGAAAGGGAACAACACACACCGGGGACTGTTGTGGGGTGGGGGGAGAGGGGAGGGATAGCATTAGGAGATACACCTAATGCTAAATGACGAGTTAATGGGTGCAGCACACCAACATGGCACATGTATACCTATGCAACAAACCTGCACGTTGTGCACATGTGCCCTAAAACTCAAAGTATAATAATAATAATAATAATAATAATAATAATAATAAAAGAAAAACGCTATTGAGAAGAAATCAATAAAATTTGACATGTTGATGAAAAAAAAAAAAACCACAAAACGTTGGACTGAACAAAATACTTCTGATCCAGGGTGGCCATTTAAGAACACTAAGGGACTATTCTTGTCCTGGGTTCTGTACTTCTATTAATGGAAACTAACTTTCCATTGGAGTTTCTTATAGCCACATCTCACCATAGGCTCAATCTAAACTTTCACTCAATAAAAATCCTAAGTCTTTTTCATGGTGCATTCAGTAAATCTCCTGTATCCCTCTTTTCTGAGGTTAATTGAAAAGTATTATCTTGGAATGTTATTCTTACCCATATATGGTTTGGCTCTGTGTCCTTACCCAAATCTCATGTTGAGTTGTAATCCCTAGTGTTGGAGGTGGGGCCTGATGGGAGGTGATTGGATCATAGGGACGGACTTCCCCCTTGCTGTTCTCGTGATAATGAGTGAGTTCTCACAAGATCTGGTTGTTTAAAAGTGCACAGCACTTCCCCTCTTAGTTCTCCCTCTCTTGCTCTCCTGCTGGTCATATGAATATGTGCCCAATTCCCATTTGTCTTCCACCATGATTGTAAGTTTCCTGAGGCCTCCCAGAAGCAGAAGCCTGTACAGCCTGCAGAACCATGAGTTGATTGAACCTCTTTTCTTTATAAATTACCCAGTCTCTGGTAGTTCTTTATAGCAATGTAAGAATGAGCTAATACACACCACTATTAAAATTTATTTTATTTTATTTGTTTCATCCTATTCCAGCATGATCTCTTCTTTTTGAATTTTGATTTTTGCCATCAGCAGCATGTGTTCTGTAAAGGGACATCAATGCCTCTTCCTTTTTATTTTTTACCCTATTAGAGGTTGTCTTAGGCTGAGTTCCTTGGAGACAGACTCCAATATGGAATTACATGCAAAGGTTTAACAGGCAGTGCTCTCAGCAACCACACTTGTACTGGTGTGAAGGAAGCAGGACTGAGAAGAGGTAGAAGTTGAACTGCAATGCAATTGCCACAGAGACCTCAGCCAATCTTATGGGCATCTCTGAAGCTGGGATGCCATTCAGATATGTTCTGTATTCAAGCAAGGGAAGCAGGCTTTGTACACTGGTCTTGATCAGTCATTGGATGTGGGCTTCTCTGGCAGGAAACAGAATTTTGGATGAGACAGCTCCCTTTGACTGAAAGAATTGGCAGCTGAAACTCTCCAATTCATCTGTAGGAGCCATCAGCAGACAACATTATCAGCAGTTGGGGGAATGAGTACCTCTGTCCTGAATGGGGAAATCTAGGTGATGCACCCTAGCATCTATTACAGAAGGGCACCAGTGCACTCCTGCCTTTTGCTGCAATTATGGTGTTTTTTCTTAAAATGAAAAAATAATTCTATGTTTCCCCTCACAATCCTTCCCTTCTTTGTCCCCGCATTTACAGATTCCCACAGTCAAGGTACCCTGATTCAAATATAATTCCATGAGAAGCTGGACTAAGGACATATATTCATTCATTCAATATTCATGTGTGTGTGTGTTAGAGACAGGGTCTTGCTCTGTTTTCCAGATTGGAATGAAATGGCACAATTATAGCTCACTGTAACCCCAAACTCTTGGGCTCAAGTGATACTCCTGCCTCTGGCTTCCAAGTAGCTAGGACTACAGGTATGCACCACCACACCCAACTAACAATATTCATATTTACTGAGCACCTACTATTGTGCCAGGCATTCTTCTACAAGCTGAGAATGCCACAGGGAGCAAAACTTCCCTTTCTCATAGATCTTATATTCTAGGTGACAGACTCTTGGCCATACTTAAATTTTTAGGTCTCCTGTCATGACTTAGGTTTCGTCATTGAGCCAAGTTAACTGATACTCTTTACTTTTAAGCTAAGTCTACAACCTTTAAGAAGTGCCTTAGTCACACATGGGTATAGAGTCCTGGCTATTTCCTCAACTATTATATTTTGCAATTTGCCCAGAAAAGTTTGAATCTTAGCTGTGGATTCAACTTTTAGCAAAAGTAAAGAAGTGAATGATAAATTAAAAAGCAAACTAAAATAATTGTTTGATATTGTGCAGACATAATAGCCAAGTGACTGATAATTATTCCATTCCCCAGCACTTTTATGGATATTTAGACACAACTGTCAGAAAACCTCAGGTGATGTTGTTCTTGAATAAACACAGGACTCTAAAATGTCTTTCTTTAATTCTTCCTGCTTGGCACTTCTAGATAAATATGATTTGCTTTAAGATCTCAGTCTTAAAATGAAATTGAGAAAGTGGCTTCATACGAAGATCGATCTTAAAAAATGGAGGAAGATTAAGATCAATGAGATAATTTCTTAAAGTAATACAATCCCCACATTTTAGAGACTAAGGCTACATTATTTCAGATGGAATGAAGAAATAACTGCCCTAGCTATACAAAATAAAATCTAGTGGAAAGAAACAAAAGCTGGTGGTCAGTGTAGGAATGGCTCACTTTTTTCCAGACTTTTTTTCCTCCAGACTAAATGAGTAGTTATCCATATAAACCATACAACATGTTGTGAAGCTTACAATCATTTTTTCTTGATATTGTTGTTAAATAAAAATTTGGTGACTAAATTCAACTTTTAAATAAGTAACATGACCATTTTTATTCTTTCATATGAAGGTGGGAAAGGATAATTGGTATAACTAATAGACATAATTATGTTTACTATTATTCCTGCTTTCATAGTTAGAATCTCATTAAGCTTTCTGTGAATATTGTGAAAATGACTGAGATACTTCTCGACTTCTTCATACATTCATAGCAATTTTCTCTTTAAAAACAAAGCAAAAGTTAATTATGCAGATTTATATTCTGACCCATTCTTGTTGATACTGAATAAAAGCTCCACATAAAAAAGAAACAAGAAACATGAAACATAGTCACGAATCAGATACTGTTTCTTCTTTTCAGTGGAAAATTGTGCTTCCACACTGGTGAAAATCTAAGGCTGAGAATGTTGCCATGAAATATTAAAATAATTAATCATTAAAAATTACCTAGCCAATTACACAAATTTGTCAAAGTAAGTCTCCTAACTAATCCTCACACTTAAGTGAAAGTTCGAGTTAAGTTCACTGACCAACATTTTACAGAATAAGTAATTTTACATGCAAGACTACTTGGTATAAAGCTGGTAATGGGGTCATAGTTACATCAAGGAATTTGTTCATTTCATTCCTGAACTTGTCAGTACTTTTTTAGGTACTAATAAAAGATGCCTCAAGAAAAAAATACCATGGAGATTTAAGTTTTTAGCCAACTACATAATCACCATCATAATCTTTATCTCACCATCATCAGCAGCAGCAGCACCATCATCAATTTTACAAAAGTACTGCATAACTCTTCATTAGTAAAGGTGATATTTTGCTATTTTCCCACTATAAATAAGTCATTTCTTGTGTTACATTAATTAGTTCCAAATCACTTAGAATGAAAGATTTTAGTTATGAATGATCCTTTTTTATATTTATTATCTTATTTTAAAACAGTTTATGATAAGATGTCATTAAAAAGCACAGTGTTGTTTTTGGTGTAGATGAAAAATAATATTAACTGGAGGAATGCTTCTTCAAACATTTATTTAGGAACTGGTTCAGTCAAGTTTCCAGGTATATTAGTCAGAATTTTCCAGAGAAACAGGACTATCCTATATGGATATTTAAAGATTTATTATAAGGAATATGCTCGCATGATTATTAAAGCTGAGAAGTCCAAAGTCTACAGAGCTGATATTCCAGTTTGAGTCTGAAGGCCAGGGCTGCTATAGAACCAGGAAGAGCTGACATCTGATTTTGAAGGCCATCAGTCAGGAAAATTCTGTCTTACTTGAGGGAGGCAGGGTCAGTCCTTTGTTCTATTCAGGCCCTTACCTGCTTAAATGTGTCCTACCCATATTAGAAAGAACAATCTGCTTTACTTGGTCTACTGATGAAAATGTTAATGTCATCTAAAAAAACACATTCACAGAAACACCCAGAATAATGTTTGAGCAAATACCTGGATACCTCATGGATCAGTCAAGTTGACACATAAAATTAACCATCACACCTGGTAAGCAGAGGATATCAGGTAGGGTTAGGGGAATTTAAGTCCTGTCTCAAAATAGATGAATGGCAGAGATTGAATTGCATAACTGAGTCTAGTAGGGGACTCAAATCGACCTTCAGATGATTATGTGATAGATGTTGATATCTGGCTATGCACATTATCCTTTAGGCCATTACATAGAAAAGGTGTGGTAATTTGCTTTAGGGTCTCAGTCATACATGGCTTATCTGCATAATTATTTTAAAGATTTTTTTGTAGTCTTCTCCTCTGACCTTCACACATACAAAAAAATATTTGTAGAGGATGAACCCCATGCTACTGCAATGATTAGAAGGAAGGAATCATAATTTTTCCCACTGAGAACACTTTCTTTAGCCTGAATTTATGGTATAAGCTATTTTTGGTCAAAGTGATGGTTTATAAGTAAAAAGTCCATGGGGAAAATCAAGTGCCAGTCAGTAATTTATAATTAATTTTCACTCTTGAAATATATTTTCACTGCATACAGAATTTTATGGTGACAGTATTTCATTCCTTTCAGTACTTTTAAGGTGTCATTTCATTTTCTTCAGCCTTGCTTAATTTCCAATGTCTGCTGTTATTCTAATCTTTGTTCCGTATGTACAGTGATTTTTTACACTAACTGTCCTCAGGATTTTTCTCCTTATTTTTGTTTTTCAGAGGTTTTAAAATTTTTATACTTTTTATTTTTAATTTTTGTGAGTACATAGTAAGTGCATATATATAGGAAAAAGATTGAATATGATGTGTCTAGTGTTTTTGCTTTTTTGTTTGTTGTTATTTTGGTTTATCCTAATGTTTTCTGAGCTTCTTCAGTATGTGATTTTAGAAATCTTTTATTAACTTTGAAAAAGTTTTTGCCATTATATCTGCAAATATTTCTTCTGCTCTGTTCTCTCTTCTTTTTCCAGGATCCAGTTACACAATTGTTTTAACGTTTGATATTTTCCCCCAGCTTTTGGATTCTGTGTTTTTTAAATTCTATTTTTATTCTGTTTGGTTTTTGGTTTGAGTAATTTTTATTGACATGCTTTTAAGTTTGCTATTTTTTTGTCAGCTGCATTGCATTTATGGATGAGTCAATCCAAGAAACTCGTTATCTCTGTTGAAGTATTTTTTATTTCTAGCATTTCTATTTGACTCTTTCATATGGTCTCTATATATCTGCTGAATTTGTCCATCTGATCATATATGTTATTCATGTTTTTTGTCAGAGCCTTTAATGTAATAATGTTATTTTAGATTTCCTGTCTGATACTTTCTATACCAATGTGTCATAGCTAAATTTGGTCCTGCATTATTTCTTGATAATGAATCATTTTCCTTTGCTTCTTTGTGTATCTTGCCATTTTTGGTTGAAAACCAAACATCTTATATAGAAGAGTACAGTCTAAAATAAATAGTACTTATGCTTGGGAATGGGAATACCACATTTTTCACTAGGCTTTCATGTGTGGCAAGTTGCATTAATCTAGTCAGAAGTTGACTTGATTTGGGATTTTGTTGTTGCTTTGGTTACTTTCAGTGCACTATTGGCTTCAAATTTCTTTAGTATTACTTTGAGTTTAGGATGGAGGCAGTTTGCCAGGGTTTCTTTTTTTCTTGATACCTGCTTCATCCTGAGTTTAAGTCGTCCCTTTGTGCTTGCACCTCAGAGAAAGTATCTCTCTGTTATTTTGAATCATCTCCGTTGTGAACTGTTGTTTTTTAATGCATGTTAATCTCGTGGTGGTAGGCAGGGGCCATTCTCAGTTGTTTCTGTTTAGGCTTAGTCATAGGCAGGCATTGGTCCCTTGGTCTTCTTAAGAATCTTACTCCTTTGCCTACTTTTGGAGATATTTAATTGCAGGCTTGTACCTTTACAAGAGATTGGTCGTTTTTTCATTGGTGGTGGTGATAGTGTTCTTTTCCCCCAGCTATAATGGGTATTGACTTGTGCCTTAGGGGTGATAAGATTTATTATCTTTCTCCTAGTGCTTCAAGGCTTTTGCTCCCATAGGGAAGAGAGGGGAGAAGGACCCAAGCTACCTTTTGTGCCTTTCTGGCAGCACCTTCTTTTCTCTCTCCCAGCATGAATCTAAGAGTGAATTTCTCAGGTCTCTCAATATGCCTCCAATCTGTTTTGTGAGCACTGAGTTAGGTTCACGTGAAGAGGCTGTAATTCCACACATCCCTGCAGCTTCCAGGTTATAATAATTTTATGCTAGCCTGCACTTGGCCTAAGTAGTTAATTCAAAAATGTAGCTGAGCCAGGTGCGGTGGCTCACACCTATAATCCCAGTACTTTGGGAGGCCAAAGCGGGCTGATAACCTGAGATCAGGAGTTCGAGACAAACCTGGCAAACAAGGTGAAACCCCATCTCTATTAAGAATACCAAAATCAGCTGGGCGTGGTGGCGAGTGCCTGTAATCCCAGCTACTTGGGAGGCTGAGGCAGGAGAATCACCTGAACCCTGGAGGTGGAAGTTGCAGTCAGCTGAGATCGTGCTACTGCACTCCAGCCTGGGCAACAAGAGAGGGTCTAAAAAAAAAAAAAAAATCTAGCTGAATTCTTACTGCCCTTAATAGTGACCTTTTCCCCCCTAATTGTGCTGTGCCACGGAAAACATGTGCTGGTTTTCCATTTGTCCTTGGAGTCAGGTGTCTTACTTTAAACTTCAGTTTATTTGGTAGCCACAGTGAGGATCTCAGTTCTTTGGTAAGTTCAAGAAAAGTTGTGATTTTGCAGAAATCTAATAATTTTTTTGATAGAATTTGGAATTAATGCCCTTTCCAGCTTTCTACATCATAAGTTGAAGCTGGAAATCTTGTAATTTATTCTTAAAGGTAAGGTGAGTAAGTGTGAACTGGGTTTCTCAGATGAGGCTAAGATGAACAGGCTCTAATCACCTTGGGAGATGAATAGAAGTTATTATAAATTGGTAATTTTCTATGACAAAAAAATGACCTAAACCTTGTATGGCAGCTTGTAAAGAAACTCATATTAGGGATAACCTTATATGTATTAAAACCAATTTAGACATTTAGTTATTCAATATCAGAAAATTATCAAATGCCAAAATGAGCAAAACTCAGGAAGTAAAGCGATAGGAAAAACTAGAATAGATCTAGCCAAGATATGGATGGAAGCTGGACATCTTTTGCTCTGGAAAAAAATAATAGAAGAAACCTAAGATCAGACAAGAGACATCTTCATTATTTTTTCCCCTCTAATCAGGGCTCCTTCTGATAGCTATTTAGCATAACAAATTTTTGTAGGTTTATATTGTGCCTGTCCTATCCCATACCTGGAGTCGGCTATTGCTCAAAAAACCTTGGCTTCTCTTAGTTGTAAATGGTATTTACTTGAGCACAAGTACAAGATGTGCTCATTGCTACTGGTTCAGTCATTGTTTCTAGATCTCTTAGAGGACAAAGATACACACACAAACACACAAACACCATATATGCACACAAACACACATACTATAATACCTTAGCAATTCAATAACATTTAGAGCTATAGAATTTTTTACTTAGTCTCTCAGTTTATGTATCTCCTTTCTTCCACACTAAAATCCCCAATTCTTGAAAACACATGGAATAATAGAATTTGAATGTCACTAACTTTTTTTCATATGGCAGTCTCAATAACAATAATAATATTACCATGGCAATATAATAACTAAGAACTGTCAATTTTTTTAACGTTTTTCCCATTTTACATTCTTTTTTGGAGTTACAGTATGTCTACATTTTCTAAACATATGACCATTATGTTCAATATTCTCTTCCTTTTTGCCTTCATTTTTGTCTTAGTTATACAAATAGTTCTATTTAATCAACCCCACCAGTTCTTATGTTGATGTTTCTTTAGTCATCTTAGTCTTTTGAGGCCTGTTTTCTAGTAGAATTCTTGGGAAAGATGCATGAGAACAATATTCCCTGAGTTCTTGAATGTTGATAATAGTTTATCTGTATCATTTATACTTGAAAGTCCATTTTCTCTGGATATAAAATCTTTGCCTCACATTTTCTTTTCTTGATTATCTTAAATATGTTACTCCATTTTTTTTTCTGGCAAAAGTTTTGCTTTTGAAAAAAAAAAAGAATTTTCTTTTAGCTTATAAATCACTTGTTCATTTTGCCCAGATGTCAAAAAAATTGTTTCTTTTCTTTTCTTTTTAAATGTCCTGTAATTTTATTAAAATATGTCTTGGGGTTCATTGTTTTGGGTTGATATTCTCAAATACATGGTATATGCTTTCAAAATAGTTTCAAATCTTTATTCCTGAGATGTGTTCTTGAATTACAGTCTTTTGTATTATTTTGTCCCATTGTTTTTTTCCCCTAGAGAATCCAATTATCCATATGTGATTTTTTTGGTCTATTCTCAAAATTTGTCCCTTTCCCTTAAATCCTTTTTATTTCTTTTGTTGCATCTGTTGATTTTAATTTTTTCTGCTTTCATCCTCTATTACTTTTAATACATTTGCTGCTGTATATATTCATTCCTATAATCCTTATTAGTCTTTATTTCTGAAAAATTTTTTATTTTAAATTATTTTCCTCAGCTTTATCTGAGTTCTTCTACTTCTGATTTGCGTTGTTCTTTCATATTTAGAATCATTGTTATAAGCTAGCAGAGGTATGTTAAATTCTTCAGGAAACATCCATTGTTTGGTCTGGATGCCATTCCCTCTTCTGGGAATTAACTCTACAACCTGTCATTCAGATACTTGCTTGGAAGCTGCTGTATGTAGTTATCTCTGAATAATTATTGGTGGCAGGTTGGGTGACAACTGACGGAATCTGAGTCCATCTCCATGGCTTTTGATCTTGCCCTTGAGCTCAAATTCCTTTCTTTCTTCCTTTCTTTCCTTTCTTTCTACCTCCCTCCCTCCCTCCCTTCCTTCCTTCTTTCTTTTCTTTCTTTCTTCTTTCTTTATAAATTTTACTTTAAGTTCTGGGATACATATGTAGAATGTGCAGATTTGTTACATAGGTATACATGTACCATGGTGGTTTGCTGTACCTATCAACCCGTCGTCTAGGTTTTAAGACCTGCATGTATTAGGTATTTGTCCTAATGGTCTCCCTCCCCTTGCCCCCCATCCCCCAACAGGACCCAGTGTGTGACCTTCCCCTCCTTGTGTCCATGTGTTCTCATTGTTCAACTCCCACTTATGAGTGAGAACATGTGGTGTTTGGTTTTCTGTTCCTGTGTTAGTTTGCTGAGAATGATGGCTTCCAGCTTCAACCATGTCTCCGCAAAGGGCATGAACTCATCCTTTTTTATGGCTGCATAGTATTCCATGGTGTATATTGCCACATTTTCTTTATCCAGTCTATCCTTGATGGGCTTTTGGATTGTTTCCACGTCTTTGCTATTGTGAACAGTGCTGCAATAAACATACATGTGTATGGGTCTTTATAATAGAATGATTTATAATCCTTTGGGTATATACTCAGTAATGGGATTGCTGGGTCAAATAGTGTTTCTGGTTCTAGATCCTTGAGGAATTGCCACACTGTCTTCCCCAATGATTGAACTAATTTACGTTCCCACCAACAGTGTAAAAGGTGCCTATTTCTTGACATCCTCTCCAGCATCTGTTATTTCCTGACTTTTTAATGATTGCCATCCTAACTGGCCTGAGATGGTATCTCATTGTGGTTTTTATTTGCATTTCTCTAATGACCTGTGATGATGGAACTCAAACTCTTTCTTGGGACTTGCTGCAGCTAAGTTTTTTGCTGTGTGAAGAAAGTTATTCTGTACTCTTTGAGAAGAATGATGCGAAATGCTGAGATTCAACAAGGAGGATGGAGAAAGTTTCTAACTTCATCTGGACTTCATCTGGCCTGCAGTTATTCCTGAGGTCTGGCTGTTTCCATGACCTTCCCCAGCTTGGTTGTCCTGCCTGATGCCTAAGTATCCTTTCATAAAATCTTTCTATTTGCATAAGCATACTTGAGTAGGGGTCTGTTAACAGAAAGAATATACCTTAAATGTCTTTATATTGCTTCTCATCCAAATAATAATTGAGCCTGAACGTGGTAAACTGTTTCAAGCTCTGTAAGAACCATACTTTTCTTCATTTATGCCATACGTTTGGTAGTGTCTTAATATTAACTTGGTGCAAAAGTAATTGCGGTTTTTGCCATTAAAAGTAACAACAAAAACTGCAATTACTTTTGCACCAGCCTAATACTTCTGTTCAGAGTAGTACGTTGAGAAGTACCATTTAAATGTATTTCATTCAGAGTATTCACATTTGTGCTTCACAGACACCTTCAAGTCTTAGAGTGGGCACACTTTCTCTCTCTGTATCTGTTTTGTTCTTTGTGTCTTGTCTCTGCATTTGCCCTCTATGTTTTACATGGGTTTTTCAAATTTGTCATTCTGCATAATTTTCTTAATTCTCTGCAGTGTCCATTCTTTCACTGTACCAAAAGAAGATTTGCATTATACTATTATAGTATTTTCTTATTTCAGCCAATGTTCTTCATATCTCTGTATTTAATTCAGCCTTTTTCTTTCATAGGGATGCCTGCTCCTGCTTTTTAGAGGCTCCTAGGTCTTTGTCAGGAAATAGTGTCTTGGAAAATTCTTATATAATTTTGAAGAAAAGAATTTTCAGAGCCATAAACTCCCTCTTAGTCTTTAAGGAACTCTCTCCTTCTCTAACCATCCCCTCGCCAATGTTTTCCTTCTCATATATTAGTAGGCTCCATTGTTTATTTCCTGGATGCACTGCCTGACTGGGGAAGAACTGTTTAGGATTGCATTTTTCTACAAAGTGTGGTCTCCTTAGTTCCCTTTTTCTGTTCATTTGGGCTCAGGCAACTTTTCTCTTTCACATCTAAACCTGAAAGCCAGGATGTAGCCTTTTACTTTTATTCTGTTGGCATTCATCAGATGTGACTGTGCCAGTACTAAATGGAATCTTGTGCTTTCAGTTGTGCTAAGGAGCCAATTGAAGTTCTTCGAACAGTTTCATACGTGAACGAGTATACCCATTTCAGCACTCCCAGCTCTCCTGTGTCTAATTTAGTTTTTTTTTCAAATACAAAACATCCTAGGATACTAATTTAGTACTCATCTCTACTTTATACTAGTGGAATAGAAAAATAAAAAAGGAAAAACTTGATAGAAGTGATATAAGGAGAGGACAGGACTCTGACTACTTCTGAAAATAACAATTTTTTTTAAGGTTTCAGACACTATTCTGTCATTAGGTGTACAAAGGGGAAATGAGCCAGAGACTTTTTTTTTTGGTGCACGTGTGTGTGTTTGTGTGTGTGTGTGAATATCTTTTGGTTCTGAGTCAGATGATATGGTATAGAGACTGGTAATTTGCTTTTCAATCTGTCCTCACTGACAATGCATTTAGAGGAAATTGCCTGGAAAATTTGGTACATCTTTTCTCTTTTTCTTTGCTATTGTCAGTTTTTGTCTCTTTTTTATCTTCATGGATATTTTATGGGAGACAGCAGACCAGACATCTAATCTGTATTCCTGTTTCTCATTAAATCTCATTTGATTTTGAAGAATTGTACTAGTAGTGTTTGTGAAAATAAAAAACATTAGTAAATTTAACAGAAATATGTTTGTATTTTTATTGCAAAAGACAATTAAACAGAGATAGCTCCTGTTCCCATAGCCCAGGCTCAGTTTCAGGAGCACAGTCTCTGTAGCACAGTGATTAATAGCATAGACTTTGAAGTCAAACAGACCTGGATCTAAATGTAGGTAATAGTACTTTCTGTAACACTGGGCTACTTGCTCAATCAGACTGAGCCTCAATTTTTTCATATGTAAAATGGAGATAATAGTATCTACCATATAGGGTTGTCGTGAGGAATGCACTTAGTATTGTATTTGGCGTATCATAAATATTCAATGGATGGCAGCCAGAACTGATTATTACAAGTATGATAGGAGATAATTTCTTTGAATTTCTTGAGTGCATGTGAAATTCCTAAGGCTGGTAAACAAGATGGTCTTATTGAATACTTTTAGAAAATTATATTTATGATAAAGATATATGCCATTGTATGCACTCACATGTAATTATTTTAACAATATACCATAAATAATTTTCCTGTCGTATTCACCTTACCCATATAAGTTAGCATGCAAACATGTTCCTAGGCAAATTGTATAGGAACTGATTACAGGTATTTAGTTATTCGCATATGTAAGTGGCAATTAGAGTACATTTTTAAAATAAAATTATTAACCTGCTTTCCCTAGAAGCACAATATGATAATGGTCTCTTAAGAAAACAGAAAGTCTCCCACACAGGAAAGATACAAAAAGTCCTCAACAAAAATACTAAACAATTTTGCGCTAGTCATGTGGCGTTCCCTTGAATACTAGCCAAGGAAGACAGGCCACTGGAATGCATCAATGGAATAGTCCAGCAGATGCTTGGCTCACAGTTGTTGAGTTCCAAGGTCTTAAGGCTTTGTCCTGCCACAGAAAGGTAGGCATTATTGATCAAAGAACATGATTTGCATTAAAACTGGCATAATGCTGAAAAGGGAATATACATACATTATTGGTAACTTTACCAAATCATTTCATGTGCCAACAAAATTTCTAACCATATCCACTTAGAAACAATTCTTGATTTACAGGAATTAAAGACATAGTTTATAGCTTATGTAGCTATTTTTTTGCTTATCCTTATTTTTTATCTCCCTCTGCTGCCTATTTCCTTTCAGTTTCACTGTTTGAAATTTTACTCTTTCTTCTAACTACTCATATAAGAGATTTTTATAAAGTAAAATTTGAAACGATCGTTTATAACAAGGTCTTGAAATATGTGAATTTCATTTGTTTTAAACTATTATCCTTATAAAATTGACACAGTATATTTGAAAACATATCCATCTTTGAATAGTGTATCTAAAAAGAGAGAAGGAGGAGGAGAAAAAAGTTGAGCAAATGCTAGGTTGTAAAATAGACATGGACCGTCAATTATTTTTTCTGTTGTAGGAAATTGTTGCCTTTTAAATTTTATTATTTTATTATTTCAAGTTCTGGGGTACATGTGCAGAATGTGCAGGTTTGTTACATAGGTAAAGGTGTGCCATGGTGGTTTGCTGCACCTATCAACCCATCACCTAGGTATTAAGTCCAGCGTGTATTAGCTCTTTTCCCTAATGCTCTCCCCTCTAACCCCCGCCCTGCCCTGACAGGCCCTGGTGTGTGTTGGACCATCAATTTAAAAAGACCAGTTGGTTCAGAGAAAAGAATACTTACACTGTAAGGACATTCAGATACAATGGAAGGAGAACTGCACAATTCACATGTAGGTCAATACAGATGTATGTCTTTAAGAAGTTCTAACTCACTTGCTAGATGTGTGGCTTTAGGCAAGTTCTTTTTTAACATCCTTGAATTTCAGCATGGTTAATTGTGAAATGTGATATAAATATGAACTCCATTGTGTTTCCTTCTAATCAGGAGTGTGAGAAAATGCAGGGGTTTAAAGTTTAAAACAGCACAGGAAATGAGACTTGCTTGGAGAAATTAAATATAGCGTCTTGAAGAATAGAGGACATTCTGAGTGAAGGTCAAGGCAGCATAATATAATGGATGTGAGCATGAACTCTGGAGCCAGACTGCCTGGATTTGAATCCCATCTCTACCACTTATCTGGTATGTTATCTTGAACAAGTTACTCACCTTTCTGTTCCTCAGTAGCCTCTTCTATAATATAGCCATGATAATTGTGTTAGGCTGTTTTTGCATTGTTGTAGAGGAATATGGCAGTCTGGGTAATTTATATGGAAAAGAGGTTTAATTGGGTCACAGTTCTGCAGGCTGTACAGGAAGCATGGTACCAGCATCTGCTCCTGGTGAGGGCCTCAAGAAACTTACAATCACGGTAGAAGGTAAAGTGGGTGCAGTTGTGTCATATGGCAAGAGTGGAAGAAAGAGAGAGTGGGGGAGATGCCATACTCTTTTAAACAGCCATATCTCACACAAACTAACAGAGTGAGAACTCAGCCATTACATGAGGATTGCACCAAGACATTCATAAGGGATCCACCCCTATGACCCTAACACTTGCCACCAGGCCCCACCTCCAACACTGGGGGTTACAATTCAACATGAGATGTGAAGGGTACAAACATCCAAACCGTACCACTAATGGTAGTGTGTTACTTTACTTATTAAGTTTATATACTTACTTTATAGTGTTGTCATAAAGATTAAATAAGCTAATCCGCGTACAATGCTTAGCATCTGGCATATACTGCATGCTATGAAAATAAATATATTTTGAGGAGAGATAAATCAACTCCTTTCTTTTTAATTGTACTTTAAGTTCTAGGGTACATGTGCACAACATGCAGGCTTGTTACATAGGTATACATGTGCCATGCTGGCCCGCTGCACCCATCAACCCATCATTTACATTAGGTATTTCTCCCAATGCTAACCCTTCCCCTGCCCCCCACCCCACAACAGGCCCAGGTGTGTGATGTTCCCCACCCTGTGTCCAAGTGTTCTCATTGTTCAATTCCCACCTATGAGTGAGAACATGAGGTGTTTGGTTTTCTGTCCTTGCGATAGTTTGCTCAGAATGATAGTTTC
This sequence comes from Homo sapiens, assembly GCF_000001405.40. Classification (NCBI taxonomy): domain Eukaryota; kingdom Metazoa; phylum Chordata; class Mammalia; order Primates; family Hominidae; genus Homo; species Homo sapiens. Next base: position 100,134,434 of record NC_000004.12, read on the forward strand.
CAGCTTCATCCATGTCCCTGCAAAGGACATAAACTCATCCTTTTTTATGGCTGCAGGGTATTCCATGGTATATCCAATCTATCACTGATGAATATTTGGGTTGGTTCCAAGTCTTTGCTATTGTGAATAGTGCCGCAATAAACATACATGTGCATGTGTCTTTATAGTAACATGATTTATAATCCTTTGGGTATATACCCAGTAATGGGACTGCTGGCAACCTACAGAATGGGAGAAAATTTTTGCAATCTACCCATCTGACAAAGGGCTAATATCCAGAATCTACAAAGAACTTAAACAAATTTACAAGAAAAAAACAACCCCATCAAAAAGTGGGCAAAGGATATGAACAGACACTTCTCAAAAGAAGACATTTATGCAGCCAACAGACACATGAAAAAAATGCTCATCATCACTGGCCATCAGAGAAATGCAAATCAAAACCACAATGAGATACCATCTCACACCAGTTAGAATGGTGATCATTAAAAAGTCAGGAAACGACAGATGCTGGAGAGGATGTGGAGAAATAGGAACGCTTTTACACTGTTGGTGGGAATGTAAACTAGTTCAACCATTGCGGAAGACAGTGTAGCAATTCCTCAAAATCAACTCTTTTTTTTTTTTTTTTTTTTTTTTGAGATGGAGTCTCGCTCTGTCACCCAGGCTGGAGTGCAGTGGCGGGATCTCGGCTCACTGCAAGCTCCGCCTCCCGGGTTCACGCCATTCTCCTGCCTCAGCCTCCCAAGTAGCTGGGACTACAGGCGCCCGCCACTACGCCCGGCTAATTTTTTGTATTTTTAGTAGAGACGGGGTTTCACCGTTTTAGCCGGGATGGTCTCGATCTCCTGACCTCGTGATCCGCCCGCCTCGGCCTCCCAAAGTGCTGGGATTACAGGCGTGAGCCACCGCGCCCGGCCTCAAAATCAACTCTTAAACAAATAGTCTTGATGACAGTTTTATGTTAAGGGCTTATACTTCATACATGAGTGCTTATTATGTGAGTGTTTATTACTCTAATGTGAATATTATGTAGTTTGAAGAATAAAATTAAAATTTTCTGTTTTCAATTTGCATATAGGATTTTTAAAAAATAAAGTGAATAACGGCAAATTGACAGTAGTGGTTCCTAGGGTATACTACTGTTGAATCTTTGCCCTAATCATAGGACATCTAGATTGTTTTAGCAACCCACCTGAATTTGAATGGCCACAAACTTCCCTAAAGTCCCAGAGATGGATACTAGTGCAAAAGATATTTGGAGAAAGAAGCTGTTGGTTCCCCCAAAGTAGCACTAAAAGCATTCAGGAAGTATTAAAAATGGCTGCACCCAGTTCTACAAGAGAAAGCTGTATAGGAAAGTGTCATGTCTAGCTTTAGCTCCTACTGTGTCTGAAGAATTCTTGGGGGTGGATGGGAGATATCACTGCAGCATAGTATTTTGATAGGCTGGATTATTCTCAATTGTTTGTTCTCTGTGACACTTTGGCCAATGATATGTGAGTGTATATCAGCTGTCCCATCCAACATTAGCTTCAATGCACCTGGGTGCTTCTTAGGACTCCTGCCTCCTGCCCTTTACCATGAGAACAGCAGGTCTCAGATAGTGGCTACTCCTTCAACCTAGGTTTTGGAATGAGAAGACACAAGAGGTCTGATGAGCCCAGCTGAGTTCACAGGACCCAGCCTAGTCCCACAGTCTTTGAGTAACAAAAGGTATTAATGGGTGCTTGTTGTAAGCTGCTGAGCTATTACACTGTTTGTTCTGCAGCAAAAGCTATCATGCACCGTATTACTTAGTATAGATTCTTCAATTTCCCTTCTTGAGGACATAGCCAAAGTGGTCAAGGGAAATTTGTAGTGCTGAAAAAGCACTTTGGCACATTAGTCTAATTTAAATGTCCTTAGTGTCATCATTAGAGTACCTTCATCTTTATCTTGTAAAGACAGTAAATCTTCAGAGTTTGTAAGTAAGTATTCTATTTTTTTGCTTATGTTTTTGAGAAATTAGTAATAGCTTTGAGGAACAAGGGCATATTGTCTTTCTTTAGTGCTATTACAAAGTACCACATACATTGGTGGCACTACTTGAATTGTTACAGTTTACTTAAAGTAAGTGAAATGATAATAATACTCTGACATTACATTTCCAGACCTGCATTTGTCTAAAGCAGTCAAAGAACTCTTGAAACTCTGCCTCAGGATTCTTACAATTTTACAAGCAGTGAAGTAGCTCTAATTATTGTTACAACGTTTATTAATAATACGAATAATCATTGTGCAATGTTCACAAGGTGGACATATGTAAACAATAACTTTGGAAAATAAAATGCCTGGGTGTTTGAGATTACATAACAAGTTATCAATGGCCATTTAAATTTGAAATAATTTCTGTGATAAATTCCTACATATGGTATACTATTTTGGGACTATGACTATAAAAAGTTCTGCTTTTTAGTGTAATAGAGCAGGAACAAGCTAGATAAGTAATGTCAAATATAAGACGAAGCATCTGTTTTCACCACTAGTATGAATATTCTGACAGATTTTCCTATCTTACGATTTCTTTATTTTCCATATAAAGTGATATAATTGCTGCAAACTTGGCTTTAGGATTCAAAATTTGACTTCTTAGTGACTCCAAATGACCCCCCGTGATTAGTTTTTAGTCTCCATCTGATATGTCTTGGCTCTGTGTCCCCACTCAAATCTCATCTCAAATTGTAATCTCCATGTGTCAAGGGAGGGACCTGGTGGGGAGTGATTGGATCATGGGGGAGGTTCCCCCATGCTGTTCTCATGGTAGTAAGTGAGCTCTCATGAGATCTGATAGCTTAATAGTGGCACTGCTCCCTTCGCTCTCTCTCTTTCCTGCCACGTTGTGAAGAAGGTACTTGCTTCCCCTTCGCTTTCCACCATGATGGTAAGCTTTCTGAGACCTCCCCAGCCATGCAGAACTGTGAGTCAATTAAACCTCCTTTTCTTATAAATTACCCAGTCTCAGGTAGTATCTATATTGCAGTGTGAGAACAGATTAATACACTATCTTTAACTACTCAGCGGCATTTTATTTATTTATTTATTTATTTATTTATTTATTTATTTACTGAGTTGGAGTTTCCCTCTTGTTGCCCAGGCTGGAGTGCAATGGCATGATCTCGGCTCACTGCAACCTCTGCCTCCCAGGTTCAAGAGATTTTCCTGCCTCAGCCTCCCGGGTAGCTGGGATTACAAGCATGCACCACCAAGTCTGGCTAATTTTGTATTTTTAGTAAAGGAGAGTTCCTCCATGTTGGTCAGGCTGGTTTCAAACTCCCCATCTCAGGTGATCTGCCCACCTCAGCCTCCCAAAGTGCTGAGATTACAGGTGTTAGCCACCATGCCTGGCCTTTAGTGACATTTGAAAACAATAAATTGCTCTTTCCTTGAAATATTTCACTTAGCTTCTGGGGCACTTCACTCTCCTAATTTTCCTTTTACCTCTGTGACAGCTCCTATTTAGTCTCCTTGATGGCTTTTCTCCTCTTTCTCCGGTCTAAATGTTGGAGAGCCCCAGGGCTCAGGACTAGGCCTGTTGCTCTTCTCCATATACAAGCTTTCTCTGATTTTCTCAACCAAGGCTTTCATAATGGTTTATACATTGACAACTCCCAAAGTAGCCTCTCCAGGCTTGGCTTCTCCTCTGAGCTATAGGCTGCATGTCCAGCTTTCTACTTGATATACTACTTATCAGTCTGATGGGTGTTTCTAACAGAACTCTTGATTTTCTGTTCACATCTGCTGCTCTCTCAGTCTTTCCCATCACTGGGACACTAACATTTAATTTATTATCTGTGCCACAAACTTAAAAATTATCTTTAATTCCTCTCTTTCCCTCATATCTCACATCAATCTATGATCTTTAAACTATATCCTGAATCCAGTCAGTTCTTAATCCTTTCACTGCTACCACCCTGATCCAAGCTGACATCATCTCTCCTTTTTATTAGTACAACAAGCCTCTTAACTTCTCCTCCTTGCTTCCACGTGTGCCTCCGTTCAGCCAGTTCTCTAGAACATCAGTTGGAGTGATCTTTTTAAAATAAAATCTTAAAATCTTTATTTTGTTATTTCATTAAGAAAATAAAAATTTCCTGCAATACTTTGCATGGCTCTGACTACCTCCAACTGCATCTCCTACTCTGTGTTGCTCCATGAACTTTAGCCATGCCATTCTCACTGGTCTTTGAACATTTCATACTTGTCCCTGCCTGAGGGTCTTCATGCCTGCTCTTCGTGACCTCTGTAATGTGTTTTCTCGGACCCCCAGGTTGCTTTCTAGCTTCGTTCAGCGCTGCTTAAACAGCACATTTTCCCAGAGGCCCTCCTTCATAATCACATCCTAGTCTTCAGTACTCTTCTCTAGCCTCTTCTCCTGCTTTATTTTGTTGTATTATGTATTCCTTTTTTATTGACTATTATCGCTCACACTAATATGTAAGGTCTATGTGAGAAATTTGTCTTATGAGAATTGGTCTGTTCACTGACATGTCTCAATGAATAATGCTGAGCAGAGTTTAGATGCTCAATATAGACTTGTTGAATGAGTATGTGCATGAAGTTTTTCACATTTGGCATATAAACATTGTTATATCGTCTTTGCAGATTGTAGATTTTATAATTTAAAAACTATTATTACTATTACTTGAGAAAGAGTTTTTCTCCGCTGCCCAGGCTGGAGTACAGTGGCGTGATCTCTGCTCATTGCAACCTCTACTTCCCAGGTTCAAACAATTCTCATTCCTCAGCCTCCTGAGTAGCTGAGATTGCAGGCATGCACTACCATGCCCGGTTAATTTTTGTATTTTTAGTAGAGATGGGGTTTCACCTTGTTGGCCAAGCTGGTCTCAAATGCCTGACCTCAGGTGATCCACCCACCTTGGCCTCCCAAAGTGCTGGGATTACAGGCGTGAGCCACTGTGCCCAGCCTAAAAAATAATTTGTTCCAAATTAATGTCTGGCCTTACATTCTTGCTTATTTGGTATTCATACTGCTCTTCCTATTTTCTTTTGTTTGCATTACACCACTGTATCTTTGTGCATCCATTTTTATGTATTAATTTTTATTCATAGTGTTATCCCCTGTTTCATTCCTGACTTGGTAATCTGTGTCTTCTTTCTTCTTTCATTGTCAGTATATCTAGAATTTTGTCAGTTTTATTGATCTTTTTAAAGAAACATCTTTTAATTTAGTTGATTTTTACTTGTGTTTATGTTTTCAATTTTACTGATTTTCACTCTTATCTTTATTAGGCACTTCCTTCTCCTTGCTTTAGGTTTATCTTGTTCTTTGTTAAAGTAGGAGCTCAAAAAATAAAAAAAATCATTGATTTTTTCTGTTTTCTAATGTATACATTCAGTGCTGTAGAGTTTCTTCTCAGCACTACTTTACCTGTGTCCCACAAACTTTGATATCTCATACTTTCATTCAGTTCAGTGTATTTTTAAAATTTCCTCTGAGACTTTCTGTTTGACCCATGCATTATTTAGAATGTGTAACTTAGCTTCCAAGTGTTTGGAAATTTTTGGTATTTTTCTCTTATTAATTTCTATTGTGGCTGGAGAATACACTGTAAGATTTCAATTCTTTTAATTTTCTGAGATTTGCTTTATGCCCAAGATGTGGCCCATCTTGGTATATATTCTTTGGGCATTTGAAAGAATGTGTATTCTGCTGTTGTTGGATGGAGTGTTTTATAAATGTTGATTACGTAGTTAGGGTTGATGCTGTTGTTAAGTTCTATATCTCTGCTGAGTTTTTGTCTAGTTGTTTTATCCATTATTGGGAGAGAGGGATGATGAAATCTCCAGATTTATTTGTTTCTCTTTTCAGTTTTGTCAGCTTATGCTTTACCTATTTTGCAGCTCTGTTGTTTGGTACATACATATCTGGAATTGCTATCCTTCTCAGTGAATTGACCTTTTTATCATGATATAGTCCTCTCTATCTCTGGTAATTTTCTTAATTCAGTAGTTCACATTTTTGATATTAATATAACCACTCCTGCTTTCCTCTTAATAATGTTTGTATAATATATCCTTTTCCATCTACCCTTTTGCTTTCAACCTACATCATTGTTTTTCAAGTGAGTTTCTTATATACAGCACATAGTTGAGTTATATTTTCTAATACATTTTACCAATCTCTTTCTTTTAATTTGTGTATTTAGACCATTTACGTTTAATTTAATTATGAATATGTCAAGGTTTACATCTGCCACTTTGTTTTTTGCTTTCGGTTTTTTTTTTTGTATGGCTTACTTGAACATTTAAAGTTTTTAAATTTTGATTTATATGTAGTGTTTTTGAGTGTACCTCTTTGTATAGTTTTCTTTATTGTTGTCCTAGGTATGACAACATCTGTACATAACTTATCACAGTTCACTGGTGTTGCCATTTTACCACTTTAAATGAAGTATAGAAAAGTTAACTCCTTTTAGTCTTCCTGTTTATAGAGTAATTGTCTTCTCTCAATGCATTTAGAACCACAGTTCTAGAGTTAAACTGTGTCTTATATTTTGTTTTAATCATCATACATAACTTAGAATTCTCAAAGGAATAAGAAAAGTTTATTGTATTTACCTATATTTTTGTTTATCATGCTTTTTCTTTTTTCTCTTGTTCCAAGTTTCCTTCTTTAGTCATTTTCTTTCTGTTTAGAGAATTTTCTTTAGCCATTGTTGATATAAGTGATATAAAAATATCAGAAGAGACCAACTAGGAATTTGTATCCTATTTAAATCTTGTTTAAACTTAACACCTTAAAAAACCTTAAGTGCAATATATCTATTTGGAAGGTCTGGGTTTGGCCATCAAATCCTATAAACAGAAGAGCTTCTAAGACACTTCCTTATAGTATTTATTTAGTGAGGAAGATCACATAAAATCAAGTCTACCGGACATCGAAGCTTGCTTAGCTGAGATTTATAAAATCAATTCAATTTTCTTGAACTTTTATATTTTAGGGAAATTTCTGACTGGGTTAGCAATTTTTCTGTATATTGTGAAGCTGATAAAAAATTAAAATACTCAGGTGAAATTAAAGTTCTAAGGAAGATTTTCTGTCCCTACTTTTATAGGTAGGTTCTCTTTCTTATAAATCTATCAACTTTTTTTAGCATGTCCTAAGTATTTACTCATTCATTATCTATTTACTCATTCATTATTTGGTAAGTAACTTCAATGTGCTAAGAACGGTTCTAAGATTTGGGGGAAGATCTGTGAACAAAATCGACCAATTTCCTGCCTTTTTGGAATGTTCATTTTTTTAAGGATAACCCACAGTAATTTAAAAGTAAGCAAATAGACATGGAAAATAATGTCAGTTTATTTGCCAAGAACCCAGAGTGTAACTAACCTCATTATTAGAGAATGATAACCTTCTACTTCAAATTATATAATTATTAGACATCCTCTTTAAAAGGTATTTCAGGTATCATTTTGATAAATCACAAAGCTTATTTTTATTTTAAGATGATAACTCTATGAGAGTTATTACTCAGACTGACTGCATCAGATTTTTCTGGAGGTTTCCATTAAACATATAGATTCTTGGATTCCACTCAAGGTGGATTAAATCATAATCTTCAGGGCTGAGGGCTGAGTATGTGTGCCTCTGAGTGTTTTCCCCGGGTCGCTGGATATGCAGCCAGGATAGGAATCACTGCAGCTACATTAGAAACAAAAAGGACTTTAGACACACTTATTCTCTTTATTATTAGCACATGGAGAAATTGATTAGGAGTAGAACATAATTTGTGGTTTCCCTCATCCTTCATCTCTCTATCTGCAGGCAAAGGTGAGAACAAGCTTCATGACCTCAATATAGAACTTCAGTTACCAGACCTCCTACAGTGCCTCAATACTACTTTGAAGGTCAGAATCAGGCAGAACTGTGTCTTGATGGAATAGGTAGCAATTTACAGTTAAGCACCACAGTGATGTGATTTGTTCTTATAACCACCTAAACTGGATGTATAATGATTTCAGTCTAAGATGAGCTGTGTATGTGCCCCATACAATATAGAATAAAAGATTATCAGTCTTTTATATACATGGCATGGTTATATTGTCACAAACTATATTGGCCTTAGTAGAAAAAAAATAGACCAAAATTTCAAAAAGGATGAGAAAATTTTTGACTGAAGTTCCTCAATTTTTAGAAAGACCCTGACAATTATCCTGCATGTAGCAAGTAACATTGTTAATTACCTAGCGAATTGTTTGTCATCAGAAAATCCCAGAGGATACATTAGGAAGTTACACTGCTCAAGGTTAAAGATTTTGTGAAGGATTTATTTATTGTGGTTATGCTCTGCGGCGGTGTTTTGCAAACCTACCTTCAACTTGAAAACTCAGCCAAGGAACTCAAAAAAATTTGATATCCAGGTCCCACCTCCAGATGCTCTGAATTAAATTGGTCTAAGGTGGGATTTAGGCATTCAATTTTTTAAAAAGTTTCCTCGGTGATTCTACTATGCAGCCCAAGTAGAGAATTACAGCCCTGTGGCTTAGAAATTTGGTGCCTAAATTTTCCTATATTGTCATACAGGCACAAGCCCCATTTGTTCTTAGGCCCATATGTTTTACTCAATTTTCACACTTAAGCAGAAACATGGAATGCATTGGTCATGCCCAAGTACTTGTCAGGGGATGTACTTTTGAGCTCATGATCATTCAACACCCACTAGAACTTAAGTTAGAAAACCATTATTAAACATAGTCCAATAAAAGTTCATTGGGTTTTAGGTAAGTCAAAAAGTGAGAATCATGAGTAGTGTTACACAGTCAATAACCACTAGGACCTCGGTATTAACCACCAGCAGAACTTCTTAGTTATTGTAAACTCTCTTATCTTTCTAATTTAATTTTATATATTATCTTGCACAATTGTAAAATTCATATATCTCTATCTCTCTCTCACCTACCCACGCACTTAGATTATTAGCTATCGAAAGAAGAAACTATGTCTTTTATGTCTCTATATCTTTTATTTCTCTTGTATTTCATCAGAATAGAAACAGTGCCAAGAATCTAATAAATGTTTGATAAATATTTTTAAAAGAAATAATAAATGAATAAATGAACAATTGATCCTTGTATCTCAGATGACAGAATGTAATTATATGTCCTTAGAATTGTAAATATCCTAAGACAATGTGTTAAGAATGTTAAGTACAAAAATAAAAGCAAGGATGGTAAGTTGTGTTAAAAATAAACAAACAAAATAAATCCCACTAGTAATATCTGCTATGGTTTAAATGTTCCTCGCAAAAAGTATGTGTTGGGCCTAATGGGAGATGTTTAGGTCATGAGGGCTCTAACCTCATGAAGGGATTAAAGTCAATTGTAAAAGGTCTTGATGCTGTCAGTTCACACTCTTGCTCTCACTTACCCTCTCTTTGCATCTCTGCCATGGGATAATGCAGCAAGAAGGCTCTCACCAGATGCCAGCCCCTTGATCTTGGCCTTCTCAGCCTCCAAAACCATGAGCCAAATACATATCTGTTCATTATAAATTACTCAGTCTCTCCTAGCACTTTGGAAGGCTGAGGTGGGCAGATCACTTGAGGTCAGGCGTTCCAGACTAGCCTGGCCAACATGGTGAAACCCCATCTTTACTAAAAATACAAAAATTAGCTGGGCATGGTGGCGAGTGCCTGTAATCCCAGCTACTCAGGAGGCTGAGGCAGGAGAATTGCTTGAACCTGGGAGGTGGAGGTTGCAGTGAGCTGAGATTGCACCACTGCACTCCAGCCTGGGTGACAGAGCAAGACTGTCTCAAAAAAAAACCCCATAAAAATAAATAAATAAATTACTAAATCAATAAATAAATTACTCAGTCTCAGATACTCTGTTTTAGCAGCGCAAAGCAGACTAAGAAAGTTGCTTCTGAGAAGCGCGGCTGTTGCTATACCAAATAACTGAAAATGTGGAAATTAATTTGGAATTGGGTAATGGATAAAGGTTGGAAGAGAAGGCTAGAAAAAACCCAGAAAGCTGGAAAAATTTGGAAGAGCAAGCTAGAAAACTGCAGTGAATGAATGTTTAGGGTCATTCTGGTGAGGGCTCAGAAGAAGAGAATATTTGTAGAGACTTCTTTTTTCTTTTTTACTTTTTTTGAGACAGAGTCTTACTCTGTCGCCTAGGCTGGAGTGCAGTGGCATGATCTCAGCTCACTGCAACATCTGCCTCCTGGGTTCAAGTGATTCTCCTGCTTCAGCTTCCTGAGTAGCTGGGATTACAGGCATGCGCCACCACATCTGGCTAATTTTTGTATTTTTAATAGAGATGAGGTTTCACCATGTTGGCCAGGCTAGTCTCTAACTCCTGACCTCAAGTGATCCGCCCACCTCAGCCTCCCAAAGTGCTGAGATTACAGGTGTGAGCCACTGTGACCAGACGTCTGAGACTTCTTAGAGATTACTTAAGTGGTTGAAATCAGAATATTGGTGGAACTATGTAAAGGCAATTATAACAAGGTATCAGATGGAAATGAGGAACAAGGTATTGGAAACTGGAGTAAAGGCCATCCTTGTTATAAAGCAGCACAGAACTTGGTTAAATCGTGTTCATGCTCTAGGGCTTTATCAAAGGTGGAATTTAAGAGTAATGAACTAAGATATCTGGCAGAAGAAATATCTAAACAGCAACATATTCAAGGCGGTACGTGGTTTCTTTTGGCTATTCATAGGAAAATGAGAGAAATGAGAAGTTATTTAAAGACAGAATTTATAATGAAAATGAAAGAAGAAAGGAAAGATTTGGAAAATATGCAGCCTGGCCTTGTAAAGAGTGAAGACATGTTTAAAAGAGAAAACCAAAGGTGTAGTCAAGTAACTGTTTACTACAGAGGTTATTACAGATAGAAGGGAGCCAGATGCTATTCATCAAGACAATGGGACAATGACTTTAAAGGCATTTTAGAGCTCTTGGATGCAGGCTAGAATCTTGAAAGCAAGGGTTCCAGAGAGGTGCCAATAGGCCCTCAGCATTCACTGGCCTGTGCCACCTCAAATCTCTGCTCCCCATATTTTAGCACAATGCTTCTTGGCCACCGCAGCCTTGGTCAAGTGGGCCCAGCTGTGGCTCCTGCTCCTGCTCTGGAGGCCACAAGCCATAAACTTTGGCAGCATTCACATGATGCTGACTCTGCAAATGAGCAGAGTGCATGAGCTGTGAGGCCATGGCAACCTCCACCTAGATTTCACAGGATGTATTAGACAGTCTGGGGGTTCAGGAAAGGAAATTTGTCACAGGGACAGAGCCATGACACAGAGCCCCCACTAAAGCAATGCCCAGCAGAACTGTGGGTTTCGGGCTGCTGCAGAGACCCCAGAACTGTAGAGCCACCACCATGCAACTCCAGCCTGAGGGAGCTACAGGCATGCAACTCTAGCCTATGAGAACTGCAGCATGACCTGTGCTCAGCAGAGCCATAGGAGCCAGGCTGCCTGAGGTCTTGGGAGTCTAATCCCCACTCCAGTGTTCCCAGGATGCAAGTCACAGAGTCATTATTCTGGCATCTTAAGATTTAATGTTATTTTTCCCTCTTGGGTTTTGGACTCACCTGGGACCAGTTACCCCATTCTTCTTGCCGATTTTTTCCTTTTGAAATGAAAATGTCTACTATCCTATCTATCCTATGTCTGTCCTACCATTGTATTTTGGAAGTAGATAACTTGTTTAATTTTGCAGGCCCACAGCTAAAGGGAAATTTGCCTTAGGATGAAGCATGTCTTGAGGCTAACCTGTATCTGATTTAGATGAAAGTCTGGACTTTGGACTTTTGAGCTGATACTGGAGCAATTTAAAACTTTTGGGGCTATTGGGATGGAATTAATGTAATTTGTATGTGAGAAGAACATGAATTTTGAGGGTAAAGGGGGGAATGCTATGGTTTAAATATCTCCCTCCAAAAGCATGTATTAAAATCTTAATCCCCAATGCAGTCATGTTGGGAGGCAGTGCCCAATGGTAGGTGTTTAGGTCATGAGAGTACCACCTTCATGAATGGATTAGTGCTGATTATAAAAGGACTTGAGGCTATGAATTTACTCTTGTACTCTCTCTTATTCTCTCTTTGCCCTTCTGTCATGCTATGACAGAGCAAAAAGGCCCTCACCAGATGCAGCCCCTCAATCTTGGACTTCCCAGGCTCTAGAACCATGAGCCAAATGAATTTCTGTTAATTATAAACCACCCAGTCTCAGGTATTCAGTTATAGAAGTAGAAAATGGGCTAAGAAAGCCTTCTTCTTCTTTCTGCTTAGTATTCTATATTCCATACTGTTAGCAAGTTCACAGCTAAATAAGAATCCATATGTGTGCCTAGCAGGAGGGGTGATGGATGGCAATTTTTCAGTTTCTTTCTATACTGATGACTGAAACTTATGGATCTTAGCACTTCCCAGTTGCTGGTGATTAATGGGTTTGTTTACATCTTCTCCCTTTGGTCTAGAGGGAGATACTGAGTGGGGTTCCTGCCAGCACTCTGGAAGGTTTGGTTCTGTCCCAAAGCCAAGAACTCTGCAGCCCAAGCTGTGTTTATGCCATGGAAGCCCTTGGGCTTTTTTGGATTTTAATCACTTTCTGAACAGATGCATTTCTGTTAGGATGAACAAGGTATTGAAATTTGCACTGTGCTCATTAAAATCAAAACTCTGGTTATTAAACAGTGTTCATTTTTGCTTCCAACAAATAAGTAAAATAAAATAAAATGTGATTTCTTTCAATCTGATTCCTCATGCCACAGTTACACTTTTAACAAAAATTACAAGGACTTCTAAATTATAATCTCAGATTATTGATATCCCCTTTTTGGTTGAACAATGATATGAGTAAAGTGGAAACAAATATGAAAAACCTCTGTGAACAGCAAGACATATAAGGTAGCAGGCTGTTTCCTGTCTTTGAGAAAGTAAAATGTGTGTGTTTATGCGTGAATAATTATGCTCTATGTGCACAAGCAACATGTTTACTTTTCATTATCTGACAAGGTCCAGAGTGTGTTACTTAATTATGAAACTGGCTTTCACACAAAAATAGGAGTTACTTTTAATTTCATAGCACTGCCCTGTTAAGAAGGAGGGTGGAAAATTAAGCCAAATTAATGAATAAACTTCTGCAACTTCTTGCCATCAGAAAACATTGTATGCACAGTCTGATAATTGGCTTGTATAGCTTTGTATGCCTAGAACCCTCTCTTTCCTCTTTATTTCTTTGGTAGTGTTTATTGCCTTCTCTGGAAAGCCCATGAAAACCAGATCTGATATTTTTATTGTGTTGAAATAATTCTGGTAAAAGTTGGTTCTCAATAAACACAACAGGTGTCAAGAAAAGCAGCTAAGTCTGGTTTAGAGGCCTAGCAGATGAGAAAACACTGAACCAGGAATGGAGAGAAAGGACCTTTGATTCTCTGATACAGACACTATTGTGGTTGTGGGTTTGTGACAGTTGCCAAGAGCTTCTAGCCACGAGCTTTTATCAAATTGTGACACAAAGTTAGAATTTAAAAATGACAGAGAATTAAGTGCAACAGAGACATCCCTTAAGAGGATGAGAGGAAAGAGGGTAAGGATATATCTAGTTGACCCCAAGTTTTGGTTAGAAAAATATGATGCTTTGATGAATAAATCTCTGATGACTAAAGCTTCTTTATAAAAAAAAATGCCTGTGCTATAATAAGTAACAAATAGAAATTTCATAAACTGCGTAAAGTAATGTTACTATGTCTCCTACCCTAGTAACCGCTGATTCTTCAGATCATACCAGTTGGGAGCTAAATACTGAATCACATCGGCAATAACAAATTATTTAATTAGGTCTACACTTTCTTGCAGAATCTCCTCTCACCCTCATATTTCTAGACATATTCAAGGCACGTCCAAGCTCACTAACAGCTATAACAGGTCAACAGCAATTTTTTCCTCTTTTGCTCTCATTCTTCCTGTGGTGCCTGCTACTGAGGGCTTCAATTCTCAATAAGTCTTATAAGAACTCTTTCATTGCAGCCACAGTGGTCATTAATATGTTGGGAGTTTTTTGGCAGCAAGTGACAGAACCCAGTTAACCTTGGTTAGCTGATGAAATCCCATGGCAGGATTGCAGTGGTCTTAGGAGCAAAAGAGTCCGTGAATTCAACCAGAACAGGAGTCTCCTCCTCCCTTTTCACCTTGTTGCATCTGCTTTATTCTCACCTCTTTCTTCAGGTTGGCTCTTTCCAAGACACATGCTGATAGTTTCTGATCTTTGTATTTTGTGAACTAGGCATCCACAAGGCACTGCCAACTCTGTCAATTCTAGAATTTCCAGGCAAGGCTCTCATTGGCTCAGTGTTGGTCAGGTGCTCTCCACTTGTACAATCAAGCACGAACATAAAAGGGTAACACCATGACTGGCCCAGCTGGACATAAAAGGGTAACAACACCATGACTGGCCCAGCTGGAGCCATGTGCCCACTCCTGGACCAATCCATAGTGGTCAGGGAGCAAGCTGACATTGTAACATGGCCACTAAGCAATATGTGGTCAGCAGTCACACCAGTCTTCCTGACCACTAAATACTGAGCACATAGCATTGACCATCACCCAGGCAGAAGTACAGCAGTGCAATCTCAGCTCACTGCAACTTCTGCCTCCTGGGTTCAAGCAATTCTCCTGCCTCAGCCTCCTGAGTAGGTGGGATTACAGGCTCCCGCTACCACACCTGGCTAATTTTTGTATTTTTAGTAGAGACGGGGTTTCTCCATGTTGGCCACGCTGGTCTCGAACTCCTGATCTCAAATGATCTGTCTGCCTCGGCCTCTCAAAGTGCTGGGATTATAGGCAGGAGCCACCACACCCAGTCCCTAGTGGGTATTTTTTAAACTGCAGGATGAATGGGTTATGAGTGTGCATGTTTGTGCATAGGGTGTGTGTGTGCATCGTAGACTGGTGGTCAGTAGGAAAACCAAGGGTTTCCTATGTGCTCATGTTACTGTCACTTCCCGTTGATGCCTACAGTGATGACACTGAACCAAACTGCAAGTATTCCACAGTGCCAACATCATGCTGATTTCTGACACTGCAAGATCTTGTGGTAGTTTCTTCTATATTCTGTGCCTCAATGAAGTAAAAAATATTTCTTATTCATGGCTACTGTTGCCATGGTCTCTGTTCACAGCTGCTGAGGTCAGGCTTTGCTGGAGCTGTTCTTCCATGTTAAGTCACAGGCATGTGGAGAGTAACAGTATATGACAGATGCTTGTGCATCTCTTTCACAGAGATCATGTAGGATCATCTGTTTAAATGAGAACTCTCTCTTGTTCTTGAGGTGCAGGCCCCACAGAGGTGCTGTCCTGTCATTCTAAAGTTTTTGAAAATTTTATGTATTCTTTCAGTATCACCTGCATGCCTTACTCCCTGAGACTCATGGGCTCATTGCTGGAGGGCAGTCTTAGACCTCAGCGTCATGCTCTGCTGGCTAATAATTCCTTTTTCCTCTGAAGTTGGGGCATCCAGACTGAGTCAAATTCGTGTTCCTGAGTAACTCTTTGCTTAGGATCAGTTATTTTCCACATGTGGCCTGTGTTCTTCATGCATCTCCTGCTATGGTGGGTCTGTTCTACCTCTAGACAACCTTGACATGTCCAAATCTCAAGGCATACATAATTTAGGCTGGAACCACGACTCCTGTGGATGTCTGGCTGAACAGGATGCAATGGCATAACACACAATTTCCATTTATCTATTTCAAACCCCCACCCAGGATAGTAAACAGGACCAAGCCTAGGTATGTTGGTGAAAGCTGGGAAAGTGTCTTTATTGGCTTCAACTTTCCCATCTTGTGACCATTATCCCCCTCTGGATGATGATCTTCTTCTGCCTTAAGGCATAAATGCACTTAGGTATTTGCATTTTTAACCTTTTAAACTTCTGATCCCATAGTGTAACATGATTGCTTGCTGATACAATTGAGGGAGGGGGATTCATTTAATTGGTTCCAGACAGTGGAAGGGGAGATAGTCTTCAGTTCCTGGTTGAAGTGGAGGGAAGGTAGGATTGAAGTCAGCCCCAAGGGCAACCAGAGTTCAAGCCTTTAAAAGGGGGCTAGATTTAAAGATGAATGATGAACCCTATTCCCTTTCCTCTCTCAAGATTCCTTTTTTCCCTGGAGAGAAAATGAGGGAGTCCCCTGAATCCCCCTGAGGTTGTTTTCTTGGAGCTTCAAGAGTGAAGTAAGTGTTCATCGTCATGTGCTCCTTGAGGACCTGGAGCTAAGCCTGGAGTTACTTGGGTCCCCTCCACCACCAGTGACTGTCCTTCCAACTTCCCCTGTCCTTACATCTCTAGTTTAAACTCAGGTCAATCTTCTCTCTTAATCTCTGTCACTCTTTACCTCCTTGTTCCAAAGTGCATATTTTTTTTCAGATTTATTATATTTATTTATTTTACATTTGAAAATAGTACCAATAAAATGACTCAAAATTGGAAAACAGAGAAAAAAGTGGAAAAAATATATAAATATGCACCATTCTAATGTAAAAAAAGAAGTCCAACATTTTATCTAGATAGTAATTCCTTTCTGTTTTTTTGTAAGCATAATTTCTAAAAAGTTATAAACATAAAATAGTTTTAATCGCTTGGAAGTACACTTTTTTTTTCTTACTTTGTAACTTATGCCTTTATATGCCTTTTGTGGATTCTCACATGGTCGTTATAACCAGTTGGTATGTATTTAACATAAATTAAGTTAGTATTTAATTGTGTTTTCACCCCATGATCTAGAATGCTTTCTTATTTGATTTTAACTTCTGGTAGTAAAGCTTCTAACAATGAAATCTGTTTGTAGAAAATTCCTCTTTAATAATAGATGTAGAGCTGCAGTTGGTTTGGAGCTGAGAGCTCCCAAAATAACTGAATTAGGTCATAAGACTGAACAATTTTGCTGTTGGAGATAGCCCAAAACATCCATCCATCAAAAAGTTCAGTTAGATAGTTATATAACCCAATGAAAGGGAAATGAGAGAAAATATCTTGTATTTAAGATATACATAAATGGTTTATAAACCCAGTGAAAAAAATTTGGTGCGTCTCATACTAGGTCAGGGGCATTTTGAGGCTTCTTCTCATCTACCATTCTATTTCTTTACATCTTCCCCAAAAAACTAAAAAAAAATTAGATAATTTCCGTTTCACTGATGATCTAGGTAGAAAAGAAAGTGTCTTACTCGTGATTTCAGCGTGCATAAAGAATTTAAGCTACTTTTCAGGTATTTCAAGTTATCTTTCAATTCTGATTTCCCAAAGAAAACTCCAGAACAATTTCCAACTGCCTCAATTTTCTATTTCAGGTGAATGTGGATTATTTTGGCCTGTATTGTTTTGAAATTGCACTTTGAGTATGTATATCCATTTACCTAAGGGAGAAAAGTATACTGTACATATTATTGCAAAAGTTTGAAAGGACTAATTTAGAAATGTATTCTGACCTAAAGTACAGGGCTTGTATTTCCTAGTTGTCCCTCTTGAAAAAAAAAATGCCAGAAAACACTCCTGAATAATCACTGCAGCTTAATTCCAGAGCTCTGCTTGCCACAGCTTTCGGTATGACATTCATTAGCTCTGCAGCACATAGTCCATCCTCTGAACCAGGGAAGGGGTTAAGAGTGAGGTGCTGGAATATATTGAGTCCCGTGGGATCAATCATCTCAGGGCTGCCAGTGTCCTCAGAGAGCAAGGGAAAGGCCTTGGAGAAAAGGTGCTCTTTGCTTCTTTTCTTTTTCAGTGTGGACAAACCCCCCAGTTTATTAGATTCCAAGTTTTATTATATTTTATTTGTACCCATAAATAATTTTAGAGTACAAATAAAGAGAATTTATGTGAAGTAAATAATTTGTGAGGCCAACCATTTGGCTTATGTGTTTGAATTCTGTCTTCTTCATTCTACCCTCCAATTTATTTTTTTTCTAATTTTGCCTAGTAGAGGAGGTTGAATTGATGTTTTGTGTTTTGAAGGGTGTTTTTAGTCCTAACAGCTATAATTGTGCCTTTAGAGCCAGATCATGGCAAAATAATTGAAAATCCTTGCAGCATGTGAGGAACACCATATGAAACAGTGAAGAGTGGGTTCAGATTTCAAAATGTGGCCACTGATGTATCTGGAATGAATATTTTGTTCTGTTATGTTTAAATATTTGAATATTTGGTGATATCTAGGTCAACAGCTCTCAAACTTTTTGTCTCAGAGTGACTTTACACTTTTAAAAGTCATCGATGTTCCCCAAGGAGTTTTTGCTTACTGTAGTACTCCCTTATTCATGGAGGTTGCATTCCAAGACCCCCAGTGGATGCCTGAAACCTTGGATAGTACTAAACCCTATATATACTATGTCTTTTCTTATATATACATGCCTATGATAAAGTTTAATTTATAAATTAGGTGCACTGATAATTAATAACAGTAACTAATAATAAAATAGAACAATTATAAAATTATACTGATATGGTCTTGCTGTGTCCCAACCCAAATCTCATCTTGAGTTATAGCTCTGATAATTCCCACATGTTGTGGGAGGGACCCAGCGGGAGATAATTGAATCATGGGGGCGGGTCTTTCTCGTGCTATTCTTGTGAGAGTGAATAAGTCTCACAAGATCTGATGGTTTTATAAAGGAAAGTTTCCCTGCACAAACTCTCTTCTCTTGCCTGCCACCATGTGAGACATGCCTTGCACCTTCCACCATGATTGAGAGGCCTCTCTAGCCACATGAAGCTGTGACTCTATTAAACTCCTTTCTTTTGTAAATTGCCCAGTCTCAAGTATGTCTTTATTAGCAGTGTGAAAATGAACTAATACATATATACTGAAATAAAAGTTATGTAAATATGATCTCTCTCTCAAAATATCTTATTGTATATAATATTTTTGAACTATGGTTGACCTCAGTGTTACTGAAACTGCAGAAAGTGAAACCATGAATGAAAGGGAATCTACTGAGATTTATCATTTTAGAAATTAAAACAGAAATTGGGAAAAAAGAAATTATTTACAATTCTAAAATAATAATAGAGTTGGATGTTAATATAAATATTTATATTAAAAATATTCATCTTTTCTAAAATAAAAACAGCAATTTAGTGAGAAGAGCAACATTGTTTTACATTTTTGAAATCTCTTTAATATTGAACTGTTCAAAACAGCTGGATTATCATATTTGCTTCTGAATTCAATCTGATGCAATATTTTATTTTTATTAAAGTATATACAGATAGGTAGTTAGAAAGGATATTTTAATAGCCTTAAAAAGGAAACTATGGAAAACCTTCTTTGATATTATACTATAACTAGGCATGTGGTAGTTTTTTAAATGTTAGTTGCAATGTAGATTCTGAAGCCATATCAATTAATTTTTTGTGCACTGTTACCTGAAAGCTATGTTAAAATCCTTTTGTCTATCTTGCAATGTGAATGATTCTTTTAATCATGCTTGGTTGGTAATACTGCATAGATTACTTGGAAAATATTGGTTCACATGCACATTTTCCCAGTGTTGACACATTTATTATAAGATATTAAAACATCACTTTTTTTATTATACTTTAAGTTTTTTAAATATACTTTAAGTTCTGGGATATTATACTTTAAGTTCTGGGGTATTGTACTTTAAGTTCTGCAGAACGTGTGGGTTTGTTACATAGGTATGCATATGCCATGGTGGTTTGCTGCACCCATCAACCCATCATCTACATCAGGTATTTCTCCTAAGGCTATCCCTCCCCTAGCACCCCCGACCCCCTGACAGGCCCCGATGTGTGATATTCCCCTCCCTGTGTCCATGTGTTCTCATATTCAACTCCCATTATGAGTGAGAACATGTGGTGTTTGGTTTTCTGTTCCTGTGTTAGTATGCTGAGAATGATGGTTTCCAGCATCATTCATGTCTCTGCATAGGACATGACCTCTTCCTTTTTTATGGCTGCATAGTATTCCATGGTGTATATGTGCCACATTTTCTTTATCCAGTCTATCATTGATGGGCATTTGGGTTGGTTCCAAGTCTTTGCTATTGTGAATAGTGCCGCAATAAACATACACGTGCATGTGTCTTTATCATAGAATGGTTTATAATCCTTTGGGTATATACCCAGTAATGGGATTGCTGGGTCAAATGGTATTTCTGTTTCTAGATCCTTGAGGAATTGCCACACTGTCTTCCACAATTGTTGAACTAATTGTTCACCCACCAACAGTGTAAAAGTGTTCCTGTTTCTCCACGTCCTCTCCAGCATCTGTTGTTTCCCAACTTTTTAATGATTGCCATTCTAACTGGCATGAGATGGTATCTCATTGTGGTTTTTATTTGCCTTTCTCTAATGACCAGTGATGAGGAGCTTTTTTTTGGTATGTTTGTTGGCTGCATAAATGTTTTCTTTTGAAAAGTGTCTGATCATATCCTTCACCCACTTTTTGATGGGGTTCTTTGTTTTTTTCTTGTAAATTTGTTTAAGTTCCTTGTAGATTCCGGATATTAGCCCTTTGTCAGATGGATAGATTGCAAAAATTTTCTTCAATTCTGTAGGTTGCCTGTTCACTCTGATGATATCTTTTGCTGTGCAGAAGATCTTTAGTTTAATTAGATCCCATTTGTCAATTTTGGCTTTTATTGCCATTGCTTTTGGTGTTTTAGTCATGAAGTCTTTGTCCATGCCTATGTCCTGAATGATATTGCCTAGGTTTTCTTCTAGGGTTTTTATGGTTTTAGGTCTTACCTTTAAGTCTTTAATCCATTTTAAGTTAATTTTTGTATAAGGTGTAAGGAACGAGTCCAGTTTCAGTTTTCTGCATATGGCTAGGCAGTTTTCCCAACACCATTTATTAAATACGGAATCCTTTCTTCATTGCTTGTTTTTGTCAGGTTTGTTGAAGATCAGATGGTTGTAGATGTGTGGCATTATTTCTGAGGCCTCTGTTCTGTTCCATTGGTCTGTGTATCTGTTTTGGTACCAGTACCTTGCTGTTTTGGTTACTGTAGCCTTGTAGTATTGTTTGAAATCAGGTAGTGTGATGTCTCCAGCCTTGTTCTTTTTGCTTAGGATTGTCTTGGCTATACAGGCTCTTTTTTGGTTCCATATAAAATTTAAAATAGTTTTTTCTAATTCTGTGAAGAAAGTCAATAGTAGCTTGATGGGGACAGCATTGAATCTATAAATTGCTTTGGGCAGTATGGCCATTTTCATGATATTGATTTTTCCTATCCATGAGCATGGAAGGTTTTTCCATTTGTTTGTGTCCTCTCTTATTTCCTTGAGCAGTGGTTTTTAGTTCTCCTTGAAGAGGTCTTTCACATCCCTTGTAATTTGTATTCCTAGGTATTTTATTGTCTTTGTAGCAATTGTAAATGGGAGTTCACTCATGATTTGGCTCTCTGTTAGTCTATTATTGGTGTATAGGAATGCTTGTGATTTTTGCACGTTGATTTTGTATCCTGAGACTTTGCTGAAGTTGCTTATCAGCTTGAGGAGATTTTAGGCTGAGACGATGGGGTTTTCTAAGTATATAATCATGTCACCTGCAAACAGAGACAAATCAACTTCCTCTCTTCCTATTTAAATGCCCTTTATTTCTTTCTCTTGCCTAATTGCCCTGGCCAGAACTTCCAATACTATGCTGAATAGAAGCAGTGAGAGAGGGCATCCTTGTGTTGTGCCTGTTTTCAAAGGGAATGCTTCTAGCTTTTGCCCATTCAGTATGATATTGGCTGTGGGTTTGTCATAAACAGCTCTTATTATTTTGAGAAATGTTCCATCAATACCTAGTTTATTGAGAGTTTTTAACATGAAATGTTGTTGAATTTTATTAAAGGTTTTTTCTGCATCTATTGAGATAATCATGTGGTTTTTGTCATTGGTTCTGCTTATGTGATGGATTACATTTATTGATTTGTGTATGTGAAACCAGCCTTGCATCCCAGGGATGAAGCCAACTTGACTGTGGTGGATAAGATTTTTGATGTGCTGCTGGATTTTGTTTGCCAGTATTTTATTGAGGATTTTTGCATCGATGTTCATCAGGGATATTGGCCTGAAATTTTCTTTTTTTGTTGTGTCTCTTCCAGGTTTTGGTATCAGGATGATGGTGGCCTCATAAAATGAGTTAGAGGAGTCCCTCTTTTTCTGTTGTTTGGAATATTTTCAGAGGGAATGGTATAAGCTCCTCTTTGTACCTCTGGTAGAATTTGGCTCTGAATCCGTCTGGTCGTGGGCTTTTTTTGGTTGGTAGGCTGTTAATTACTGCCTCAATTTCAGAACTTGTTATTGGTGTATTTGGGAATTCGACTTCTTCCTGGTTTAGACTTGGGAGGGTGTATGTGTCCAGGAATTTATCAATTTCTTCTAGATTTTCTAGTTTATTTGCATACAGGTGTTTATAGTATTCTCTGATGGTAGTTTGTATTTCTGTGGGATCAGTGGTGATATCCCCTTTATCAGTTTTTATTGTGTCTATTTGATTCTTCTCTCTTTTCTTCTTTATTAGTCTGGCTAGCAATCTATCTATTTTGTTAATCTTTTCAAAAAGCCAGCTCCTGGATTCATTAATTTCTTGAAAGGTTTTCTGTGTCCCTATCTCCTTCAGTTCTGCTCTTATCTTAGTTATTTCTTGTCTTCTGCTGGCTTTTGAATTTGTTTGCTCTTGCTTCTCTAGTTCTTTTAATTGGACACCACATTTATTAATATCACCACAGATCCCATAGAAAAGCCTATCATTAGGGAGAAACTGCCAACCTCAGTGTTGGATATGAGTTTTTCAAAATTCTAAATGTTGTTGAATATGCAGATTTAGTCATTGGCAACAGATTCAATTGGTTGTTTTCCTTAAGGTAACAGGCCTACTTTGTTCATTTTTGAGAAAATATCTGCCAAATACCCAAGTCTGAATAATCATAATCAGAACTCTCAGTTGATCTTACAAGTAAGAATGATGTTCCATGAAAAGAGGCTATTTCAGCTCAACTCAAAAGGCCCAAGGCTTTTCCTGGAGTAACATTTTATTTTGGTATGTGACAGAAGTACTTTACATATACTTCCCATGTCTACCCACAGAATAATATTAATAATACAGATACTTGAGGTTTGAAATTTAATATTTTTACTGTTTTATGAAGAACTTCAAGTGAAACTTCCACTCACTGTCATTATTTTTATTGCAAACACTGTAAGAACATTGGGTGCCACTGCCTTCCTGCTTAAGCGCTGCAATTTTTCCCATGATTGCTTAAGCACCATTGGTGCAAATGTCAACACTGCAAAAGAGTCATGAACATCATTATATTCTTATGAAAAAGACTCTGACTTCTTATACCTGAAAGTGTCTGAGGGATTTCCAGGGGTCCATGTACTATGCTTTTGGAAGCACTGATCTAGATCCTCATCTGACTTTTTAGTTGTCAGGGAGAGGTCAAACATTTTTCACTAGAAGTAAAGTGAAGGAAGTAAAACACATTTTGGGACATAAAATTTTAATGGCTTGACAGATTGCAAGTTTTAATACAATTTTGCTACTGAAAGGGAACAGCGGTATATTTTCCTCTATACAAAAACGATTTCCAGAGACAAAAAACACACAGTTCTCAAATTAATACCATACTAGAAAATGAGCCTTCAAAACAAGTAAAAATTTCCAGTACTTATTCATTCACAAAATATTTTAAAATGTATAATATTAGCCAGGTACATAGAAATGAGAAATAAGGTGAAATGTAGAAGTGATAAATGTATAGTAATATGCTTTTATTAAAATGATTTTTATAATTAATTTAAAATCTATTCTTTGTGCTTATACTCCACAGAGTTAATTTCATTTGTTTATTTAAACCAATATCTACTTTCCCTCTCAGGTAGAACTTTGGTATCAAAACAATTCTGTAGCAATAGCCAATGTGGCAGCAAAGTTAAATGGAAATGTTTTGTGACCACAGTCCTTGCTATGTAAAGTTCTTCTTTTTAAAGTTTTTCTTTTTCTTTCTTTCCTTCCTTTCTTCCTTCCTCCCTCCCTCCCTTCTTCTCTTCCTTCCTTCCATTCTTTCTTTCTTTCCTGTCTTTCATTCATTGCAAAACGTTTATTTTGGGGCACTGAGCTGTGGCTCATGCCTGTAATCCCAGCACTTTGATAGTCTGAGGCAGGAGGAATGACTGAGGCCAGGAGTTTGTAACCAGCCTGGGCAATATAGTGAGACCCTCATCTCTATGGTAAAAAAAAAAAATGAAGAATTAGCTGGGCATGGTGGCGTGTGACTGTAGTCCTAGCTCTCAGGAGGCTGAGGCAGGAGAATCACTTGAGCCCAGGAATTTGAGGTTAAAGCGATCTATGATCATATCCCTGCACTCTGGCCTAGGCAACAGAGTGATATTATTAGGTAGGTAGGTAGGAGTGATGGATTAGAAGTAGGACTAAAAGGAAGGTAGGAATGATTCATCTGAGAATGAATCTGAAGTAATAATCACACATCACTCCTACCTTCCTTTTTATTTTTATTTTTCAGCTTGAGAAACTCTGTGAACTTCTGTGTACATATTGTACAGTTACTGTGAGATCTCTTTCATACAGCAGTACTAATACCAACATGATAGACAGGCGGCTCTGCTCTCATACTCTAAGGAGGATGTGTGGCTGTTAAGAGCTCAGACTCTGAAGTAAAATGGCCTTCTATTCCAATCTCATATGTACTTTGGTGAAATTATGAAAAACCTCAAAAACCTTGGTCTCTTCATCCATAAAAATGGCCTAATATTAGTTTAATTGAGATAATGCATGTATAGTACTTAGCACAATGACTGGCACATACGTATGTATTTGTTATTATTACTTCTGAGTTTCAGTGTCTTCAGCATTTGTATTCGATAAGATACAAGGGCTCCAACAATAAAGGAAAATTCCTTTCTTAATGATTTACTTTTGTGCTAATAAAATTTCTGGAGACTACCAGCTGCTGTTCAAAGGGAAAATCTACTGGTATGAGAACGGTCACCAATTTACATACACCATACATAGCTGTAAAAAGAAAATATAGTTTAGGCTGAAGTTTCATTTGTGCCTAATCTACTGAGTAGGTGGGTAAAACAATTTATTCTAATCCAATAACTTTAGTCCAACACAGTGGTTTGAGTGTTTAGGCACTTAGTGTTTTTTTGGTCTAAATCCCAGTATTTTGGTTTTCCTCTTCTCAACCTGCTTCTCTCCAACATGGAATCTGGGTTTTTTGAGAGGAAGATCCTGTGGTAAAGAGGAAGGGACACTCCTTCAGATTTATTTTCAAGGCTGTGGATGATTCCTTGGTCCTTATGGAAATGCCTCTTGTTTTACTATGACTATTGCTTGCCTCTTATCCTTAGAAGGTGAGGTTGTTGTCTCTTCTTTACAAATGTAGGATCAAGGCCAAGCAGTTCTCTTTGGTTACTGGCTCTAAGATGTCTATGACATCCAATCAGTTCCTGGAACACTTTGCCCTCACCATATTGATATCACACTCACTTTCTAGAGACCCAAGTCCTATGATGAACTGACTTCTGTGTGCCATCTTGGGGTCAAGTGGGAAAGTCTGTATTAGGAGAACTCAACTAAGACCCTTCTCATATCTAATCACACTTTGTGCTCAACTTTTACGCTATTGCTACCACACCTCTCCTATGTGGATTAGGCATCCCCCTAAATCTTCCCCTATGGAGAGGCAGGACAGCAGAATGCATATGTCTCATTTTTTTCACTTTTCTTCACCCAGGCTGGAAGGGCAGGATTTGTACCTCCTTTCTGTCATATTGTGGGTTTTGTGATCTGCAGTACCAGCCTTACCTGTCCACAGGCTTAAAGTGGGGTTTTGTGATTTAAATATCTCTCTCTCCTGACAGCCTATCTTCCAAGTGCACTGTCTCCGTAAAGAGGTCAGCTCTGAGAATCAGAGCTAATCAATAGCACCTTTATTCTTGTCTCTTTCTTTCTCTAGAGCAATAAACCTCAAGGCTTCAGTTGGTGAGGAAAAGCTCCAAGGACTTAAAAGGGGTAGAAATTAAGAACATTGTTTTAATATTTGCAAAATAATGTCTGCCATATTAATTTACCAATGTTTGTGTAACTACAAAAGCCATACTTTTTTCCCAATGTACAGTGTTTGGCACTGGGTAAGTCTATGGTCTTTCTGGGTAAAAGAAAAGAAAATCAGAAATTGGAGGCTATAAAGAGCTTCAAACCAGTTGCGACTTGGTCACAAGCACTGAGAAAGGAGGAAGGAAGAAAGACATATTTAAGATGTTTAAGATGCTCTGAAAGTGCTCATGCCAAGTATTACTGCTGTGGAGAATGGAAGTATTCACCACATTTTATGCTGTTGTCTTCAAGACTTAGGTATTCCCATTCTGAAAGGTGGTAAGAAAAATGACTGGAATCCAACACATATAGGTCTCATCCAATAACATATGCAGAATATTTATGGTAAAATCCAAAATGTTATTGCTAGGTAGAATGTATTTAACATGTCAACATTTATTTTAAGACCACCTAAAATGAATTAAGTCACAGTCTGTCTGGATTTGAGCCTGGGGGCACACTCACATGGCACGTGAGTTTGGAATATTCGCTTACCTTTGCTAAACCTCAGTTTTCTCATCTATAAAATAAAGGTTATAATAATCAACAAATATTGAGTGTTTTTATATGCCACACACTGTTTTAGCCACTTATATTAACTTGTTTAATTGATAAATAGCCTCAAGATGTTTTATTTTCATCTGTTTGCAGATGAAAAAAACCATGCCGCTGAGAGATTAAGTTACTTTTCATGATCACATAAGTAGAGGTGAAGGTAGGATTAGAATACAGGCAGTCTGTTGCTATATCTGAATGATAACAGCAAATACTTTCTATACTCTATGCCAGGCACTTATCTAAGAAGTCTATGAGATAGGAACTTTCTTTATCCCATTTTACGGATTAGAAAACTGAGCACGGAGAGGTTAAATATCTTGCCCAAACTGACACAGTTAGTAGGTGCTATGGCAGATCCATCCAGTACGGCTCCAGAGTTTGTGTTCATAGCCTCCATGCTATACTGTCTCAAAGGGTTTTTACGAGCAATAGCTGATAAAATACATGTGAAGTTCTTAGTATAGCACCTGGCACAGAGGAGATGCTTAATAAAAATGAATGAATTATTAATGAGGAAACCCTACAAATGGGCAAATGAGAGATTCTGTAAGTCTAGGATAGCACTGAGCATTCTGTACTGCTAAACATTGTTATATGTGTTATTATGACCCCATCGTTTTGCCTTACATAATTTCATTTATTCATTCGTTCTTTCAGCCAGTCAGTCTTGCCTTGCATGGCATTTTTAATGTACCAACACCACGCCAAGTGCTCCAGTATGTGATGTAGAGATATCTCTTTGACAAAAGGCTCATAGATTTGTTGTACTTAAATTAAAGAAGCACTAAACAACTTTAAAATATTCTATATTAGCAATTTTTTCTAATTAGCTTATTTCAGTGTCTTGAAAGGGACTAATTCTGCAATTTGGTGATGCCTAGTAATATCACGCCATTTAGCTTCTTTGGGCTAAATTTCAGGCACATATCTTGTAACTTTCTCACACATATGACTCTGAGGTGCTTTATCTTTTAATCAGGAAGCTGTGCACTAAAGCTGTTACAGCCCAATGGGTTCTTCTTGCCAGCTGCCCCCCAAAAGCCAATACACTGAGAACAGCAGGTATTGCAGCAGAGAAAGAGTTTAATAATCACAGGACAGATGTGGGAGGAGGACAGAAGATATTTTTCAAATTCACCTTCCTGAGAATTCAGAGGCAATAACTTTTAAGGATACTTTGTCAGGCAGGGGACTGGGGAACTGAAACAATTGATTGTTTGGGGATGGAATCACAGAGATATTGAAACTACAGCTGAGTCAGTTCCCGGCCAGGGGCTGCAGGACCAGTTGAGTCAGTTCCTTGGTATGGGTCACAGGTCTGTGTCTCTTAATATGCCAAAATGCTAAATCTGAGAAAGATCTCAAAGACCAGTCCTTTAGGTCTAACAATAGTGATGTTATTTATAGGAGCAGTTGGGGAAGTTAACAAATCTTGTGACTTCCGGTTACATGACTCTAGGGCAATAAGCAACTATAGAAAAGCAAGCTAAGCAAGCAATGAATAGTTATTGTTTAACCATGCATGTTCTTTAACAAAGTTCAGGCTTCTGCCATTATTCTAATCTTGTGGCTTTTTATTAGTTTTCACAAATACAGTTTCAATCTTTGAAAAACGAATGGATCAGTTCAAGGAAAGGGCTATTATGTTCTCTGCACAAGAGTGGGCAAAAGCAATTTTGCCTGGTAGAAGCAAAATGGAGTCAATTATGTTAAATTTCCCTTACTACTATAATTTTTCAAAAGGTGATTTCAAAGCCTTTTAGCTTTTCACTTAATGTCCTGCTCACTGTTATTTCCTTAAGTTTTAAAAACAATTTCTGTCCCAAATGCCACTTTGCTTCTGCTAAGGGGAAGAAATCTGTATGGCCTGAAAAACACAGAATTTAGAATCATAATATTAGTTCAAGGGGAATTCTCACAGCTCTTTGACCTCTAGCAAGTCATCTAACAGAGCTGAACTTCAGTTTTCTTGTTTTTGGAATGGGGATAGTAATTTCCACCCTGCAGGTTTGTTGAGTGACTAAATTAAGCAGAAAAGGCAAAACTTCCAGCCAGGGCCTTGCTCCACTAAGGCACTCTGCTTGGGCTATGTACTTCAGCTATTATTATTCTAATAATTTTAAAAAAGTATAATTTCATCTTTTTTTGGTTTGAAGTAGTAAACAATTTGTCATTTATAAAAATTTATTTGCTTTTGTATAGGTGAATTTGGTGGTTTTATTTTCTCTTAGGTTTTCAGATAATGATGGAAATGGAGGGGTGCAGTGAAATTTTCTGATGCAGGTACATGTTTTAGGGAGAATAACTTATCATTATGAGTACCAATATAATAGATTAGATAGGATGGCAATGGAAAAAAATGACCCAAGTAGAATTCTAACATAATAAAAAGGAGAAAGGTAAGAACAACAACAACAAAACAGATTTCAAAACCATTTTTAAACCATTTTATGAATAAAGAGAAGAAGCAAAATAATGAGAACTACCTTGACTTCTGTAAGCCAACACTTAAAATTATAAAGCCAATTGAATGTTAGAAGTTGAGGGGCCCTGAAAAGTCAAAGAGAGTTCTTCAATGCCCAGCACAGTCATGCCATTACAGCATCTCTGCTGGGTGGCATTTAAACTTTCTTTCCAGAGAGAAGCAGCTTATCTCCTTGTAAAATATTATAAGGCAGTTCTGATTGCTATAAAGTGCTTGTTCATTTGATCGAGGTGCCAATTGGCACAATCTATCACTCTCAGAGAGATCATATAAATGATCTTATCTTTTAAAAGAAAGTCTTCCAAATAGTCAAAAGATGGTCCTTACTTTAAATTAAACATCCTCTTCTCTCTTAACTGCTCTCTATAAGCTGCTAATAATTGCCTCAGAATGAAGAACCTGGAACAGACATGATTAACAAGTATTTTCTCATGCAACTGTCAAGCCATGTATCTTGTCCCTTACTGTCATGTTTTTTTTTTTCACCTAAAAGCAGATCATTTTGTTAATACCCGCATAAGGATTTAAGACTGTATGATTTCAAAGATATGCTTTTCCTAGCATCATATTATTCTAATCACAGTCTAGGCTTCTGTCTGTAATGTTTTCACTCATTTCTGTGCATTGCAAACTTTAACTCAATTATCCAAACTCAGGCCCCTAACTTTTGCTCCCCAGGCACCACCTTGCCCCTGGAAACAGACAGTTCTTTATGATCTCAGATAACAGCTCTTGTATACATTTATTGGGAAGAAAGTGGAGGAAAAAGGTCAGGTTGTTGTCATTTGTAAGTTTCCTTCATTTTATTTAGAATAGTTTAAGCTTAACAGAGGGTTAACTATGTTAGCAATGCCTTCGAACCAAAAATATTTGAAATATTTTTGCAGAATTTACTCATGTTAAATTGATCTGAAAATGTTTAAGGATCACATGTTTAGATGTTTCTAAGTAGTGCATCCTTTTTCTTAATCAGGAAATCCTATTAATCTCTCAAACTATATTTGTTTTCTAAGTTTTCAGTATAATACAATTTTATTTCCTGAATAATAGAAATAAAAGAAATAGGTTTCTTTTGGTATTAGGTGTATCTAGACATTTTTAAACAAGAAAATTGGGTTTTTTCCTTTTTAAAGTATCAGGTAGCTCGCTTTCCATAAAGTTATAGTTTACTATATATTTTCTTATTGGATAGTGATCACAAAAATGAGTGCTTTCTTTAATAATATTTAGCAGACACATTTATGAAAGCAAACTAATATCACATTTCTTCTGAGTAGTTCCCTGAGGATTTTCTTATTTCCTCTTATTAAGAGGATTCTCCTATTGAGTTTTAAGGGCAGTGAGACTGCATAATATCTAGTGACCGAGTGGATTAATTTACATTA
This sequence comes from Homo sapiens, assembly GCF_000001405.40. Taxonomy (NCBI): domain Eukaryota; kingdom Metazoa; phylum Chordata; class Mammalia; order Primates; family Hominidae; genus Homo; species Homo sapiens. The sequence continues at coordinate 100,165,018 of NC_000004.12, forward strand.
TATTTAGAAACATAACCTCCCACATGTTATATCCAAGTTGTAGTCAACAGTTTTAGCTTTCATAAAAACAAGCTTACTATTTTCTTTACCTAATACCCACATACTTTGACTAGGTTACTTTTTGCTGTTGTTTTTGTTTTTTATCACCATTTTGTTTTGAACAATGTTACTGTGATTCTGTTTTTTTCTGATTAATGATAATAGTATGGTCAGCCCTAACACATTAATTAAACTCTCTTTCTTTCGTGATCTTTATTTTCTCAAGAATATAAATCAGTAAAGTCCCCAAAGTGCAAGAAAAGATTTTTGGTGTCATTGAACGTCAGGAAATTCAATATATGTAATTGGAGCATGTATTGAAGTAATATGACGGAAGTCAGTTAAAAATAGATAGCCGTTGTAGTAATTTACTTTTCAACATGCATTTATCAGCACAGGAGTGCATCAAAAAGCTCTTTTTGAAGCACTTGCATTTCCTGTCCTTATTCTTAAAGTTACTTTGAAATTTGAGAGGGAGGGGCATTGCAGCTGCTGGCCAAAGAGCTGCCAAATAAGACATACGTTTAAAGCAGAGAATGGTGCTAGATTCTTACTGAAAAGAACACACAAGGCCTGTTACCCTCATAAACAACTAAAAGCAAAAATAGAGATTGTTGAATGACATTTAGGCTTAGAGGATTAGAGAATCAGAGAATCTTAATGATGGAAGAAGGTCTTTCTTTGCATCTATTAAGAAGATTATCTGAGACTTTAACTCAGATGCCTTCTAGGCACAGGTGATATAAACTAGTGACATTCCAGGTGACTGGAATGTACATATCCATCCACAATACTATCAGGGAATGCTGGCTGTGCTGTACACCATTAGATTTCTGAAGAAAAGAGAGAAATTTGGATTATAATGTGAACATTTCTGGGTCACTGAGCACAATTGCACAGATTGTGAAAGTACAGCTGCACAGCAGCATGCAGTGCCTTGTGACTATTTGTAAGCCAAACAAAAGATTGCATGAGGGTTAAATTCAACCCACCGGTAGGAAGTTTGCAACCCTGTGGTTTAGACTGTTAGAAAGGTTTCATTATTATTATCAAACAGAAAAATCTGTTTTTCAGCAGCTTTGGTTCCCTGGATTTTGGGGTCATGTTGAATGAATGTAATCTTCATGCACACAAGTGTTTCAAATATTTGAAGTCAGTTATTCTATTTCTTTAGACCTAAATTTAGGGTCTAGGGAGACAATCAAAGAAATAAATTAGGTTAGTCTGTTATAAAAGAATGATAAAAAAATGTAAGGTGGCCCCTGGTCTTCACTTCTTTTCCATGTAAGTGCTAACAATTACTTTAGTAATGCATTTTAGAATATTGCCTTAAATTAAAGTCAAGAGGACTAGTGTATTGTTGGAGAATCTGTCAATCTCTGGCCTACCCGGTGGAGAGTTCTAAAGGTCTACCACCTGTGGACTCCTTCCTGCCAAGTCCTTGAACCCTTGAGAGTGTGGCTTGCAGGGTATTTGGTGAGTGGGATCCTAAAATAGTCTGTTGTGTCCACACCTGGTGTTCGGGGAACTTGGAGAGAATTTAGCCTCTTGATGACTTTATGAGCTTTAGATTACATCCTCTGTTGCTAATTCCCTCTGTGTTTGTGGCCATGTTTTAGTCCATTTTCACGCTGCTGATAAAGACATACCCGAGACTGGGAAGAAAAAGAGGTGTAATGGACTTACGGTTCCACATGGCTGGGGAGGCCTCAGAATCATGGCAGGAGGTGAAAGGCACTTCTTACGCGGCAGTGGCAAGAGAAAATGAGGAAGATGCAAAAGCGGAAACCCCTGATAAAACCATCAGATCTCATGAGACTTATTCACTATATGACAGTATTCACTTATAACAGTATGGGGAAGCTGCCCCCCATGATTCAATTATCTCCCCCCAGCTCCCTCCCACAACATATGGGAATTATGGGGTACAATTCAAGATGATATTTGGGTAGGGACACAAAGCCAAGCCCTATTAGGCCTGTATCTGTTAGACTGAAAGGTCATGCTTAGAAAGAAGTAGTAAAGACTACTAAGTTTGTGCTGTGCGCAGTTCCAAGCGCTTGATGTATATTAAATCATTTAATCCTCACAATCACTCTGAGGTATTAAACTTATTTTTACAGACAAGGGAACTGAGGACAAGAAACTTTGCCAAGGTTACACAGTTAACGATAAATCAGGGATTCCAACCCAGGCATTTGGCTTTGGGTTTGTGCATCTTCCGGAGTCTCAGATGGTAGTGGAAGTCCAGGGACCTAGGGTAGACTATAGGAAGGAAGATGCTCTGTGAAAAACAACCACTTGGATAGAGACGCTGATCCACTCTCTGCCCTACATCTGGCCTTAAGCCAGCCTGCTTGTGTGCTTCATACCACCTCTATACCAGTCCACAAGGACAATCGCAAACACTCCTGGGTGTGCATGCAGTGGCCAAGGAAATCTTATTGCTTATTGCTGCCCAGCCTCACTTTCTCCTGTCTTCATCCAGTGTTGAACTCTGGCCTCTGCAGTCACAGTCTACCCTGACTTTAGAAGTTGCTGTTTGTGTTTGGTCCCCTCTACATTTGAACCTTGCCTTGATCTGACTAGCTTTGCCTTTCCAGCATTTAATGCCTCCTGCTGGTGTGGCCCTGCCATGAACCCCAAGTCAATATAAGTTTGCATTTGGATTCCACAACCTCATCAATGGCTGTGAGTCTTTGAAGAAGTTAAGTATGCCTTTGAGGTTTACCCCTCAGGAAAATGAAGAAATTATATCTTGCTTATTGGATTATGAAGATTAACCAGCAACATTCTAGTACAGTGTCTAGTACAAAGTAAGTGTTCAAATGATACTTCTTCTTATGAAGTGGGCCATCCTAGGCCTTGAATTGAAGGATAGAGCATTGAAGAAGCAGGGCTGTGTGGAATTCATGTGCCAGAAGAGTGGCAATTAATTTCCCACGTGGGCAGTGGCAGTGCAGCCAGTAGCAACACTTGGATGCTTGCAAGGAAGTCACTGGGTTAGAAAGTATGAACATTTCAGGCCTCTTCATCCTTATTTAATATGTTCTTAGAAAGGCTACTTTAACTTAACATTGCTGCAGCTATGAACATATCCAATCTTAGTCCATTACTTCTATAACCTGTGTTTCTATAACACTCATTACCTCAAAAGCTATTGTTAAATAGGGGGAAGATATCAATAGGACATGGAATTTGGTCTGGTCATAAGCAATTTCACCACAGTTGCCTACAAGTCACAAAACTGAGTGTAAATTACATGAACACAGTGGGAGGCAGCAAGCCTCAGATGAAGATGCTCTATGGAGCCCATTCACCTCCTGGGGTTCCTCTAGGATCAATTTGGTTGTACTTGAAAGTGCATATTGTTGGGTTCTCCCTATCCTTTTCTTTTTGTCCTTGTTTTCATGATTCAACAAGGAGATCCTTCCTTACACACCCTTTCATTTTTAGCTTTCACTTTTTCTTTTAATAGTAAAATCCTACATTTACTACTGTAACATTTCTTTACGGTTGTAGCTTTTTGTTTGCTCGGTTAGGACTGTTATTATTTTTGTTAGTGCTCTGGTTACAATATCGGTTTTGAGTGACTAACTCTAATCATAATTTTTTCTGTGAATGCTGTTATTTTTAGAATGCAGTTTGGCAGAAAGGACGATTTCTTAGGAATGTTGTATTAGAATAAACAGAAGCACTGGTAATTCCTTCACTTGCCCAGTCACATCAAATCCCAGAGAGATTTGTTAAACACAGAATTGACCTCAGATCTGATTCACAATCTCCCAGGGGTAGCTCTGGAAATTTGTTAATTTGTGACCCAGGTGATTCCCACGTTACACAAATTAGGGAAACTCTGCTCTACCTTGGTTGGGAATAGGCATGCTTTTTTTTAACATTAATATTTTTTACATTTATTTTTACATCAACACAGTATTGCTTTCAATTAATACCCTCCCCTTGTTTTTATTAATTAGTTACAGCTCTACTACTTTATGATCTAAATTGTCCTGATCTGTACAAGGATGCTTCACTCTGCCTAGTTTTATTTGCAAAGGTCCTTTCTAAGGCAAGTATTCACAGACTTCATTTTATTTGCTCATGATAACATTGAATCCAACCACCCTGTGTAAAGGACTGGCTCATATTTCCTATCATATATTATCAAATATTATAACATAACAAAAGCTTTCATTTAAATGATTTAGACAGGATACATGAGTTTTTAAACTGCCTTATAAATAAGTGCAAATCTTGTGAAGATAGGGGTCAGGTGAGAAGTAGAATAAATAAAGGTGATGGGGGAAAAGTGCTTACTAACAGAAGCTTTAAACGCAACTACATAGAAAGGCACGTTGAAGAGATAGTTTTTGTTTGTTTGCTTGTTTGTTTTCACATTTTTTGCTTGCTTTCTTGGTCTAGTCCTGAATTTTTTAAAGAGGAAACTTTGTTTTGTTTATTTTTCCTACTTGAATTAAAGTATAGAAAAGACACATTACAAGACTATCATAAAAGGTTTGTTGTAAACTGTGTAATTTGTTGTAATACTCTGGAAACTCAGAGTAATAAAGATAAACCAACTTATAATGGCAATGCTTGGATTCCAGAAATACTTTTTTTCCATAACAACCTTGTTCATTGCTCTTCTACTTACACCTCTGAGGCCAGAAACCCCACAGTTTATATCAGCATTCAACTGGATTTACTGTTACTTCCTCTGCTTATTAAAGACAAACACAACATATACCAGTCAATAAGCAAAAAGAAATCATTTTTAAACTAATAAAATTCCACTCTTTGCAATGATTTAAAAGTTGCTAGATGAAAGAATTTGAAAGTGCAGCCATTTGAGTTGATTACTATGAAAAACTAAAGCAATACTTTTCAGGGCTTCCAATCAAGAGCAGCTTTGAACTTTGGCTCCCATCGTGCACATCAGTAATTCTGTGACTCAGGCAAATAAAGTATTCTTCGCCCCCACACGATCTGGGAGAGGCCATCTGGTGTGGTGCTATACTCAATAATATGTTATTTTGGGCCTCTACTTCAACTGGGACCCTTTACATTTGTAGACTGATTATTAAAAATCAGTTTTCTCATTGTCTGTTGTTTTTCATCACACCTAAGATCATAAGTGGAGAGTCTTGGGCATACAAAAGTTTGGAGAGCTGGTACTGCCATTTAGGGAGTTATCCTTATGTCATTTTCAGTGAGTCAGGTCAAAACTTCCTGGCTGTTCTCTCCAGCCTCTACAAATACATGAGACCCTAGCAAAGCCTTTTTCACTGGCAAACACTTCCTTTGTTTATTTACAGATTCATGCTATGCTAGTTAGACTTATGTTTGATATGTCAGAATTGTTCCACACAAACCTGAGAACACTGTGATGTAAGTTACCCGAATGAGATTGATGCAGAGCTGAGACCAACAAGAGCCCTAATAATTTGGAATTTAAAATGTTGCAGACTTAACTCCTTTCCATCACTTCAAACAGACATTAATTTCTCATTTCCACCTTTCTACATTCACCTTAAAAGGAGTGGCAATTGTAATGGATGCCACTGTGTGCCATACAGGTCCAGGACACTCATCTACTCAAAAACTGGATGTTTTGGTGGCTGACAACTTTCAGCTGAGACCTTCTGCAGGCAGTACCCTCACCCAAAGTTATGTCCCTTCTTGGAGGCAGCCATTCCAATAAAAAGTCGCAATCTTCCATCCAGTTTCCAGAATTAAGTCAATATTTAGAATAAAACCTATATACAAGCATATTTTGGTGATATTGTGGATATCATTCCAGACTACCACAATAAAGCAAATATTGCAATAAAGAGAGTCCCAGAAATGTTTTGGTTTCTCGGTGCACATAAAAGATATGTTTGCATTATAGTGCAGTCTCTTAAACAATGTACACCCTTTAATTTAAAAATACTTTATTGCTAAAATATGCTAATGATCATCTGAACCTTCAGGGAGTCGTAATCTTTTTGGTGGTGGAGGAGGGTCTTGTCTCAATGTTGGTAGTTGCTGACTGATCAGGGTGGTGGTTGCTGAAGGTTGGCATGGCTGTGGCAATTTCTGAAAATAAAACAACAATGAAGTTTGCCACATCAACTGATTTCTCCTTTCACAAAAGGATTTCCTGTAGCACGTGATGCTGTTTCATAGCATTTGACTCATAGTAGAACTTCTTTCCAAATTGGAGTCAATCCTCTCAAACACTGCCATTGTTTTATCAACTAACTTTATGGAATATTCTAAATCCTTTGTTGTCATTTCAGCAATGTTCACAGCATCTTCACCACGAGTAGATTCCATCTCAAGA